>NC_000003.12:20010000-21260000 GCF_000001405.40 Homo sapiens | reverse complement strand
AGACATTTGTTTTTAATGTATACTTCTATCTTCAGCTTTGCTTGAAATGTTTTTCAGCTGCTCTTTATAACCCATTTGGAATAATGATAATGTTTTCACTCCCAACCTAAATCAAATTCCATGTACTTTGCTTTCCTCCATTCACCCTTCTTTGTCTCCCTTCTTGATGGTCCCATTGATTCTAAAATTGACCATCAGTGTCCTTTAAGTAACCCACTCAATCTAATACATCGTTTTACTTTCCTCTGGCTAGGTTAAGCTGGGACTCTGCACTGGGATGGTCAGCAGTGTGATGCAGTGGGAGTTATTCCCTGCAGGAGACGGGAGACCTGAACTTTAGGAGAGAATCTTATTACAGGGTTAATTCACTTTCTGAAGGCTGATAGAACCAAACTTAATTCTATTATTTTCATTTAGGTCTGCTGATTCTATGTATTATCTCTTCAGAATAGAAGTCAAGAAAAATGACTATTAAAGTCATCCTAAAAAAAAAACCCCAAATAAAAACTTATGCATTTCCATACCTATTTCTTTTATTCGCCTGTAAGCATTTTTTTCCTCCAACAAGTACAGATATCTATATTCCTAGGCCACAAAAATAGGTTTTGAGGTATCTCATAATAACCTACCTTAACGTCTGTTATGTAGTCTGACATATCAATCTCTCCATTTTGTAAAAATGAAACTTCGGCAAGTCTTTGAAATACACTTGAGATCTCAGAGTGGTAGAGAGTGGTGGTTCAAAGTCCAGAATAATGGTTCGGATTGTTTGGATTCTAATACTAATTGTTACTTAGCCTCTCTGCTTTAGCTTCCTCATGTGTAAAATAGAAATAATGTTAGTACATGCCTTATAGAGATGTTGCAAGGTTTGAAAAAGAAAACATAGAGATCAAGCTTTGCAAAGTTAATTGAATATTTTTCATTATAAAACAATGATTTATTGTGATAAGTGACAAGTCTTATCATGCTTTGTTAGCTTTGTCCAGTTGCCTAATTAATGAAAATCTTTTCTTTTTGTCTTCCTAGAATCAACGGAGGTAGAAGCAAGCAGAGCCACGCTAATATTGAATCTGGGAAGCCCGGACAGCTGGGAGTTAATTTACAATTAATGTTTTACCTTGCTAAATACAAGAAGGTGAATCACGCACTCACCAAGGATTGTTCCTAGGAGTTCAAGCTCATATGACTGAACCGAATTCAATCCTTATCTGAATATTACTTAGGATCCTAGCTAAGCAGCCAAATCAAATGCCCAGATAAAGGTGGTTTAAAAGACAGATGTTTATTCCTTTTTCCCACAGTATTTCAATCCTAAGTAGTCCAGGTAGGACATGGTAACACTATTCAGCTCTCACTATCACAAACACATACTAACAAACACATACTAACTGCCAAGAAGATGAGAAAAAGACAAGGGAAGATACAGCCATCCTCCTTCAAGTCATAAACTGAACATTGAATTTGTTCTATCTATTCAGATACCACTGACCTGAACTTATGTGGCCACACCTATCTGCCAATGAGATTGGGAAATGTCTTTAACTGGGTGGTCATGCTAAACCCACCACATTCTAGCTAAAATTTAGGGGTTCTGTTACTAAAGGTGGAAAAATTGAAGAAGAATGTGTAGGTATGGACAATTAGCAGTATCTTATATAGTCCACACTTCTTGTATATATTTGCAGTTTTTTTCATAGGTAGAACCACTCACTCCTCCCTAAAAGAGTCAAAATTCTATGTAGTTGTGACCTTCAGCTCAACACCCAAGGTCTTTGGCTTGTATGAAGTACTTTTCTTTAGTTCTCCGTGTGTTCCTTCATTATCTTGCAACCCATAAACTAAAATGTAAGTGTTTTTGCTTCTCTCTCAACCCTCATCACACTCCATATACAATGGTGGAGAGAAGAGTGTGTGCACAGAATATCTGCAATAAAAACTGCTTTTTGGAGAAGGTAGGAATGGGAAATACACAGTTGTTACGCTTCTTAACAACTTATTAAATCTTGCTGTGAAAATATTGTGAACATTTGTAGTCTTGTCCATGAATTAAGTTGCTGGATTAATGTATCTAGTAATGGTTAGTTTGCTTTTGGGTTTGTTTTCTTTTATGGTCGAGGACTTTTCCTCTTGGAGTTTCTCCCTTGTATTTTATCCTCCATGGCCACTTCTGAAATGGGCACTGAAAAGAATTACCTTTTTGAGGGTTGTGCAGCTCTGGGTTGCTTTAAGTGTCAAACAGCCACAGGCTTTGAAGCTCATGCTTGTGATGCCTGGAACAGTAAAATACTCTTAATAATCTGTTAGACCTCTTGTCTAGTTACTTTCAGTCAATCATTATGTGCCAGAAACAATAGCAAAAGATATAATGTAAATATACATTTATTTTATACTTGATAATTTTGCTCCTTTATTTCCTAGCCTAAATGATCTGTCCATTTCTCTGTTTTTCAACTTAGTAAAGGATCAATGGAATCCTATTAAAATAATGAGCTTGGATGATGTCTCTGATGGAATTCCCAGGATGCAGAACCAAAGATAAGTATTCATGTGAAAGTGCTTCATTAGCACATGTTATCAAGGAAAAGCAACAAAGGAGTGGAAAAGTGGACTAAGATGTTAAGAAAGTCAAGAAAGCTAGTGAAAGTTAACATCGCCTCAAACACCCAGGGGAGCTTTGGAGATGATATAGTGGTATAAACCACATTTTTAATGTTGTTTTAATCAAGTCACAAGGAAGCTGGAGTATTTATACTCCTATATCTACTGGTCATTGTTTAGGGGCTGCCCCAGGATAAATAAAGACATTTATCTTTGCCAGTAATTCTGGCTTTCCCAGTTTGAGGCAAAGCGGTGCCAGTAGATCAAGGGCAGTCTGCCAAAAAAGAGATGCAGGTGTTGGCTGCAGGAAGAGAAAGCAGTCTGGAAGTTGATGTGAACTGAAATTGTAAAGAGATTACAGTGAACAGTGGCAGAGTACTGACAGAGTCTGCTTGGGATGGGGAGACAAAATTGTTAACTTGATAATTTTTAATGGGAGGTACTGGATAGGGGCACAGGCTCATACACTCGTTGGACTGCCTCTCCAGAGGCACCTCTTATCCTTAGCATGTGTTAAACTCTTGTCTCTTTATCAATTTAATTTTTCAAAATAGAAACTACAAAAATTAGATAACTAATACCATCATTTTGAGTTTTCCAACTCATTTCACTAGAGATACAAAATTTGTCTGAGTTCCAAGACATCACAGATGACAATTTGACCAAAAAATTAATAATGAAATCACAAGGTCACAGCTTTCCAGACAGCAATGATCTGTCAACACTGTCCATCAACCAGCTACTAAGCCAAAGCCATTTAAGTTCTCTCGTAGCAGCACGTCACCTCTAAATATCAAATTCTAGACTATTTCTGAAATAAGATCATACGCAGAAATGAAGGCCAAATTAACAGTGGTTTAAAAAGATGGATAAATGAAGGATTTTTCTTAAACTAACACAACCTTTTTTTATTGCATTGAATTAGGGTTCATAAAAGCTAGATGTGATATATGGGCCTGAATTCAGTACTAGTCTTAATTAGCAAACTGTAAAAAACATTTTTGGAATAATTGGGAATACTTGAATACAGTTGATTAAATGAAACTAAAATTTTCTTAAATTAAGGAATGGAGATGATTTCTGACAAAATCAGATTGCAAAGGCATGTTAAAATGTATTTATATGAGAAAAAATCTGGAAATATATGAAACATTACTTTATAGTGGTTATCCTAAGTTGTGAAAGTATGTCATTTCTAGTTTTTATTGTCTGTAAGCCCAAACTTTCTACATTATACTTACTTTGTTTATAGATACAATGAGTTACTTTTTAAGGATTTCTGTTATTTACAGATAAACACAAAATTTAGGAAATACTGTGCCATAAATTTGACAAAAGTTTACTGTAATTATTATTTTCAAGTGATTGGAAATCAACATGAAAGCAAATAATCTTATTTTTAAATAGACAATGAAAAATATTCAATAGTACAATTCAAAAAAGATTTAACCTTTCCTCCCTCCTACAAAACGATATTTATCTCTTTAAAGATACTTAAAATTTTCATATCCTTTGACATAGCAATTCCACTTTGAGATATTTGCTTTGAGAAAGTTATCAAAGGTGAACTGGAAAACTTTTACGTAAGGATAATTACAGCAGTGATATTTACAACAGCATTATGTTAATAAAAACCTAATTTGTGGGGGAGGAGCCAAGATGGCCAAATAGGAACAGCTGCGGTCTACAGCTCCCAGCGTGAGCAACACAGAAGACGGTGATATCTGCATTTCCATCTGAGGTACCGGGTTCATCTCACTAGGGAGTGCCAGACAGTGGGCGCAGGTCAGTGGGTGCGCGCACCATGTGCGAGCGGAAGCAGGGCGAGGCATTGCCTTACTTGGGAAGCACAAGGGGTCAGGGAGTTCCCTTTCCGAGTCAAAGAAAGGGGTGATGGTCGGCACCTGGAAAATCGGGTCACTCCCACCCGAATACTGCGCTTTTCCGGCGGGCTTAAAAAACGGCACACCAGGAGATTATATCCCGCACCTGGCTCGGAGGGTCCTACGCCCACGGAGTCTTGCTGATTGCTAGCACAGCAGTCTGAGATCAAACTGCAAGGTGGCAGCGAGGCAGGGGGAGGGGCGCCCGCCATTGCCCAGGCTCACTTAGGTAAACAAAGCAGCGGGGAAGCTCGAACTGGGTGGAGCCCACCACAGCTCAAGGAGGCCTGCCTGCCTCTGTAGGCTCCACCTCTGGGGGCAGGGCACAGACAAACAAAAAGACAGCAGTAACCTCTGCAGACTTAAATGTCCCTGTCTGACAGCTTTGAAGAGAGCAGTGGTTCTCCCAGCACGCAGCTGGAGATTTGAGAACGGGCAGACTGCCTCCTCAAGTGGGTCCCTGACCCCTGAACCCCGAGCAGCCTAACCGGGAGGCACCCCCCAGCAGGGGCACACTGACACCTCACACGGCAGGGTATTCCAACAGACCTGCAGCTGAGGGTCCTGTCTATTAGAAGGAAAACTAACAAACAGAAAGGACATCCTTACCAAAAACCCATCTGTACATCACCATCATCAAAGACCAAAAATAGATAAAACCACAAAGATGGGGAAAAAACAGAACAGAAAAACTAGAAACTCTAAAAAGCAGAGTGCCTCTCCTCCTCCAAAGGAACGCAGCTCCTCACCACCAATGGAACAAAGCTGGATGGAGAATGACTTTGACGAGGTGAGAGAAGAAGGCTTCAGAAGATCAAATTACTCTGAGCTACGGGAGGACATTCAAACCAAAGGCAAAGAAGTTGAAAACTTTGAAAAAAATTTAGAAGAATGTATAACTAGAATAACCACTACAGAGAAGTGCTTAAAGGAGCTGATGGAGCTGAAAATCAAGGCTTGAGAACTACGTGAAGAATGCAGAAGCCTCAGGAGCCGATGCGATCAACTGGAAGAAAGGGTATCAGCGATGGAAGATGAAATGAATGAAACGAAGCAAGAAGGGAAGTTTAGAGAAAAAAGAATAAAAAGAAATGAGCAAAGCCTCCAAGAAATATGGGACTATGTGAAAAGACCAAATCTACGTCTGATTGGTGTACCTGAAAGTGATGGGGAGAATGAAACCAAGTTGGAAAACACTCTGCAGGATATTATCCAGGAGAACTTCCCCAATCTAGCAAGGCAGGGCAACGTTTAGATTCAGGAAATACAGAGAACGCCACAAAGATACTCCTCGAGAAGAGCAACTCCAAGACACATAATTGTCAGATTCACCAAAGTTGAAATGAAGGAAAAAATGTTAAGGGCAGCCAGAGAGAAAGGTCGGGTTACCCTCAAAGGGAAGCCCATCAGACTAACAGCGGATCTCTCGGCAGAAACCCTACAAGCCAGAAGAGAGTGGGGGCCAATATTCAACATTCTTAAACAAAAGAATTTTCAATCCAGAATTTCATATCCAGTCAAACTAAGCTTCATAAGCAAAGGAGAAATAAAATACTTTACAGACAAGCAAATGCTGAGAGATTTTGTCACCACCAGGGCTGCCCTAGAAGAGCTCCTGAAGGAAGTGCTAAACATGGAAAGGAACAACCGGTACCAGCCGCTGCAAAATCATGCCAAAATGTAAAGACCATCAAGACTAGGAAGAAACTGCATCAACTAACGAGCAAAATCACCAGCTAACATCATAATGACAGGATCAAATTCACACATAACAATATTAACTTTAAATGTAAATGGACTAAATGCTCCAATTAAAAGACACAGACTGGCAAATTGGATAAAGAGTCAAGACCCATCAGTGTGCTGTATTCAGGAAACCCATCTCACGTGCAGAGACACACATAGGCTCAAAATAAAAGGATGGAGGAAGATCTACCAAGCAAATGGAAAACAAAAAAAGGCAGGGGTTGCAATCCTAGTCTCTGATAAAACAGACCTTAAACCAACAAAAATCAAAAGAGACAAAGAAGGCCATTACATAATGGTAAAGGGATCAATTCAACAAGAAGAGCTAACTATCCTAAATATATATGCATCCAATACAGGAGCACCCAGATTCATAAAGCAAGTCCTGAGTGACCTACAAAGAGACTTAGACTCCCACACATTAATAATGGGAGACTTTAACACCCCACTGTCAATATTAGACAGATCAATGAGACTGAAAGTCAACAAGGATACCCAGGAATTGAACTCAGCTCTGCCTCAAGCGGACCTGATAGACATCTACAGAACTCTCCACCCCAAATCAACAGAATATACATTTTTTTCAGCACCACACCACACCTATTCCAAAATTGACCACATACTTGGAAGTAAAGCTCTCCTCAGCAAATGTAAAAGAACAGAAATTATAACAAACTATCTCTCAGACCACAGTGCAATCAAACTAGAACTCAGGATTAAGAATCTCACTCAAAACCACTCAACTACATGGAAACTGAACAACCTGCTCCTCAATGACTACTGGGTACATAACGAAATGAAGGCAGAAATAAAGATGTTCTTTGAAACCAACGAGAACAAAGACACAACATACCAGAATCTCTGGGACGCATTCAAAGCAGTGTGTAGAGGGAAATTTATAGCACTAAATGCCCACAAGAGAAAGCAGGAAAGATCCAAAATTGACACCCTAACATCACAATTAAAAGAATTAGAAAAGCAAGAGCAAACACATTCAAAAGCTAGCAGAAGGCAAGAAATAACTAAAATCAGAGCAGAACTGAAGGAAATAGAGACACAAAAAACCCTTCAAAAAATTAATGAATCCAGGAGCTGGTTTTTTGAAAGGATCAACAAAATTGATAGACCGCTAGCAAGACTAATAAAGAAAAAAAGAGAGAAGAAATAGATGCAATAAAAAATGATAAAGGGGATATCACCACTGATCCCACAGAAATACAAACTACCATCAGAGAATACTACAAACACCTCTACGCAAATAAACTAGAAAATCTAGAAGAAATGGATAAATTCCTCGACACATACACTCTCCCAAGACTAAACCAGGAAGAAGTTGAATCTCTGAATAGACCAATAACAGGAGCTGAAACTGTGGCAATAATCAATAGTTTACCAACCAAAAAGAGTCCAGGACCAGATGGATTCACAGCCGAATTCTACCAGAGGTACAAGGAGGAACTGGTACCATTCCTTCTGAAACTATTCCAATCAATAGAAAAAGAGGGAATCCTCCCTAACTCATTTTATGAGGCCAGCATCATTCTGATACCAAAGCCAGGCAGAGACACAACCAAAAAAGAGAATTTTAGACCAATGTCCTTGATGAACATTGATGCAAAAATCCTCAATAAAATACTGGCAAACCGAATCCAGCAGCACATCAAAAAGATTATCCACCATGATCAAGTGGGCTTCATCCCTGGGATGCAAGGCTGGTTCAATATACGCAAATCAATAAATGTAATCCAGCATATAAACAGAGCCAAAGACAAAAACCACATGATTATCTCAATAGATGCAGAAAAATCCTCTGACAAAATTCAACAACGCTTCATGCTAAAAACTCTCAATAAATTAGGTATTGATGGGACGTATCTCAAAATAATAAGAGCTATCTATGACAAACCCACAGCCAATATCATACTGAATGGGCAAAACCTGGAAGCATTCCCTTTGAAAACTGGCACAAGACAGGGATGCCCTCTCTCACCACTCCTATTCAACATAGTGTTGGAAATTCTGGCCAGGGCAATTAGGCAGGAGAAGGAAATAAAGGGTATTCAATTAGGAAAAGAGGAAGCCAAATTGTCCCTGTTTGCAGATGACATGATTGTATATCTAGAAAACCCCATTGTCTCAGCCCAAAATCTCCTTAAGCTGATAAGCAACTTCAGCAAAGTCTCAGGATACAAAATCAATGTACAAAAATCACAAGCATCCTTATACACCAACAACAGAAAAACAGAGAGCCAAATCATGAGTGAACTCCCATTCACAATTGCTTCAAAGAGAATAAAATACCTAGGAATCCAACTTACAAGGGATGTGAAGGACCTCTTCAAGGAGAACTACAAACCACTGCTCAATGAAATAAAAGAGGATACAAACAAATGGAAGAACATTCCATGCTCATGGGTAGGAAGAATCAATATTGTGAAAATGGCCATACTGCCCAAGGTAATTTATAGATTCAATGCCATCCCCATCAAGCTACCAATGTCTTTCTTCACAGAATTGGAAAAAACTACTTTAAAGTTCATGTGGAACCAAAAAAGAGCCCACATCGCCAAGTCAGTCCTAAGCCAAAAGAACAAAGCTGGAGGCATCACACTACCTGACTTCTAACTATACTACAAGGCTACAGTAACCAAAACAGCATGGTACTGGTACCAAAACAGAGATATAGATCAATGGAACAGAACAGAGCCCTCAGAAATAACACCACATATCTACAACTATCTGATCTTTGACAAACCTGAGAAAAACAAGCAATGGGGAAAGGATTCCCTATTTAATAAATGGTGCTGGGAAAACTGGCTAGCCATATGTAGAAAGCTGAAACTGGATCCCTTCCTTACACCTTATACAAAAATCAATTCAAGATGGATTAAAGACTTAAACGTTAGACCTAAAACCATAAAAACCCTAGAAGAAAACCTAGGCATTACCATTCAGGACATAGGCATGGGCAAGGACTTCATGTCTAAAACACCAAAAGCAATGGCAACAAAAGCCAAAATTGACAAATGGGATCTAATTAAACTAAAGAGCTTCTGCACAGCAAAAGAAACTACCATCAGAGTGAACAGGCAACCTACAAAATGGGAGAAAATTTTCGCAACCTACTCATCTGACAAAGGGCTAATATCCAGAATCTACAATGAACTCAAACAAATTTACAAGAAAAAAACAAACAACCCCATCAAAAAGTGGGTGAAGGACATGAACAGACACTTCTCAAAAGAAGACATTTATGCAGCCAAAAAACACATGAAAAAATGCTCATCATCACTGGCCATCAGAGAAATGCAAATCAAAACCACAATGAGATACCATCTCACACCAGTTAGAATGGCAATCATTAAAAAGTCAGGAAACGACAGGTGCTGGAGAGGATGTGGAGAAATAGGAACACTTTGACACTGTTGGTGGGACTGTAAACTAGTTCAACCATTGTGGAAGTCAGTGTGGTGATTCCTCAGGGATCTAGAACTGGAAATACCATTTGACCCAGCCATCCCATTACTGGGTATATACCCAAAGGACTATAAATCATGCTGCTATAAAGACACATGCACATGTATGTTTATTGCGGCATTATTCACAATAGCAAAGACTTGGAACCAACCCAAATGTCCAACCAACAATGATAGACTGGATGAAGAAAATGTGGCACATATACACCATGGAATACTATGCAGCCATAAAAAATGATGAGTTCATGTCCTTTGTAGGGACAAGGATGAAATTCAAATCATCATTCTCAGTAAACTATCGCAAGAACAAAAAACCAAACACCGCATATCCTCATTCATAGGTGGGAATTGAACAATGAGATCACATGGACACAGGAAGGGGAATATCACACTCTGCGGACTGTTGTGGGGTGGGGGGAGGGGGGAGGGATAGCATTAGGAGATATCCCTAATGCTAGATGACGAGTTAGTGGGTGCAGTGCACCAGCATGGCACATGTATACATATGTAACTAACCTGCACAAGGTGCACATGTACCCTAAAACTTAAAGTATAATTAAAAAAAGAAAAAAAAATCTAATTTGCTACTACATGGGTTTTGTTAGATAAATGTATCCCTGTAGTATGCAAATATTAATTTTTTAAGAAAGTTTTTATTTTTAATTTGCAAATTAAATGTTTATATTTATGTGTTCCTCGAATTATTAAAATATAATACAGTGTAAAGGTTCCCACTTGCCCCATCCCCTGTAAGCCCAGATCCCAAACACCTTGCACCCCCCAACCCCAAGCCTACAGCTATACTTTTCTTCCAGAGTTTTTGGAATGCATATTCAAACACACAAGCACAGATTTCTATTTTTCTTCTTTTTATACACAATATGTGGCATACTATTAACATTATTTTACCCTGTGCTTTTATTGCTTAATAATATATCTTTAAGTTTTTTCCACATTGTGTGTAATGAGTCCTTTTTTTTTTTATCATTTTACAGATCATAATTCCATTGTATATTTACCCAGACTTGTATTAATACACATTTAGATTATTTTTATCTTTTAACATTACATCTGCCTAAATAAACTTGCATATACACAATTTTGTACCTGGGTAAATCTATCTGTAGAATAACTCACTAGAAATGGGATTGTTGGATAAAGACAATAAGCCTTTGAAATGTTAGTTGATATTGCCAAGTTGCCTTCTACAGGGATTGTATCAACTTACACTCCCATCAGCAGCGTATGAGAGTGTTTTTTCTCCATAGAGTCACTACCAGAGTGTACTGTGAAACTCCTGGATTTCTACCAATTCTGTAAGTGAAAATGATATCTCAGTGTATCGATTATCTATTGCTAGATGACAATAGCCCCTCTCAAAGTACTGACTTAAAATAACCATGATTTATTTTTTCTTACCATTCTGTGTGTTGGTCGAGCTGTTCTGCTGGTTTTCCCTAGATTTACTCATTTGGCGACATGAGGTTGGTGGGATAACTGGGAAAGCTGGTCGTGTCTCTTCAGGCAGTCTTCCATCTTCAAGGCCACACTGGGCATTCTCACAGGGTAGCAGCAGAATTCCAGGAGGCAAACCCCAGCATGTAGCCTTGCATCACATTTTCTGATTTCCCAGTGGCAGGGCAAATCACAGGACCCAGCCCAGAGTCAAAGTGGAGGGGACTTCAGAGGAGCATTACTCCCTGGAGGCGTGATTCCCTTGGGGTCATTTTGATAACTGTAAACCACATTCAATGCAGGCTTGATTTGCATTTCTTTCATTATTAATGAGTTTGAGAAATTTGAACATCTCCCATGTTTAGTAGCATTTGGCGTTTTGTTTTTTATGAAATGTCTATTATGTCTTTAGTCAATTCTAATTAATTCTTTATAGTTTTACTGATCATTGTCTTCTAGACTTTCAGCAATTCTCTCTATATTAGGGATATTGTCCACTTTTGTATGACATTAATTACAGATATTTTAACTTTTCCATAGACACAATGGCTTCTTTTTTTTTTTTTTTTTTTTTTTTTTTGAGATGGAGTTTCACTCTGTCGCCCAGGCTGGAGCGCAGTGGTGCAATCTAGGCTCACTGCAAACTCTGCCTCCCGGTTTCACGCCATTCTCCTGCCCCAGCTTCCCAAGTAGCTGGGATCACAGGCGCCCGCCACCACGCCCGGCTAATTTTTTGTATTTTTAGTAGAGACGGGGTTTCACCATGTTAGCCAGATGGTTTCGATCTCCTGACCTCGTGATCCACCGGCCTCAGCCTCCCAAAGTGCTGGGATTACAGGCGTGAGCCACCGCACCTGGCCAATGGCTTCTTTTTAATAAAAATTCTAGCCTAAGATGATACATACACACACACACACACACACACACACACACACATCTCCTCTGTGTGTATATATAAATATATAACATATGTAACATACATATAAATATATATATAATAAATTCATGTACTACATAATGATGTTTTGGTCAAGGATAAACTGCATATACAGTGATGTTTGCATAAAATTATAATACCATATTTTTACTACACCTTTGCCATATTTCTATATGTTTAGATAAACAAATACCATTGTGTCACAATTGCCTACAGTATTCAGTATAGTAACATGGCTGTATAAGTTTTTAGTCTAGGAGCAATAGGTTATGCCATATAACCTGTGTGTAGTAGGCCTTACCATCTAGGTTTGTGTAAGTACACTCTGATGTTCACACAATGGAAAAATCACCTAATGACACATTTCTCAGAACGCATCCCCATCATTAAGCAACACATGAATATATATGCTTATATATGTGAAATGAATGACACCAATTCTGTAAGGGATGGGAGAGAAAAATTAGAATTCTTTTATTATAAGAAAGTCATATTACCTGTGAAGTGGTATAACGTTATTTGAAAATTGACTTGGATTAGTTGTAAATGTATATTGCAAACTAAAGCAACACTAAAAAAGTAAAAAAAAACAAAGTACGACTCATATACTAAGAAAGGAGAGAAAATAGTAACATATATAATGCTTAATTGAAACCACAAAAGGCATAAAAAGAGCAAAAGACAAAAATAGGAACAGAAAAAGGGGAAGAAAATAGTAACAAACATGGAAGATATAAATCTTAATATAACAGTAATCACTTTGAACACCAGTTCTCTAAATGTACCAACTCTAGAAATGTTGAGTGGATCAAAAAACAAGACTCAATTATATGATGCCTGCAAAAAAAAAACCCACTGAATATATAAAGACATAGAAATGAAAAGTAAATGAATAGAGGTAGGTATATGATGCTAACACTAATCAAAGAAAAGCAGGAGTAGCTATGCTAATTTCAGAGATGGCAGACTTCAGAGTAAGGAAGTTATCAGGGATAAAGAATATTACTTAATTATAAAAGGATTAATTCTTCAAAAAGACAGCAAGTGTCAATGAGTATGTGACTAACAACAGAACATCAAAATATATGAGGCAAAAACTGATAGGACTACAAGGAAAATTGGATGAGTCTGCTATTATAGTTGGAGACTTTAATACCCAGTTAACAGAAATGGACAGATCCAGAGGGCAGAAAAGCAGTAAGGACTTAGTTGAACTCAATACCATCAATCAACTGGATATAATGGATAGCTATAGAGTGCTTCTTCCAATAACAGCAGAATAAACAATCTTCTCAAGCTCACATGGAACATTCACCAGGAAAGATTACATTTTGGAATATAAAACACACCTTAACAAATTTAAAAGAATAGAAGCTATACAGTGTCTTCTCTCAGACCTTGATGAAATTAAGCTAGAAATCAGTAACAGAAAGATAGCTGAAAAATCCCAAAATACTTGAAGATTTAACAACACACTTTTAAAAAATACATTGATCAAAGAAGACATCTCAGGAGAAATTTTAAAAAATTTAACCAAATAAAAATGAAAACCTAACATCAAAATTTGGGAAATTCAGTGAATGCAGTAATTAGTGGGGAATTTATAATATTGACTTCATATAGTAGTCCTCCCTTATCTGCAGTTTTGCTTTCTACAGTTTCAGTTACATGCAGTTAACTAGGGTTGGAAAATATTAAATGAGCAATTTCAGGAATAAACAATTCATAAGTTTTAAATTGTACACTATTCTGATTAGTGGGATGAAATATTGAGCCATCCTGCTCTGTCGTACCTGGAACATGAATTATTTCTTTGCCCAGCATACCCAGGCTGTATATACTACTTGCCTGTTAGTCACATAGTATCTTGGTTATCACATCAACTTCCACGGTACCACAGGGCTTGTGTTCAACTAACACTTATCTTACTTAATAATGTCCCCAAAGCACAAGAGTAGTAAAGCTGGCAATTTGAATATGCCAAGGAGAAGCCTTAAAGTGACCCTCTTAAGTGAAAAGGTGAAAACTCTTGACTGAATAAAGAAAAAAAAAATTGTATGCTGAGGTTGCTGAGATTTACAGTAAAAACACATCTTTTATCTGTGAAATTGTGAAGTAGGAAAAAGAAATTTGTGCATATTATATACAGGTTGAGGATCTCTTATCTGAAACACTTGGGACAGAAGTTTTTTGGATTTCAATTTTTTTTTTTTTTAGAATATTTGCAGAATAGATACTGGTTGAGCATCCCTAGTCCAAATATCTGAAATCCAAAATGCTCCAATAGTCATTTCCTTTCATGTCAGTGCTCAAAAATTTTCATATTTTGGAGCATTCTGGATTTATTTTTAGATTAGGGACACTCAGCCTATGTAGAGTTTGGCAATTTTCATGGTTTCATGCATCCTCTCAAGGTTTTGGCATGCATCCTCTGCAGATTAGGTGGGACTACTGAAAGTCTCAGGATACAAAATCAATGTGCAAAAATCACAAGCATTCCTATACACCAATAATAGACAGACAGCCAAATCATGAGTGAACTCCCATTCACAATTGCTACAAAGAGAATAAAATACCTAGGAATACAATTTACAAGGGATGTGAAGGACGTCTTCAAGGAGAACTACAAACCACTGCTCAAGGAAAAAGAGAGAACACAAACAAATGGAAAATCATTCCATGCTCATGGATAGGAAGATTCAATATCGTGAAAATGGCCATGCTGCCCAAAGTAATTTATAGATTCAATGCTATGCCCATGAAGCTACCATTGACTTTCTTCACAGAATTAGAAAAAGCTACTTTAAATTTCATATGGAAACAAAAAAGAGCCCATATAGCCAAGACAATTCTAAGCAAAAAGAACAAAGTTGGAGGCATCAAGCTACATGACTTCAAACTATACTACAAGGCTACAGTAACAAAAACAGCATGGTACTGGTACCAAAACAGATATATAGACCAATGGAACAGAACAGAGGCCTCAAAAATAATGCCACACATCTGCAACCATCTGATCTTTGACAAAGCTGACAAAAACAAGCAATGAGGAAAGGATTCCCTATTTAATAAATGGTGTTGGGAAAACTGGCTAGCCATATGCAGAAAGCTGAAACTCGACCCTTTCTTTACATGTTATACAAAAATTAACTCAAGATGGATTAAAGACTTAAACCTAAAACCATAACAATCCTAGAAGAAAACCTAGGCAATACCATTCAGGACGTAGGCATGGGCAAAGACTTCATGAGTGAAACGCCAAAAGCAATGGCAATAAAAGCCAAAATAGACAAATAGGATCTAATTAAACTAGAGTTTTTGCAAAGCAAAAGAAACTATCATCAGCATGAACAGTCAACCTACAGAATGGGAGAAAATTTTTGCAATCTATCCATCTGACAAAGGGCTAATATGCAGAATCTACAAGGAACTTAAACAAATTTACAAGAAAATAAACAACCCCATCTAAAACGGGGCGAAGGATATGAACGGACACTTCTCAAAAGAAGACATTTATGCAGCCAACAAACATATGAAAAAAAGCTTATCATCACTGGTCATTAGAGAAATGCAAATCAAAACCACAATGGGATACCATCTCATACCAGTTAGAATGGCGATCATTAAAAAGTCAGGAAACAACAGATGCTGGAGAGGATGTGGAGAAATAGGAAGGCTTTTACATTGTTGGTGGGAGTGTAAATTAGTTTAACCATTGTGGAAAACAGTGTGGCGATTCCTCAAGGATCTAGAAGCAGAAATACCATTTGACCCAGCAATCCCATTGCTGGGTATATACCCAAAGGATTATAAATCATTGTACTATAAAGACACGTGCACACATATGTTTATTGCAGCACTGCTCACAATAGCAAAGACTTGGAACCAACCCAAATGCCCATCAATGATAGACTGGATAAATAAAATGTGGAACATATACACCATAGAATACTATGCAGCCATAAAAAAGGATGAGTTTATGTTATTTGCAGGGAGATGGATGAAACTGGAAACCATCATTTTCAGCAAACTAGCATGGGAACAGAAAACCAAACATCACATGTTCTCACTCATAAGTGGGAGTTCAACAATGAGAACACATGGAGACAGGGAGGGGAACATCTTACAGTGGAGCCTGTGGGGGGTGGGTGGGGTGGCGAGCTAGGGGAGGGATAGCATTAGGAGAAATAGCTAATGTATACGACAGGTTGGTGAGTAGAGCAAACCACCATGGCATGTGTATATCTATGTAACAAACCTGCACATTCTGCACATGTATCCCAGGACTTAAAGTATAATTAAAAAAAGAAAGAAAGAAAGAAAGAAAGGAGAAAGATCTAAAATCAATCATCTAAGTTTCCATCTTAGGACACTAGAAAAATGGAGTCAATGAAATACAAGGTAAGTAGAATAAAAGAAATAAAAGCAATTTTGAAAACAGGAAATCAGTAGGAATAATTAGTGGAAGTAAAAGCTGGTTCTTTAAAATAAGCAATAAAATTGATAAGCTATTAAACAGGCTAAGAAAAAAAAGAAGAGAAAGCAAATGACTAATATCAGAAATGAAAGAGAAAACATCACTACAGATCCCATGAACATTAAAAGGATAAATAAGGAATACGATGAGCAACTCTTGCACATTAATTTGGTAACGTATATGAAATGAACAAATTACTTAAAAGACACAATCTGCCAAAACTCACACAAGAAGAAATAGACAATCTGAATGGACCTATATCTACTTAAAAAGTTGAATCAATAGTTAACAGCCTTCTAACACAGAAAACGCCCAAATTGGAGGGCTCACTGGTGAATTCTACCAAACATTTAAGGAAGAAATTATACCAATTCTCTACAATATCTCTCAGAATATAGGAGCAGAAGACCTGCTTGTAACTCATTCTATAAGGCCAGCATCACCCTAATATCATGCCAGACAAAAACATTATAAGAAAAGAATGTTACAGACCAATGTCTCCCATAAACATAGATGTAAAAGTCCTCAACCAAATATTAGCAAGCTTAATTCAACAATGTATAGAAGGAATTATATACCACAACCAAGTAGTATTTATCCTGGGTTTTCTAGGCTAGTTCAAGATTTGAAAATCAATTAACATATTTCATCATATCACTGCTTTGTAAATTTCCCATACTGTGATTATATTTCTTTTAGTTTTCTTTTTAAAACTAGAATTCAAACACATACACACAAGCAATTTTCTTTCAATGCATTTTTCTTTAACAGTTTCTGTTTAATGTCCATTTATTTTAATTGAGTTCTGTATTTGTGAAAATTATGGAAAAATAATTTGCTCATTTTTAGTAAAAATACTTCTATAATTTATGTCTACTTTTTAGTACACAGAGCCATAATCAAGCTACTTAAAAGGAAACTCAGAAATCTTTACAATTGTGATTGTGGATAAAATATAAACAAAAACTCTAGTAGAGTCTTTCAAACAATTAAATTGCGCACTCAAAAATGTAATAAAACACACTGTATGTAAACTATATAGATAGTAAAGGTAGTTTCCTTCATGCGTATAACCTTGAATTTATTCCAATCTGTTTTTTTAAAAGTTTGCAATGTATGCATATACGAATCAACTTCACTTTGGGTGATAGTGTTCCCCAAGTGGACAACATTCTTAGTCAATTAATGCAAAAGAGATAAAGTCTGGACCAAGGTCAGAAGTATATGAATCTCTTTAGAGCAACCTAGGTGTAGGTAGCTGAGGAATTAATTATATTTGAATTTGAGAAGAAGACGAAGGTCAATCACTATTTTAGTTATTTAACCTCAGAGAATTATCTCCATCTCAGATAATTCTAGAAACTCATTAAAAGACCTAGTGGATTAGTTTCTTCTCTGAAACACAGGGTAAAAATAATGGACTAATAAGCAGAAGCTATGACATGGCAAACCCAAATTAAAGAAATTGTTTCTATGACGGGAACTAGAGAACTGATTTTGAAATTGCTTGGTTTTGTTAAACATAAGGAGGTGAAGGGTTTTATTTTCCTAACTGAAGAACTAGCAGATAATATTCTGGGAAGCCTTTCATGTCTTTAACAGGAGTGGATGCTGGAATCAAAACAGAACTTTCCTTTTGTGAAATCTATGAACTTGAAAGGAAACGGAACATGTAGTGCTTCTTATTAAGGACACTTTTAAATTGAAACCTCAATATAATTTTATGCATATAATATATAAAAAAAATTTGATTAGGTATAGTTTCCTTAATAGTCCCTATTCAAAAAGTAGAAACAGTGATATAAGAACTCCAGGATTAAACTCACTTTTTAATACAGAAATAAAGCAGAAGTCTAAAAACTTTCCATAATTTTTCCAAGACAAAATTTTAAATATTTGCATAATATAGAATCAAAATCACTTCTGGTTGTAGCCCTCCCATCACATAATCTTGCTTACTGACATCTCTCTCCCCCATTACATACATTTTGGCATTTGTTATGAAATCTATCTGGTAATAACAATGCCTCATTAAGAACATGTTCTATGGAATAGACACCAAGTATACGATAACTATAAGCCTCCTTAGTGTTATTGACAATGTCTAGCTGTAAATTTGCGACAAAAATCTGAGTGTTCCAATTGAACCAATGTCTAATTTCTCGTTTCTTTGGCGATGACCAAGGGAGCAGGGTGAAGCAGTGTAGACATGGTTTCTGGGCACCAGGGGTCATTCCTAGCACATGGGGCTCTGTAATAGAGACATTCATGCCGAGAGTTGCTGACTTCAGTCTTGGAAGTCAAGAAAGTAAAAATGAAGATATCATGAAATGAGCAGGGGATGAAATACATGGGCAGTGTTTATGAGGAAGCAAAAAGAACATATTAGTGAACAGACAATAAAAGGTAAAACTGTACATTTGTGTTTAGGTGCAATAATTGGAAAAGTAGGAAGGACTTTGGATGTTCTTTCTCTCTTTTTATCTTAGTGACTGCTATATGATTCTTTTTCTTCTTTCCAGTATTTGATACATATTTTCCTGTTTCCTATCTAACATCTTCTCTCTCTGGTTTCAACCTATGTAACAACTAATATTAGATTCATCATTTTTAAAAACTACAGTGATATTATCATGTCAGGCTTAGCCCATTCGTATTCAAGATCTCATCATTTATTGTCAAGAACAACTAAATATATCTTGTTGGTCATACTTTCTTAATTTGTTTTCTCTTCTCCTTTACCTTTAATACCTCATATCTAGCAAGGAGAACATGAAGAAATAGTCTCTTCTCCAGAAGACTTCAAAATTCTGGGGTTCCTGTGCTTTCTGCCAGGAATTGAGAGGTAGCTGCTACCTGGCCTTGAAACAGCCCAGGGCCAGAAAACTCCAGCTTCTGCTAAATAAGCACTGATTTCTCAATATGTGAGTTTCAGTCCTCCTTGTGTAGACAGTCTCGACACCTGAATATGCACTGGTTTTCCATTATTAATTATAATCCTGGCTGTGTGTACTACTGAATCCTTGGGTTGTGGGGTTGGGGGAAGATAAGCTATGATGAGGGTTAGGGGCAAAGGTAGGAAAAGTCACTTAACACATAATATTTGCACTGGGATTAATGCAATAATGCTTTTCCATTTTTTTTTTTTTTTTGAGATAGGGTCTCACTATTGTCCTGGGCTCACGCAATCCTCCTGCCTCAGCCTCCTGAGAGGATGTAATTACAGGCACATGTCACCATGCCTGGCTATAGTGCTTTTTGAACAGAACAACCAAAGTTATGGTGAAACTCTCATCCTGTTAAATGGTAGTTAGCCCTTAATCTTCTTTTCTGACTCAGTCATCTCTGAGACTAGCAGAAGCACAGAGTGATGAAGCTAGGCTCGTGTATTTAAGGAAGTATCGCCTGGGCCAGTCTGTCACTTTAAAGGTGAGAAAGCTAAGCTCTAGACTTACTTAAAAAATACTCTTTGTTGCTTTCATTATTCTCAAAAGGTTATCCCATATACTAACTACTGGTGTTGGTTGTATCCTTTTGTGTAAAAATGGACAAAAAAAAGAGCATATGCTCAGAACTATGCATTGTCTATTCCCATCATATCTGTACAAATTTACACAAAGGTATCGTCAATTTTTAAAATTCTTCTCAGTCAAGTAGTCATCATCTATAGAATATGAGTTCAATTATCTAGTGGCTATGGAAACAAAACAGTCAACATGATTTTGGAGAGTGTTTTTTAATGTATTCAGTAAAGAGGAATATATCTTCACCTGTGAAGACATCTGAAATCAAATATTTTGGAGGTCAAAATGTTGAGTAGCATTTTATGAAAGGATTAGGTTCTAAAATCCACTCTAGATTATAATTAAATATAGTTAAATTCACTTTGTAAATATTGTGCAAAACCCTATGGAGTGTAGCGAACACAATGTTATGCATACGTTTTTAATGCAGAGTAATGTATGGAACTCATTAAATTAGTCCCAAGGAAGATGCAACAACAAAGGCACCATGCCTCTGTCTGCACGTTGAAACCATTCTGACTTTAAGATAATAATTGGGCTTACTCAATTCTGTTTAATGTTAAAATTCTATTACCTTAATACATTTTCATAAAAAAACGGACTGTCTTTGCTCTACAATCTTCCAGATGTGCATAAAGCAACAGAGAAGCATTTCTTCTTCCATGGCTTTACATTGAATAAGTTCTCCCCCAGCCCACTCATTTTTCAGTTAAAACCTTATGGTCATCTCAAATTATGGATGCAAAATGTGGATGGTCATTAGAAACACTTGAAAAGCATATTTGAAAATGTAGATTATTGATACCCATCCCGAGAAATTCCTATTCACTAAAGTTCAAAGTGGAGGTTGAGACCACACACATTTTAAAAAAGAAAGTTTCCCCAATGAATCAAATCATCAGCCAGATTGGAATAGCACTAATGTAGGAGATCCAGGAAATAAACGACAGGACAAATAATGCCAGATGCCTATTTGTTAAGGCTCCCAGCCTCTTAAACAGTCCCTTCTACCAAAGAGCCCTGTCAGCAGGCCTCCCCTTATGCTACCACCAAACTTCCAGGTTGTCAAAACTTGATGGGAAGAGACACATGCCTAATTAGTCCTTGCCTATCTTCCAGGGCAGAAGATGACCACAATCCCAGCTCTGAACAGTAGGCTATGTGCTCATTTTATTCATCTAGTGTGTAACTAAGACACCGCATTTCTATGGGGGAGAGGTGGGAAATGAAAAATTGGCAGAAAACTATAAAATTAATTCTCTTTGAGCTGTGCAGCTCCCTGCCTGGAATATTTTACCATTCATCAGCCAACTGAAATTATTTCGATACTTCCTTTTTGGCAATGAAAACCTAGAGGAAAGGAAAGTTTTCCCTTTCCTTTTACCCATACTTCCCTTTGACTAATTTTTGTTCTATCAGGGAAGGGTAAACTGTCCTGACCACACAAAAAAGCGGTTCTCCCAAGTTTACTGCCAGCTGTGTGCAATTTTAGGATGTTCTAATCTCTAGAAATGTAACATTTACTGGTTCTACTGTCAGATAAGTCCCTCTGGAATGTTCAGGATGTATGTATACACCCTCTGCAGTTGGGCCTTGAACCAGATGTAAGAAATAATGTACCATTCCTTTACAATACAGAGAGCAGGCTCAGTCTCAGGCCAAACACAAAATCAGAAATAGTTTTCTTTAGGTGCCTTTTTCTACTGTCCCAATTAGCCTAGGTCCCGTGCTGTACCCACAGTACCCACCAACCCTCCAATTCCTTCCTGGTTACTAGCACCTTAGCAGGAGACCTTTATCAACCACTCAGAAATTACACCTACAGACATCAAGTTCTATTCTATGAAGATAATGCTTGACTATGATCTACTGTGATCAATGCACTCTGAAAAAAAATCAACTTATGTTAGGTATTGTTAGTTCCTGGTGGGTTTATGCTTTAGCTCTTGTGGCTCAGCACAAGGCTCAGAGAAGGCATCCAATAAGTGTGCACTGAATGAAGGAAGAAGCATGTTTTCCTTCAAATGGAAGTCCTCTGGAAACAGTGCTTTACTTCAGTGGAATAACTGGTAATTCTTGAGGTTTTCATCTGGCTCTAACTCAAATATGACTTCTCATACCTCTTATGCATGAGTGGCTTCAAGAAAGAACTAGAACTGGAAGAGAAACAATGAATTTTCAGTAAAGTGGCAGGATACAGTCATATTTTATCTCAATACGCTATAATCTACATTAGAGAAAGTCTTTCAAAAGCAATTTCAAAGGAATTTTAGAGTAATTATTCCCAAATAATAGCTTTTAGCATTCAGCTACTTAAGAATCTATTCTTCCCTTCTTGTGAACAGGCCCAAAATACCTACCCAACTCTGTTTCCATGACTTACTAACAAAGTTCTCTATAGATTACTGTTCTCTGCTCACTCTAGGCCCAATTTTATTTGACAGTACACTACTTCATTTATTAACTCTCTCGCTTCCTGTCTCTGCTTATTGAAAGTGCCTTCATTTTTCCACATGCCAGCCCTATTCTCTTTCTAAATAAAACCCTTCCAATGGCTCTGGCCATTTCTCTGTTTTTTTTTTTAATCTGGTTTTGTGCTCTTCCTGTCTTCAGCATGACCATCTCATATTGTTTTTAACTATTTCAATTGCATTTTAAATTATCTAGGAAGTTGAAAAAGATTCTGTCTTAAATATTCTATATATAATGAAAGAAATTAATTGTTTAATAAACACTTGTTGAATTAAATGGCATCAAATTAATGATTTCAACTCACCAATCTCATAGCTAAAAAAGATCATTACAAAATACACTGTTTAGGGTCACTTAGGGAGAATGGCAGAAGATCATCTATTTTTACAGTCTCTGCCACCAGGCCTGTGTGACTGGATCTTTTCCTGAGATTCCAGAAGCTCCAGAGGACAACTGTGGACCCGCATCAGGACACAGAATACGTTTTCCAAGTCTATATAGTTTATAGCTAAGGTGACTATTAGACCAAACCGACTTACTCAAGGTTTTATTGATGAAGAGGAATTTGTCTATTTTGGACATTTAGAAATCCTTTGAGAGGCCTTTTGTGAACAAATAAAAGTGTGTCCAATTATTCAATCAATGTGGCCAAATATTACATAATGGCCTATTTTTGCTAGAAGATATTATCTCTTTGAAATGGACAACACACATCATTTTGGTTATTATCCTCTAGAATTACTCACTCAGATGTTGGCTAATAAAAGATATCTGATCCATGAACTATTTCTATTTATTAGAAAATGAAGAGTGTTTGAGATCTGAATATTTTACACAAAACATACAAGCTCCTGTGCCAAAGATAAGCCCCCGTACTTGTACTCAGTAGAAATCGTCCATGGTTTCCATTTTCTTGAAATGGTTGTAACCTTGGGTGATAGAAACCTTGATGACCACCAAGGCTTTTCTGACAAAGGGAGAGTACTTTGCATCTTCTTCCAATCTATCACAATTAGAGTGGATGAATTAAAAATATCCAGTGTGCACTAGATGGGGGTTCTGTGTGACTGCAGGCTGGGAAACACTCACAGTAGCTGCTCCACTGCATTGGTCCCATTAGCTGCACTTCATGAGGGGACACATTCACCTTCTTAGGAGAGTTCAGGGCTCCATGTCTCTGCCGTAGAAGCCTGGCTACATTGCACAGCATTGTTTGACACTTCCCTGGAATTGAGATGTCCCTCCCAGGATGTCTTAGTTCATTCTGGCTGCTATAAAAATAATACCATAAAATAGGCAGCTTAAAAACAATAGAAATTTATTTCTCATAGTTTCCGTAGGCTGAGAAATCCAAGATCAAGGTGCTAGTAGATTTGGTGTTTGGTAAGCATCAGTTTCCTGATTCATATATGGGACTTCTAGCTGTGTCATCACATGGTGAAAAGGGCAAAGGAGCTCCTTTGGACCTCTTTTATAATGGCACTAGTCCCATTCATGAGGGCTGAGCTCTCATGACCTAATCAACTCCCCAAATGCCCAACCTCTTAATAACATTACCTTGCGAATTAGGTTTCAGCATAGGCATTTGCGGGGACACAAGCATTCAAACCATAGCACAAGAACCAGCATTTTTACTCAGAAAGCTGGATGCAAACAGGGCCTCAAAGAGAGTTTTCAGTTTGCATTTTTCCTTTGCCAGCCAGCGTGCAGATGGAGGGGTGGGTTGGGAGTATGGTGGGTGTTTTCATGTGAGTATTTTGGATGGCAGTAAATGGGGATGCTAATAAACACATTTATTCCTGCCTTCACTGCAGTTTGTGGCTGTCCAACTGACACTTTAGCATCTGGTGGAGCACTGTGTAGGTCAACCGCAGATACCATGCACAGCAGTCCTTACAGAAAAATTGGATAGAAATAGGAAGAGCTGGAAAATACACAGCCTCTTCACTGGGCACTGTTTTGCAGTATGACCACCTGAAAATTTACTATCCTAGGTCAGTTCATTCACATTGTTTCATTTTTTTTTTCCAAAGCAATCACCTAGTTTCAAGGTGAATTTTGTTTGTGCATGTGTCATTTGTGTGTTTGTTTGTTTCCTCAGTAGGCAATCAGGGAAAAGGCTAAATAGAATCATCATGAAATGCATCACTGTAATTTGAAAATCTAGAGATAAGGAGACAAGGTAGCTCTCACAGTTTGTTTTACACACTATTTTTAGTTTATTCTGCTTCACTTCAACCTCATAACTAAAAGTAGTGCTCAGCATCCACCTAGTGTATGCCAATAAATCTTGGCAGAAATTTATGTTGAAGTCAGCCTTTGTATGAATAATTACATTTGTAATTATGCTACAACTCCCAAACCCAAATGCTACAATACTTAGCTAATTTCAAATACATAAAAAGTTCTCAGTGTAGAATAGTTATTGCTCTCATTTTATTCATGGAAACTTAAATTGGAGTCCCAGTAATCGAAAGAATTGTGTGGTTTTGAGAAAGTCGCCTGGCTTTTCTGGGCTCCAATTTGCTTACCTATAATATAAATCCATAGGGTTGTGGGGGTGGATCAAATAGGAGAAATTTCAAGGCCCCTTTCTATGTTCACATTTTATGGTTTATGGGAAGAGACATCTTAAGGAATGCCTACTTGTATCTTATGATAGTCCCAAATCAAGTTTAAAAAGTGGAATACATGTTAGAAGTAGAGTGCTTTCACAGATTCTTTTTTTTCCTGGTTAATTTGTTTGGTTTAAGCATCCAAGCTGTGAGAACTTAATAGTTTGGTGAACTCATGAACATTTGCAAAGAATCATTGGTTTTTCAGGGCAATTGCACAAGCTCAGTGCTCTCATGCTTTCATGGAGCAATTGCAACAATTCCCAAACCCAATGACCTGCTTTCTCGGGTTGATATTGGTCTTACTTCCTTTAAGAAAGTGATTCTTGAACAAAATTTACATCCAAGTATTATTTATTAGAACACAAATTTTCATTGATTATGTGTTCCCTTATTATTTCATTCACCAAACAGTAATGGGGTACAACTATGTCCTGGGCAATTTGGGAACTGCAAATATAAATAAACTCTTAATGATGTCAAGAACTACACATAGGGAGACCGAGTTTTCAACAGTCATAACACCCTCCCCAACTGACCATTTATATAATTTCTCAATTGATCTCTGGAGAAAAGGAATACCGAGAAAATAAGTTAAAGTGAATATACCCTTTTGTAATTCATGTGTTGTATCCAAGAAGATAGAGTGGACTAAAATATGATGAACAATCTCTGTTGAAGCAATATTTCAGGGTGAAAAAGGTAAAGGTATTAATGGATGCTGGGAAATTGTCCATGTTTTCATCCAGCTACATGTCTTCATTCAACTATTTATTCATTCATTGATTTAAAAATATTTATTGAATGCCTAGTATGTGCCAAGTATTATGCCAGGGAAAAGAACTGACAGTTTCTCCCTCCCTCCAAGAGCTGACATTTTAGATTGGGATGATGAGAGCAGGTACCTAAGGCATAAAATGCCTTCTGTTATGATATATCAAGATTTTTGAAGTACCAGGAGTCAAGGATGTCTTCTTGGACGAAGAAAAAGATATCTTGAGATCTACAAAATTAGTAGGAGTATTCAGGTAAGGTGCAAGGTGAGGACTGAAGCAAAGAAGAGGAGGAGGAGTGTGTGCCATGCAAAAGAAAGGAACAGCATGCACCAAGGTCAAGGGAGGAGAGAAAGCAGGAAATGAAATTAATTCCATTTTATCAATGTGTTGACCTCGAAAGAGGGCAGGGAATGGCATAAAATGGGGTTGGTAATATAAGGAGAGAGAAATGTTGCAGGGCCTAGTAGGGGTTGTAGGCAAAAAATGATGTGTTTAGGTCTGGATATGAGAGTAATCACTCAAATTTCAGTGTGAATTGAACACGGTGAGAGCAGTTAGGAGACTGATACAGGAACCTAATTGTTACTACAACTTGTTATTACTGAGGTGGTAACCTAATTGTTACTACAAAGGAGATAATGACTTGAAGTAGAAAAACATCAGTGTGTTCTGGAAAAAGGAAGCAATATTTTAAAAAGTTATTAAAGACAAAATTTTGCTATGCTTCCCAGGCTGCATTCAAATTCCTAGGCTCAAGCAATCTTCCTGTCTCAGCCTCCCGAGTAGCTGGGACTACAGGCACATACCACTGTGGCTGGCTAAGAGGAGGCAATTTTGAAAAATCATTAGTAAATGGAGGGTAGATATGACTTTTTGATTAGATGTAGGAATTAAAGAAAACTTTTACTGGGTTTCTGCCTGGATTATGATGTCATTCATTGGCCAAGGTGGAATAACTGATGAAGGATGAAGTGTATTATTGAGAGGGGAGAAGATGACTTCTATTTCCAAAATTCTGAATTTTATATGCATATGGTATATCCAAGTGCAGTTTGCCAGTGGGCAGTTTCTTTGGCTTAGATTCACAACTCAGGGAAGATAGGAGAATTTGAGCTTGGGGAATCATCATTATAGAAAACATAATTGGAAACAGGGGGATCAAGATGGAGTGTATGAAATCACCCACTGAGTAGAACAGAAGAGAGTAGAGTACAAGACTTTAAATAATATTAATATGTAATATATGTAATAATCTTCATAATATTTAATAATTAACATTTAAGAGAAAGAGTATTCTAGCAAGGAGATTGAAGGGAGTGATCAGAGATGTTGGAGGAAAAAGCATTTTTGTACCAAATGTCACTAGAATGTTCAGCTTGACATTTATCTATTTGTGCTTAACTTATTTCCTTTCTTCTGAGCTCATCTGTGTACTGCAGAGAATTAGACCAATTAAAACTACATTTTCCAGATTCCTTTGTGAATTTGGTTTCAGCAATGAGAAGTGCTGTCTGGATATTAAAAGATGTAAAGAAGAGACAAGCTACTCATCTTTTACGGTCATTCTTTTTGGTGATCCCTCCAGCAGCAGTGACAAGGTCCACCAGGCACTATGGGCTCCCCCAATGTCAGAAATTTCCACACAGAGGTTTCACCAGCAGCAGCACTTTTTTTCCACCAGTGTCAGCTGTAAGCGCACTCCTGAGTGGTGGTGAAGCTACCTATTGCCTTTTTTGTCCTATCATAGACATAGTAAAAGTTTCCTGAAGTTACTTCCTGTGGTAACTTGATTTCTGCTCTTGTTTCTTCAGCCTTTCAAACACCCCAAATTCCTAAAAATGACTTGCAAGATACTGCATGATCATGCCCTGGATAATTTTTCTTAATAATTCGTGTTGTTCTATTCTCTCATTTAAAATGAACACTCCAATAGACTTGAGGTTATTTTAATTCTTCCATTTTTGTAAATAGTTTCCTTCTCTTCCATCTGAAACATCTGGCATGGTTCTTGTGTTCTTGGTTGGAACTATACTTATTTAGAGCTCCTGCTGAAAAGAGGATTGGCATTGAATGTGACAAGGAAGTTGCTGAGCATTTTGACAAGAACTATTTCAGTGTAAAAGTGGGATAAAAATCAGACTGCTGGGGGTTCAGGAGATTGAATGGTGAGTAAGTCCAGAAAGCAAGGCAGATGCTTTCTGGAAGTTCAGTCATGAAAGGGAGGAGAGAAAGAGAAGGCAGATAGGACAAAGCATTCTAGCCTTGCAATATTGAACATAGTAGGCTATAGTCATGTGTCATGAATTGTGATTAATCTAAATTGAAATGTGCTATAAGTATAAAGTTAATTTACTGGATTCCAAAGACTTAGCATGAATAAAGCAAATGTCTCAACAATTGTATAGGATTATATGTTGAAATGAAAATATATTAGATACATTAGGTCCAATAAAATAGTATTAAAGTGAATGTAATATATTTCTTTTTACTTTTGTTTAATGTAATATCTTCATATATTCAAGCTGCTATCACAAATTACCATAAACTGGGTAACAACAAAAGTTCATTTCTTATCATTCTGGAACCTGGAAAGTTCAAGATCCAAATCCTGGCAGATTTAGTGTTTGGTGAGGGCCTGCTTCCTGATTCACAGACAGTTGTCTTCCCTTGTGTCCTTGCTTGGAAGAATGGTTGAGGGAGCTCTTTGGGGTCTCCTTTTTAAGATTTCAAATCTCATTCCTGAGAGCTCTGCCCTCATGACTCATCACCTCCCCAAACCCCACTTCCTAATACCATTACACTGGAGGGTAAGATTGCAACATAGGAATTTGGGGGATCATACAAATTCTGTCTATAGAATTCATAGTTACTAGAAAACTTAAAATTGCAGATGTAGCTTTCACATTGCTGTTCTAGACTGATTGGAACCACCAATAGTGTCATACTCTGTCTTTATGTGTTATGGCCTACATGGTACCTGGTTTAAATAGTTAAGACCTAAAACATCATATGCATGTAAAGCAATCTTGCATCAGAGCAAGCATAGATAAAATGCAAAAAAAAAAAAAATGCTACTTAACCCTGATCCTATAATTAGAAAAATAAATAACTAATTTTCTGTTCTCAGAAGACTCTTGAGAACAGTTGGAGTTTGGTAGCTGACATGATCAAGATTTACACTAGGAAAGTAATTATCATGGAAGAGTTGTAAGGTAGAATTGGGAAAGGAGAGACTGAAGGCAAAGAAACTACTTAGAGAGCTTTAATTAGAGTGCCTGGGAGAGGTGATGGAGGCCCAAATAAAGGCGGTGTACATGGAATCAAAAGGAGAGGGTAGTACAGTTGATATGGAAATATAATTATCAGTATTAGAATAATGATTACATGTAGAGGTTTTGGGAAGAGCCATCCTATCTAGCAGCTGTGCAATACACTGTTGATTTAGATCTGGCACTCAGGTTTCTGGTGGGTTTGTTTGGAAAGAGAAAATGTCACCATCTTTAAAGAAAAGTTTATTTATATTGCTGGTTTACCAAGGACCAGTGACATCACTGCATGCTCTGATGGTGCAGCGAAACCTCCTTATCCCAAATATTCTGAAATCTACAAATAGTAGGTTTAGTGGTAATGATATCGGATACAACTCCCCCAGCTCTCACCACCAATTAAGCACTTAATCAGAACATCAGCTGATTACTAATATGACATCACTCTTTAATGATGTTGAATAGCTATATGGAGTTGAAACTACCCTAGAGGTGGGGCAGCAGGTAAAGGCTCAAGGTCTGTCATCAGCAAAACCAACTATAAAAGTGACTTTATCAAGCAGAATCTCAATTTATTCAGCCATAAAATAAAAACAAAAATATCTGTCACCATATTAAAGTTACACCAGATCATGTAAGTGAATCAACTTTTAAACAAAGAAGCTTTATGTAACTATGCATAGCGTGGATTTTTTATGGCTTCTGTTTGAATTTTACACACAGATTTTTCCCCCAGTAGAGATGTAAATATTTCCAGACGTGAACTTTTAATGAGTAACCTCCTACACTATTACTTTATCTGCATTGTGAGGAAAAGCAGCTCTGAGCTAAAGGATCCATTAATAGGGCTTCCGACATGTAGCCACCCCCAAAGTAAATATGCGTGTTTGTGTTGCCTGCCTGTGTGTGGGAAGGGTAGGTGTGTATGTGTATTTCAGAGTTGAGGTGTAGAAAGAAAGGCCCACAGCTTGAACAAGCTACACTTGACTGTTTTGCAAAAACAGTTTCTACAATTAACCCTGCTGTTCTGTTTATAAAACCAAAATAGTGTAAACACACACAGTTGCTCTCATTAATTTTTGATAAGCAATAACACTTACAAATATTTTACCTCCAAGCATATGTTATCTGCATTTGGCTTCAGCAGCAGGCATATGCTTTGACATATGATGCTCCATCCTGCACCAAATGCACATGACTTGCATCTAAAACAATGGCTTATCTACATATGGGCAACTCATTGGCTGAGTGTTTGGGTCATTTATATTTTGGGAACACACAAATACCTAAACATGGAGCACTTCAAATTTATGAATATGTGTTATTCTATCCTTTGTTAAAATACTAATGGAAAGTAGTGGATTGAACATCTATGTAGTGTTTCCATGCCAGATTTTTGGGTGAGGGAGAATTTTTCTGAGCTCAAGTTATCTAGAGTCTTGTTCATAAGAAATCTGAGTGATAGAGAACATGAACATTAATGAGCAGACATTGAAAAGCCATGCCAGTTCCAATTAGACACCGGTGGGGAATGAGACCAGATTAACCTATTCAGGGAGGATTCAAGAAAAGAAAACGACTAGAGTTAGGGAGACAAAACAGAGTGTATTTCAGTAATTCAAGTGTGTGGTAATGAGTGTGTGGACTAAGGTGATAACATAACATAAAAAGTGAATGAAATAAAGAATCCCACCATTCATACTAGCAAAGGTGGCCATTGTCACTGACTTCTCTAGTTATTTATTTATTTTTAAGAAACAGGGTCTACATTGCCCAGGCTGGTCACGAACTACTAGCCTCAAGAGATCCTCCTGTGTCACTGGGATTCCAGGTGTGAGCCACCACACCCAGCACTGACTCCTCTTCTTCCTCAACAGCTGCTACTTCCAATTCTCTTCATCTTTTCTTACTTTACTCCAATAATTGAGCACTTACTCTATGTCAGGCACTGTGCCAAACTTTTTGTATGTATTGCCTCTTGGTCTGCACAACAATTTTAGACGTTTTTTATGCCTGTTGTTTAGATGAGTAAACTAGAGCTTAGAGAGGTGGAGTGCTTGGACCCAGTCACCCAGGTACAGTCAGAATACAATCCATGTCTGTATAACACTGAAGTCCAAGTGCATAACTAATGAACCATCAGCAGATCTACTGCCCCGTATTATCACAGGGTGTGCAGTCTATCTGTGATTATTTCTATCTTCTGTTTTCCTTTATTTTATTTTTAAAATCTTTTAAAATTTAAATTTAGGCTGGGAGCGGTGGCTCATGCCTGTAATCCCAGCACTTTGGGAGGCTGAGGCAGGCGGATCATGAGGTCAGGAGATCGAGATCATCCTGGCTAACATGGTGAAACCCCATCTCTACTGAAAATACAAAAAATTAGCTGGGCTTGGTGGCAGGTGCCTGTAGTCCCAGCTACTTGGGAGGCTGAGGCAGGAGAATCGCTTGAACCTGGGAGGCGGAGGTTGCAATGAGTTGAGATCGTGCCACTGCACTCCAACCTGGGTGACAGAGCAAGACCCTATCTCAAAATAAATAAATAAATAAATAAATAAATAAATAAATAAATAAATAAATAAATACATACATTTAAAAGTAAAATATGCACATTAAAAAAACCCTCAAGCATTACAGAAGTACACAGAGTACAAAGTTAATGTCCTTACTCACCACTGGACTCCTCCCCACCAGCAATGTCTATCCCCTCCGTGGAGGCAACTGATAATGGTTCAGAGTGTGGCTTTTCATATCTTTGTCAAGGATGAAAGCAATCTTTGCTCCATTAAGAATTTACCTTGTTTTGGATACATTTTGGTATATGAGTCACATCTTATCTTCTCATCCTCCTTGGTGTTGGTAGAGAAGATGGGGCAGAGGAACAGGATACTCAAAAAATATGTTCTATATAGTAGCATAAGTAATGATTTTAATTTCATCTTCTCACAAAGTTTAAGAAATATAATGAAATAACAGTTCTACCCTGTACATTTACATTTCAACAAATATTTAGAGCCTATAATGATCCCAGTAGTTACATTACAAATTCTTATTAAACAAACTCTCGGCCGGGTGTGGTGGCTCACGCCTGTAATCCCAGCACTTTGGGAGGCTGAGGTGGGTGGATCACGAGGTCAGGAGATTGAGACCATCTTGGCTAACACGGTGAAACCCCATCTCTACTAAAAATACAAAAAATTAGCTGGGCGTGGTGGTGGGCGCCTGTAATCCCAGCTACTCAGGAGGCTGAGGCAGGAGAATGGTGTGAACCCGGGAGGTGGAGCTTGCCGTGAGCCGAGATAGCGCCACTGCACTCCAGCCTGGGTGACAGAGCAAGACTCCGTCTCAAAAAAAAAAAAAAAAAAAAAAAAAAAAAAAAAAGAAACCCTCAATTTTTAAGATGTTCATAGTCTTGCAAAGGGGACAAACATACAAAGAAATGAAACCAACAAAAAGAACGTACACAAGCACTAGTAAAGGTTCTTTGAAACCAGATACATATTATCCTGGTAATCTATTGCTGCATAAGAAACAACCTCAAATCTCAGTGGCTTTAAATAATTTCTCATCGTCTCTCATGGTTTTATGGTTTGGCTATGTTCAGCTGGTGGTTTTTGCTTAAAGCCTTCTATTTGTTGCAGACAGAAAACAGCTGGAACCGGAGTCATTGAAGACCCAGCTGGGCTGGATATCAAAAATGGCTTCCTCACTCATGGGTCTGACACCTCAGAGCCCTTCTATGTGGTGTCTCTGGCTCCCAAAGTAACCTGGACTTTTTTAATGGATATTCAAAGCTGTGAGAGGCAGGAAGCTAAACTGCTAGGCCAGTTAAGGCCTGTGCCTGTAGTAATTATAGCATCATTTCTGCTGTAACTTATTGGCAAAAACAGTCACAGGGCCTGACCAGATTCAGGGGAGTGGAGCAATAAATTTCACTTTTTGATAGAATCATGACAATGGCACTATCCAAATGCAGAAGAGCATATGGTGAGAGATATTTTTGAGCTGTCTTTAGAAAATACAATCTGTTACAAGTAGTAAAAGTAAAAAAAAAAAAAAAAAAAAAAAAAAAAAAGAATAATTAAGTGTTTTGAGAAGATGGAGCACCATAACCATAAGAAAAGCAATAGCTGAACCAAGTTTTGAATAAGCAGTTCCCAAGGCGGAACGGATGAGAATCAGGTAAGGAGAAGCATATTCCAGATACAGTAGGGATGTCCATGTATCTAGAGGGCTGAAATTGAAGCAGGATATTTCCCTGACCCCTTCGCGGAACTCGTGACAGGGGTGCCCGGTTTACTCAGTGTATCGTTCTCAACTCCTTGTGGGGAGGCAGTGCGTGAGCAAATGAGGCAGGAACTGGAGTGCATGAGTGCTGGAACCAGCGGCTGCTTCGGTGCTGGCAGGAGCAAACTCTGCGCAGGCCCCGTGGCAGCATCCAGATGGGGGTGCCTGTGACTCCTGAAGCCCCAGAGGGCGTGTTACAGTGCTCTTTTAGCTCTGCCATTTGTGGATGGTTTAGGTGTTAACAGCTCAGTGGGCCCTTTGCCTCGTCGCATGGGGTGGCTGCCCTCCGCCAGCAAGGGCAAAGGGCCAATGTGACAGCCTTTTGTTATCTGCACTTGTAGTTCCAAAGCTCTTGTCTGCTGTCCAGGAAAAATGAGGTCGCACGAACCAATTGAAGGATGGTAAATGTGGGGGATTTTATTGCCAATAAAAGCAGCTCTCAATGGGAAGGGGAGCTGAAAAGAGGATGAGGCTGATAGTTAATTTTCCCCTGAAGTACGGCCATTTCCGGCCAGATTCTTCTCCGAAATTATACCTCAAGCTGTCCCTCTGAAGTCAGGCCACTTCTCTCCGACGTCCAGCCATAGTCCTGTCGTCCGGCTGCTTCTACTCTCTGCCGGCTGAGTCTGGGGGGTCTTTATGGGCACCGAATGGGGTAGAGTGGGGTGGATCATGGGTAGTTTAAGAAAAGGCAGTATTCGAGGGGGAAAACAGGGATGATATATCTCACTTTGGGCTGTGGTTTCAGGCTTTTCGGCTTGAGGGCGGGATTTTGCCGGGAACCCACCCTTTTCTGTCTACAATTTCTCTGCCCCCTGATTATATATATATGATTATATATTTATATATATAATCATATGATTATAAAACACAAAATCAGAACTTTGACAAATGAGACTGGAGAGTTAGACACAGATGGAATAATGAAGGGCTTTGTTAATTATAACCATGTGAGCTTACTATGTACCTGCCATAGTATTTCATTTAATATTTTTAACAACCCAGCGAGGTAGGCACCATTTTCAGCCCATTTGACAGATGAGGACATAGAGAGGGACTACATAACTCCTAAGGTCAACCATTTGCAGCGGGGACCAAATGTGAAGAGGAGAGAATGAAATTTTGAACATTTAGTAGCAGAATCAGAATTTTTCTTTTTAGCTTATTCATATTTTAAAGAGAGGATATATTTGTATATATGTAATATCTAGGGAACCAAAACATTTCTTTACAGTGAAAATGATTATTGTTTAAAAACCTTGTCTCTCAACCTAATTACTTTAACTTTTCTGTGAGTACAAGGCTCACAGTTTGTTTCAAATTAAATTTATTCAGAACTACAAGTCATCATTTGCATAGACAGAGAGACCAATTAGAGTTCTTATCTGATAGCTGACAAATCAGCTTTGCAGGAAGCATCACACCTTCTCTTTGTTGTCAGCCCCACAAAACGCTTCTGTGATTCTGCCTAGTAGCTTCACCTATTCAACCTACTCTGATATGCGGACAACCTATTTAGGCCTCCAAGCATATGCAGCCTAGAGGAGATAAATCTGAATGCGCAGACTTGGGTGCAAAAGTAATAGTAGACTTGAGAGTATGAGTTCGTACAAAGCAATGCATTATTGTTTTTTTCTCTCTTTCTTTAGCTGTTATTTTTTATCCTGTTGTGATAACAGAAGGCACTTTGGTCATAGCAGGAATAAAGCTTCAGGAGACATATCTACTGAAAAAAAAATAAAGAAAGACGGAAAGAATGAAAGAAAAAAGATCTGGGCTAACAACCAGTGTTCATGAGGTAAATACTTCTCTTTCTCTCTGAGACATGTTGTGTGGGACAAATTGAATTGACATGATCAAAAACCTTTCATACTCACAACAGGAAGCCCTAGGCTAGAGGGGCAATTCTTGTGAACTCCTTGGGCAGATACTGTTTGAAGGGTCCCCTTAAATGCTTTGTCACTTCTCAGTGAACTTACATCCATTATCTGCTGGGGAGGAAATCTGTGGGAAACTTGATGTGTTCTTTTCACTTGACCTCCAACCAACTGTTTCATGAGCACTTTTATTTGATAGAGACTGCACCCGTAAGAGTTAGCTAGAAGGCTGGTTTTCATTCAAAACAACTTGGAAACTATGGGAATAAAACTGGCTAAAAATTCCTCACTTGATTGAAAGGATTTAAAGAAAGAAACCTTCCTTTTTCATTCTCCCCTTTTTCCACTGGTTTTATTCTAATCAGATGGATTCAGTGCCCAGAACACAACAAACTATGAAGTAAAATTGTAGTTTTTGTTTAATAATGGGAAGTTTATTGTGGGAGATCTGGAGGAAGAGAATTTACTCAGATCTAACATTTGGGGTTCTAACTCCCTCCTTGGGAGAAAACAGCCTTAACTTAATTAGCAACTGCCTTCTGAGCAAGGTGGAGGGCTACATGAGGGAGGAAATACAAAACATTTTCTTTGGCTACATTCTCTTTCCTTAAAGACCTTGGTTTTGCATAAATAATTTATGTAGGCCAAACAAAGGAAACAAAATCCTCCTCCTTCCCTGAGGTCAGGAAAATTGAATTACTTTAAGATTACTTAGCATTATTATTATCATTTCTGGGTCACTAAAGCCACCAACCTACATTTTTAGCAGTGAGATATAATTCCCAGTTTTACTCTGTTTTTACACTGTGTTGAAGAAGCCATGCAAAATATTGGGATCTGTTTCTTAGAGGTTGGAGTGGAGCAGATGCAGGAGCCAGAAGCCAAAATAGCTGCAGAAGAGATGTGAGAACTAACTTGAGTGCAATTCATGGTCATTTTCTAGCAGTTCTGGGCATCTTGTTTGTAGTGTTTCTCTCATGTCAAGGTCTTATGAAAGAGTTAATTATCTATATTGATACAAGAGATAGCAATGTGTGGCATAGACCCAAGGCAGCGGAAAGAACTGGTAGAAAAAAAGGCAAGGGAGAGAAGATCTCATGTGTGAGCTCAGATACAGACCTAAGGGGAAATTGGAGAGGACAGTACAATCTAGAGCAGAATAAAGCTAGCTAACCATACCAAGTGAAGCTTAAATAAAGAAGCTCTATGTCTGGTGTTTATCTTGTGCTCAGGGGTAGGTGTAATCACTTGGCACACTGTGTAAAGAAAATAGGCTTTCCCAAAACCTCGCTATAGAGTAGGGAGGTTCCACCAGACATCTCACAGTCTTAGAGCTCAGAGTAGCTAAACATGCAAGTGGTCAGTGTAGGCAAAAAGCGACAGACAGACGTTCACAAGATCACAGTGAAAGTTCTGTCTAAATACTAGGTTAAGGGATAGTTATCAATCCCTAGTTATAATGTTAGTAGACACATTTGGAGCAGGGGACCTATTTCACAGCCAAAAGTATAACTTTCTTCTTACAAACCCCAGTTTTATTCTATTGAGTAGAGATCAAAGGATAAACAGTTGAATTTTTCCACCTAGGTTTTTGATCAAGTGGATTTGACAACCACTCTAAATATAAGAAAAATAAAAATAAATAAACTTTGAGAACTTAGTTGGATATATTCTCACAGGGAATTCTGTAACCAACTCAAGTCTGGCTGCTCACCAGTCAGAGACCAAAAGCAAGAGGCAAGGTGTGGTGAAAGGAAAGAAAAGTTTTATTACTCGAACACTAGCAGTTGGGAAATGACCAGGCTCATGCCCTTAAAAGGCCATTCCCACCCTTTGGGCTGAGTGAAGGGGTTTAAAAAGGAAACATGCAGGAGTGGTTTAGGAGGGTGCAGGTAGCGTGTCTTGGCCTTATGGCTATCTTGAATAATCTCTCCTCTGGAGGTCTGGTTGGAATCACCTTGACTTTTGTCCAGATTGTGGTGGACTAATAGTTTGTGACTCCCACTAAGTGGGAGGATTCTGCAGCTGGGTCTCTGTTCCTGGTTTGTTTCAAAATTAGCCCCTGGAATTTCTAAGCAAGCACATAGTTAGATAAGTGAGCACTTTGCATAGGAGTACTTGGTGAGGGAAACAAACAGTTCTAAAAAATACAAGGCTAAATTCTGAGATTAAGAAGGAAAGGAAAAAAGTTTCAAAATGCATTTTGAAGCTAAGCTCCTCAGTAACAATTCCAGTAAGTATAAAAGCAATGAGAAAGAATGGTGCCTCTGATGAATGGTGCTCCAGGTCAAGAACATCCTCCACAATAAAGCTGTCTGCTGAAGTCAGAGGGAACTGAAAGCATCCACAAGGCCAACCAGAGACCCCATCAGATTGGCAGTCATTGGAGAAACACTCAAGCACTCAAGATTGCTGATTTTCACAGCTTTGAAGGTGACTTAGCTTCTCATATGTAATAAGCCTAAACGAATAGGCCCTCTTGTGACCAGTCTGTGTGGGTTGGTGGAGTGTCAGAGTGTCAGAGACACTCCGTAACAAAGAACTGAAAGGAAGTCACCACAGGCTTAAGGAGTACAGAAAATGCTTTTCAGCCCCTGGGAAGCTTATAATTGGAGCTTGAAAAACAGAAGCTTTGTGATGACCAGGCTGGGATATAATTCCTAGAAATGGGAAGTCTTTTGGAAGCAAGGGCTTCAAAAGAAGGTAAAGAGGCCATGTGATAGATGATATTAATCATGACAAATGGCCTTTGTCACAAGGGAATAAAGGACTCGACAACTATCTGCACATGTGTCTCTAAAGTCACATGAAGCTTATATGTGTCATTTCTAAATACCTTTTTATTCATTTTTTCAAAAGATATTTATTGAGAAGTTATAATAAACCTAGTTAAAGTACTGAAAACTATGAGAGATATAAAGTAATCAAGGTCAACTTCAGAAGAAATAAAACCTTCTTTTCCTAATGTTTGACAGAATCCTAACGTATGCCTTAACTTTGTTCTTGAAAGAAGTATCACAAATAAAATTTAAACTTGACTGGGACAAAATGTAGGCTTTCAATTATGTATTTTGGCGGAGAATATTACCTTTACTTCAATTACCCCAAGAAATATTTGCGCCCTCCCAAAAGTTAGTTATAAACTGGAAAATTTAAACATGATGTGAATTATTTTTTCAATAAAAAAAAAATTTCCTGAATTTTTCTGACCTTGCTTCTCTCTGATTCTGAACAAACTTTTTTCGAAAACATTTAACTGAGTACCTAGTACATACCTGGTGAAAATAATGAAAACTGTGTGAGATGCAGAGTGATGTAATCTCTACTCCAGAAGCGAAACATAATTTGTATTTTTAAGGCCTTGATTTCTTCTCCCTTATATTTAGAAAGCACTATTATAGCTTAAAATGCTTTAATGCATAATCATCATTATTATATTATCATTTATGAGGACTTAGTATATACCAGACCCTGTCCTAATGAATTTATGTACATTACTTTTCTAAATACACACAACCATTCCTTCAGTAGTTACTATTATTATCCCCAATTTTCTGATACAATGTTTTTAAAAGCTGAGATCCAGAAAAGGATTAAAGCAGCACAACACTGTAGGCAAGAGAGGTAATGCAGTCCTGTTTTCATCCTATCTCAGCTTCCAGGAATTACTGATGTATTTAGCCAGTTAAGATAAATCATGAAATTGATGCTTGTTCACTTGGGAACTTTTCCAGTCCTTAAAGGCTAAAAGAGGTCCTGTCTGGCTAAGAGTAAGCTTTTATTAACATGAAAACATGTATTAAAGATGAAAATCACTGCTTAACTATTGGCTTAACTATCGTGGTTGCCAGCCATTGGTTTTGTGAGCTCACTCAGGACATTCTAGTCACTCATCTAATACTTAGTGGAGGATTACTCATTCATTTATACAGATAGCCCATAGAATCAAATATATTTAAGCCATAACCTTCTTGAGATCTAAACTATGTTAGCTTCTAGGTACACAAACTCAAGTCACTTATGATTCATTTCTACATATATTTAAACAACTAAAATTGTGCTCACTCTTTCGATAAATATTGAATTATTGCTTTGTACCACGCAGTCTACTATGTGTTGGGACTTTAGTGATAAATTAGATAAAATTTCTCTTCAAGAAGAGAGAATTTTAGAAAATGAAAACAGGAAAGCCAAAGACCCTGAAGCAGAAATAAGCTTTATGTGAAACAAAACAAAACAAAAAGGATGTGAACGTGGAAGCAGGGAGATGAGTTAGGAGGTGGTTATAGTTAATACAGAGAAACACTTAGTGGCTTCAACTGTAGCGAGAGAAATAGTGAGATTTGAACATATTTTTCTTCCTTTTTTTTTTTTTTTTTTTTTTTTTTGAGATGGAGTCTTGCTCTGTCGCCCAGGCTGGAGTGCAGTGGCGCGGATCTCGGCTCACTGCAAGCTCCGCCTCCTGGGTTCATGCCATTCTCCTGCCCCAGCCTCCTGAGTAGCTGGGGCTACAGGCGCCCGCCACCACGCCTGGCTAATTTTTTGTATTTTTAGTAGAGACGGGGTTTCACCATGTTAGCCAGGATGGTCTCGATCTCCTGACCTCGTGATCCACCCACCTCGGCCTCCCAAAGTGCTGGGATTACAGGCGTGAGCCACCGCGCCCGGCCTTGAACATATTTTTCAAATTTAAAACTAATGTGATTGGCTGATGATATGAATGTAAAGGTAACTCCTGGGTTTTTAGGAGCTTGGCAGAAGCTGTTGTCATTTGTTAATAGAAGAAACAGGCTTCCTATGGGATAAAATAAATCAATAGTTCTCTGTGAGCCATATTAAGTATGAGATGCCCGTGACAGTAGAAATGTCACACAGGCTGTTGGATATATTAGCCTAGTGCTCAAGAATCAAGTCAGGGCTGAAATGTGCTACATGCTGAAGACACAGCATAAGTATGGTCTCTGATCTCAAGGGCCCTCCAATCCAATGTGCTTTGTTGGAAATGATCTTGGCTGTTGGAAACCAAGATCTTGTTTCTTTCTCCACTAGTTACTTATCTTTATAAGGGCAGGGATCTTATTTTACACATCTCTGAAGCTCCATTGTTTAACATAGAAGATGCTTATTATATTTTTGTTAAGGTGGGCTGCATATAATCAATCCAAATAGAGAACCACTGGACTGAGACATTAATAAATGTATAGACAGGAAAAACATGATATGAGGTATGGCTTCTTCTCTTCAGGAGCTTAAACTTGAGATGATTCAGTAGAATACTGGAATTTGAGAGATTATATAATGAATGCCAAATATATATAAATAAAAGACTTCTAGGAGATAAGTGGAGAGGAAGATATTTGAAGTCTGTAGAGGTCAGGAAAAGCTTCATGGAGTCATAAGTCTAGATTTGATTTTGGGGGGATAGGTAGGAATCAGAGGATTGTTGAGAAATTTGCATGATGACATGTACCAAATCATATTCTCACAAAGGTAGACAGTGTAGGATATCAATTTGAATAAAAAAATTGGAACTGGTTGAGCAAGGCTATACAATATTAAATAAATATTTAGAATTTATCATGTATAGACCACTTGGTTGGGGGCTTTTCAAGGTTTGTGCAATGAGAACTAAGAATATACCAACTCATTATCTCAACTTTCATAGAAGAAACCTTAATGATGAAATAGAAGAGTAGAAGTTGTCAAAATGCCAGGAATCAAGTCGCCTTACAAAATGATCCTCACACTCAAAGAGCTCTACTGTAGGTATATCACTTCCCTCACTGCCAGAAAGACCATCATTAAAGGATCATTCCTGCAAGCCTAGAGAGCACATTTGTCTTTCATCTAGAATCTATACTCTAATGTATTTTGCTCTAATACTTTATGGGATATATACTGATGGTTGTAAAATATTCAGCTTAAGATGGCTAAGTAGAATTCTAAGTTTGAGAAGAAACTTAAAAAAGGTCACCAAGAAACTACACAGCTCCATTTTGCTCCAGGATCAATTTATTGTCCTTCCCTCTGAGTTTTATAAACATGTTCTCTCACAATCAAAGAGCAAATTTCCTTTTGAAAATACTATATACTATCTGAATAGTGTTCACATTATATTTTAAAAAGAAACCTTTTTTATCACTTCATTTGTTTCTAAAGTATTTGTTAAAAGAGTGGAAAACAAATAATAGATTTCTTCCTGAAGCATAAAAAAACCTAACTGTCCCTGAACAGTGACCATCCATATCAGAATACTGGATGCTGTTCCTTTTCCCTTGACTAAGAATTCTGTCTATTTTCCTGTCACTGTCTGGCTTTTGCTTCCACATCTCCCTCCCTAGTGTCTTGCAGCATCATTTTAAAATATTCACTAAGGGAACTTGCTGACTCTGCTCTTCACACCTGAAATGTCAGAGCTAAAACAGAGAGCTTTTGAAATGCAACTGGAGGCACAAGACAAATTGAGTGCTGGCCACCTCTTGTCCTCTAAAGCCATCCATTCTACATGTCCCACAGCCTCCACACTATTAACTCCTCAAGTTCTAGACTGGTGTCAAAAATGCCTAGCTGGCTAATCAAGAGCTCACTTAAAAAGGATAAAGATTTGGGGAGTTGGTGAGCTAAGTAAGGAGCCCCATCTAATGAGAACAATGGAAGAAGTATCAATTTTCACTGGTTGCTTTCACTGAGGCTTGGCAAGTTCACAGACTATTTTAGCTGTGCTGGGTTATGTTATGGGGTTGCTGACCACCTTTGGAACATTGGTACAAGTATAGTCTTTCTTCCATTCAATTTAGCAAAGATAGACATTTGTTATGTGATTTTTTTTCTTATTTATAGTACAAGTCCCACTTTTATTTTCCCCTAGTACTCTGCAATCAAGCCTTTCTGAGTGTTGTCACACTAGATTTTAGGTGTTTGTTCATATGCTTGTATTCTTTACTAGACTAGAAACTCCATAAGGGCAGGAACTGGGTTGTGTTTGCTTACCATTTGTACCTAGCAATAAATATATGGGCTAACATGCATTCAGTGAAAGTAGTCATTGCTGGAAGCATGAAAGAATGAACGTCAACGTCATCACAACCACAAAGGTGAATAAGGGCCCATCTCTGTTTCTACATGGCATTTAGTCTAGTTGAGCAGACAGCCACTCAAAAACATATTCTGACATTTTATTAGAAGCTTTTACCCTCCTTCCATTTTTTGAGTTTGGAGTTTTGATTTTAACTAAGGGATCCCTATGCAAGTATACATATTTTCTTACACAGCTGCCTTTCCTGGTCATTAATGTATTTTCTTGCTTAAAAATTACTTGCTTTCAAGTGATGACAGCGAGATGGCTGAAAGGAAGCCCTAAGCCCATGTTACCCTGTGGAGACACTGACTTAATATACAGACCAAATTGCCTTTATGAAAACTCCAGAAACCAGTTAAGAGGTTGCAGCCGCCGAGAAGAGGACAAAGCCACAAAGAACTGCAAAGAAATGGGCATGAAAGTTTGTTGCATTTGCTTACCCTACCCCCTTTCCTCTACGCCCCCACCCCCACTACAGCATAGTACAATCTAGACAAAACTCCTAAGTCCTAGCTTCTCTCTTGGAAGTGAAAAAGAAGAGTAGAACATGTGCTAAACATTCTGGTTTTTCAAGGGGCATCCTGAAAGATTGTTTCCTGTATTGCTGGACTTGGAGCACTGAATGAAACAGTGCTGTACATTGGATGCCAAGTTGGGGACTGCTGAACACAAAGGTGAGCACTGTGTCTTGTAATGGTACCAGAGAGACTACAGTACTGCAGAGAGACACCAGGAGGAGCAAGAGATTACAGAGTGTTTAGAAGAGACCGAGACAAACCTTTTTTTAACTGGGAAAGCTATACTCAAACAATCCTAGAGAAAATGTGTCTCTAGAAAAGTCTCCAGAACCTGTAGCCAGGCTGGTTGGTGAATGCCTTCTCCTTACAAACCCATTCCTTAATGATTGAGAGAGTTGGCTATTTTTTCAAATGCCCAAATCTCAACTAAATATAACAAGGCATACAAAGAAACAGAAAAACATAGTGCAATCAAAGGGGCAAAGTACATCTTCAAAAAGGAACCCTAAAGACATAAAGACTATAAATTTCCTAACAAAGAATTCAAAATAACCATTTTAAAGATGCTCAATGAGCTAAAAGAGAATAAAGATGGACAATATACATCTGGAAAATTATTCACAAATAAAATGAGAAATCAACAAATAAGTAGAAACTATAAAAATAAGTGAATAGACATTCTGGAGCTGGAGAATATCATAAATGAATTAAAACATATACTAAAAGGATTTGACAGCAGACTTCATTAAGCAGAAGAATCATCCATCTTGAAGACAGGTCATTTGAAATTATCAAGTCAGAGGGAAAAAAAGTTAATAATAATTTTATAAAGTAAAAAGAACCTAACAGACTTATGGATCACTGTCAAACAGACCAAATATGCATTATAGGAATTCCAGGAGGAGAGAGAAAGGAACAAAGATTGGTGTGAAGAAACAATAGGCAAAAGCTTCTTGAATGTAAGAAAGAAAATGGATATACAAATTAAAGAAACTCAATAAACTCCAACTAAGAGATGCAAAGAAACCTACACTGCAACACATAATAATCAAATTGTCAACAGTCATAGGCAAAGATAGAATCTTTAAAACAGTAAGAGAAAAGAGGCTCATTATACATGGGAGCTCCTATAAGACTGTCAGAGGATTCTCAGCAAGAACTTCACAGATTAGAAGACAGTGGGATGATATATTTATATCGGGAAGTGCTGAAAGAAAAAGCTGCCAATCAAAAATACTATATTTATTAAAACTGTCGTTAAAAAATAAAAATAAAACTTTTCTAAAGAAAAGCTGAGGGAGTTCATCACCACTGGGCTTTCCCTAAAAATGTTTAAGAGAGTCCTTCATGTTTAAATGAAAAGATGCTATACGACAACATAAAAACATAGAAAAATGTATACCTCTCTGGTAAAGGTAAATATATAGACAAATACACAGTCCTATAGTCTTATAGTGGTGATTTAGAAATTATTTAAGTTATGGTATAGAATTTAAAAGCTGGAAGCATTCCCCTTGAAAATCAGCACAAGACAAATTTATCCTCTCACACCACTCCTATTTATCCTAGTGTTGGAAGTTCTGGCCAGCACAATCAGGCAAGAGAAAGAAATAAAGGGTATTTAAGTAGGAAGAGAGAAAGTCAAACTATCTTTGTTTGCAGATGACATGAATCTATATCTAGAAAAGCCCATCCTCTCAGCCCAAAAGATTCTTAAGCAACTTCAGCAAAGTCTCAGGATACAAAATCAATGTGCAAAAATCGCTAACATTCCTATACAGCAACAACAGGCAAGCAGAGAGCCAAATCATGAATGAACTCCCATTCACAATTACTACAAAGAGAATAAAATACCTAGGAATACAGCTAACAAGGGCAGTGAAGGACCTCTTCAAGAACAACTACAAACCACTGCTCAAATAAATCAGAGATGACACATACAAATGAAAAAACATTCTACGTTCATGGATAGAAAGAATCAACATCATGAAAATGGTCATAATGCCCAAAGCAATTTGTAGATTCAGTGCTATTCCCATTAAATTACCATTAACATTCTTCACGGAATTGGAAATTATTTTTAAATTCATATAGGACCAAAAAGAGCCCGAATAGACAAGGCAATCCTAAGAAAAAGGGAAAAAAGCTGGAGACATCATGGTATCTGACTTCAAACTATACTACAGGGCCACGGTAACCAAAACAGCATGGTACTGGTGTAAGAACAGACACACAGACTGATGGAACAGAATAGAGAACCCAGAAATAAGACTGCCCACCTACAACCATCTGCTCTTTGACAAACTTGACACATATAAGCAATGGGGAAAGGATTTATTATTTTATAAATGGTGCTGGTTGGCTGGGTGAGGTAGCTCATGCCTGTAATCCCAGCACTTTGGGAGGCTGAGGTGGGTGGATCATGAGGTCAGGAGTTCGAGACCAGCCTGGCCAACATGGTGAAACCCTGTCTCTACTAAAAATACAAAAATTATCTGGGCGTGATGGCTTGTGCCTATAATCCCAGCTACTCTGGAGGCTGAGGCAGGAGAATCTCTTGAACTTCGGAGGCGGAGGTTGCAGTGAGCCTAGACAGCACCATTGCACTCCAGTCTGGGCAACAGAGCAAGACTCCATCTCAAAATAAATAAATAAATAAATAAAATAAAAATGGTGCTGGGAGAACCGGCTAGCCATATACAGAAAATGAAAACTGGAGTCCTTCCTTACACTATACAAAAATCAACTCAAGATGGATTAAAGATTTAAATGTAAAACCCCAAACTATAAAAACCCTAGAAGAAAAGCTAGGCAATACCATTCAGGACATAGGCAAGGGCAAAGATTTTATGAAAAAGATGCCAAAAGCAATTGCAACAAAAGCAAAAATTGACAAACGTGATCTAATTAAACTAAAGAGCTTCTGCACAGCAAAAAAACTCCAAACAAACAAACAAAAAAAACTATCAACAGAGAAAACAGACAATCCCCAGAATAGAAGAAAAAAAAATTGCAATCTATATGTCTGGCAAAATTCTAATACCCAGCATCTACAAAGAACTTAAATTTTCAAGAAAAAAACAACCCCATTAAAAAGTGGGCAAAGTACATGAACAGACACTTTTCTTTTTTTTTTTTTGAGACGAAGTCTCACTTTTGTCCCTTAGGCTGGAGTGCAATGGCACAATCTTGGCTCACTGCAAGCTCTGTTTCCCGGGTTCAAGCAATTCTCCTGCCTCAGCCTCCTGAGTAGCTGGGATTACAGGCACTTGCCATCACACCTGGTTAATTTTTGCATTTTTAGTAGAGACAAGGTTTCACCATGTTGGCCAGGCTGGTCTCGAACTCCTGATCTCAGGTGATTCACCCACCTTAGCCTTCCAAAGTGCTGGGATTATAGGCATGAGCCACCGTGCCTGGCCCACTTCTTTTTTTTTAATTATACTTTAAGTTCTGGGGTACATGTGCAGAATGTGCAGGTTTGTTACACAGGTATACACGTGCCATGGTGATTTGCTGCACCCATCAACCCATCATTAGGTATTTCTCCTAATGCTATCCCACCCCTAAGCCCCCACCCCCCAACAGGCCCTGGTGTATGATGTTTCCCTCCCTGTGTCCATGTGTTCTCATGAACAGACACTTCTCAAAAGAAGACATACATGCGGCAAACAATCATATGAAAAAAAAGCTCAACATCAATGATCATTAGAGAAATGCAAATCAAAACCACAATGATATACTATCTCACACCAGTCAGAATGGCTACTATAAAAAGTAAAAACAAACAAACAAATAAAAAATACTGGCAAGGTTGTGGAGAGAAAAGAACACTTTTACATTGTTGGTGGGAGTGTAAAGTAGTTCAACCATTGTGGAAGACAGTGTGGAAATTCCCCCAAAGACCTAGAGGCAGAAATACCATTTGACCCAATAATCCCATTACTGGGTATATACTCAAAGGAATATAAATAATTCTACTATAAAGACACATGCACATGTATGTTCATTGCAGGACTATTCACAATAGCAAAGATATGAAATCAACCTAAAATGCCCATCAATGATAGACTGGATTAAAAAAAGTGATAGATATACACCATGGAATACCATGCAGCCATAAACAGGAACAAGATCATGTCCTTTGCAGGGTCATGGTTGGAACTGGAGTCCATTATCCTTAGTAAATTAACACTGGAACAGAAAACCAAATGGAGCTAAGTGATGAGAATATATGGACACATGGCTGGGGGAGCAACACACACTGTGGCCTGTCAGAGACTAGGGGGTAGAAGAGAGAGCATCAGGAAGAATAGCCAGTGGATGCTGGGCTTAATACCTGACTGATGGGCTGATCTGTGTAGCAAACCACCATGGCACATGTTTACCTATGTAATATACCTGCATATCCTGCACATGTACCCCTGAACTTAAAAGTTGGAAATGTTTAAAAAAGAGAAAAGCACAAAATATAACTAAATCTATGTTCATTGATACACAATATAAAAAGGTGCAATATTTGACATCAGTAACATAACTTTGGGGGGAGTAGAAATGTAAAGGAATAGAGTTTTTGCATATGATTGGATTTAAGTTCTTGTCAGTTTAAAATAGATTGATATAACTTTAAGATGTTTTATGTAATCCTCATGGTGACCAAAGGCAAAATACCTGTGGAAGATATACACAAAAAAGTGAAAGGAATCAAATATGTTGCTACAAAAAAAAAAAAAAAAAAAAAAAAATCAGCGAAACACAGATGAAGGCAATAACAGAAAAAAAAGAGAAACAAAATATCTATGAGACATACAAAAAATATGACAATAGTAAGTTCTAACTGTAAATGGATTAAACTCCCCAATCAAAAGACATAGATTGACTGAATGAATAAGGAAACCAGATCTAACTATATTCTGTCTACAAGAGACTCACTTTAGATATAAGGGCATACGTGAGCTGAAAGATATAGAATAAAAATATATTTTGTGTAACAAAAGAAATCAGGGGCAGTTATACTATATTAGACAAAATATACTTGAAGCAAAAAATTGTCACAAGAGACAAATAAAGACATTATATAATCATAAAATGGTCAATTCATTAGGAAGACGTAATAATTATAAATGCATATGATGTACCTAACATAAGAGCTCCCAAATATATGAAACAAACATTGACAAAACAGAAGGTAGAAATAGACAGCAACACAATAACAGTAGGAGACTTCAATATCTGACTTTTAATAATAGATAGAACAAGTAGATAGAAAACCTATGAGGAAACAGCAGACTTGGATAACACTATATACAAATTGGAACATACATACACACACATACACAGACACACACACACACAGAATACTGCAACCAACAAAAGCAGTAAACACATTCTTCTGAAGCACAGATTAAACTTTCTTCAGGATAGATTATATTAGGTCACAAAACAAATCTGAAATTTTAGAAGATTAAAATCATACAAGGTATCTACTCTGACCACAATGGAATGAAACTAAAAAGTTATAACAGGAGTAAAACAAACGAACAAAAAATCCACATATATGTGGAAATTAAACAACATGATCTTAAACAAACAATTGGTCAAAGAAAAATCACAAGAGAAATTAGAAACCATCTCAAGAAAAATGAAAAAAACACAACATAATAAAATAAGTGGGATGCAGCAAAAGTAGGACAAGTTGAGCATCCTTAATCTGAAAATCCAAAATTTAAAATGTGCTAAAATCAGAACGTTTTGAATGCTGGCATGACACTCAAAAGAAATGCTCTTTGGAATATTTCATATTTCAGAATGTCAGATTAGAGATGCTCAACCAGCAAGCATAATACGAATATTCCAAAATCTGAAAAAAATCCAAAATTTGAAACTCTTCTGGTCCTAAGCATTTTAGATAAGGGATACTCAACCTGTACCAAAAAGGAAGTTTATGGTAGCAAATCTTACCTTCAAATAGAAGAAAGGTTGCAAATCAGCAACTCAATTTTATACCACGAGGAACTACAACAAGAGAAAACGAAACCAACAATTAGCAAAAGGAAGGAAATAATAAAAGGTTAGAACAGAAATAAATGAAATAGAAAGTAAAAAACAGAACAAATTTAAAAAACTAAGAGTTCTTTTTTAAAAAGGAGCAACAAAATTTACAAACCCTTAGATTAACTGAGAAAAAAACAAAAAGGACAACCCAAATAACTAAAATTAGAAATGAAAAAGGAGACATTACATCTGATGCCACAGAAATAAAAAGGATTGTAAGAGACTACTATGAACAATTATGCATTAACAAATTATATAACTAGAAGAAATGGATAAATTCCTAGAAATACACAACCTACCAAGGGAAATATGAAGAAACAAAAAATCTGAACAAACCTATAACTAGTGAGGAGGTTAAACAGTAATCAAAATCATCCCAACAAAGAAAAGCCCAGTACCAAATGGCTTCACTGCTGTTAGTCTACCAAACATTTAAATAAGAATTAATGCTAATCTTCCTCAAACTCTTCCAAAGCTTGAGGAAGAGGGAACACCTCCAAACTCAATGTATGAGGGCAGCATTATCCTGATACCAAAGCTAAAGATACTGCAAAAAAAAGAAAACTACAGAGTAATATCCCCAATGAATATTAATGCAAAAATCCTCAACAAAATGCTAGCAAAAAAAAAATTCAACATCACATTAAAAGGATCATACACTCTGACCAAGTGGGATTTATCCCTGAGATGCAAGGAAGGTTCAACATACAAAAATCAATGTAATATATCATGTTAATAGAATGAAGGACAAAAAAAATCACATCATTGTCTGAATTGATGCATAAAAAGTGTTTAAAACAATTTAATATTTTTTCATGATTAAAGCTGTCAACAAACTAGGGAAAAAAGGAAATTAACTCAACATAATAAATGCCATATATGAAAAGCCCACACTTAACATCATATTCAATGGTGAAAGACTAAAAGCATTCCAGACTTTGGTGCTACATATATTTCAATTTAAGGAGCAATTTACTGTCAGTCCGCTATATTATTTTTTGTGTTACTATAGAAGCAGAGAACCTACTTTTAAAAGGGCTGCATATGATAAATTCTAGAGAATTTTAAGGTAAATAACTATATTCCCTGTATGACAAAGCTGATATTGACTCACACTCCAGTCTTTCCTTACGCAGGTGAATTTGAAGAGTTTTTTCATTGTTGTTGCTTTCAGGTTATGAGGGATAGCTGCCAAAATTCTAGAACTGTTACTTATTTCTCTAATTAGTTCCTAATTGGGGATGCTATTATGTTGCTCCTTAAAATGCAAAGAAGTCAGTTGCAGCTGCAGAGGTCTGTGTTCACCATTCAAAACCTTTCTGGCCTGAAAGGATGATAAACTCCTTAGTGCTTTCCCTGAGCAATGTGATTGGTTTCGTGTTTGTAGCCTATTGTGCTGTTGGTAACTCCTAGGCTTTTCTTGTATACATATATGTCAGAATAGGAAGAATTTGCTTCTGGTTCAATCAGTATTTCTCCTGGAAGGTGGAAGGGGACCTGGGAGAGCTGTTAATCCAGTCTGCTGGGTAGTGTATGGCAGAAGTGAAGAAGCAGGCTACTAAAACAATAGCCACGAGTGGTGGGACTTGATGATATATAGACTTCACCTGCTCTGGAACCAAAGCCGATAATAAAGTTTACAGTTTATAAAACACAGTCTTAAAATATTTATGTGGCTCTGTAGGTGAATTGGATCTGTTTTTCAACTCTGCATGCAATCATGCTGTACCAAAAGCACTGACCTTTATAAAGGAAAAATAGACGTTGTACTAAGCTGTTCAATGAATTTGATGTTCTACTTGAATAGGGATTTTGTGTTTGGTAGAGAAATTGGAGGAAGTAGGGAAATGATAAGAAAGGTGCTTAGCTACCTTAGTATTATATATAGAAAGCAATGGAACTTCTGCATTTCCATAAAATGTTAACTATCCTGAAAGCACACTATCCAACAGAAATTTCTGCAATAATGAAAACATTTTCTACACTGTCCCATATGATAGCTAACTAACCATATGTGGCTACCAAGCACTTGAAATGCGACTAATGTGACAAAGAAACTGAATTTTTTATTTTATTAGTTTTAAATCAATTAAATTTAAGTAGCCACACGTGGCCAGTGATGACCATATTAAGCAGTACAGCCTTAAGCATTGATTTTAATCTGTTTGGACTTACTGAATTTTTTTTTTTTTTTTGAGACTGATCTTGCTCTGTCCCCCAGGCTGGAGTGCAGTGGCACGATCTCGACTCACTGCAAACTCCTCCTCCCAAGTTCAAGTGATTCTTGTGCCTCAGCCTCCTAAGTAGCTGGGATTACAGGTGTGCACCACCACACCTGGCTAATTTTTGTACTTTTAGTAGAGTTGGGGTTTTGCCATGTTGGCCATTCTGGTCTCAAACTCCTGGCATCAAGTGATCCTCCCACCTCAGCCTCCCAAAGTGTGGGGAATATAGGCATCAGCCATCGCGCTCAGCCTGAACTTATTGAATTCTTTATAAATACGTTAAAAATTATGTACCCCTTCTACCTAGAAAAATACTCAATACAAACACATACTCTCCAGGTGTTCCCAGATGCTCTGAGTCATGTCTGTGGATCTGTAGTTGCTATATTCCCTGAGAACTTATATTCTGGACCGAGATACTTAGTAACAACAAATTGTGAATATGTGAGGATGTAACGAAAGAGAAAGTGAGGAGATCAGAGAAATAACTGATCTAACCATGTTGACATGAAGCACTGGTATGTGTGTACAAGTTACAGTTGACAGGAAATTCTAGACAAATAGCCCCTGGATATCTAAGTGGGCCCCTGAAGAGAGTACTCATGGGGAGGCCCATAGTTACTGCCCCTTCTGAAGAAGCTGGTGCCTATGTATGACTGCTACTTCTAAGGCACTTGTAGTCAGGTGCATGGTTGTGGGCTTAGGGTTACTGCTGGTTGACATACCAGCAACTATGAACTCAGAATGGGAGAAGAGTTAAGATAAACTGGAGTTCAGTGGACTATTGGACACTTCTGGCCTGCTATCCTAGTGTCTGACTATAAAGTTTTTTCCAAGAGTAATGACTCCACATTTATTTCTGCCTCCCAAATCTTACACAAGTTTCTTTCTTGACCGAAACTATTCTGAACCCACACAGGGAAGGGGAGTTTGAGAAATATAGTTTCCATTCTTACCCAAATTGACAAAACACATTCAAGCATATGGTCCAGCCTTCTTATATCATAAATGATTTTATGATTTATAAATGACAGTGCTTTTAATGTCATTTATAAATCATTGGGCATATCTAATCTATATTTCTTATTTTATAAGTGATTTTCAGAATGCTTTATAATTGATTGGCACAAGAATACCCAATGGGAGATCATAATTCAAACAGAAGTTGTCTAATCTTTAGTACATGGAAGGCTCTTTTTACTTCTACACAAGCTGGCAAACATGCCCCAAAGCTTTTATAGCTCATACTCTTATACTGATGAGAGAGGATAAAGGGCTGAATAATATTTAAGGACAGTTCCCATTTCCATTCAGAGACAGTGACTCAGGTGGAACCAGCCAAATGATCACTGGAGCACACAGAAAAAGCTCAGGGCTGAATTACTTATAGGGCTTTTTATGTCTCTGTGGATCATTGGCCTTTGGCTAAAATTCAGGTATATCTTTATAAAATAAAAGATTAATATTATCTTCCTTGCAAGCCGACTGAAGGAATGCAGTGGTGCTCACATTTACCCACTGTGCCAGCTAAGAAGATAAATCGATCACCATTCTTTTTGTGACAAACTTTTAGAAATAATGGTGTATAAGCAAATGAAATGCAAGGGAATTATTTATGTAATGGAGATATTTGTTCTCATAAATTGTCAAATTATAAATAGCTACTGACCTGTTAGATTTTCCTAAGGCTGTGCTCTTTGCTTTTATCAACTTTATATATGATTTATGAAGGCAGATGCCTTCTATTGAAAAAAATGAAAGAAAATCTGACTTGCTTATAAAAGGAATTCAGAAGTAAGTTTTTTGAGTTTTAAAATACACTGAATCAGGAGTGATAATATAAAATGTATATATATTCACCAAAAAAATCAAAACTGCCATGTAAAATACCTCATACTTTATAATTCATCACAAAACATTTATGAAGTTGATATTACAATGCCCATATTATATAATAAAATTTGAGATACATGGAAATGTGAAACTTGTTTATATTGTTATCGATGTCAATAGTAAAGATAACATGAGTTTGCCTTGGTCCTAGTCTATAAATACACTTTATCTTAAGATAGTCTAAAAATATATCTAGCCTTAAACTAAATGTGGAAATCAAAGTCATGTACTCCAAGACCCATGTTTTGTTTCTGTATAAAATTTGAGGAAAGCTTATTAAAAGGAGCTATTTTGTTATTTTATTACAATGAAATTGGCTGAAGACAGAAAAGTCCAGTCAAGGACCACATTGATGACATTTTGAATATATCATCTAAGAGAGAACAATGGAATTCAACAGAGAAGTGATGGGAAGCTCTGGCAGCTAAGGAGAGGGAAGGATGGTGTACTGTTCTGTTTTCATGCTGCTGATAAAGACATACCCAATTTTACTGGGCAACTTACAAAAGAAAGAGGTTTAATGTACTGAGGAGGCTTCACAGGTTTAACATGGAGGAAGGCAAGGAGGAGCAAGTTACATCTTACATGGATGGCAGCAAGTAAAGAGAGAGAGCTAATGCAGAGAAACTCCCATTTTTAAAACCATCATGTCTTGTGAGACTTGTTCACTATCATGAGAATAGAACGGGAAAGACCCATCCCTATGATTCAATTACCTATCACTGGGTTCCTCCCATGACACATGGGAATTGCAGGAGTTACAATTCAAGATGAGATTTGGGTGGGGACACAGTCAAACCATATCATTTCACCCATGGTCCCTCCCAAATCTCAAAACCAATCATGGCTTCCCAACAGTCCCACAAAGTCTTAACTCATTTCAGCATTAACTCAAAAGTCCACAGTTTAAAGTCTCATCGGAGACAAGGCAAGTCCCTTCTGCCTATGAGCCTATAAAATCACAAGCAAGTTAATTACTTCCTAGATACAATGGGGTTATAGGAATTGGGTAAATACAGCCATTCCAAATGGGAGAAATTGGCCAAAATGAAGGGGCTACAGGTGCCATGCAAGTTCAAAATCCAGCAGGGCAGTCAAGTCTTAAAGCTCCCAAATGATCTCCTTTGACTCCATGTCTCACATCCAGGTCACATTGATACAAGAGGTGGGCTCCCACAGCTTTGGGCATCTCCAGCCCTGTGGCTTTGCAGGGTACAGCCCCCCCGCCCCCCTTGGCTGCTTTCATGGGTTGGTGTTAAGTGCCTGCAGCTTTTCCAGGCAACAGCACAAGCTGTCATTGGATCTACCATTCTGGGGTCTGGAGGACGGTGGTCCTCTTCTCAAAGCTCCACTAGGTAGTGCACCAGTAGGAACTCTGTGTGGGGGCTCCAACCCCACATTTCCTTTCCACACTGCCCCCACCATGAGGGACCCGAACCTGCAGCAAACTTCTGCCTGGGCATCTAGGCATTTCCATACATCCTCTGAAATATAGGCAGAGATTCTCAAAACTCAATTCTTGACTTCTGTGCACCCACAGGCTCAACACCATGTGGAAGCTGCCAAGGCTTGAGGCTTTGATCCTCTGAATCAACAGCCTGAACTGTACCTTGGCCCATTTTACTCATGGCTGGAGTGGCTGTGACACAGGGCACCAAGTCCCTAGACCGCACACAGCAGAAGGACCCTGGGCCTGGCCCACAAAACCACTTTTTCTCTTAAACTGCCCGGCCTGTGATGGGTGGGGCTGCTGCAAATGTCTCTAACATGCCCTGGAGATATTTCCCCCATTGTCTTGGTGATTAACATTCGTCTCCTTGTTATGTATGCAAATTTCTGTGGCCAGCTTGAATTTCTTCTCAGTAAATGGGATTTTCTTTTCTATTGCATTGTCAGGCTACAAATTTTCCAAACGTTTATGCTCTATGTCCCTTTTAAAACTGAATGCCTTTAACGGCACCAAAGTCACCTCTTGAATGTTTTGCTGCTTAGAAATTTCTTCCGCCAGATACCCTAAATCATCTCTCTCAAGTTCAAGGTTCCACAAATCTCTAGGGCAGGGGCAAAATGCCACTAGTCTCTGTCCAAAAATATAACAGGAGTCACTTTTGCTTCAGTTCCCGACAAGCTCATCTCCATCTGAGACCACCTCAGCCTGGATTTCATTGTCCATATCATTATCAGCATTTTAGTCAAAGTAATTCACAAGTCTCTAGGAAGTTCCAAACTTTCCCACATTTTCCTGTCTTCTTCTGAGCCCTCCAAACTGTTCCAACCTCTGCCTGTTACCCAGTTCCAAATTTGCTTCCACATTTTGAGGTATCTTTTTAGCTGCCCCTCACTCTACTGGTACCAATATACTGTATTAGTCCGTTTTCATGCTTCTGATAAAGACATATCTGAGACTGGGCAATTTACAAAAGAAAGAGGTTTAATGGACTTATAGTTCCATGTGTCTGTGGAGGCTTCACAGGCTCAACATGGCAGAAGGCAAGGAGGAGCAAGTCATGTCTTACATGGATGGCAGCAGGCAAAGAGAGAGCTTGTGCAGGGAAATTCCCATTTTTAAAACCATCACATCTTGTAAAACTTATTCACTATCATGAGAACAGCATGGTAAATTCCTGCCCCTATGATTCAATTACCTGTCACCGGGTTCTCCCCATGACATATGGGAATTGTGGGAGTTACAATTCGAGATGAGATTTGGGTGGGGACACAGCCAAACCATATCACATGGCATCCTGCTTAGCTGAGAATAGTTGGGAGCTAGGAGAAACTCCCAGACATGAATAAAGGGTAAGTAAGCAGCCCCCAGGGCTCCACATTCCTGTCATGGACTTCTACAATTCTAGCTACAGGAGAGTCCCTCAACCTACAGGGGCCTCAAGGATAACAAGAGAGCTGCCTAGAGATGCACAGAGGCATTGCTTCAGGGAAGGAACTCATGCTGAGTCCCACAGGCATTTGAGCCATGAGCAGCTTCAGCATGGCACCATTCTGAGAGCCAAGCCCCTAAAGGACTGCATCCTACCCTGAAACTGATGCCACCACTGCTGATAAGGATGAGGGGGGAGGCCAGGCACCTTCATGCACCCTGAGGACAATCCCCCCTCTGCAGCTATGGGCTGCCGTGGGACCAAGATGCAAGCAAACTACACTCCCAACATCTACCTACCCATGCTGCTTCCACTGAGACTGGCTCCACCCTCCCCATTGACAGGACCACAGCCTGTGCCATTCTGAGACCTCAGTCTCTGAAGATCTATTTTGCCCTGGGACCAGAACTGCCACTGCCACTACCACCACAGGCCCAAGGACAGAGAGGTGAGACTGGGCACTTTCACACATCCCAGAGACAAATCCCACTGTTGCTACTGCAGGCCACTGTGGGATCAAAGTATGGGGAAACTTCACATCCCACAGCTACCTGATTATCCTGCTTCTGCTGAGAGGGGCTCTGCCCTTTGCATTGGTTGGCTCACAGTGCAGCTGCCACTGAATATACATGAGTATTATGCTGGAAAATTGGGGATAATGCTGTCACTGCCTATCACAGCCAGTGCCTGAACACATGACCATGGGGACTGAAACAAGTCCACTGGCCCAGTCCTACATGCCCCAACCCCCCTATATTCAAGCATATGATCCAGGGACCTGGTGATTGCCCCTACCAGTTGACCACTGTTGGCATCTGAACACTTCTCCCAGGGTCTGTGGTCAGGACAACACTACCTGCTGATATTAACACAGTTAGCACCCATCTTCATGCACTCCTAGAGGGCCAGGGGACTGGTCTACTCAACCCATCACAGCCAACACCACCACCAGCAAAGACCAGGGGGTTCCTCCAACTACTTCTTCTGCCATCATCCATATCATGTCTGCTGTCCAGGGACACAAGAACCTGCCCATAATCCTGGCCTACCATTGCCACTACCAGCATCTGAACAAGCCACCTGGAAACCCAAAAATCAGCAACCATGGACTCATTAATTATGATGCCAGTGTATGCCACACTGGGGCTCAAAGACAGACATACTTAGCCTACTGCTGCCACCACTGGGGCCTGAAGACTGGCCCACCTGGCTTCCTAGTCCTCAGCAAAACTTCACCAAGCCTCCACTAATAAACACCTCCTAAGCCACAAAGAAAATCCTGGATACCACTGACACTATTTACAGCTAAAAAATCATACAAAGATTATATACTACACACACACACACACACACACACACACACACAGAGTTTCAGGAAAAATTCCTTTCCTATAGAAGCAAATTCAACAATTGGAAGAAGTGACTCTTACATTAGATACATTTATATTAATGTAAGTACACAGAAAACATGGAGAAGCAAGGAAATATGATATCTCCAAAAATAAATCTACAGCAACATATCCTAATCAAAAAGAAATTTACAAAATCCCAGAAAAAGAATTCAGAATTCTAATTTTAAAGAAACTCAGCAACATACATAAGAATTTGAAATAGCAATACAGAGAAAACATAAGAACAATTCAGGATATTAATGAGAAGTTTACCAAAGAGATATATATTAAAACAAAAGAACAGAAACTCTAGAATTAAATAATTCATTGATTGAAATATAAAATACATTTGAAAGTTTCAACAATATATTAGATCAATCAGAAGAAAGAATCTCAGAATTTGAGGATAGGTCTTTTGAAATAATCCAATTCAATAAAAACAAAGAAAAAAGAAAAAATGAGCAAAGTCTTCATGACATTGGCAACAATAGAAAACAAGTGAATATTTGAATTATTGGTGTCCTTAAGGACATAGAATAAAAAGGTTAGAAAATATATTTAATGAAATAGTAGATGAAAACTTCCTAATTCTAGCAAGAAACTTAGACATCCAGATGCAAGAAATTCGAAGATCCCCAAACAAATGTAATACAAAAAGGTTTTCTCCTTCACACATTGTATTATTCCATTTCCACACTACTATGAAGAAATATCCAAGATTGGGTAATTTATAAAGGAAAAAGTTTTCATTGACTCACAGTTCAGCATGGCTGGGGAAGCCTCAGGAAACTTACAATCATGGCGGAAGGCAAAAGAGAAGCAGACACCTTCTTCACAGGAGAGAGTGACTGCAAGCAGGGGACATGCTAGATATTTAAAAACCGTCAGAGCTCAAGAGACTCACTCATTGTCATGAGAGCAGCATGGAGGAAACCACCCTCATGATCCAATTACCTCCATCAGGTAATCCCGCCCTTGACATTGGGGAATTATGGGGATCACAATTCCAAGATGAGAATTTGGGTGGGGACACAGCCAAACCATATCACACATTATAGTCAAACTGTCTCAAGTCAAAGCAAAATAAAGGATAATAGAAAGAGCAAGAGAAAAGCACCTAGGTACCCCCATCAGAATAACAGTGGATTTCTTAGCAGAAACCTTACAAGCAGGAAGAGAATGGGATGACATATTCAAAGTGCTAAAAGAAAACAAAAAACTTTCACCCAAGAATATTATGTCCAACAAAATTATCCTTCATAAATGAAGAAGAAATTGAGTCTTTTCCAGATAAGCAAATGCTGAAGGAATTCATCACCCTGAAACTAGCCTTCTAAGAAAAATTCAAGGGAGTTCAAAATGTTAAAGCTAAAGGATGAATTATAGTCATAAAAACACATGAAAGGATAAAAGTCAGTGATAAACCAAATACACAAATGAGGGACATAAAGGACTTAAATGGTACTACTAAAGTAAAACACCAACCTACAATGGCAAACAATGAGAGAAAAAGAAAGGAAAAAAGAATATACAAAACAACCAGAAAACAATTAACAATATGATACTTAAAAAACCTCTTATATCAATATTAACCTTGAATATGAATGGATTAAATTCTTCACTTGAAAGACAGAGAAAAATGAATAAAGAAAAATGATCCAACTATCCTAGAACAAACATATTTAACTTGAAAATACACATATAGATTCCAAATAAAGGGATAGAAAAAGATATTCCATGCAAGTGGAAACCAAAAGCTAACAGAATTAGCTATAATTTTATCAGGTAAAATAGATTATAAATCAAAAACAGTTTAAAAAAAGACAAAGACGGTCACTATATGATGTAAAAATTGATCAATCTAGCAACATGATATAGCAATTCTAAATATATATGTACCCAACATTGGAACACTCAGATTCATAACACAAATATTACTAGATATAAAAAGAGAGATAGATCTACTACAACTATAGTGAGGGATATCAACACCCCACTGTCAGTATTAGATAGACAATTTAGACAGAAAATCAATAAAGAAGGATTGGATTTAAAATGGACTCTAGTCCAAATGGATATTATAGACATTTACAGAAAATTTTCAATCAATTGCAGAATATACATTATTCTAATTAGCACATTGAACATTCTCTAGGAGAGACCATATAATAGGCCACAAAACAAATATCAACAAATTTTTAAAAACTTAAAATTATATCAAGTATCTTCTGAGACCACAATGGAATAAAAATAAAAATCAACACTAAGAGGAACTTTGGAAAATATACAAATACATGGAAATTATATAACATGCTCCTGAATGACCATTGAGTTAATGAAGAATTAAGATGAAAATAAAAAAATTTTTGAAACAAATGAAAATGAAAACACAATATGCCAATATCTATAGAAACCAGCAAAAAAAGTGAAAAAAAAGTTTATAGTAATAAATGCATACATCAAAAAAGTAGAAATATTTCAAATTAACAACCTAATAATGTACTTCAAGGAACTAGAAAAGCTAAGAAAAAAACCAAAATTACTAGAAGTAAAGAAATAATAAACATCTCAGCAGAACTAAATAAGAGAGACTTTAAAAATACAAAGGATAAACCAAATAAAATATTGGGTCTCTGGATAGATAAACAAAATTTATAAACCTCTAGCCACACTAACAAAGAAAAGAAGAGAGAAGACCCAAATAAAAGAAATCAGAAATGAAAAATGAGACATTACAATTGATATCAGAGAAATATTTAAAAAGATTATGAGAGTCTATTATGAGCAACTACATGCCAATAAACAGGAGAACCTAGAGGAAATTAATACATTCCTTGAAACATAAAGTCTACGAAGACTGAATCAGGAGGAAACAGAAAACGTGAACAGACCAATAACAAGTAGTGAGATTGAATCATATACTAAAAGTCTTCCAACAAAAAGTAGCCCAGAACTGGATGGATTAATGGCCGAATTCTACCAAACATGTTTAAAAAATACCAATGCCCCTAAAACTATTTCAAAAAATTGAAGAGGCAACTCTCCATAACTCATTCTATGAGGCCAACAAAAACTAGGCAAGAACACAACAAAAAGAAAACCATAGGCCAACACAGATGCAAAAAGTCCTTAACAAAATACTAACAAACAGAATTCAAGAGCACACCAAAAAGATAATACACCACAACCAACTTGGATTTATACTGGGGATGCAAGGATTATTCAACATATACAAATTAGTAAACAAGATATATCACATCAACAAAATAATATGATCATCTCAAAAGATGCAGAAAAAGCATTTGATAAAATTCAACATCACTTAAAAATGATATACATTCTCAACAAACTAGGAACAGAAGGAATATGCCTCAAAATAATAAAGGCCATATGTGACAAAATCCTACTAAATGGGGAAAAACTGAAAGTATTTCCTCTAAGAACTGGAACAAGTTAAAGATGCCCACTTTCACCACTGCTATTTGACATAGTCCTGGAAGTCCTAGTAAGAGCAATCAGTCAAGAGAAAGAAACAAAAGCCATCCAAAGTGAAAAATAGGAAGTCATATTGTTCCTCTTTCCTAATGACATAATCAGATATCTAGAAAAAACTAAAAACTCCACCAAAAGCCTTGTAGATTTAATCAATAAATTCAGTAAAGTTGCATAATATAAAACCAACATAAAAAGTCAATACACTACACACTAATAATGAGCTAGATGATAAAGAAATCAGGAAAGTAACCCCATTTATAACAGCTCCCAAAAATAAAATACTTAGGAATAAATTTAAGGAGGTGAAAAATATCTTCAAGGAAAACTGCAAAACACTAATGAAAAAAATTGAAGAGTGCACAAACAAATGGAAATACATCTCATGCTTATGGATCAAAAGAATAAATATTGTTAAAATGACCATAGTGCACAAAGCAATATACAGATTCAATGCAATCCCTACATATTTTCTATTTTCACAGAAATTTTAAAAAATTCTAAAATTTGTATGAAAACAAAAAGGGGCTCAAATAGCCAAAGGAAACCTGAACAAAAAAGAACAAAGCTGGAGGGATCACCCTGCCTGACTTCAAAATACATTACAAGTCTATTGTAACCCAAACAGCATGGTATTGGTATAAAAATAGACACATAGACAAATGGAACAGAATAGAGAGTCCGGAAATAAATCCATGCATTTACAAGCAACTTTTTTTTTTTTTAAATATAAAGTTGCCAAGAACACACAAGGGGGAAAGGACATTCTTTGCAAAAAGTGGTGGCAGGAAAATTGGATATCCATATGCAGAAGAATGACTTAAATATAATACCCAAAACTATAAAACTACTAGGGAAAAACAGGGAAAATGCTTTAAGACATTGGCATTGGCAAATATTTCATGGCTAATACTGCAAAAGCGCAGACAGCTATAACAAAAATAGACAAATAGGACTATATTAAACTAAAAGCCTTCTTCACAGCAAAGGAAAAAATGCACAGAGTAAAGAAACAACCTGTTGAATGGGAGAAACTTCTACGAACTATTTATCTGACAAGGGACGAATTAATATCCAGAATATACAAGGAACTAAAGCAACTCAACCACCAATATCAAATAATCCCATTAAAAAGTGTGTTAAGGACATGAATACAATTTTTAATAAGACATACAAATGGCTATCAGGTATATGAAAAAATACTCAACATCACTAATCATTAGGGAAATGCAAATCAAAACCACAATGCAATACCATTTTATCCCAGTTAGAATGGCTATTACTTAAAAAACAAGCAACAAAAAAGCACAGGTACTGTCAAGGATGAGTAGAAAAGGGAACTCTTGTACACTGTTGGGAATGTAATTTAGTACAACCACTATGGAAAGCAGTATGGAGTTTTCTAAAAAAAAAAAAAAAAATTAATACTATGTTATTATCCAGCAATTCCACTATTGGATATTTATCCAAAGGAAAAGAAATCTGTATACCCAAAGGGTATTGCAACACTCTTTACAATAGCAAAGATATGGAATCAACCCAAGTGTCATTGGTGGATTAATAAATTTAAAAATGTGGTATATATATATGCAACAAAATACTATTGGGCTATCGAAATGAATAAAATCATGTTATTTGCAGCAATATGGGTGGAACTTGAAGGTTATTATGTTAATTTAAATAAGTCAGATGACTTATTTAATTATTTAAATGACACCAAAAGACAGATGCCACATTTTCTTACTCATATGTGAAAGCTAAAATATTGATTTTCTAGAATTAGAAAGTAGAATGATATATACCAGAGGTTGGGAAAGGGGAAAGGGGAGATAAAGAAAGGTGGATTAGTGAATATAAACATATAGTTACATAGAAAAAATCACCCCATTATTTGATAGTAGAGTAGGGTGATTATAGTCAGCAATATTGTATAGTATATTTCCAAGTAGCTAGAAGAAGGGACTTGAAATGTTACCAACACATAGAAATGGTAAATACTTAAGGTTATGGATATCCCAAACACCCCCTCACTTGATCAATACATTTTCTTTTTCTCTTTTTTTGAGACTGAGTCTCACTCTGTCACCCAGGCTGGAGTACAATGGCACAATCTTGGCTCACCGCACCCTCTGCCTCCCAGGTTCAAGCTATTCTCCCGCCTCAGCTCCAAGTAGCTGGGATTACAGGCCTGCACCACCATGCCCAGCTAATTTTGTATTTTTTAGTAGAGATGAGGTTTCTCCATGTTGGTCAGGCTAATCTCGAACTCCAGACCTCAGGTGACCCGCCCTTCTCAGCCTCCCAAAGTGTGGGATTACAGGCATGAGCCATTGCGCCCAGCTTACACTTTCTATACATGTAACAAATACTAACATGTATTCCATAAATATGTAAAATATTTTATATCAAGAAAACACACTCCATCAGCAGTACACACCACCAGACAAGAGATATGACAAAGGGGAAGAGTGGAGAGAGATGGTTGAAGTAATTTGGAAACACTGGATACAGGTTATCCAGGAAAGCTAGAGGCTGTAAGGACTTGAAGCAAGGAAGTGATAATGATGCGAAGGAAATATCCAATAAGAGAAAATAAAATGATAAACTTACAGACTGAATGTAGTGCATAAAAAAGGAATAAAGATACACATTTATTGAATTTTAAACACTCAATATATAAACTCTCATTTAATCCTCACAAGAATCCTGGAATGCATTAAAATGCACTATTATATTCTCATTTTACATATGAGAAACTGAGGCACCGAGAGGCAAAGTTATTCAAAGTCATGAAAAGTTGAAGTCAAACCTAGGCTATCCAAGGCTTTGCTATACTAAACCACGTTCCAGATTTCTAGTTTGGGTTACGGGGTAGCTGGGGATGGATTAATTCAGATGAGGACTATAAGAAAATAATGCTTTGCTATCCCTCCCCTAGCCCCCAAACGCCTGACAGGCCCCGCTGTGTGATGTTCCCTTCCCTGTGTCCATGTGTTTTCATTGTTCAACTCCCACTTATGAGTGAGAACACGTGGTGTTTTGGTTTTCTATTCCTGTGTTAGTAACTTTTTAATCTGTAAATACACACACACACAGAAAGAGAGAGAGGGGAAAACGCTTTAAAAAGTAAACACTTTCCCTTACCAATCTTCTCAATAAATTAGTTATATTATTCCTGATACTCCTGGTATAGGCCAGGGTTTATTTACACACATAGACACACATTTGCTGCTGGTCAGAATCTGCAGGCCAACAAGGACAACACAAGAGTGTCATTGGCAAGGCTGAAAGACAAACTCACAGTGTATCTAGCAGCAAATTAGATTAATTAATGAACTCTAAGAACTAGTTCCATCCAGCAGCTCAGGGCATACCCTGAGCCACTTGCTATTGAGATTACAAGAAAAAAAAAAGTATTTATATTATCTTTTGAGATTCTTAGGCTTTTCTACCTATCCAGCCTGTCCTGGACTCACTGGGTCACCAAGATATCTATTGGATATTACTCTATTTCCCTTAATTATTTTGGTTTCTTTTAAATCCACCTTTCTTTTGAGCTAATTAACTTTCATTTTTTTCATGGTGTCTTTCTTATGAAAATGGCTCAATATGAGGCCCAGAAATAGCATTTTTTCCCAGGAATGTCATTTGTATTAGGTTGGTGCAGAAGTAATTGCGGTTTTTGCTATAAAAGTATGGCATAAACCACAATTACTTCTGCACCAACCTAATATTTCTAGTGTCTATTCTTGACAATTAGTTAGGCTGCTTACTAACATATGCAAAGACATATAGCAACATCCAGACCACACCAAAAAGATGTCACATATCTACGTACATTTGAAGGAGCCAGCCTCCTAGTGATTGCTTTCTTATGTTCAGATTGCAAAAAAGTATCAGATTTAAAAGTGTTAGTAACAATTGTTTTTGACTGCTTCTTCATGCAGAATGATTTATAATATGGCAAAAAAGAACATTCAGCCCTCATAGCCTTGGGAACATAAAGTGTTCCCAAGTCCCCTTTCACTCCAATGTATAACATTGATATATAAATAATACATGTACCCCCTGTAAATATTAAATGTTAAGAGTATTTCAATTTAAAGTTTTCATTATATGTGTGTCCTAAGCAAGTACAGTATTTACCCAAAGGTATGGTAGTGCCAAAGGATGCACTTGTTACTCAGGGTAAGAAGAAGAAAGGGAATTTTATCTGATTCTTACTCTGAGCCAGGTACTCTGCGTTTCTTGTTTAGTCTATGCAATAATCCTTTACGCAATAGGTACTATTATCACTGTGTTATATATAAAAAACCTGAGGGCTTAATACTTTAAGTATCTTGCTTAGGGTCTGAAATTGAGAACCAAGAAAAGTTGACTTCAAAAATTATTTTCTTTCTACCTTTATCAAAATAGGTTCTGTTCAATAGGACATTATAGGCTAATGAATAAAAGAAAAAATACACATGAAACAATTAATGAAAGGTAGTACAAAACAAGATTCATTTATGTAGTACCAACAATATAGACGAAAAACTTGCTAAGAGAAATCTATGAATATTGGAAAGAAGTTTATTCACAGATCTGGCACAAATGTGGTATGAATGAGGAAGTCCGCCTAATTCAGAGTTATTTACCTGTGAATTTGACTACAGTGTTGCATTAGTTTTTTATGGCTGCTGCAACAAATTAACACAAATGTGGTGGCTTAAGATAAGACCAATTTATTATTTCACTATATGGGTGAAAGTGTTTGTAGGGCCACGCCCCTGGAGGTTTTAGGGGAGAATTCATTCCTTGCTCCTTCTAGCTCCTGGAGGCTGCCAGCATTTTTGGTTTGCCACAGCATCCCTCCAATCTCTGCCTCTGTAATTCTCAGGCCTCTGAGCCCCAGCTAAGCCATGATATCCCCTGTGACCTGCACGTACACATCCAGATGGCCAGTTCCTGCCTTAACTGATGACATTCCACCACAAAAGAAGTGAAAATGGCCTGTTCCTGCCTTAACTGATGACACTGTCTTGTGAAATTCCTTCTCCTGGCTCATCCTGGTTCAAAAGCTCCCCTGCTGACCACCCTGTGACCCCCACTCCTGCCCGCCAGAGAACAACCCCCTTTTTCCTTTACCTACCCAAATCCTATAAAACGGCCCCACCCCTATCTCCCTTCGCTGACCCTCTTTTCGGACTCAGCCCGCCTGCACCCAGGTGAAATAAACAGCTTTATTGCTCACACAAAGCGTGTTTGGTGGTCTCTTCACATGGATGCCCATGAAATTTGGTGCCGTGACTTGGATGGGGGGACATCCCTTGAGAGATCAATCCCCTCTCCTCTTGCTCTTTGCTCCATGAGAAAGATCCACCTCTCTTTTCTCTGTGCTTGCCTCCTTCACTATGGGCAAGCTTCCACCTTCCATTCCTCCTTCTTCTCCCTTAGCCTGTGTTCTTAAGAACTTAAAACCTCTTCAACTCTCACCTGACCTAAAATCTAAGCATCTTATTTTCTTCTGCAATGCCGCTTGACCCCAATACAAACAACAGTAGTTCCAAATAGCCGGAAAACGGCACTTCCAATTTTTCCATTCTACAAGATCTAAATAATTCTTGACGTAAAATAGGCTAACGGTCAGAGGTGCCTGACGTCCAGGCATTCTTTTACACATCGGTCCCTCTCTAGTCTCTGTTTCCAGTGCAACTCATCCCAAATCTTCCTTCTTTCCCTCCCACCTGTCCCCTCAGTTCCAAACCCAAGTGTCACTGAATCTTTCTAATCTTCCTTTTCTACAGACCCATCTGACCTCTCCCCTCCTTGCCAGGCCGAGCTAGGTCTCAATTCTTCCTCAGCCTCTGTTCCTCCACCCTATAATCCTTTTATCCTCTCCCCTCCTCACACCCGGTCCGCTTACAGTTTCGTTCCGCAACTAGTCCTCCCCCACCTGCCCAGCAATTTACTCTTAAAAAGGTGGCTGGAGCTAAAGGCATAGTCAAGGTTAATGCTCCTTTTTCTTTATCCCAAATCAGATAGCGTTTAGGCTCTTCTTCATCAAATATAAAAACCCAGCCCAGTTCATGGCTTGTTTGGCAGCAACCCTGAGATGCTTTACAGCCCTGGACCCTAAAAGGTCAAAAGGCCGTCTTATTCTCAATATACATTTTATTACCCAATCCGCTCCCGACATTAAATAAAACTCCAAAAATTAAATTCCGGCCCTCAAACCCCACAACAGCACTTAATTAACCTCACCTTCAAGGTGTACAATAATAGAGTAGAGGCAGCCAAGTAGCAACATATTTCTGAGTCGCAATTCCTTGCCTCCACTGTGAGACAAACCCCAGCCACATCTCCAGGACACAAGAACTTCCAAACGCCTAAACCGCAGTGGCCAGGCATTTCCCCAGAACCGACTCCCCCAGGAGCTTGCTACAAGTGTCAGAAATCTGGCCACAAGCCAATGAATGCCCGCAGCCTGGGATTCCTCCTAAGCTGCATCCCATCTGTGTGGGACCCCACTGGAAATCGGACTGTTCAACTCACCTGGCAGCCACTCCCAGAGCCCCTGGAACGCTGGCCCAAGGTTCTCTGACTGACTCCTTCCCAGATCTTCACGGCTTAGCAGCTGAAGACTGACACTGCCCGATCGATTGCCTCAGAAGCCTACAGGACCATCACAGATGCTCTAGGTAACTCTCACAGTGGAGGGTAAGTCCGTCCCCCTCTTAATCAATACGGAGGCTACCCACTCCACATTACCTTCTTTTCAAGGACCTGTTTCCCTTGCCTCCATAACTGTTGTGGGTATTGACAGCCAGGCTTCTAAACCTCTTAAAACTCCCCATCTCTGGTGCCAACTTAGACAATACTCTTTTAAGCAATCCTTTTAGTTATCCCCACCTGGCCAGTTCCCTTATTAGGCCGAGACACTTTAACTAAATTATCTGCTTCCCTGACTATTCCTGGACTACAGCTACATCTCATTACCGACCTTCTTCCCAATCCAAAGCCTCCTTTGCATCCTCCTCTTGTATCCCCCTACCTTAACCCACAAGTATAAGATACCTCTACTCCCTCCTTGGCTACCGATCATGCACCCCTTACCATCTCATTAAAACCTAATCACCTTACCCTGCTCAATGCCAATATCCCATCCCACAGCATGCTTTGAAAGGATTAAAGCCTGTTATCACTCGCCTGCTACAGCATGGCCTTTTAAAGCCTATAAACTCTCCTTACAATTCCCCCATTTTACCTGTCCTAAAACCAGACAAGCCTTACAAGTTAGTTCAGGATCTATGCCTTATTAACCAAATTGTTTTGCCTATCCACCCCATGGTGCCAAACCCATATACTCTCCTATCCTCAATACCTCTCTCCACAATCCATTATTGTGTTCTGGATCTCAAACATGCTTTCTTTACTATTCCTTTACACCCTTCATCCCAGCCTCTCTTTGCTTTCACTTGGACTGACCCTGACACCCATCAGGCTCAGCAAATTACCTAGGCTGTCCTGCCACAAGGCTTCACAGACAGCTCCCATTACTTCAGTCAAGCCCAAATTTCTTCCTCATCTGTTACCTGTCTCAGCATAATTCTCATAAAAACACACGTGCTCTCCCTGCCAATCATCTCCGACTAATCTCTCAAACCCCAACCCCTTCTACAAAACAACAACTCCTTTCCTTCCTGGGCATGGTTGGATACTTTTACCTTTAGATACCTGGTTTTGCCATCCTAACAAACCCATTATATAAACTCACAAAAGGAAACCTAGCTGACCCCATAGATCCTAAATCCTTTCCCCACTCCTCTTTCCATTCCTTGAAGATGGCTTTAAAGACTGCCCCCACCCTAGCTCTCCCTGACTCATCCCAACCCTTTTCATTACACACAGCCGAAGTGCAGGGTTGTGCAGTCGAAATTTTTACAAAAGGAACAGGATCGCGTCCTGTAGCCTTTTTGTCCAAACAACTTGACCTTGCTGTTTTAGGGTGGCCATTGTGTCTCCGTGCAGCAGCTGCTGCCACCCTAATACTTTTAGAGGCCCTTAAAATCAAAAACTATGCTCAACTCACTCTCTACAGCTCTCATAATTTCCAAAATCTAGTTTCTTCCTCACACCTGATGCATATACTTTCTGCTCCCCAGCTCCTTCAGCTATACTCACTCTTTGTTGAGTCCTCCACAATTACCATTGTTCCTGGCCGGGACTTCAATCAGGCCTCCCACATTATTCCGGATACCACACCTGACCCTCATGACTGCATCTCTCTGATCCACCTGATGTTCACCCCATTTCCCTATATGTCTTTCTTTCCTGTTCCTCACCCTGATGACGCTTGATTTATTGATGGCGGTTCCACCAGGCCTAATCACCACACACCAGCAAAGGCAGGCTATGCTATAGTACAAGCCACTAGCCTGCCTCTTAAAACCTCTCATTTCCTTTCCTTCGTGGAAATCTATCCTCAAGGAAATAACTTCTCAGTGTTCCATCTGCTATTCTACTACTGCTCAAGGATTATTCAGGCCCCCTCCCTTCCCTACACATCAAGCTCGGGGATTTGCCCCTGCCCAGGACTGGCAAATTGGCTTTACTCAACATGCCCTGAGTCAGGAAACTAAAATACCTCTTAGTCTAGGTAGACACTTTCACTGGATAGATAGAGGCCTTTCCTACAGGGTCTGAGAAGGCCACCACTGTCATTTCTTCCTTTCTGTCAGACATAATTCCTCAGTTTGGACTTCCCACCTCTATACAGTCTGATAGCAGACTGGCCTTTATTAGTCAAATCAGCCAAGCATTTTTTCAGGCTCTTAGTATTCAGTGAAACCTTTATATCCCTTACAGTCCTCAGTCTTCAGGAAAGGTAGAACAGACTAATGGTCTTTTAAAAACACACCTCACCAAGCTCAGCCACCAACTTAAAAAAGACTAGACAATACTTTTACCACTTTCCCTTCTCAGAATGCAGGACTGTCCTCAGAATGCTGCAAGGTACAGCCCATTTGAGCTCCTGTATAGACGCTCCTTTTTATTAAGCCCCAGTCTCATTCCAGACACCAGACCAACTTGGACTGTGCCCCAAAAAACTTGTCATCCCTACTATTTTCTGTCTAGTCATACTCCTATTCACCGTTCTCAACTACTCATACATGCCCTGCTCTTGTTTACACTGCCGGTTTACACTGTTTCTCCAAGCCATAACAGCTGATATTGGTGCTATCCCCAAACGGCCACTCTTAACTCTTAAAGAAAATAAATAATCTTTTCTGGCAGGACTATGCTGAATTTCCTTAGGCACTCTCTAATTAGATGTCCTGGGTCCTCCCAATTCTTAGTCTTTTAATACCTGTATTTCTCCTTCTCTTATTCCATTTAGTTTTTCAATCCATACAAAACCGTATCCAGGTCATCACCAATAATTCTACACGACAAATGTTTCTTCTAACAACCCCACAATATCACCCCTTACCACAAAATCTTCCTTCAGCTTAATCTCTCCCACTCTAGGTTCCCATGCCACCCCTAATCCCACTCGAAGCAGCCCTGAGAAACATCGCCCATTATCTCTCCATACCATCCCCCAAATTTTCACCGTCCCAACACTTTACCACTATTTCATTTTATTTTTCTTATTAATATAAGAAGACAGGAATGTCAGGCCTCTGAGCCCAAGCTAAGCCATAATATCCCCTGTGACCTGCACGTACACATGCAGATATCTGGTTCCTGCCTTAACTGGTGACATTCCACCACAAAAGAAGTGAAAATGGCCTGTTCCTACCTTAACTGATGACATTGTCTTGTGAAATTCCTTCTCCTGGCTCATCCTGGCTCAAAAGCTCCCCTACTGAGCACGTTGTGACCCCCCCACTCCTGCCTGCCAGAGAACAACCCCCCTTTTGCCTTTACTTACCCAAATCCTATAAAACAGCCCCACCCCTATCTCCCTTTGCTGACTCTCTTTTCGGACTCAGCCCGCCTGCACCCAGGTAAAATAAACAGCCATGTTGCTCACACAAAGCCTGTTTGGTGGTCTCTTCACATGGATGCTAATGAAAGTAATCATATCACCTTTTCTGTGTCTTTTGTGTAAAATCTCCTTCAACCTCCTTTTTATAAGTATACATGAGATTGCACTGTGGATCCACTTGCAACATCCAGGCTAATCTCCCCATCCGAATATTCTTAATCACATCTGCAAAGACTGTTTTCTTAATCATATTAGATAAAATTCCCAGATTCTGGGCAATTAATTTTTTTTTAAGGAGAAAGGAAATTTTTTTTATGCCTACCTCAGGTGTCTTTTTGAAAAAGAAACTGAAGAACTCTTTGACAGAATAAAAGTTTCATGCTGCAGTGCATTCTATTGGTTCCACACTCAGAGTCCTTACCAGGCCAGTGAACCACCACCAGCTGCTGTGAGGGTTAGTTGCTAACTGCTCACAGAGGGCTTCTCCTGTGAAGAATTATCTTCTCCTAATGGGATGCCTCACTCCCAGCCTGAGCCAATGACTGATTCAGGAGAACAAAGGCCAGCTCTGCTGCCCAAATAGGAAAAACTAAAAATGCCAACTTAAATATATCATTCTATTGTAGCAAAATTTTTTATGTAGGAACCAAAATCTGCATCTAGCCAACAGAAATATTATACTCCTAAACACAAAATCTCAAAGGGTACATACTGAATTATAGAATCAAAGTAACACACCTTCTGTTTCTTTGTCTTTGCTACCACTATGCTATGATTGTTTACTTCAAATACGTGGTTCCAGTGAAGGACTACATAGTCCCACAGTGATAGAAACTTTGCCCAAATTTTGTATGACAATTCTATCCTTTACCAACGAACTCTCCAAATTAACACATGTAGTTGATTCTGTATATCTTGGGAGTCACTATCTAAATGGGAATATCTCAAACTAACTTCCATGTAGAATATAATACTTATTAAAGGATAATTTTAAAAAATGGTCAAAATGGAAGCTCATACACATATCACACAGACTCAACAGAAACAAAAACAATTATCTAAATTTAGAACTCAGATCAACCAGAGATTTTTGGGGTGAGAATTATAGATGTATAGCAATAATAAAACTGTTCTTTAGTTTGCCTATATTACCACTTTTAAATTTTTTCAGACAATGCATTCCTTATTGTCTGCCCCCAGAGAAGAACAGTTTTTCCCATCTCCAATCCTATCCTTGATATTAACTGATAGATAATTTTGTTCAAGAAAAAAATGAATCCTAATGACTCTTTTTTTTAGATGGTGTTTCACTCTTGTTGCCCAGGCTGGAGTGCAATGGCGCGATCTCTGCTCACCACAACCTCCGCCTCCTGGGTTCAAGTGATTCTCATGCCTCAGCCTCCCGAGTAACTGGGATTATAGGCATGCACTACCACGCCCGGCTAATTTTGTATTTTTTTTTAGTAGAGATGGGGTTTCTCCATGTTGATCAGGCTAGTCTCGAACTCCTGACCTCAGGTGATCCACCCACCTTGGCCTCCCAAAGTGCTGGGATTACAGGCGTGAGCCACTGCACCTGGCCCCTAATAACTTTTTAATTAAAATACTATGAAAAAACTGTTAGAAGAACATGAAGTAAAACACAATTAAATTTTTTTTACTGCTATAGAATTTCTTAGATCTTTACCATGCAAAAATACATTATAACACTGTAATGAAAACTTTCACAAATTTTTTTTTTAAACACAAAATATTTTCTTGCAGAGCACCTGGAAAGACTAATACTTCAAAGATAACACTTTGGAAAACACAGCTGTAATGAAATTTTCTCCAGTTTAGAAATAATTTTATAAATTTGCTAGTGGCATTAGTATTTAACATTTTTTGAAAGTTATAGTCTAAGTAAAACTAGAAGAAAAGAGAACAAGTAATGAGTTAAACCTAGTGGAAAGAATAATACAAAATTATTACAATGATGTCATCATATTTGTTTTTTAAAGCTTCCAGATGATTAACTATAATAGAATTAACAACAAAGCCTAGTAAAATACCTAATTAAGAAGGTACCTGGCTTCCTATATATCACTAAAGTCCCATTAGAACTTGCAATGTATTGAAATTTCCTAAAATAAAAACCAAGTATATTATATATATATTATAGAAATAACCTATTTTAATGGGGAATGATAACTGGAATTTACATAAACAAAGCCACAACATTTCTATGAGCTATGAAAATTTAAATAAAGAAACAGCATTTTCCTGGATGGAAACACTGAATTTTTAAAAAGATTTTACTTATGCTTAAAATAATTTTGCATTGGCTGCCATCGTATTAAAGACACCAACAAAAAGTTATTTGGATTTTGACAAAATAATTTTAAGTTACTTGGAAGAAATCAGATAAACCATTTTGAAAAGGGGAAATAAAACACTCGCACAGTCACATTATTCTAAAATGTATCATTTTAAAAAGTATAGCAAATAAATGAATGATTTATAGTTATAGCAGATCAGTGAGCTAACATAAGTAGTTCTGATATAGACCAGAGACTATATAAGAATATAATGCATAATATATATGTGATATGATACAAAAAGCATTACAAAACAACACAGCTAAGGAATGGAGATATTCTAATAAAGGCTAGAACACACACTGTCCTGTAAATTCTGATCATCAGACAGATATGTATATAGTTATACGGTAATTTTTATGCACTTGTGCATAGTATAGTTTCTATATATAAGAGAGAGGCTACAGTCAGATTGTTGCAAATATCTTGAGATGGTGGTAAAGGAAAGTGCTAATTTATTAAAGCATATATAATATAGCTATCAGTTTATAGATTTATATATAAATCTATATATCCTTTTACATATCCTCTCTTTCCAAAAACTTTGGAAGATACAACACACACAAACAAACAAACAGTCAGGCCTCTGAGCCAGAACTACGCCATTGTAACCCCTGTGACCTGCACGTATACATCCAGATGGCCTGCAGGAGCCAAGAAATTTGGAGCAGCTGAAGAACCAAAAACGACGTGAAACAGCCAGTTTCTGCCGTAACTGATTAACCAACCTTATGACATTCCACCATTATGACTTGTTCCTGCCCTACCTTAACTGACCAATCGACCTTATGACATTCTTCTCCTGGACAATGGATCTCTTGATCTCCCCACCATGCACCTGGTGACCCCCTCCCCTGCTGACAAAAGATAACCACCTTCAACTGTAACTTTCCACTGCCTACCCAAGTCCTATAAAGCTGCCCCTCTCCTGTCTCTCTTCACTGATTCTCTTTTCGGACTCAGCCCACTTGCACCCAAGTGAATAGACAGCCTTGTTGCTTATACAAAGCCTGTTTAGGTGGTCTTCTATATGGACACGTGTGGCCCAAACAACTTAGATCTTTTCTCCCCATAGCTTTATTGAGGTAGAACTGATAAATTAAAAATATATACATTTAAGGTATACAATGTGATGTTTTTATATGTGTACATATTGTGAAATACTTACCAAATCAAGCTAATTAACAGATCCATTATCTCTCATAGTTACCTTTTTGTTGCTGTTGCAAGAATACTTAAGATCTAGTCTCTAAGCAAATTTCACGTATACATTATTATTAACTATAGCCATCATGCTATACATAATGCTATACATAAGATCTCAGAACTTATCTTTGTTTTTTTTTTAGATGGAGTCTCTCTCTTTCTCACTTAGGCTGGGGTGCAATGGCGTCATCTTGGCTCACTGCAACCTCTGCCTCCTGGGCTCAAGCGATTCTCCTGCCTCAGCCTCCCAAGTAGCTGGGATTACAGGCTCCCACCACTACGCCCAGCTAATTTTTGTATTTTTAGTAGAGATAGAGTTTTGTCATTTTGGCCAGGCTGGTCTCGAACTCCTGAACTCAGGTGATCCAACTGCCTTGGCCTCCCAAAGTGCTAGGATTACAGGCATGAGCCACCGTGCCCAGCCAGAACTTATCTGTCTTATAAGTGAAAGTTAGTGTCCTTCAACCAACATCTCCCCATTTCCCCCACCCCCACAACCTCTGGTAACCACTCCTATTTTCCACTTTTACAGATCCCACACATAAGTGATATCATACAGTATTTGTCTTCCTGTGTCTCATTTATTTCACTTAACATAATTTCTACCAGGTTCATCCATGTTGTCCCAAATAGCATGATTTATATATTTAAAACTAAATAATTTTATATTTTATTTTTTCATTTTATATTTCCTTTATTCATTCATTTGTGGATTAACATGTAGGTTGATTCAACATTTGGCAATTGTCAATAATGCTGCAATGAACATGGAAGCATAGAAATCTATTTGACATACTGATTTCATTTCCTTTGAATATAACACAGAAGTGGGATTGTTGAATGATATGGTAGTTCTTTTTAAAATATTTTGATAAACCTCTATACTGTTTTCCATAATGGTTGTGCCAATTGATGTTTCTACCAACAATGTACAGGGTTTCCATTTTCTCCACATCCTTGCCAATATTTATTTTTTATTTTTCATTATAGCCATCATAGGAAATCTGATAAGATATTTGATTTGCAATGCAAGTACTCTCTCCCTTTCCATAGATTGCCTTTTCATTTTGTAGAATGTTTCCTTTGTTGTGCAGAAATTTTTTAATTCAATGGGGATGCCCTTATGTATTTTTACTTCAATTTCCTGTGATTTTGGAGCTAAGTCCAAAAAATCATTTCCAGGATTAATGTCAAGGAAGATTTTCCTTGTGTTTTCTTCAAGGAGTTTTATGGTTTTAGGTCTCAATTTAAATTTTTAATCTATTTTGTGTTGATTTTTTGTGTATGGTAGAAGATAGGAATCCAGTTTTGTTGTTTTGCATGTGGATAGGCAGTTTTTTCAATACCTTTTATTAAGGAGATTGTCTTTTCCTTATTGTGTATTCTTCATGCTTCTGTTGAAGATTAGTTGATCATATATGTGTAGGTTTATTTTTGGATTTTCTATTCTGTTCCATTAATCTATGTGTCTGCATTTAATGCCAATACCATTCTGTTTTGGTTATCATAGCTTTAAAGTATATTTTGAAGTCAGATAGTGTGATGGTTTCAGCTTTGTTCTTTTTGTTCAAAATTAGCTTGGCTATGTGGGGTCTTTTGTGGATCCACATGCATTTAGGTTTTTTTCTATTTCTGTGAAAAATGATATTGGAATTTTGATAATGATTGCACTGAAATTGTAGATCACTTTGTGTAGTATGGACATTTTGACAATATTTATTCTTCCAATCCATGAACACAAGATATCTTCCAATTTCTTTTACTGATGTTTTATACTTTTCAGTGTATAGAGTTTTCACCTACTTAAATTTATTTCTAAGTAGTATATTCTTTTTGATGTTATTGTAAATAGGATTGTTTTATTAATTTCTTTTTTAGATAGTTCGTTGTTTGTTAGTGTATAGAAATGAAACTGATTTTGTGTGCTCAGTTTATATCCTGCAGCTTTATTGAATTACAACTGAAATTTTGATCTAGCAAAACATACCAAAATAAATCTATAAATTTTTTTTTAATTATTATTATACTTTAAGTTTTGGGGTACATGTGCACAGTGTGCAAGTTAGTTACATATGTATACATGTGCCATGCTGGTGTGCTGCACCCATTAACTCGTCATTTAGCATTAGGTATATCTCCTAAAGCTATCCCTCCCCCCTCTCCCCACCCCACAACAGTCCCCAGAGTGTGATGTTCCCCTTCCTGTGTCCATGTGTTCTCATGGTTCAGTTCCCACCTAAGAGTTAGAACATGTGGTTTTTGGTTTTTTGTCCTTTCAACAGTTTACTGAGAATGATGATTTCCAATTTCATCCATGTCCCTACAAAGGACATGAACTCATCATTTTTTATGGCTGCATAGTATTCCATGGTGTATATGTGCCACATTTTCTTAATCCAGTCTATCATTGTTGGACATTTGGGTTGGTTCCAAGTCTTTGTTTGCTATTGTGAATAGTGCCACAATAAACATACGTGTGCATGTGTCTTTATAGCAGCATGATTTATAGTCCTTTGGGTATATACCCAGTAATGGGATGGCTGGGTCAAATGGTATTTCTAGTTCTAGATCCCTGAGGAATTGCTACACTGACTTCCACAATGGTTGAACTAGTTTACAGTCCCACCAACAGTGTAAAAGTGTTCCTATTTCTCCACATCCTCTCCAACTCCTGCTGTTTCCTGACTTTTTAATGATTGCCATTCTAACTGGTGTGAGATGGTATCTCATTGTGGTTTTGATTTGCATTTCTCTGATGGCCAGTGATGATGAGCATTTTTTCATGTGTTTTTTGGCTGCATAAATGTCTTCAAAATAATAAGAGCTATCTATGACAAACCCACAGCCAAAATCATACTGAGTGGGCAAAAACTGGAAGCATTCCCTTTGAAAACTGGCACAAGACAGGGATGCCCTCTCTCACCACTCCTATTCAACATAGTGTTGGAAGTTCTGGCCAGGGCAATTCGGCAGGAGAAGGAAATAAAGGGTATTCAATTAGGAAAAGAGGAAGTCAAATTTCCCTGTTTCCAGATGACATGATTGTATATCTAGAAAACCCCATTGTCTCAGCCCAAAATCTCTTTAAGCTGATAAGCAACTTCAGCAAAGTCTCAGGATACAAAATCAATGTACAAAAATCACAAGCATTCTTATACACCAATAACAGACAGAGAGCCAAATCATGAGTGAACTCCCATTCACAATTGCTTCAAAGAGAATAAAATAGCTAGGAATCCAACTTACAAGGGACGTGAAGGACCTCTTCAAGGAGAACTACAAACCACTGCTCAATGAAATAAAAGAGGATACAAACAAATGGAAGAACATTCCATGCTCATGGGTAGGAAGAATCAATATCATCAAAATGGCCATACTGCCCAAGGTAATTTATAGATTCAATGCCATCCCCATCAAGGTACCAATGACTTTCTTCACAGAACTGGAAAAAACTACTTTAAAGTTCATATGGAACCAAAAAAGAGCCCGCATTGCCAAGTCAATCCTAAGCCAAAAGAACAAAGCTGGAGGCATCACGCTACCTGACTTCAAACTATACTACAAGGCTACAGTAACCAAAACAGCATGGTACTGGTACCAAAACAGAGATATAGATCAATGGAACAGAACAGAGCCCTCAGAAATAATGCCACGTATCTACAACTATCTGATCTTTGACAAACCTGAGAAAAACAAGCAATGGGGAAAGGATTCTGTATTCAATAAATGGTGCTGGGAAAACTGGCTAGCCATATGTAGAAAGCTGAAACTGGATCCCTTCATTACACAAAAATTAATTCAAGATGGATTAAAGACTTAAACGTTAGACCTAAAACCATAAAAACCCTAGAAGAAAACCTAGGCATTACCATTCAGGACATAGGCATAGGCAAGGACTTCATGTCTAAAACACCAAAACCAATGGCAACAAAAGCCAAAATTGACAAATGGGATCTAATTACACTAAAGAGCTTCTGCACAGCAAAAGAAACTACCATCAGAGTGAACAGGCAACCTACAAAATGGGAGAAAATTTTCGCAACCTACTCATCTGACAAAGGGCTAATATCCAGAATCTACAATGAACTCAAACAAATTTACAAGAAAAAAACAAACAACCCCATCAAAAAGAGGGCGAAGGACATGAACAGACACTTCTCAAAAGAAGACATTTATGCAGCCAAAATCTATAAATTAAAAGATTAACTATAAAATATATTAAAAAGAACTTAAAAATACAAGTAACTAGTAAATGATTATGTCATGGATGAATTTTAAAGATGAAATGAATAAAGAATTTATCTGTAGAATAATTTAAAGATATGTACAAAAGTAAAAAATCGAGTTTAGAAAAAAATATTTTAGAATATACACTGTTAAAAACATATTGTGTTAAATCAGTATCATGAAAACAATAATATGCAAAGGTTTAGAAAGTCAGTTAAAGGAGAAAAGAATATAAATGACTAACAAAAAACTTATTTCCACTTGTAGACAGAGAAATGGAAAAACATAGGAAATACAATGAGATCTCATTTTTCAGCTATCAAATTGACACAGGTTAGAAACAGTAATGATAATCAAAGCTCACTAGGCCCAGTTAAGAATAGCCAACGATGAGAGTGTAAATTGCTAGAGGCGACCTAGAGGGCATTTCAGCAATATATATCAAGAGCTTTCAAAAAGGTTTATGCACATTGATGTAGTAATTTTACTTCAAGGAATCTTTGCTATGAAAATAATATGTGCAGATATAGAAACATCATATGGAAATTTATCCAAGTGGAGGTTTTTTATTCCTTTGTGCGTGTGTGTGTGTGTTTTAGAATAGCAAAATTGTGGAAATATTCCATATTTTCAGAAAGAAAATAATTATGTAAAAGTATATGTTCATCTATGAGATAGATCATTATGCAGCTACTAAAATTATGTAAATGAATATTATTGATATTAGAATATATGAAGAAACATTGCAAGAAAAAGCACACCACGTTTATTTATGCATAAAGAAAAAAGAAAGACACATTATTTTTAAATATTTTAATATTCTTTTACTTTTCTATAATTTCTAAGCTCTGTAGACTGAGCACATAAAAACTTTATTATCAGAAAACAAAAAAAAATATTTTAAGAATAAATAAAAAATTTTCTGTAGTCATATAAAGGAATTTGAAAACCTCAATTTCGAATCAATTCCTTGGATGGTATATTATATTTTCTATCACTAGTCATAGAAAATATAGTCATGTCACCAACATTGGGAAATTGGAAGCTTCTGACTCTCCCTCCACACACAGATACACCAAATAAACATCTATCCATAAATCAACACCCTCTGAGAGAAAATCAGAGAGCAACTGAAGGAATCCTACCCATCGATCCACTGAGCAAACATGCACATTGAGTAGGTAGGAGAAGCCAAGGCACACTTGTGTGGACCCCACCTTGGGCACTGCACCATAAAATTGGGAAATAACTCTCCAACACCTAGTTTCCCTCTGTGGTGAAGGGAGTCTGGGTCTCATACATAGGGCCTAAAGCCCAAGTTTCTCCATGGTTTGACTTTTAACTCACCAACTGTGTGAGCAGAGGGGAGTAGACACATTCATGTCTCTCAAGACTGTAGGAAACGAAGTGGTGTTATTTTTAAGGACATGCAAGGACTTCCAGGGACTTTATTCACCATGGAGTAGTGCAGAGAAGGGATGTATAAAAGACACAACCCTTTGTTTCCCCCAGAAGGGGTTTGTGAAATACCCCTGCAGTGGCTGCAGGTAGCCTGACTTCTAACCAACTTGTATCAGGTAGTTAAAAGAGGTAGTCAACTATTAACCTGGGGCCAGCCAAAGAAAAGTTTACAACCACACCAAACACCCCAACTCTATTAACATCTACCTAACTGACTGAATCATAAATCTCCTAGCTCTGGGAGCAGAAAGGACTGGCATACTCCTGTGTCTCTCTAAACCACAGGTGAAAAAAAAAAAAAAAAGCAGTTACCATCGCTTTGTACAAGTGTGTGTGCTCTTTAAGGTACTACATCCCCTAGGATTGGTGCAAAGAAGAGGCCTAAAAACAACAACAAATAAACAACTCCCTGCTTCTCCCTAGAAGAGATCCAGAACACACTCTGAAGGCCCAGTTGTTAAAGTTGCCTCCTAAACGACTTCCATTCTAAACCTAGTTGCTCTGGGCACAGAGGGACTAGGCATATGTGAATCTCCCTTGATCCCAGAAAAAAGAGGTGGTCTTAAATGGACATCTCCTAACTCTGGGAGCAGAAAGGGCTGGCATATACATGTGTCTCTCTAAACCACAGGTTAAAAAAAAAAGCAGTGACCATGTGGCCATGGCTTTTGTACAAGCATGTAGGCTCTTTAAGGTATTACATCCCCTAGGATTAGGGCAAAGAAGAGGCCTAAAAAACAGCAACAACAAATAACTCCCTGTTTCTCCCTAGAAGAGATCCAGAACACACATGAGAAGCCCCAGTTGTTAAAGCTGCCTCCTAAAACACTCCATTCTAAACCTAGTAGCTCTGGCCTAGGCATATGTGAATCTCCCTTGATCCCAGAACAAAGAGGTGGTCTTAAATGGACATCCAAACACTTCCAGGGCCTATACCCTCTTGAAGTATGCAGAAAAGGGGGTAGGAACATGAAGCTCTCACGTTCTTTCTGGAAGTGGCTCATGACACACATTCTCAGTGGCTAATTGATGGCCTGCGCTCTAACGAACTTGCATCAAGGAGCTAACAGGGAATACAATCAAACAAATAACCAATCTAACTACAGTAGCCAGAGCCAGAGCTTGACACTTCATAAAACCTACCTTCCCCAGCTCACCCAAGAGATAAATCCAGGCATATCCAGTCTTTCTGAAAGGAGTTTGGCCATGCAATAAGCACCACAACTTCCATAGTTTCACCTAAGGAACTGTCTCCTTAATGAAGTATTTCTAGACTTCAAGGGAATATTGCAATCCTGAGTGACCCAAGACCACAGAAAACAAACAGAAGAACATATAACAAGCTCACTTCCAGCATCTATCCTTTCAGAATCAGAAGGTGTAGCCTGAATATGAATACAAGCATTAGCCACAGGTCCTCTTCCCTGGCTTAGTCCAGATAAAGTAGGGAAAAAATGCCCTCATTCATCCTCACTATGAAAATAGAAGTTACTGGAACTCACATCCAACATTCCCAATCTTTCCAGGTACATCTAAAATATGTGACTCCTCTTATATCATTTTAGGGTATGAACAAGATGGGACATATTCTAAGCCCCAGGTAGGCACCAAAAACAAAGATAACAGTCCAGGCCAAAAAAAAAAAAAGAAAGAAATGAAAAAGAAAAAAGATTAAAGAGGCACCTTAAAATCTCTGGAAGGAAAGATTGGTAAAAAACCTTCTTCTAAATAATGCTAGTTTAACAAGATTGAGATAAATTGTTTTCTTATCTAATATATAGAAACCAACACAAAGAAGTGAGTAAAATAAAAAAAGGGAATGTATTTCAAAAAGAAAAAGATAACTCTCTGAAACTGACCTGGAAAACAGAGTTTTGTGATTTACTCAAAAGGAATTCAAAATAATTGTCATAAAGATGCTTACAGAGGTCAAGACAGCATTGCAAGAACAAGTTGAGATCTCAAATGGGAGATAATAAATATTTTTAAATACCAAATAGAAATCATACATCTCAATAATGCTATAAACAAACTGAACAATTTAATAGAGGAGTTCAACAACAGGCTAGATCAAGCAGAAAAAAAGGATCATTAAATGTGAGGACAGACCACTGGAAATCATCGAATTTGAGGAGTTTAAAAAAAGTATAAAAAGGAGTGAAAATGGCTTATGAGACTTATGGGACACTATCAAGCAGAACAATTTATGAATAATTGGCATGCCAGAAATAGGAAAAGGGACAGAAAACAAATTCAAAGAAGTGATTGTAGACAACTTTCCAACTCAGAGGAAAGAATTACAATGCACAATTCAACAAGCCCATGGGACACTAAATAAAATGAACTAAAAGAGATCCTTGGCCAGGAGTGGTGGCTCATGTGTATAATCTCAACACTTTGGGAGGCTGAGGCGGTTGGATCACTTGAGGTCAGAAGTTCTAGACCAGCCTGTCCAACATGGTGAAACCTTGTCTGTACTAAAAATTAAAAAATTAGCCAGGTATGGTGGCAAGAGCCACCTCCACTGGGGAGGCTGAGGCAGGAGAATCGCTTGAGCCGGGGAGGCTGAGGTTGCAGTGAACTGAGATTGCATCACAGCACTCCAGCCTGGGCCACAGAGCGAGACTCAGTATCCAAAAAAAAAAAAAAGAGAGAGATTCTTACCATGACATATCTTCGTCAAATTGTGAAAAATTAAAGACAAAGAGTGTTGAAAGAATCAAGGGAAAAGCGAATCATCATGTAGAGGGAAACCCCCTGTAAGATTATCAGTAGACTTCTCAGAAGAAACCTTGTAAACCAGAAGAATGTGGGTTAATATATTCAAAATCCTGAAAAAAGGAAACTTCCAACCAAGAATAGTATACCCAGCAATTCTGTCTTTCAAAACTGAAGGGACTTATGTTTAGAAGAACAAAAGTTGAGAGAGATTATCACCAGTAGACCTACATTATAAAAACGTTAAAGTAAGTTCTTCAGGCTGTAGGAAGAAAGCACTAATTAATTACATAAAATCATATGAAAATACCAAACTCATTGGTAAAAATTGATACATCATCAAATCCTAAACACTAATACTGTAAGAGCAGTAGTCAAACAATTATATCTCTAGTACAAAGGTCGAAGGGTAAAACTATTAAAATAATGGTACAATAATCTCCTAAGAGATTCATATTATTAAAAGATGTAAAATATGACATTACAAACATAAAACTTCGGAAAAGTGGGCAAAAGTGGGTAGTTTATGTATGCAATCAAAATTAAGCTTTTAATACCTTTATAACATATTATAGGTATAAGATGTTTTATGTAAGCCTCAATGTAACCACAAAGCATAACCTTGTAATATACACAAAAGAGTAAAAAGAAAAAGAACCAAAACACACCCCTATAGAAAGACATCAAACCACAAAGGAAGAAAGCAAGAGAAGAAGAAAGCAGGACAGATCTACAAAACAACCAGTAAAAAATTTTTAAAGTGGCAGAAGTAAGCCAATTCCCATCAATAAAAACCTTGAATAAAAATGAATTAAGTTATCCAATTAAAAGAGTGGCTGAATGAATAAAAAGCTAAGAGCCATCTCTAAGCTGCTCACAGGAGACTCATCTAACATGTAAGAAAAACAGACTGAAAATGAAGAGATAGCAAAAGATATTCCATGCAAATCAAATCCAAAAGAGAGTAAGAGTGGCCATACTTACATCAGATAAAATAGACTTTAAGTCAAAAACTATAAAAAGAGAGAAAGCAGGTGATTATAAAATAATTAAGGAGTCAATTCAGCAAGACTATATAATTGTAAATATATATGCACCCAATTCTAGAATAACCAAATATGTATAGCAAATATTAGTATATCTAAAAGGAGAGATAGACTGCAATGCAATCATAGTTGTGAACTTCAACATCCCACTTTCAGCAATGGACAGATCAACCAGACAGAAAATCAACAAAGAAACATTGGAGTTAAACTATAATCTAGACTGAATGGACCTAAGCAACATGTACACGACATTTTATCTGATAGATGCAAAATACACATTATTTTTATAAGCATGTAGAACATTCTTCAGGATAGAAGACAAAATGTCACATGATAGGTCACAAGAAAGTCTCAACAAATTTTAAAAATTGGAAACATATCAAGCATCTTTCCAGATCACAGTAGAATAAAACTAGAAGTCAATAAAATAAGCTTTAGAAACTATAAAAATATATGGAAATTAAGCAACATGCTTCTGAATGACCAATGTGTCAATGAAGAAATTAAGAAGGAAATTTTTTAAAAATTGAAGCAAATGAAAATGGAAACATAACATACCAAAATCTAAAGGAAGTACTAAGAACAGTACTAAGGAGGAAGTTTATAGCAATAAATGCCTAAATCAAAAAGGTAAAATGATTTCAAATGAACAACTGAACATGGCACCCCAAGGAACTAGAAAAGGAAGAAAAAACAAAAAGTCATAGAAGGAAAGACAAAGATCAGAAATAAATAAAATTGAGACATAAATGCAAAATATCAATGAAATAAAAAGGTTTTTTTTAAAAACAAACAAACAAACAAACAAACAAAATCCAGAAACCTTTAGCTAGAGTAACTAAGAAAAATAGAAGAGCCAAATAAATAAAATCAGAGAGAAAAAAGGAAACTTTAAAACTGATGCTACAGAAATACAAAGGATCATTAGAGCAACCTTACACCAACAAATGGGAAAACACAGAAGAAACTGATAAAATCCTGGACACACACAACCTACCAAGAGTGAACCATGAAGAGATAGAAAACCTAAACAGACAAATAACAAGAAATAAGATTAAATCGGTAATTTTAAAAACTCCCCAAAAGAAAAACCTAGGAACAGATGCCTTTGTAACTGAATTCTGCCAAGCTTTTAAAGAATTAACACTAATTCTTCTCAAACTGTTCCAAAAAATTGAAGGAAAAGTAATTCTTCCAAATGCATTCTATGAGGCCAGCATTATTCTGATACAAAAGCCAGACAAGGACACAAGAAAAAACAAAAACAATGAAAAAAAACTACGGGTCAATATTTCTAATAAAAAAGATGCAAAAATGTTCAACAAAATACTAGCATACTGAATCCAACAGTACATCCAAAAGATTAGTCACTGTGATTAAGTAAAATTTAATCCCAGGAATGACGTTATTCACAGAAACAAAAGATAGTTAAAATGTGCATGAAACCACAGCAGACTTCAAATAATCAAAGCAATTCTGAGCAAAGAGAACAAAGCTGAAGGCGTCACATTATCTGGCTTCAAAATATATTACAAAGCTGTAGTAAAAAAAAAAAAAACAGTACCATATTGGCATGAAAACAGAATAGAGAACCCAGAAGTAAATCCACATATTTACTGCCAACTGATTTTCACTAAATGTGCCAAGATCACACATTTGGGAAAGAACAGTCCTTCCAATAAATGTTAATGGAAAAACTGGATATCCGTATGCAGAAAAATTGAATGAGACCCCTATCTTTCATGATAACAAAAATCAAAGCAAAATTTATTAAAGACTTAAATATAAAACCAAAAACAATAAAACTATTAGAAAAAAGTCATATGGAAAATGTTTCAGGACATTAGTCTGGGCAAAGGATTTTTGGGTAGGAACTCAGAAACAGACAAGAAAAGCTAAAATAGACAAATGGGATTACATCAAACTAAAAAACTTCTGCACAGCAAAGGAAACAATCAAAAGAGTGAAGAATCAACTGAAAGAATGGGAGAAAATATTTGCAAGCTATCCATCTGACAAGGATAAACATCCAGTATATATAAAGAACTCAAGCAACTCAACAGCAAAACAACAAATAATCTCATATAAAAATAGGCACATGATCTGAATAGACATTTCTCAAAATAAGACATACAAATGGCCAAGTATATGAAAAAATGCTCAACATCACTAATCATTAAAGAAATGTAAATCAAAACCACAATGAGATATTATCTCACCAGTTAAAATAATTATTATCAAAAGGACAAAAATGCTGGTGAGAGTGTGAAAAAGCAGAACACTTATATGCTATTAATGGGAATGTAAATTAGTACAGCCATTATGGAAAACAGTATGAAGTTTTCTCAAAAAACTAAACATAGAACTACTATATGATCCAGCAATCTCACTACTGGGTACATATCCAAAGGAAAAGAAATCAGTATATCAAAGAGTTATCTGCATTGCCATGTTTATCACAATAGTATTCACAATATCTATGAAATAGAGTGAACCTAAGTGTCCGTTGTCAGAAGAATGGATTAAGAAAATGTAGTATATATAAACAATGGAATATTATTCAGCCGTAAAAATAATAAAATCCTGCCTTTTGCAGCACCATGGATTAGCCTGGAGGACATTATGTCATGTAATATAAGCCAGGCACAGAAAGACAAATATCACACATTCTCACCCATATGTGGGAACTATAAAAGTAGATCTCATAGAAGTAGAGATTAGAATAGTAGTTACCAGATGTTGGGAAGGGAAGGAGGAAGTATGGATATTGGGTACAAAATTACAGTTAGATAGGAATAATAAGTAACAGTGTTCTACAGCACAGGCAGGTAACCACAGTTTACAATAATTTATTGTATATTTCAAAGTATCTAGAAGAGAGGGTTTTGTATGTTCCCAACACAAAGAAATGATAAATGTTTCAGGTGATGGATGTAACTGACCTAATTTGATTATTACATATTGTACACATGTATCATAATATCACATATACCCCATAAATACATACAATTATAGTGTATCAGCTTAACATTTTTAAAAGGACAAAACAACCCCCCCAAAGCAAACAGAAAACAGACAACTAATAAACAACATAAAATCCAAAAAGTAAACAGAAATCTTCATTATATAAAAGTGATTTTTAAGAAACAGAATTATAATCAATTTATACATAAAACATTTAACCAAACTATATTCTGGCTTAATGATTGAAACATTGCCTCAGAGATCTAGTGTCATATTAGGGCATTATTTTACAAATAGAAGCTTTGAGTTTTGCCAATCTGAATTTAAAATGTCATCTTCATTAACATCACCTACAAACGTCATTTATCCCTGCCAAGGTTGGTAATGATACGCTAAATACTGATTGAGAAATATGATTGACGTCTTTTTGTTGCTATAATCCAAAATTAGTTCAAGGAAGCTAAGTGTATATATAAGGCTTTTTTTCATATTTTAGCAATTACCTTTTTTCAATATATCTTACAATTGTAAGATATTTCCTGACTAGAGCATTAGGTTATATGGAAACAAAAAAGGCAAGAACTTGACAAATTCCAAGAGGCACACTGTTTCATTGCTTGAAACACACTCCTGATTTATTTGCATTGCAATAGCTAAACCCATCTTTACCCATAACCTTAATTACCACAGTCATTCATTCTATAACGGCTCTTATTTCCCTGAGTTCTTTTCTCCTTCCAGATTCCAATTTGTAATGTTACCTCCATAAGGATTCATTATCTGGCATTCTGCACCCTGGCAGAGGGAATTTCTCTCTTCAAACTCCACTCTTCGTGCATTTATAAGTCTCTAGGCACTCTTGCCTGAAATATATCATGGCAGTCCTGTCTTTATGAGGTGGGTAGCTTCCACACACACACACACACAAAATCGTTTTCTATGAAGAAGAGTTAAGCCAAAGGTATTCTTTTTTACAGTGAATGTAGATTTCCCATTAAAAGATAATCTTTCATTTCAAATGTTTTAATATGATGGTCCTGAATACAGTCATCACTGATAATTACATTTTAGGTGCTCCAAAACTAATATGTGTTTACCATAAATTTCATTATTCATTGGATACTTTCATATTAATTTTTAAAAATTTTCCTTTCATATTTCAAAACCTGGGGGCTATCTAGACTTATCCCTAATTAAGCTTGGAGCAGTTACTGAAGGATGGAGTATCCAAATGGCACCCAAAGCTATCCTTTCTCTTTCTGCTATAGAAGTTCTGATACAGATCCTGTCCTTCTAGTGGTTTATTGAAGCCTCCCAATCACATGATCTTCCTGCCCACACTAATAGCAGCATTTTTCAAAAATATACACCTGATTACATCATATTCATATGAAAAAAGTCCTTTAATAGTTGCTATGTTAATCAGAAGAAAGCCCACTAGCTGCAGTAACAAAGAAAATTTTTTAAAAAAGTCAATAGTATCACAGAATAAAAGTTGATTTCTCACTTGTATGTTCATCTAATGTAGGTGTTCTTGGTTTCCAGGCTGGAGGTTCTGATGCCCAGTAATTCAGTAACTCAGGTTGCTGGAGACTCTGACATCTACATATGTCTTCCAAGGTTGCCCTGGATGTCATTATTCAAACAGGAGATAAGAAGCAATGGAGAAGACTAATTGTTTTTTACCACCTTGATCTGGGAATGACACATAATTCAGCTGCTTGCATTCAATAAGTGAACACCAGTTATCATCTAGATTTGCTAGAAACTGGAGTATGTAATCCCTGGCTGGGAAGAAATCTTTGGTGGGACCCCAAATCTTTGGTGGTCAATTTGTTTTCTTTGATATAATTCCCACGGCTAAATTTCTCAGTAAGGAATGCAAGGTCCTGATCTACCCCTTTGCTAATATTCCAGCCTCAATGCTCAATGCTTCCTCTTTGCAGACCATACAGTTTAGCACCCCCTAAAGGTGCAGTTCCAGGATTTCAGTGTTAAGCCCACAAAGCTATTTCCTTGCCTGCATTTCTCTGTTATTGATAGTTTTCTGAATCCCAAAGGCAGCTCTCAAACTGGGAAGTTCTCAAACTCATTTTTGTGTAGTAACTAATATGTATAACATATTTGATACTTAGCTGTTGCATGTCTGAGTCTCCTACTCCATAGTGACCTCCTTAAGATCAGGGATCACTTATGTTATTGAGCTTTAGAGCAAAGAAATGCTCATTTGACTAACACATGTATTTAAAATGTCTAACATATGTCTGAGTATATAATATATGTTTATTAAATATTTGTGGAATAAATGAATATACAAAGTTTGGATTACTGACACCTATCAGTGATGACAATAGATTCAAAGAATATATGTGGAAAGAAGAGAGCAAAAGGTAGAAGAAAACAAAGGAAGGGAGGGGAGGGAAACATGCTGGGTTGTTCAACAGAACGTCTCTATTTCAAAGGTCATATTTAGTAATATTTTGGTTTGAAGTCATAACTAATACCATTATTTAAGTAAAATAGCAAATAAGCCCACATCACAGTCAGAGACTTCTCTATGATTAGGGAGGGCAATGATTTTCTTAATGTAGGTTGTTAGAGAGACTTCTCATTTACATTCAGCCCTAGCTAACTTTGAAATTCTAAGCCTCAGTAAATATTATCTAGGGGAAAATTAAGAGAATGCTATGATTTAATGGTACCGGGAAGACATGACAAGTTAAAACTTAGAAATGTCCTAAATCTCAGACTGAAATAACTCAAAGAAAGCAGGAAAATTTTATGGCTACAGTTTGTGAAACAAAGATAGTGTGTTAAATTAGGTACGCAAATTCACTGGGGAGAGCTAAGAGCTCATAGAGAGCTCATAGTTACAGAGCTATCTAGAAAGTACCTGAATGTCGAAATAAAACTCCCTATAGAAATCTATTTAAGGTTCTTTTAAATATTTGGAAACGCTTCCTGAAATGGTTCCAAAAGTGTTATTAATATGAAAAAAAATTGTTTTCCTCTTGGCTCCATGCTCACTGTCCATAATTGTGTTTAGCCAAGGGGCTCTCAGGAGGTTCAGTGAGTGGCTTTATTATGTATATTGGGTAATGAGCTTAAGTGTTCTTCACTAGGAGCATTTGCAAGAAAAATTTCTTTCCTTGCTCAAAACTCTTTTCCTGTAGAAAATTTAATGCCTTTGCTCCAGTAGTTATCCAACAATTGAAGATTCAAAGGCAAAAAATAGACTTTCCTCTGGGACCTTTATTTAATTATCAAACACTGAAGATTATAGAGAAAAATGTTCCTTCCTTTTTTTCAGACATTCACTTAAATTCATATCCTTGATTTCTAATTAATGTATTCAAGATCTGAATCTAATTATCTCTATTATGAGTAAAATTCCCTCATTTTATCTCATGTTCTCTAAGACAAGGGCCATCTTAAATCCTGTAAACTCAATCTCTTTTATTAAACCTATCATCTAAATTCAACTGTTATTTTCATTTATTTAAGCCATTCAGGAAGTGTGTATTCAAAATGGGGATACAAAATACATTAGTGCAGAATTAACTCTATATTCTCCATAAAATAATGGCAAATCAGAGATCTAGAATCAGGACAATTGGTTTTTACCAGGAAGTAGACTCTGAGATGGAGTTCAGTGTGCAGGAAGTTTGCTAGGGACTGTTCTTGAGATACAACCTATGGAAGGAAAAAGAATAAGGCAGGATTGGGCAAAATGAGAAACTGACCTGCAACACAGTCCCAGTGGTATTCATGAGATCCTGCAGGAAGTTGTGAAGCTGAGATACACCGTCTAAGTTTTCCAACTTGAGGGTTAGACAGCTGGGCCTTTGGACCTTTGATTAGTCATTGGCTATGGGCTATCCCAGAAAGGTGACATGACTTTGAGTAAGTCGGGTCTCTGTATCTAAGGCAGTACCTGAAAGGGGCTAAAAGCTGAGGCTCCAGTAGCTGGGAGATTAAATCCTTTATTACTGAAGGATAATGTTGGTACTAAATCACAACATGTATCACAGTGTTTTTTTCTGTTTTGTTTTGTTTTGTTTTGTTGTTTGTTTGTTTTTTGAGACAAGGTCTTGCTTTATCACTCAAGCTGGAGTGCAGGAGCACAATTATGGCTGAGTGTAGCCTCAACCTCCCAGGCTCAAGCAATCCACCCACCTCAGCCTCCATAGTAGCTGGGACTACAGGTATGCACCACCACACCCTGCTATATTTTTTTATTTTTTGTAGAGAAGGGGTTTTGCCATGTTGCCCAGGCTTGTCTCAAACTCCTGAGCTCAAGCAATCTGCTTGTCTCAGCCTCCCAAAGTGCTGGGATTACAGATGTGAACCACCATGCCCAGCCACAGGCTTCTTATTATACTTGGGTAGAGTATTCCTGAGAGCTTAAAAGCCACAGAGGTAAGATGCAAATAAGTAGTTGTAATTTGTGTTAAGAGCAGTAATGGAGAGTGGTTGATGTGAAGCAATCATCAGGGAAATGCAGTCATTATCCCTTCCTGGGAAACTCTAGAAATAACTAGAAAATGCACAATACGTATCTGCACTTCTGTTTTTTCACTTGGAAAGTTGAAATGTTAATACATTCTTCACAATCAACGTTACTGGAAACATGATTGAAATCCTTCCTTTGGCCAATTAAACGTTTCTTCAATAATCTCAAGCACTGAGGAAAAAGGAGAGAAAGTTCTTCTCAACCAACAGAATAGGAACTTTCCTCAGAGGCTTCCCAGCAAGGCAGTTGCTATCTCAAGCTGATCTGATTAACAACCTATTGATATTATTTTTCCCTAGCTTCTATGCCACATTTTTCAATGAAAACACTGGCTACACCAACTACTGGAAACTTGCTAGACTCCAAGTCACCAGAGCAATAAGGTTTCTCTTCTCTAAATGGCAGATGACCAAGAGGGCATTTAACCTGCTCATGGGAAGATTAGATTCTACATATTTTAATAGGCCTTTATCTCATCATCCTTTTTATAATTATTCTTCTGTGAAGGAAGCAGAATTGCCCATTACATCCTTACCCTTGTTTAAACTTAGAAATGTTTGACAAACTGGTATGGTGATCTGACCAAATGAAATCCCAGCCCATACATCTTGTGGCATATTAACCTGCCCACTGCTTCTTGATATTCAAATCCAGAGACCATGGAAATTATATTTTATATAAATAAAATAAGGTTAAATAAATGGATGTAAATATACTATAAAAAGTCACTTGCAGAACAAAGCGCGTACAAGAGTGCCAGATAGAATGTAAGTATTGTATCATTAAAATTGTGCTGTGAATGACTTTAAGAATAATAAAAATTCACTTCATAATCTGGATTCTATTAACAATAAATGCCCAGTTACACTATTATACTTTTACTAATCCATTAAGCTGATGTTCTAAAATGACTTATACTGAAATGTTAGTATAGGATATAATAAAATACCATACTGTAGCTATAACATGTTGGATTTTAATTACTATTCTTATAAAATATGAATTAACATGGTGGCAATTCACTTGAAAACTAATTAACTTGCCTCAGTTATCTTGCTCAATTCCTGCAATAAGCAAATAATCTTTACAAAGTTAACATATTAATAAGAATATGATTATGCATTTTCCCCAATTTAATTTCTATTTAATTACATTACTAAACTTGGTTTGTCTCCCAGCAAAGTATCAATTTTGTAGAGTGTGTCTGTAATAGTCACTTGATCGTCAGTCTTAAAAATAACCCAGTGTCTTATTAATTCTGTGTAAATTATTAAATGCATCTGTGCTCAATGTCCAATGCACCAATTTTCTGCCACTCTGCACCATTGCTACTCTAGATCTTTCACAGAGTTCTTACTGAGTGAAATAAACACTATGGGGAATCATAATTAACCCATGCCCTGGTCTCTGCTCCAATAAATAGACTGGTATGGAAAAGGTAAGAGACTGGCAGGAGAAAGAGATGCCAGAGCAAGAGCAGGTACCACAGTCAGCTTACAGGCCATCAATAAAATAAAATAAGATGCTAATTTGTAAAGCTTGACATTGCATATTTTAAAAACATTGCATGTTTAAAAAAACACCGGTGATATGCCGAGTTGCTTTCATTGTTCAATATTCATGCAAAGTAGCTCAAATTTCTCTGCTAATACAGAAAAGAATGCGCTATGTAGTAGAGGAGAGGAAATCTAGTGTACTTCTGTCAACTAAACAGAGACCTGTCACCTGAACCTTAAGGTGACTATTTGGCACAACTTAGGGGCTTATTATTTTTCTGGTAGGATGACACACATTCATGGGAGTGACCAATATTTCTTGTTATATCCATTTCTGAGAGATTTTTCTAAGATCCCAAATTATGATAATCTCTCAGGTCTCTTTAATCCATGTCCTCGCATTTACCTGCATGTTGAAGTGAGGAGGATGGTACAAGAAGGTACAGAAAGAAACTTCTCAGGTGCATTGCTAACCATGTGCCACTTTTGCCCCTTGTCCTGGGACATTTCTAATTCTACCTCGTGAAAATGAATTCCTGACATTTTATGATCTTTAATGTCTGTCCAAAGTAGTCGTGCAGATGTCCCTGATGATTTTAACAATCCTCAGTTTATATCCCTTTCTGTAGACTGACTTACAGAGACAACTGGAAATGCATCTAAGGTACAGAGATAGGTTTCGGTCTGTTTGTTTTTTAAACAGATTTTTTACTCCATTAGCTAAGAAGGAAAGGAAAAGGAAGTGCAGATGTAGGTTTCTGGCCATTCAAAGCCATCTAACCTTGAAGATATTTGAAAGATTATTAGCGGGGTGAAAGGCAGATTTAGTGGGTTTTTTTTTTTTGAAATCTCAGACAGCTTTAAAATTAATATCAGCCTTTTGGGTAAATATTTATTTTATAATTCAATAACAAGGTCTAATTGAACAGGGTCATAATGAGATAAATTTATAGATAGGAAAAAAATTAGAAATCAGAAAATTATCCCCCCCATCCCACAGTAGTAACAAAAATTCACAGTTTAAAATATGGGTAAAACTTAGTAAATATAATAGTCCTCTTTCAAATTCACATAAAGCCTTAGTTTCTACCAACTATCCTTATCAATACACCAGTATTGTCATGAGCCCAACAGAATCCTTCAAAAAGATAGTCATTATAATCTCCAAACCAAAGCTCAATGAGATTAAGTGATTTAAGCAAGTTTACCTGGCTACTAAATTATGCTCCTAAAATTTGGCTTCAGAATTTTGTACTCCAAGCCCAGTTAGTGTTCCTTCCACTCTCCCCCACAGATGGGTCTTGTCAACGGATTTAGATAAATCACAGCAGAGGCTATAAGTCATTTCTCCCTCACAGGTTGCTTCTGCTGGGAGGCTGTCTCATTAAAATCTGTGTCAGTGTCCAAACCTTTAGGCTTAATACTTTTAAGGTATTTGTGTCCATATATATGTGTGTGTGTGTGTGTGTGTGTGTGTGTGTATGTATGAATGTTTTTATGTATGTATACACATATAGATCAACACACATATAAAAACATGTATGTAAAATAAAACATCATGTACACACGCACGTGCACGCGCGCGCGCGCGCGCACACACACACACACACACACACACATTTGATCTTCCACACAGATTTAGGCCCTTTCCAAATCAAAGGGATTATTGTGGTCCCTTGTTCAGAATCTTAATACTGGCAGGCCTAGGTGGCCTGGGATCTGGAAGTCAGGAAGACAATGCTACTGCTGGAAAATTAGGATTAAGGCCTATGGTGACACAGGAGTAAAGCTCATAACGGAAAAGTTTTTGCTTCAGTTTCTTGCCTTCCCACTAAGAAATTCTGGGATTTGGAGACTATGAAATAGGCTAACATAACCATAAGCATCAACAATGATAAGAATATTTGCCACAAACTACATTCTAGGCAATATACAAAAACATTGACATCTCTGTCCTCAAACAATTCTCTAACATTGGTTCTGTAAGGTCTCATTTATATATTAAAAAAGAAAAAAATAACACTGAGACCTAGAGGGTCTAAATAACTTGTCTAAGATAAAAAATCTTCCTCAGTAAGAGTGATAGGACTTGAAAATATGCTATTTGACTTCAGAACCTGTGCTCTGAATCACTAAGTTACACTGCCTTCACAGTAATGGGGGAGGAACATGAAAAATGAAGTTTGAGGCACATGACTCCTAACGACTTATGAGAAAAAATAATTGCTGTAAAAATACGACTATCCAAAGTACATGAAATCAGCTACATAAATTCTAGACTATAGGTCAGGTTTCTATTTTTTTATTCTGCTAAATTTAAGTCATGCATTCAAAGTCATGGGGGATAGGAATGGAGGGATATCACCTCTAAGGGAATGAAATTGGTTCTTGTGGGAGACAAAAGAATCTTACTCTTTTGAATGTATAAAGCTCAGATATACATACAGTACATCAATAGATATCTAGTATATCTGTGGTATTAATATTTCATGAGAAGTTCATTTAGGAAAACAAATGCTTAAAAAGGATTATTACGAGAAACAAAGATTAAGAAGTATTAATCTAGATAAACAATTTTTAAAATTTAAAACTAGGAGCACTTTGGTAGACTTCAATGGAGACTACATTTTAAATGCCATATGAAAATGGTTAGTAAATTAACCCATCTCCAATAATTTTTGTTACATCACTCTTGTGAAAGTGTCCATATTTTCTTCTGATTCTTGTTCTATAAAAGCATGTTGGGGAACCTAAACTTGACTAAATTTGTTGTAGCAAAGCAGGACATGAAGGTTTGGGTAAAATCCTTCCCAGCACTCCCTTAGTGTTCATCGTATGCTTCACCACATTTCTCAGCCTCTTTCCGGGTAGGTAGGACCAGATGACTAGGGCTGAGGCCAATAGGCTCAGAGCAGAGGTAACGAGTCTTACTGCAAAGCATTCAAGAGCTGGTGGCAATGCTCCAGCTTTTCTCTCTCTCTGCCACAGAAGGGCATATGTTCCAGATGGTGCAGTTACAAGTTGGCAGAGCCTCCATCAGCCTGGGTCCCTGTGGCACAATGTGAAGTGGCCCCTGCCCACCTGCATTAGAAATATAGCTTGGGTAAGAAATCCACTATGGTTGTGTTGTCACTGAAATTCTGGAGTTAATTTGTTACAGTCTGATAGTCTAGACTATCCTGAAACATACAATGCTGGTAACTGGTTTTGAGATGTGGAGTTGATATTGAGGTTTTGGATTTATTAATCCCTGCAATGACTTTACAGCCTTTGTAAAATATACTGTTGTGTAAAGTCGTAGCTTTGTGCACCACAACTAACTGTTTCAAAAATTTCCTAATAGAAAACCCACAGGTCTTTCCCAGAAGCAACTTGTTCTCTTCTGTTATTTCTTAAATATTTCACTGCAATGCCTTCAATGGTGGATCTTAATAATAGAATCAATTCACAAGGTGGGGTCCACAGGATTAAAAAGGAAAACATCATAAAGCAAATATTACTGATGCTTAGGGAATTATTTTTTATTTTTATTAAAATATCCTTGCCTCTAGCATTCCTTTTAAGTCTAGCCTCATTTCTTTTAAATCCTGGGACTGTGGGTCAGTGCTTATTTGCATGCTAATTACCAGCTGAAGGCATTTTATGCTGATCCAAGGTCTTTAACCAATTAATGAACCAAGGAATGATGACCTTTCCTTGGAGGAAAATTGCTTACTTTCATCATCATTACTACTGAACTGCATGCCTGTACCCATTGCCTCACACTTCAGGCTCTTTCCTGAATATGTAAGTAGAGAATTAAGTAGCTGTGATTGGATGCCACTGAGTATCTTATTGCATGTATCTATACTTAGGAAACATGCCAAGCACTGGAGATATGTAACTGACACTAAATGGGCAAAAACAAAGTCTAAAAATGGTCTTCTTGCCATGTCAGAATCTTCTCAGAAGTGATTATACTCTGCCAAAGCTTTTAGATTTGAGATCATCTATATAACCCTTTAATCACACAATTATAGATGATATATTTAGAGACAGTGCAGAAAAATAAGATGGCTATTTCAGTGAAAGAAAAAGAAGTTAGATGGTGTCAAATACTAAATGGATATATAATCAAGATTGAAATCTGGGATGTGTCTAAGGATGCTTAGGCAGAGGACCTAAATATTTGTTTTCCATGCTTTATTATAGTGTTTCACTTAATCACGAGAGTTTTTCAAAATCTGTAGCATTGAAACAGCTGTTTCAAAGAATTGTAATATACATAGATACACACAAACTCCTTGGAGCATGGCAGTTCCTAATTTCAATGGCCAAAGTAGCATATCTATTCTGCTCTTTTTCCTAAGAAGTTAATCTTTGTGACTAGGGATAGAGATCTGGTTCTTAACCTAAAGGGTTATTAGGAAATATATCAATATAAACATCAGCAATGTATTGTTTCTCCGAACCATCCATTTCTTGATAATCTTCACTGAGTCCTCCTAAATTTACCAGCGCTGACAATGGGCTACAACAACACTCTGATACAATTCCTTTACCCAGGTATTGCATTGTTTCACTATATTCTCTGGTTCCTGAATGTAAAGAGTTGCAAAATTACTAGTACGTGTGCAGAGAAACACAGTTTTGTTTGCTTGTTTGTTTTGTAAGTAACTGATCTGATATACTTTAGAACATTGTCTGCCTTTGGGGGAAGGGCATTAAAATTTTTCTATTAATTTAGGTCAGTAACCTCAGACCAATCTAATATTTTAGACTCTGAATAACTCAGTCTCTGCTTGGGTAATCCAACAGATGTGTATTTCAGATTTAAGTCAACCCCCTAACAAAGCTCCTCTCTTTGACCTCCTACCTAGGAACTGAGAGAGGGTGAAGAATGCCTCACCAGCCTCTGCTGAGCTGCCATGTTGCAAAGATTTCTGTTTATTTTGTTCCCTGCTTTTATCTCTGTCATCTAGAACATCAATTATCACAGAGTAGTCACTCAGCAAATATTTGTTGCATGAATGAATTAATGAATTAATACACAGGATTCTCCTTCAAAAACTCCAACCAGTAGAGGCACAATTGTGGTTCCTTTCACTGTATCACAATCTATCCAAGTCCTGGATATTAGCAGGGATACAGGAAAATAATTTTAGGTCTCTCTTCTTTTGCCTCTTTTTATCTGCCTTCTCTCTAATGCCATGAGAGGAGCCTTTCTCAAACTTCCTCTTCCTGCCTGATCACCTTACATAAAACTTTTTGCTACTCTACCTACCAAGTATAGCCCTCCATCAGCTAAAGAGGGGATAATGGAATTTACAAAATTCCATCTTTTCCCACATCTTGTTTTATAATCCAGTGTCATGCTGAACAAGTCTGTATCAGATCAGGCTATCTTCTATTTTAGAAAATAAGCCTGAAGACTCAGTTTCAGGGGAGGAAAGCTGATTATATTAGGAACTGTAGAAGCATTTAAAACGAACAATAAAATAAAGGTCAGGGCCATTTTGAAAGAGAAGTTCACAGTTCATTAGAAACTGACTTAGAGAAAAAAGTGAATGGTGTAAATTTGGCGAGGGATGTCTTCCCACTAGTCACTTCATGCAGTCTGAGTTATCTCCCTTGAGTACGTGCCCAAAGTGGCAAAGTCAATGACTGATTCAATGAAAAGAGAGGAGAATGGTGTACAGGTGATGGGAATTGTGAAAGTAGGATACCCAATGGAGTCCACTAGTTAGAATCTTCTCTTGGCTTGCCTTGTATGGTGTTCCCATTGTATCAAGGGTTATTTTAGTTATTAGCATTACACATCTCCATGTTTTCATCATATCCTCTCTCCTGAAAAAATACCCTAATACACTTTCTGAAGGAAAATAGGAGGTAAAGAATGGTGTGCCAGTTGTTTTGCTTTTAGCTTGCTTGCCTATGACACAAGATGTAGAGTTAATTAGATAATCTATGCTCCAATATGAGCTATGATAAAGGAAGCCATTCAGATTGGTGCTGTAGGTTTCACCCTTGGCTGCTCGTAAGTATCTTCCAGAGAGTTTCTAGAATATACTATTCCTTGTGTCACACCCCTAGAGATTCTGATTTAATTTTTCTGGGTTGCGGCCTACACATTATTTTTTTCTAAAACTCCCCGGGGCTTATAATCAGAAGCTTTGGAGGCAGGATTTGGAACTGCTATTGTAGTGAAATAAACATTTGATTTAGGGCAGTTCTGTCACCAATTGTCTGATCCTAGGCAAGCCACATCACTTTCTGTACCTCAGATTCCTCATCTGAAAAGTGAAATATAATAATGCTAACTCACAAAGTTATTTCAAAAAACACATTTGATGGTGCACAAACATATGTTTGGAAGCTCCTAAGTTCTTTAGAAATGTTAGCTATTCTACACTTAAATCTTAAATGGTAACTTAGACTACCTTAAATGATTTAAATTAGAAAAACATGATGATAATGATGATGATGATGATAATAATAATAAGAAGAAGAAACTACTGCCAACCTCAGGAGTTCTTAGTAAATCTTATATAAAATATACTTTTTTTGTGATCTCAGAGCACTGCATTGATGGAGTTGTTCTGTTTCATACTCTATAAACAGCTCTCCTGAGATCATAGCTAATATAAATGAACTTTATTTACAATTTATTTTTACCTGGGTAACTCTTAATTTTGTGTCTTTCTCATTACATTTATTTCCTGGGTTCAGAATGAAGTTTTAAAACGCTATGGGTTCTCAGAGAAGAGCTTGCAGATGGAATGCAAAATCTGTTTGTTATACCCATTGCTTATTTATGAAGCTAAAGGGCAGCAAGGAGCCATTTGGGTATGCTGTTGTTTGCAACGATAAACTGTTGGAACATGAAGAGGGAGAGAAACTGCCTTAAAGTAGGTTGTGGGGAGAGGCGAGAGGATAGGTTAGATTTGTTGCACAGCCTTCCAGTACAATTTCTTAAGTAGATTGCTGAATGTAAGGAGACCACATGACTGGCAGAAAAGGAGAAAAGCAGAAATAGCTAAGCAAATGAAGAGTGCTTTTCAATTTTACTGAGAACAGGTAATTGGATTCTGCAGTGAGGGCTTGATATACAGGAAATCTTTTAGACATCAGCCTAGAAACACCTATAGGCCATGGCATGATTTTTTACTTATTCTATCTGAGTAGCTTCGCCTCCCGGTCAATGAGCTCTGAATCAACTTAAATTCTTACCCAAGGTCATGAAACTGAAGTTGAGTCCTGGGTAAATCCCACACATACCATAACAGACAGAACCCATAAAATTCCTGGGCAGATTTCTGCCACAGAAACAAAATGGAAGACTTCCAGTGGTTGAGCTAATTATGCTGTGCTTACCTCTCCATGTTGTTGAAAGACATTATCAACACATTCATCCGTTTCAATGAAGCTTTGCCCTGGAGAGTTGTGTGACACTTAAACTCTGACTCAAATCAAGAATCGAGGACCACATATCATACTTTGGTGACCTCATGTTAAGACATCAATTGTTACCAGGATAATATTAGCATGTTTAGATCTTGACACTGCAGGCTTTTCAGTGAACTTGCCCCCCTATTCTGAGGGAATGTCAAGCTAATTTTAGGGCCAGTAAAATATATTTATGTATGAACAATCATAGAAGGAAATGGGCACGTGATGTTGAAACTATGTATGCAATAAATAGCCTCTTTGACTGAATCATCCCAGGAAATAGAGTGTTATTTCTATTCCAAGCCTTTGCTGATCTGCATTTGCTTTAAGCTTCATATTTCAACATTGCTGACATCTAGAAATGCAGTGCATAAGCTGTAGCTCTTACATCTGCCTCATCTCACTTTCCCTCTTCGCCTCAATTTTAAGGCATGTCATACATTTGACTCCACATGTTTCACAGGTTCTTTTGATTATCTTAAGGTTAGACGACCATACTTAGTGTGAGAGAAGGCATTTCAGAAACCTCAATAAATAGGTTTTCAAAAGGAATGCCAATGTTAGAAAATGATGAAGCAAAGATATTACTTCCTGCCAAACATCATGGAGTTTAAATCCTTCTGAAAAGATGATGAAGAGCAGGTCCTTCTGTCTCTCTCTGGATTGCCTTAGTGCCAGCCAGATGCTCAGCGGAGCCAGGCTGTTAGCACATGCCTTGCCAGGGAGTTTTAGAAACATGAGAAACAGCACACAAAGACCTTGTTCCAAAATGATGTTATATGGGAGGAAAAAAATTAGCAAAAACCTCCTGATGTTCAAATAGCATGTATTTTATACACAGCCCAAATTAATAAAATGATGGATTCAAAAAAACATTTTACCTTCTATTTGGGACAACACCAGATTGTATTCTTTATTTTATACCCTCAAGTGTTCCAGAACTTTTTTCAAAGCAATTGGTCAAACAGACCTAGGATGCCACCCTTTCACTTATTGGCTGACATGAAAATGGAGACCGTTTAGATGACTAAATCCATTTACAGTGTCAGACGCAGGAAAGGCTAAAACCAGATGATTATCTTCAATGATCTTTCCATATCTGTGACAACTTGGATTTTAGTCCCAGCTCCGCCACTAATTAAACTAATGGCCTTGGTCAAGTTTGCTCTACTTCATAGGGATTATGCAGGTTTATTAGTTTTCTTTCTTCCATACTCTCTACTCTATAACATTTTATGATTTCCTTCCTTCCTTCCTTCCTTTCCTTCCTTCCTTCCTTCTTTCTTCCCTTCCTTCCTCTCTCCCTCTCTTTTTTTCTTTCTCTTTCCTTCTTTTTTCTTTTCTCCTTCCTTCCTTCCTCCCTTCCTTCCTTTTCTTCCTTTTCTCTCTTCTTTCCTTTCTTTCTCCCCCTATCTGATTTTTTAGTTCTTTCTTTCAATCCCTTCCTTCAGGTTTACTTTCTGCCAGAAACATTTGAGGCAGATCCCTACCCTAACTCAGGCTTTTCATTCACTATATTGGTGGTTCTTAGAGCGTACTCCAGCAACCTCAGCATCAGGCTGCTGCAATGCAGATTCTCAGGCTCTACTAAGATCTGCTGAATCAGAAACTCTTAAAGTGGGACTCAGCAATCTCCATTCTATCAGGACCTCCCACGTGCTTTTGATACCCTCTAATATTTGAGAACTATTGCTTTAGGGCTCTTTCCTCCTTCTGTTTAACAGCCTTCATCTACTAAAGCTATTTGAGTCCAGGTGTAAATTTCTCAGAATTACTTATAAACTTGAAGAGGGTCAAGAGTAGAATCTACAGCCAGGAAAACTTGGAGTAGAACATTGGTTATGCCACTGTGTTCAGTCCAATCTGTGTTACTTGATTCAAGTGATTATTCTCCCTCTCTCAATCTTTAAAGTGGTGATAATAATAATGCCTAATTTATAAACCTGTGTGAGAATTATGTGTGATGCTATTTGTATCTTTAAAATGATACACGAGAACTATTACTCTTGGGTTACACATATATTTTGGTAGGATTATTTAATGTTTTACCTAGAAAATAAAAAGAAGAGCAATGTGAAAATTTGGGATCTACTGAGTCTGGTAGGCAGAATAAAGACCTCTTAAATATATTCATGCCTTAGTAATCCATAACCCATGAGTATGTTATCTCACTTGGCAAAAGGGAATTTGCAAATGCAATTAATAATACAAGTCTTGAGATAAAGATATTATCTCAGGTTATCTGGGTGAGCCAATTTTAGCACACAAGTTCTTAACAGTGGAGAACTCTTCCCACCTGTGTTCAGAGAGGGAGCGATGTGATAATAGAAGAAGGATCACAGAGATTCTACATTACTGACATTGAAGATGGAGGAAGGAGGTTAGTATCCAAGGAATGTGGGGACTATTTAATTTAGCAACTGGAAAAGGCAAGAAAATGAAGTCTTTTTTACCGGCTCCAGAAAGGAAAGTATACCTTGATTTTAGCAGAGCAGCACCTATGTCAGACTTCTGCAGAATTACAGCAAAATAGGTTTACGTTGTTTAAGTTACTATGTTGCTGATAATTTGTCAAGGCAGCAATAGAAAACCAATATATTGGATCACTGGAATTATATTTGTTCAAGTTTTCTTTGATTTACCCTATCAAATAACTACCTAAATTGCCTCTAATGTGTGATTGACTAATCTTGTCCCAAGATCTTCCTCCTGGTTAACAATTTTGACTCCCTTCTATACCAAAATGCCTCCAAGGCTACTTTGAGCTTTATCTCCTCGTCTACTCTATGAAAAGGAACTAATGAGCTTTACATTAATGACAGGAAAAGCAAAGGACTTGGATTATCCATAAAAGAGATAAGCAGCCACTGAATAATTAACTACAATCTAACTGTGGTTAAAGCTTCTTATCTAAACCAAAGATATAGTATATTCTAATATACTTAAGGCTGTATAGCAATATGCTGTCCCTCAAAATTCTTCAAAGTCTTCCTGAAAGATACTCACAATACATGATATTATAACTTCTACATAATTTGTAGAATGTAAAGTATTACTACTACTAATGATGAGTATCATCGTCATAATCACATTTATCATAAAGCAGCTATTTAATAGTTCTAGTGACTAGGGAACAAAAGAGAAAATCAATGATACATTTAGGCAAATAACCTGTCTTTTAAAAACTATTCTTTAAAAAAAATGAGAATAAAACAAGCTAAGGTTAAGTATTATTCTGCTGCTTATTAGTTTTCTGTGATGCTAAGTCAAAAAATAAAACCAATGTTTTGTTACAATCTTTACAGGCTTTTTCGTATGTGCACCAACTTTGTATTATTTTGCTTCACTTCATTGCACTTCTCAGATACTGTGTTTTTTACTAACTGAAAATTTGTGGCAACACTACTGGTGCCATTTTTTCAATAGCATATGCTCACTTCTTGTCTCTGTGTCATATTTTGGTAATTCTAGCAATATTTCAAACTTTTAATATTATGATTACATCTTTCATGGTGATCTGTGATTGGAGATTGTTGATGTTACTATTTCGGGGTGCCACAAACCACTTCCATATAGGATGGAGATCTTAATAAGCATTGGGTACATTCTCACTCCTCTTCTTACTGGCCCTTCTCTGTCTCTCTTCCTTTCCTAGGACCTCCCTATTTCCTGAGACACAACATTGAAATTAGGCCAATTAATAAGCTTACGATGGACTCTAAATGTTCAACTGGAAGGAATAATCACGTATCTTTCGCTTTACATCAAAAGCTAGAAAAGATTAAGCTGAGGGAGGCATGTTGAAGACTGAGACAGGCAGAAAGCTAAGCCTCTTTTGCCAAAGTTAGCCAAGCTGTGAAAGCAAAATAAAAGTTTTAGAAGGAAATTAAAAGTGCTACTTCAGTGAGCACACAAATGACAAGAGAGCAAAACAGTCTTATTGGTGATCTGGAGAAAGTTTTAGTGGTCTGGACAGAAGATCAAATCAACCACAACATTCCCTTAAGACAAAGCCTAATCCAGAGCAAGGACCTAACGCTCTTCAATTCTCTGAAGGTTTAGAGAGGTGAGGAAGCTGCAAAAAAAAAAGTTGAAAGCTAGCAGAAATTGGTTCTTGAGATTCAAGAAAATAAGCTTTCCCTGTAACATAAAAGTTCAAGGTAAAGTAGCAAATGCCCATGTAGAAGCCACAAGTTATCCAGAAGATCTAGCAAAGATAATTGATGAAGGTGACTACACCAAACAAAAGATTTTCAGTGTAGATGAAACAGCTATTTATTGGAAGTAAATGTCATCTGGGACTTTCATAGCTAGGGAGGAGATGTCAATGCTTGGCTTTGAAGCTTCAAAATACAATCTAATTCTCCTGTTATGGGGGAATGCAGCTGGTGACTTTAAGTTGAAGCTAATGCTCACTTACCATTCTGAAAATCCTGGGGCCTTAAAGAATTATGCCAAATCTTCTCTGCAGTGCTCTATAAATAGCTAAGCAAACCCTGGATGACAGCATATCTGTCTACAGCATGGCTTACTGAACACTTTAAGCTTACTGTTGAGACCCACTGCTCAGAACAATGATTCCTTTCAAAACACTACTGCTTACTGGCAATGCATGATATCTCAGGAGCTCTAATGGAAATGAATGAAGCTCTGATGAACATGAAGCTCTGATGAACATGAAGATAAGTATTGTTTTCATGCCTACTAATACATACCCATTCTGTAGCCCATGGGTCAAGAAGTAATCTTTTGTAATACAAAGAATCAATTGATATGGCAAACTTCATTGTTAGCTTATTTTAAGAAATTACTACCTCAAAAACCTTCAACAACCAACACCCTGATCAGCCAGCAGTCATCTACATTGAGGCAAGAGCTTCCACTAGCAAAAAGATTATGCTTCACTGAAGGCCCGTATGATTGCTAGCATTTTTAAACAATCGGATATTTTTACATTAGGTTATGTGCATTTTTAAAGATATAATGCTATTTGACACTTAACAGACTACAATATAGTGTAAACATAACTTTTATATGCCCTGGGAAACCAAAAAAATGTGATTCACTTTATTGCAATATTTGCTTTATTATGGTGTTCTGGAACTGAACCCACAATATCTTTGAGGCATGTCTGTAATTATCTATAAAAAACTTCCAAACAAAACAGTGATTAATATATATAAAAGTTTAAACAAATTATTAGTGTATACTCTAATATTAGGATTTTATGTACTAAGTGTGGGATCTTGCTGTGAAATTCAGCATGTGTAAAATTTCAACTTCAAAAAAATTACATTTTCTTTTATTGACAAGCTCTAATGACTTAATGACTAATTTAAGCAAAGACAAACAAAATTACAAAAAAATCACAACCAAAAGAGATTCTTCTAAATGCTTCTCCTAATTAATATAAAATTAATAGTAATAATAATAGAACACTAATAATCATTTTTCCTGTTTTAGAATCTACATTATTTTGCTTTGGTTATATTTTAGTGTATACTTTTTAGATTCCTTTTTGGCATGGTTTACTCCTGTATGTTTTATGGTCTCTAAGCCATCTGCAGCAACTAAGTAATGGGTAAAAGATGTAAACAGCTGATACCGCTTTTCATTTTTATATTGTATTCAAACTTGTACAATACGTTTGGAGCACACATATTTCAAAGCACACAGATGATAATTTTATGCAATGGCAAATCAATTGATCAATAATATTGACATTGTAATACCTTCATTTACAGGAAGCCACACTGGTCACTCACATTCACTGTATTTAATTCCTCCAGCCCTAAAGCCCCAAATTTTCTGTCTATTAATCTGGGTTACTTTGAGTCTATGTCAAATGTGAACTGGAAAAAAAGTAATAATCTAAATATTCAACCAAACACTCATTGTTTTTCAACCAATATTTAAACTTTAGAATTAAGAATTTGAAATTTTCGAATTATATTTAATAGATAATGAGCTTTATAGTATTCTTTGTGTCTAAATCCAGGCTTTGCATGAAAGAGTCCATGGTGAAGAAAACAGAGATTTCTTGGGTAACATATAATTGATTTCAGGATATTTATTTTTGGAGAATGTTTTCAAAATGATGTACTTAGTAACAAATTAAATATTGTCCACATTTAATTTTGAAAGCACCTTGAAGTTTTCGCAAAACCTATATCCTCTTAATCTTCTAATTAACCAACACATAGAGTGTGATTATTGACATCTAAAATACGGCAGTCAAACATCTAATAATAACATCCCATCCAGTTTGTAATGTATAAGAAGGAGCTTTCCAGCTATAAATAAATATAGAAAAAAACCAAAACAACTAGCTTGAAGCAAAAGTACCAAATGAAACTCCACACAATGATTTCAGGTTTATTTATTCACATCTGTTGCTATTACTGTAAAATGGTTTAAATAGCCATAAAAAAATACAGTGTCCTCTAAGAATGTCCATGCTGGAGCAGCCTGTTTCTCCTTACTAGCACCCATACATGCTGCACCCTCAACCTTGCAGAAAAGCTTTGGCTTTAAATACACATGAATTATTGCTAGTTAGATATCTAACTAACTGAATAATGTGGTTAGCATTGATAAGCCATAACCCAAGAGGTTTATCTTAATATTTTTTTAAAAAAATGATTATTTCTGTGTATGCATGATACATTATCTCTTGTTAATCCTTACCCTATCCTGTTTGTATTTCTTCTACTTTACAGACTATCTCAATAATTTAGAAGTGACTCTGGTTCCACATCACCTGATGAATTATGCCTTAATAAAAACATCCTCAATTTATTAATCAAAGATGACAAATTGAGTTATTTTTTCCTTAATGTTCATTGCCGAGTGTATGTATGTACAGTTATGGTGAAAGGTCAAGTACTCATTGGTAAGAATATAATGAATGACATAGAATGGACCATGAAGTGCACATCTTCTGGATTTCACACGGAAGTGAAAGTTGCTTGATATTAATCAGCAGTTCAAATGCACCAGTTACCTCACTGAAGTATGAAATTGCTAGCCTCGAACTCATTTATACATTCAACGAGTATACATTGAATATCTACCATGGCACCTCTACATTTTGTTAGGTATGGAGATGCGGCAGTGAACAAAGCAGACAAATTCCTTTTTTTTTTTTTTTTTTTTCGGAATAAAGCTGCCAGGGAACATGTATTCAGCTGAGAGCAGGAACATTAAACAAAATGGCTAACTAGAGTAAACAGCCTCTTAAAGGGTGATAAACAATATATAAGTGATACACAGTAAGTATAAAGCAGGATAAAGGAAGATGAAGTGTGAGGAATAAAGGCTAAAATTTAATATTCTACCATATGGAAGCACAAAAATAAAAACTCATCCATTAACTTGCAGGGGATATTAAAAGAAAACAAATATCCCTACCCTGGTGGAGTTTACATTCTAATGTACTGAAGCAGAAAATAAAATTGATATAATCAACTAGTAAATTATATAGCATGTGAGATGACAAGTGTTATAAAAGAGAGAGCCAGAGACAGAGAGATAGAGGTAGACAAAGGGAGGAAAGTGGGATTAGGAATGTGCGTTGGGTGAAAGGATAGAGTCAGTTTGCAATTAAAAAAATGGTGGTCAAGGCAGACTTCACTGAAAATGTGAAAGTAAGGAAAAAATTGAGGAAGTTGAGAAATAGCCATGTAGATATTAGAGAAAGAGCATTCCAGGAAGGGGGAATAGCTAGAACATACAATCCAAAGATGGAGTTTGTAGATTTGTTCAAAAACACCAATGAGACTTGTGTGATTGGAGGATGGTGACAGTTGGGAGAAATTGCAGGAGCTGAAGTCTCAGGTAATGGAGGGGCTGGGGCATGGACAGCTTGGTGGGCTGTTGTTTACTCTCGGAGAGAATGTGAAAGCTATTGATGAGTCCTAGCAGAGAAATTACATAATCTGACATATTTTAAAGAGTGTTTTTTTGGATGTTATGTTCAGAATAGATGGTAGAGAATCACAGATAGAAGGAGGGAGTGTTCAAGGGGCTATTTCAGTACTCCAGACAGAAAATGATGGTGGCTCAGAAAAGGATGGTAGACATGGAGGTGGGAGGAAGTGGTTAGATTTTTTGACTACCAGGCCAATATGTCAAGAGATGAGTAAGATAATGATAGATAAAGTAAAGAAGACCAAAGAAAATAAAATTCAGTACAGAATACTATTTGGCTTTAGCCATTTGTTTTATTTGTATAGGCAAAATGATTACATTTTCTAAATGTTAGGAGACCTCAAATGCATTATTCCCTTGTCCTGAAATTCCTTCTAAAAAGTAGTTAAACAGTTTATTTCTGAAATGAATGATTATTCATAAATTCTTATTTCAGTTGCAGACCTTGCTTACTTTTATATGTCTTTTAGGAGAACTCAAAAAATGTTCAAGAGCATATCTTTTTCTTTTTGATGAATGTTACTGATTATGACTATTGAACTACTGCAAAATGTTGCAGTTTGTGCTTGATTTTCCAGGCAGTTATATTCAAGTTTTAGTTGCAAAAACAAATAAATATATGATGAAGACATAAACCAAGCTGGAATATGCAATCATATACTACTATTAAATAGTATATTCTAGTATATAAGATTAATAAGGCAACATAAACATGATTGTGAGCAGACCACAGAAATATTGTTGTAATATCAGTACATGAAGTCCTTTTGAATAAAGAAAACCTTTGCCATTTATTTATTCTCTAAGATGCTCTATCCAATATAAGAATCATTAGCTAGTGGCTATTGGACACGTGAAATAAAGGTAGTCTGAACTGAATGCATTGCAAGTTTAAAATATACACCAGATATTATGTACTTATTACAAGAAAAGAATGTAAAATCTATCACTAGTATTTATATATGTATTACATGTTAAAATTGTATTGTGAATATGTTCTTTTACATAAAATTTATTATTAAATTAAACTTTCTTTTTTATACTTTAAGTTCTGGAATATATGTGCAGGACATGCAGGTTTGTTACATAGGCATACATGTCCCATGGTGGTTTGCTGCACCCATCAACCCGTCATCAACATTAGGTATTTCTCCTAACGCTAATAGGTATCCCTCCTAATGCAAGGAAGGGAATATCACACACCAGGGCCTGTGGAAGGGTGGGGGACTAGGGGAGGGATAGCATTAGGAGAAATACCTAATGTAGATGACGGGTTGATGGGTGCAGCAAACCACCATGGCACGTGTATACCAATGTAACAAACCTGCACGTTCTGCACATGTATCCCAGAACTTAAAGTAAAATCAAAATAATAATAATATAAAAAAGAAACACAGGAGGTAGGTAGAAACCAACTAGTTGTGGTGATCCTGCTGTCTTTTCATTGGTTATTTCTCTTTTTCTAGAAAATTCTCATTTTATGAGAACACAATATAAAAGCACCAAAAATGACATTTAACATTCATTGAGCATTCAAAATATACCAAACCCACACTTGAAATCAATGCTTCCCATGATAATTCTATTTAATAGTAATAATAAATGGAAAACATCTCAGGTTACAGAAGAAAGCATACCATCAGGGATTGGACAGGCCTTGTTTTGAGTCCTGATAGTTTTTTACCTGCGAAGAAAATAATCTTTAGTATACTTTGTAATCTCTCTAATCAATGGTATAGCTTATTTGGAAATAATGTCCCCACTGTAGAATTTCATGAGAAGGATGAGGGAAAAAAATACACATGAAGTGACTTAGCACATGATAAATGATTTCAATCCTCCTTCAATTTCTGGATCTATATAAAATATACATACATACTCCATTTACCCTGCCTTCATGTAATGCTGATTTGTTATAATTCTATTCATTTTTTCAAGCTTTACTTTAAATATAAATAAATTCTTTTTCAACACAGTGCATTTTCTTCATGTACTCTGAGTGATATATTTTTTCTCAATCAGTGAAAAGAAATTCTACCATTCTGTTGTAAATTAAATTGTTTCTGCAACATATGTCACTCTACTGCAGCCCCTCTTTATTTTGTGTTCTATCAAACTGTTTTGAACCCTTAATGTATGACAAAAACATGTGTCTTAGTCTGTTTTGTGTTGCTGTAACAGAATATCTGAGGCTGGGTAATTTATAAAGAAAAGTAGCTTATTTAGATCATGGTTCTGCAGGCTGGGAAATTCAAGAATGGTGCCAGTGCCTATGCAACTTCTGATGAGGGCTTTTGTGCTGTGTCATAACATGGGGGAAGGTCAAAGGGGAAATGGGCATGTATGAAGAAGCAAAATCCGAGAGGCATCCTGCATTGTAACAACCTACCTATGCAGGAAGGAATCCACTCTCACAAGAACTAATCCAGTCTCACCAGAGCAAGAAGTAACTTCCTAGTATGAGAACAGCATGTCACCAAGTCATTGATTAGGAATCCATCCTAACAGCCCACACACCTTTCTTTAGGCCCACCTCCCGATACCATCACATTGGGGATCAAATTCAACATGAGTTTGGTGGGAACAAACTATCTCTATAACATAGCACTGTGCAAATAAAAGCTTTGGAGCTCACTCAGGTAAATAAGGCAATCACATAATGCTGAACATTAATATGCTAGTTTTATGGTGACGGAAGTGGCCTGTAAGTCAATTAGTAAGGAAATAAATAATAAAATCTATCCCAGCACTTAGGAATAGGTGGACATTTTCTGACTTTATGAAGGCACCATAAACTGATCAATTTTATGAAACGAGCTAAAAGACACTCTTATGGCAGGCAGGTTATGACGTTAGAGTCTTAAAGAGAATAGAAGATAACTGGACAAGATAATTCTGAGGACAAATATCTGCTATAGCTGAACAAATCTCTGCTATAATAGTGTTATGTAGCACTAATTCAGTTGGGGTTCTCATTTTCAAAAACGCGTCTTCCAAACTAGAGAGTGCTGGGTATAGTTTTTTTTTTTTTTTGGTTGACTTGCTGCTGCAAATGAGGTCATAAGGAGGAAACGTAGCTATAAGAAATGTACTCCCAGCTTCAGGATACGAATGCCAGAAAGAACTTCAATCTGAATCAATGCATACAGAGTCATGTAAAATAATGAAATTATATTTTAGTATGACTATGAAGAGTTGCATGACCACCCAACCTCTCAGTAAACCAAGTTATCTTTCTTGTAATATGGAGCTTTGTTTATACTTCTATTTCAGAAACTATTTATTTCAATTAAAACAAAAATTGTAACTTACTTATGTTTTCCTGCAGCAAGTAGCACCAGAAAAAAAGTCCTCAAGAGGTATTTGTTGAGCTGAACTAAACACAGGAAGATAGGCTATAGGAACTCAGATTTTTCTGACCCAAAGGTGAGATATATATACATATATATATATGTGTGTGTGTGTATATATATATACACACCACACATATATATACACACATACATATATATGTGTGTATAAATCTCACCTTTGGGTCAGAAAAGCATATATATATGTGTGTGTGTATATATATATATATATATATATATAGAGAGAGAGAGAGAGAGAGAGAGAGAGAGAGAGAGAGAGTGTCAAACTCTCGCTCTGTGGCCCAGGCTGGAGTGCAGTGGCACCATCTCAACTCACTGCAACTTCCACATCCCGGGTTCAAGCGATTCTCCTACCTCAGCCTCTAGAGTAGCTGGGATTACAGGCACATGCTAATTTTTGTATTTTTTAGTAGAGGTGGGGTTTCACCATGTTGGCTAGGCTAGTCTAAAACTCCTGACCTCAGGCGATCTACTCGCCTCAGCCTCCCAAAGTGCTGGGAGGCATGAGCCTCTGTGCCTGACCTATAATTTCTTTCTATCACAACTTTATACCATATAGAAATATTTGAGTATAAACATCAAAGAGTTATTCTCCAATTTTACTAACTCAGAAAAAAATTTGCCATTATGCCAAGAAGAATTTTTATAAATTACATAAGAACTTTATGACCAAATCTAGTGAGACAATAAGCTACATCCAATAAATTGATTGAGGAACCTTGTTTTAGGGTATACATTTTTAAAAAATATATACATATATAAACATACACACATACAGTTTAGATACAGTGTAATATTTTCTGGAGGAAAATGAAATGACTGATTTCTTTTTAAATTAATGTAACATGCCTATTAAATTATTTGGGAGAGTAAATAAGATATAAAAATATATGTATCCCCCATGTTCACACTACCAAAGACAACCATTGGGCCAAATTCTATCTTCATATTGTTCACTTTCACATTGTGACATTACTAATTCTATTCATGCCCCAATTCTTTGTTTTTTTAAATACTATTTTTTATTTTCTTCATGACTATTCTGTCTAATTTAAGGCGTAATCCTTGTTACTCTATATGACGTATGATATTGGTTTATCTTAAATTTGAAAACTAATGATCCCTAGATCAGGCTCAAACTATTTCTTTCAAAAATTATTCACTGCTTAGCATCTGCAGAAAATTGTATGAGATGTTAGAAATGCAGCATGAAAAAAGCAAATATAGAGTCTTCCATCATGGAGCTTATATTCTTAAAATATACACAATCATTAATTACTTAGGAAGAATGACAGATAATAATGAAGTCATATAACAGGGAACTAACATTCAATTGAACTCTAAAGGGTAAATAGAAGATATCTAGATTAATACGGAAGAGAGGAATCACATTCATGAAGCGTATATGTGAAGGACCTGATGTAGGAAAAAGCAAGTCACAATCAAGACACCAATAGAAGACCAGAGTGGTTCAAAAAGAGAGAGAATGCAGGAATCGTGATCAAAGGTTACATGGGTAGGAAGTAGATAACTCAGAATGAGGACAACATGAACAATGTGAAGTCACCGAGGGATTTTAAGCAGGGAACTCATGTGGCATATCAGATTTTCATCTTCATAGACTCATTCTAACTGTTTTGAGAGGGAGAATTTCATGTCTAGTAATATGACAAACTAGTTAACCATAGAAAAATTCCTCCTGGTTCAGGGAACTAAATTGCTTTATAACTTATTTAAAACTTTTTAAAGCATGTCTGAGCTTATGAGAAAGTAAGAGACTTTCTCCAATGCTAAAATAGAAATGCAAATTCATACGAGAAAATGAAATCGAGAACCCCATTTGTCCTTAAAGATACAGGCCAATTCTTAACACCCTGATGGTGAGTCTTAGAGATCCATGCACAGGTCAGTATATCTAAGCACAGTGGGGAATCATTGGAATACCTACATAAAGACAGAATCCTTGAAGGATGAACTAGAAAAAAAAAATCTACTACATTTGAGGTATACTAACATCTCTTCCCTTTGGATGTGTGGCTACAGATAGAAAAATATTTCTCCCCTGAGAATCCTTAAGATGACCAAAATATGTGACTAAAATCTACACTATCTAAAAAACTCAAGTTGAAATTTGGGTTGTAATTATCCCATAGCTTACCAGAAACATTCTCAGCTCCTCCCAGGAAAATCACACTGAAAAATGTGACTGCAGGCCACCTTCCATAGAACCAAAATTCATAATGAAATATAATCACGAAACACATGGGGAAATAAGCCACTCCAAAATCAACAGGAATAATGAACTGAACAATCAGAAAATCAAATACTGCAGATGTTGGAATTATCAGATGTAGAATATAAAATATCTGTTTTCATATTCTAAATGAATTGAAATACAGAACTAAAAGCAATAAACAAGGGCCTCAATGTGAGCAAATAAATAGACACTTGTTTAACGACAATCTACAAAAAGATAATACATGCAGTGTTGAAAACTAAAAATTTTCCATTAAAATAATAAACAACGATGGTTATGGTGGCTCATGCCTATAATTCTAGCGCTTTTGGAGGCCAAGGGGGGAGGATTACTTGAGCTCAGGAGTTCCAGATCAGCCTGGACAATTTAGTGAGATCTCATCTATACAAAAAAATAAAAAATAAAAAACAGCAGCAGTGGTATGTTCTTGTAGTCCAATTGTAGTCCAAGCTACTCAGACGGCTGAGGCGAAAGGACTGCTTGAGCCCAGGAGGTTCAGTGAGCTATAATGGCACCACTGCACTCTAGCCTGGATCACAGAATGTGACCTTGTCAAAAAAACGACAAAATCGGCAAGCCACCACTATAGCTATTTTCATCCAACATTTTATGGAAGGTACTAGCCTGTACAATAAGAAAAGAAAAAGAAATACACAACTTGAATACTTGGAAAGGAAGAAGCAAGACTGTCATTATTTGCAAATGATGTGCTTGTCAATATAGAAGCCCAAAGGAATCTACAGATAAACTTAAAATAGGCCAGGTGTGGTGGCTCACACCTGTAATCCCAGCACTTTGGGAGGTGGAGGCTGGCGGATCACCTGAGGTCAGGAGTTCGAGACCAGCCTGGCCAACGTGGCGAAACCCCATCTTTACAGAAAGTACAAAAATTAGCTGGATGTGGTGGTGGGCACCTGTAATCCCAGTTACTCAGGAGGCTGAGGCAGGAGAATCGCTTGAACCTGGAAGGGGGAGGTTGCAGTGAGCCAAGATCATGCCACTGCACTCCAGCCTGTGTGACAAGAGTGAGACTCCGTCTAAAAAAAAGAAAAAAAATTTAAAATAATGCAAGAGTTTAGAAACTTTGCTGAATACAAAATTAATATAAAAATCATTTTATCTTTATATATTATCAAACACTAGGAAATGAAATTCAAATATGCCATTTATAATAGTGAAACAAAATCCATATTAAATGAATAAACATAACAAAAATATGCAAGACCTTGAGGTAAAATACATGTAACTTTACTAAGTCATTTAAAACATACGACATTTTGGAGTAAAAACCCAATATAACAAAATTGCTAATTTTCCTCAAATCGATCTATAGATTTGATGAAATTGCAAAGCAAAATGTAATGTATAATTCAAAGAACTGACTCTAAAAGATTTAAGGAATAGCAAAGAGCTAAGAGAAGCCAAAACACTGCTGTAGAGAATGAACAGGTAAGATTTTTTTGATATTAATTAAAATAGTTGTGGTATAAGTATGGAATAGATCAAAGGGACGGAGAGAGCCCAGAAAAAGATTCAAACATGGCAACATGTTTTATAATATGGCTGACAATGCCAATCAGCAGGAAAATGCTAAAATATTCAAAATATAGTGTTGGAACAATTTGTTATGTACATGGAAGGGAAAGTTATAAAATATTTCTAATATATACAGAATTCAATTTCAGCTTCATCAAAGATTTAAATTTAAAAAGTAGATTTTTTAGACTTTTAGAAGAAAATAGAGAATTTGGGGTAGACTTTAAATATTTTAGGATTTCTGTCCAGGCGCAGTGGCTCAAGTCTGTGATCCCAGCACTCTGGGAGGCTGAGGCAGGCGGATCACGAGGTTAGGGGATCGAGACCATCCTGGCTACTACAGTGAAACATTGTCTCTACTAAAAATATAAAAAATTAGTTGGGCATGGTGGCAGGCGCCTGTAGTCCCAGCTACACGGGAGGCTGAGGCAGGAGAATGGCGTGAACCTGAGAGGCAGAGCTTGCAGTGAGCCGAGATGGCGCCACTGCACTCCAGCCTGGGTGACAGAGCAAGACTTCATCTCAAAAAAATATATATATGTATAAATATGTATATTTATATATATATTAATATATATTTTATATATCAATATATATTTATATATTTACATATTTATATATAAATATATATATATAAATATATATTTATATATATTTATATATATATCAATATATATTTATATATATTTATATATTTATATATAAATATATATAAATATATATTTATATATTTATATATAAATATATATTTTTATATATTTATATATATTTATATATTTATATTTAAATATATATTTATATATATTTATATATTTATATTTATATATTTATATTTAAATATATATTTATATATATTTATATATTTATATTTAAATATATATATTTATATATTTATATTTAAATATATATATTTATATATTTATATTTAAATATATATTTTTATATATTTATATTTAAATATATATTTTTATATATTTATATTTAAATATATATTTTTATATATTTATATTTATATATATTTATATATATTTATATATATGTATATATTTATATATTTTATATATATTTATATATATATGTATATATATTTATATATTTTTATATATATTTATATATTTATATATATATTTATACATATATTTATACATATATTTATACATATATTTATATATATATTTATATATATATATAGAGAGAGAGAGAGAGAGAGAGAGAGTAGGATTTCCTAAACAAGAAATAAAAGGCATGAAGTACCCAAAGAAAAAAATTGAGAAAATTTACTACATTAAAATTATGAATGCCTGGCTGTGCACAGCGGCTCACACCTGTAATCTGTGCACTTTGGGAGGCCGAGATGAGTGGATCACTTGAGCCTGGGAGTTCTGAGACCAGCCTGGGCAACATGGCAAAACTGCATCTCTACATAAAAATACAAAATTAGGTGAGTGTGGTGGTGTGCGGCTGTAGTCCCACCTACTCAGGAGGCTGAGGTGGGAGGATGCCTTGTGCCTGGGAGGCAGGGGTTGCAGTGAGCTGAGATCAAGCCACTGCACTCCAGCCTGGGTGACAGGATGAGACCTTGCCCACCCACCAAAAAAAAGAATGTCTGCTAATTAAAGTACAGCATCAAAATAATATAAAGAAGAGCCATTTAATGGGAGAAGACATTTGCAACACATGTACCTGAAACAATATTTCTTTCCAGAATTTAGAAATGATTGCTACACACCAGTAAGATGAGATAGAAATTTAATTTTTCAGATGGGTGAAGGACTTGAAAAACCTCTTCACAAAAGAAAAAATATAAATTTGCCATTAAACATATGGAATAGTGGGCAACCTCATTAGTAATGAGAATAATTCAGAATAATACTCAATAAGTTACCAATTCATAGACACAAAGTTAGCAAAAATTAAAAATTCAGACATTCTTAGTGTTCATAAATATGTAAAGCAATGATAATCCTATATACTGTTGATTGAAAATGTGCTGAATCTGTAATCCATCATTTGTCAAAAAGAAGCTATTACACAACATTTGTTACACTGTTATTTTTAACAGAAGAAAAAACAAAACAAAACTAGAAAGAACTTGAAGTCCTTCAGCAGTAAAGTGAACACAGGACGCGTGGAATAGTCACAAGAGAAAATCATATGCCAATGAAAATCATTTTTAGTAACTTTATCAACAAAAGTTTAACTAACAAAATGCTATTGTTATAGAGTATGATCTCATGATTTTACTTTATATAAAGTTTTTAAAAACGCAGCTGAAAAAATTAGCCAGGTGTGGTAGCGCATGCTTGTAGTCCCAGCTACTTGAGATGCTGAGACTGGAGGATCACTTGAGCCGGGGAGTTTCAGGCTACAGTGAACTATTAATATGTTCATGCCACTGCACTCCAGCCTGGGCAACAGAGCAAGACCCCTTCTCCGAAAAAAAAAAAAAAAATACAGCTGAGCAATTTCTTGTTCAGAGATACAGATATATGTAATCTATTGCAATGGTTATTAACACAACAGTCTAAAAAGTGGTCACTTCTGGCAAGAGTGGTGGCCGAGGAGGACAATTTTGGCAGGGTTACTCAGAGCCGTTCAACGGTGTTCGTAATGGTGTAATGCATGATAGTTACGTTGGTGTTCATTTTATTATTTTTTATAGTATATGCACATATTTGGTACTATTATTATATATTAATTATAATATGTGTTATAATGTGTGTTAAAACTTCTATAGATAAAACATATTTCACAATTTTAAAATATCTTTTTTTACAAAGGAAGAAAGAATACACAGAAATGGATGATATTTGAAATTTTAAAAAATCACTTGATAACCTATTGAAATTTTATAGGAAAAAGATAATGATGTCTTGTTCTGTTGGAGACAGAAAAGAATTAATTACTAAAGAAATATGTAGGGTTTTTAAAAAATTGACAGTGTTTGTTTGTTGTTTTCATATTGTGATTGAGGCTGTGTTTTAATAATAATTTCTAGTTTATTAACTTGTCCAACTTAGTGGATTTTGAAAGCATTTACAAGAATATTGAATAAGTATGTTGGTTTAGGGAGGCATTTTTTACTTATATGCCTCAGATAACTTGGACTAAATACATAATTAGCTCAGTAAATATTTGCCAAATAAATTAGATTAAAGTTTTGGAGAAGATGTAATCTTACTCATCTATAGTTAGAATTGACAATCTTAATTTTAGTAGTTTGAAGTACTTTTGTAGAGTCCATATGTTATACTTATTTGCATGTGCAAACAAATATGCAAATGTATTCTCATACTTGAAGCTTATGCAAGTTACTGATTTATTTCGTCTTATCTCCAAACCTATGCATTTTTACCCTGCTCTGTGATACTCTCAATGGACCTTGTAAATATTCTTCTTTGCAGCTGGAACAATGTTAAGCTTTCTTAGATGGCACTGGAGAGACCCTGCAGGAGGAGGAAATGACTTTATTTCTGGTACTAGTGTCCTTTATTCTTCCTCCTCCTGCAGCACTTGGCTGATGTGCAAGACACTCACTGGCACTTACCTATAAATGACACTGGCACTCATCTGCAAACGAATTTCAATGGTTCCCAGAGTGTTGTTTCCTGGTGAGTTTTAGTGGTGCCTGTAAGAGTAGCTTTTCAGTGGCTCTCACCAGCACCCTACCAGCCAGTTTTCTGCCTTGTAGCCCTAGCCTACAGCACCTCCAGCAAAATTCTCTGCTATTCAGTGTGCAAAAGCCACCTTTTTAAACAAGATTTGAATCTCAACCATGGTTAGGGGTTGGGGTAGGTCTTCCAAATGTATTTCTTTCTTAGTACTTATGTCTTAGCCCTAGAGGTCATGGCTGTTTCCTAAGATCCCTATTCTTGAATTCTTTAGAGTTTTCTTTACCATAGAGTTTTCTTTATCCCTAGAGTTTTCTTTACCCCCAGAGTTTTCATTATCCCACAGTTTCCTTGACCCCTGCTAGTGAAGAAATTAGTAGTTAATTTCTGTGGCCATATAATAAATCTTTGCGTTAAATTTTCCCATTCAATTTACTCAATGGTTTCTATCTCCTGACTGGATCCTGACTGATACTCAAATCAAATCTCTTTTTGTAATGGGTACTCCTATAATCTTCTAAGAACTACCTGACCTATCACTGCTTATGTATTCATTTCAATCCTAATCCTCTCCACTCAAAGGCTAAACTTAGAATTCTATTTAAATAGCATTTGGGTTTTTTTTTTTTTTTTTGCCATTAAGTATTCAGGTTTTTCACCTTTCACATAATGACTATGACAATTTTCTCTATTGGCAGCAGGCAAATTACCTCTGAAGAGTCCTTTGGAGAAACAGAATATCCAAAATTTCCATTAATTCTTTTTTTTTTTAGATTTAAAAGCATCACATTCTCTTTGAACAATGGAAAAAAAAAAACCAAGGGTAAATAAAAAAAAAACCACCCAATACATTTAGACAAATGATATATTTGTGTGCCACACAGAATAAATGGCTTCAATAATCATAAATGAGTGTCCCTGAAATTAAAACTTTTTTTTTCAAATCAGACTTTATTCTAGGAGATAAGTAAACTACTCATCATCGTCTGACTTTGTCTTCATTTACCACTGTTTTTCTGCTCATTGAAAATGAAAGGCCCCTTTTCTTTCACCTAAATGATTAACGGCGCATTCTAATCAAAGCACTTTTTCTGCATAGTTCACTGCAAGTGTGAGAAATATTGTCAGAAACTAAATGAACCTTTTGGAGTTGACTGATTTCTCCCAATTTTTGTGATATTACCTAACATGTAAATGACAATATTTTTTAAAAAGAAAAGAAAAGTAGAAAACTTGCACCAAGTAGTTTTGGATTTCTGCTACACATTTGCAAGGCATCCAAAACACAATCTAAATAAGTTACTTTTAGATTTTTCCTGATAAAATCTCTTGCATTTATAAGGCCTTAACAAAATATATTATAAGGAAATTAAAATTTTTCTCTTTTTTTAATCGCTCCACTTTCTGTTTGGGCCAAATGTGAAGTTAAGTACGTTCTATGTAACCTACTTCTCTTCCAAACTTATTGTACCATTCTGGCAAACAAAATTTTACATATATTAAATCGAATACATGCTACTGTAATTGTTAAACAGAGAATGAGATGTTGAATGTTCCACCAAATTTTTTATGTATAATTTGGAAGATTAAATGTCATTTCAAAAAATTCACAGAATATATACTTATTGACTAATAATTATGAATATATTATCTCTATTTTATATTTACATGCATATATATTATTTGTGTTTATATCAACACATTCAGAAGCTCACACAAACATGTATGCTTATTTTTATTAAGGGTCACTAAAACAGTTTAGAAAAAGTAAAATCCATGGAATTCATGGATGTTAAACATTGGTATTGAAAGCAAATTGAAATCTTAGGATTATGGTATATTGGAGTCCAATTTGTCTATGATGAAGTATGGATGTTTTTCTTTGTTTTGTTTTATTTCTTTTTAAACCAAGACAGATAGTTCTCTCACTAGAGAAAAGTTAATCCCATGGTAGTACAGAATTCAGAAAAGGTTTAGACTTAACTAGACAGTCTGGGTTCAATTTTATGTTTGCCCTATGAATTTGGACCAATTAGCTTAGTAGTTTGGGCCTTACTAGCCCCATCTATAATACAGGCAATACTTGTGTTAGGCCATTCTTGCATTGCTATAAAGAAACTCCTGAAGTTGGGTAATTTACGGAGAAAAGAAGTTGAATTGGCCCAAAGGTCTGCTGGCTTTACAGGAAGCATGGTGCTAACATTTGCTCAGCTTATGGCGAGGCCTCAGGAAGCTTATAATCATGGCAGAAGGCAAACAAGGTGCAGGTGACTTGCATGGCAAAAGTGGAAGCAAGGGCGAGCAAGGAGGGAAGTGCCACACACTTTTAAACAAAGAGATCTTGTGAGAACCCACTCACTATCATGAGGACAGCACCAAGGGGACGGCGCTAAACCGTTCATGGGAAATCACCCCCCATGATCCAATCACCTTCCAACAGGCCCCATCTCGAACACTGGGGATTACATTTCAACATGAGATTTGGAGGGAACATTCAAACTATATCAATACCCACCTCAGACTGTTGGATGGACTAAATTAGGTGATGCATGTAAACCACAGAGTTCAAATCTAATAACAATATAGGTTACTTTCTTTGTCTATTATAGGCTTTTAATCTCATCTCCAGCACTTAGAGAAGCATTTGGTGCAAAAGCAATTGTGGTTTTTGCCATTGAAAGTAATGGCAAAAACCGCAATTACTTTTGCACCAACCTAATATACAATCAAAAAACCTTTCTAAGATGGGATAGAAAGCCCAAGACTTCGGCAATTATAGTATATTTTGCCTTTTAAGGTCCATCTAGGGATGGCTCACACAAATGAAATTATAATCATCAATTTTTGATGATGAATTCTTGTTGCCAAGTAGTGATAAGACCTGATAAATTTAGAATGGACTGAAGAAATGGAGCAAAACATAGGTCACTTTAGAATCTTATAGATTTCCCTGAATATTATTGGAGTACAATAAACATACAGAAAAATGTGCAGCCTGATGGATTTTCATACATTGAGCACCCTCGAATAACCAACACAAAGGCCAGACAGCAAACACTGCAAAAACCCCAGAAGTCCCCATTCATTTCCTTCCAGCCACTGATCCCCGTCCCACCCCAAGGACAAGCACTATCCAGGATTCTAATGGCAGAGATTAGTTTTGAGAATAAGTTCCATTAAAATTTTTTTCAGCTTTCTAGTCATTTAAGACCTTTATTCAACAAATATTTATTTGGTCACTTTTAATGTTCCAGGAATGATACTGGATATACTCTAGTGAATAAGATAACATAGTCTCTTCCCTCATGGAACTTATGATCTAGTAAGTTAGAAAATGGCGAAGTAAAAAAATAAAAATAAAAAAGCAATTCTCGCCCAATAATATGCCTTTATGGAGTCAAAAATCTAGATGTATTTAGATACCTATAAATTTACTTATTGATACCTATAAATTACTAGTGATTTGGCATTCTCCAGATCAGCAGTTGATTATCTTTTTCACAACAGACTTAACACTAAGGCATTATCTCTGTAAATTCTATTTAGAATCCACAGTAAATTTAAAAACTTTTATGAGCAAACAAGCAGGTATTTTAGTAAAATTATAAACTGATTAAGAAAAAGCAGGGAAATGTAGGACCATGATATTTTCTGTAGCTCATCATATTCAGTTATGTTCTATGCAGTACAAGCTGCATCATAAGTTGATAATGTTCTTCAATAAATATTTGAAAGTCACATAAGTCTAGAATATGGTGAATTATACAAAGATAAACAGGTTTTAAGTAAATTACAGAATTTTACATAGCTTTTAATGTTAATATTATTTCTGATTATCCAAGGGTGAAGGGATTATATGTATAATTTTCCAAGCATATTATATTAAATCACAGAAAACATTTCTTCATGAGCCATCTTCTTAAAACAAAATTCTAGGAGAAAGATAATGTAGCATAATGGTTGTAGGGGCAGAAAGATATGATACCTTTCCTCACTCATCACAAATGTCATGGCCAACACTCATATAACAAAAGACAGCTTAACAAGAGAAAACAGCAACATATTTATTTAATCAAGGTTTTATGTGCCATAGGAGCCTTCAGAAAGGCCGTTTAGATTCTTCTTGGCCCCTCTGTGTAGCTTTCTTTTGCTCTGGGTATAGGGTAGAACACTTGTCACGTGAAAGTCTTCAGCACAGAAGGAAGAATTTTAGAGTGACCATTTTAGGTTTTATGGCTTGCTTTGGGAAGAAGAGTTCTAGTTTCTGTGGACCTTGGGCAAGAGGAATTTTGTCTTCTGTGACTTGTCTTGGGAGAAAAAAAGAGGCTGAGACACCTTGCTTCTGAGACTCTTCTAGTATACAGTTCAAAGTACTCAGCATACCAAGGTACTATCATTGGGAGGATTGTGTTCCAAGCCATGACATAGTTAAGAAAGTGTTTTGGTGCATGACATTTCTGTATTTGAGTATCTCACATAAAACAAAGTCTGAACATTTCTGAGCTATAATTCTATCACCTATAAAATAGAATTAATTATATAAAGCACATAGAATGGTCATCAAAATCAATGAGATACCATAAATAACCTGTTTTTGTATATTCCTTGTTGCAGAGGAGACACATGTATGTGTGGATACGTGTGTATGTCTGCGTATGTGTGTCACAATAAACAGATTAAGCAGATAATAACAGATCTTTAAGAAGATGGAATCCAATCCATATTACATGCAAAATAACTTGTTTTAACCCAGGAATTAGCATATTTAGCATGTTTCAGTGGTATAATATTGAGATGTAAAGGATCAAATTGTAGTTGTAGAAATGTTGTCTTAGGCTTTCCTCCCCTGTTTCCTACAGTTCTTATTTTATGCTAAATGACAGGGTATCCTTAAATAGGCTCAAATTATGCCACTCTTGTTCTGAATTTTAAATTACATGACATGATAGAATACAATGTGTATGTATTTCCAAGTGTTTATTTTTCTTTTCTTTTTTTCTAGTTTAATATATCTCTTTTAGGATTAAATGGCATCAAATGTTAAAATGTTACTGGAAAATGGCAGATAATCACAAGGAAATCTGTGGGAGTTGGCAACATTCCTGAATACGAATAATAATCTTTGCTACTTATAAGGCACCTGTCTTCTCAAAAATTCAGTTGCCTTAATGGTGTTCTACCATATCTCTTTGTAGTAAATAGGAGGCAATATTACCTATTTATTGAATTAGACAATAGAAAAGGGGACCGTTTCAGAGGCCTGAGATTTAGGAATGAATGACACAAATAATATTAAAATTCAGGCATTTAAACTGACTCTCACTCTTTTGCTAGGTTGAATAGACCTTATTTCATTCATTGACAGTTAAACTTGAATTCTTTATTACTGCCATCTAAAGAGGGCATGTTAACCCAACAGAGTATTATTATTTCAATGTCAAACATAGTATCATGATAGCAGAACACACTTGCGTTTTCCAGCGTAATTTTTTTTCTTCTTGAGCCTTCAGATAATAGAAAGACAATAAAATACTTATATAACAATACCATATATTTATTTTTGGAAGAACAAATATAACAGATAAAGGAAAGATGGCCTCTTTTGATGGTAAAAATAAATTAAGGGCAATCACTATTTCAGAGAAAGCTGCATGGAATCATTCTGGTGAAGTGGAATTTCAGTAAGTTTGGAAATGGAAGGATATTCAGAGGTTTTCATGCTGAATTGTGACATATTAAGTACAGATGTTATTAGTGGGGTCCTGGTACATGTTTAACAACAGGCTTTCAGGGACATAAAAAGTAATGGTTTATAACATTTCTTAATTTTTGTTTTGCAAATATTCCTATCATGGACAATTTCAAACTGCCAAAATGGAGTTACTGAACAAGGAATTGGAAAAAGATATACAAACTGGTATGATCTGACACCAGCATACCATTGGATGTTGCATTTGGGTAAACCCAAAATAAGATATATCACCAAAATCAAAGGAGTTATATACGAAATAGTTTTATTTATAGAAAGATTCATAAATTACAATTCTATTGGAGTTAGGTAAAAAAAGAAAATGGAAGAATCTAGTCAGGTATAAGAAACAGAGAGAGATGGAGATATGGTAAACTGAAGAAAGTGATAGCTCCTCATTCTCTGTCCATTTTTTATGCAGAAATGTGCACCTAGAAACCAGGTCTTCTGATTTTTACAGAGAAGTAATATATTAAGATAATATAAATGGGCAAACTTATAAGATTCTAAAAAAAAGTTCTATACACAACATGAATACATCTATTTCCTGCATACAGAAATGGACCTTGAGTTTGTGATCAGCTATTAGAGATTCTGGACAAGGCTCCTAAGTGCATTTAACATGTACAAATGCAAGAATAAATATCACTCCTTTAATGCTACTCACTTTCAACAATGACTTCTTGATCTTCCCCTATTCTGCCTTTTTATACTTGCAAGAGAATTCCAGGGCTTATGGCCTATAAAATGCAGTAAGAAAACAAGTGAGTTTACATGGCATGAAGTGCCTTGCATGGTCTATTTATGTGAAGGAATCAAAAGACAAAAGACTTTTGTTCTTCTATCTCAGTCATAAAGCCTCTGATGCTTCAAGAAAAGAGACAAGTGGAGAGAAGTCTTGTGCCTAAATAAAATGTTGCTCAGATGAAAAGAACCCCCTGAAGACCAAACTTTTTTCTGATAACTTGAAACACATGAAACTTTATCTTGCTTTCAAATTGTATTGGCTGTATCTGTTTTTCCTCTCACTTTAAGAAACTGATTCCCTTGCTATTGGTAAATTATGTCCTGCTGTTTTCACTTCAAATCTTCGATGCTACAAAGTTTTCTCCTCACCTTTCCTGCATCCAGTATTCCCTTGTCGTTCTTTTCTTAAACCCTGTGCATGCTTGAAAGTGATCACCCCTTTCACTTTGAAAGGAAAGGAATTTTTCCTTTCCTGAGGATGTAGGCAGAGTTAGGAGTGCCAAATGTCCAAAAATACTTGCAAAAATCTCTTTGATAATAGTCGTATTATATAATAATTATTTGTTTCATTGTCTATCCCTCTACACAGGAATCCTGTTGAGGACTAGGCCATCTACTTTTAAGTTTTAAAGTCTAGCATAGAGGCTGCCATATAGTAAGTGATTAATGCATATTTCTTAAGTGAGTAAAAGTTCCTGTCAACATCCATTTCTTCTTCAGATTTTCATCTTCTCCATTTTCTTTCACTCTCATCCCAGCAAAGCTGATGATGAAAGCAAGAAAATAGGTATCACAAGGCCTACTCCACTATACCCCATGGATACTGACACTTTTTCCCCTCTCCACTTTCTTTTTGATGCCCTGAATGGAAGTATAAGGGGAAGAAATATGGGGAGCAGAAAGGACATAGATGATGGAGTCATTGATAAAGGCCATGTTGACAATTCTGAGAAATTTATAATCACTTATTCTTGGAATAGCAGAGTTATTCTCAACACTGTACCTTATTTTAGCCTTGCAAATATCCTTAGAGATAATAAGAGAAAACATTATGATCCCTGTTTGAAGATGAGAATGCTGAGGAGTGAGTGCATGGCCCAATATGTCCTCCTCATCCTTTTCTACTCATATATTGCCACTGTCAATTTCTTCCAATTTAAAGGCCAGGGGATCTTCTTTCCCCCACTTAAGTCTACTCTGGCTGACAGCCTCCATGTCACCTTTTTGTTTCTTTACCTCTTTTCCTTTGCTGTTGTCTCTATTAGCCAGCTGCACTGCAAATCAAACCCAGTGACAACTTGGTAAGAATAAATGACTAACCTGCTAAGTAATGTCACATGGCTTCTTTTATAAAAAGAATTCTAGGCTGTCTTGACATTCATCTATCAAGACTGGTTAGAGCTAATAAAATCAGGCCTCCCACCATACAGGTGGATGGGCTGGCTAACCCTGTATCTCAAATGATTCATGGTAATTTGTAGTTCCTTGTGATAATTAGAAGTCCTACAAAAGGAAAAAGCTAAAAGCTTTCTCCAAATGATGGATGCTGTCAGGAAACAGCCCTATGTGCCTTTATTTCTTTGTGCCTCTCTAATTAAGTATCTGGAATAGCTTGTTATAAAAGACAATGTGTAGTTTCAAAATGGCAAAGTGGGTCAGAGAGAGGGAGGCTAGCAAGAAACTAGGGATGCCTTGAGTTCCACATCAGCCCTCCACTCTGCTTGTGAGAGCATCCACAGGTGTCCATAAGCAGAGCTTAGGGCAAGACATATAACCTTTAAAGTATTCTGCTCTCCTTGCAGGATGGGGAAGAATAACAAAATCAGCAGAGAAAATCCTTTGCTTCTGGGAAGATAGAATAGACATATTTTTCCCTATTCTTCCTAATAGGTATAACTAAAAATCCTAGATATCATATATAGGTCAAACATAAGAACACTCTGGAAGATAAAGAGAAGAAAGTAGACTGGCTATAGATCTTGAGACTCAAAGCTATCTACGTCACTACTCTTAGTGTTGGAAATTCTAGCCAGTGCAATAAGACAGAAAAAGAAAATGAAAGGCACACAGTTTAGAAAGAAAGAAATAAAACTGCCCCTATTTGAAGAGGACATGATGGTCTATGTAGAATATAATGGAGAATATACAAAAAAAGTTCCTAGAACCAATAAGTGAATTCAACAAGGCCACAGAATATAAGATAAGCTTCTGATGTGTGAGAAATCAACTGTTTTTCCATATGCTAGTAATAAACACATGAATGCAAAATTAAAAAAATACTATTTACAGTCATTCAGAAGAAAATGAAATAGGTATAAATCTAACAAAATAAGGATGCTGAAATGACAATGCCGATGTGAGAAATTTTAAGGTACTTTGATGAATAAAGAAGCATACTGTGCTCATGAATTGGAAAACACCACATAATAAGAATGTTGATTCCTGAAAATTGATACAAATTTACAGCAATTGCTACGAAAATTCCAGCAAGAATTTTGATAAATATGGATAAGCTAATTCTAAAATGTGTATAAGCAAGCCATGTAGCTAGAATAACTAAAACAAATTTAAAAGAAAAATAAAATGGAAGATATTAGTTTTTATGATTTCAAGATTTATTGTATAGCTGACTGCAAATTTTACTGTATAGCAAGACTGCGTGGAACAGAATAGAGAGCACAAAAATAAACATACAAATATGCTCCACTGATTTCTGACAATGTTACAAAAGAAATGTAATAAATGAAGATCCACAGGTTAAAAAAATAAAATATTTTTATGAATTTGGAAATTACTGTTTGGACAATTTGGAATTGTCTTCTGGATTCTTCATAACAATCGATACTTGAACCTATAGGGGTGGATTCTGCCCATACACAGAAACTGAGAGTGAACAGTATTTTTAAAATTATCTTTCAAAAATGACAGTGACCAGTAAATTGAAAATAGAAAAAAAATTCATTTTTCTAAGTTTGAAATAGGACTCTTTGGTTAAAACTAAGTGCTTATATGGATGTATTATTCCTGAAGTACAGATATTTGGTTCATGATTATTAGGGATTATCTACATTAAAAAGGGAGTTAGAGAGCTATATCCTCAAAAATACATCAAGCATTTTTCCATTGCATTCTAACCACTTTTCCTTATGAGAAACAGGGTCTTTTTTCCTCGTCTTAAAGTCATGCAAACTTTAAAAAAATGGAACATAGCAAAAGAGAGACTATTTGAAATCTTGTTATTCTTGTTTTATACCTTAGAGGTGTCCTACAGAAATATAATGAGCCATAAATGAGAGTTTGTCATAATCTGTTTTGTGTTGCTATAACAGAATACCTGAAACTGGGTAATTTACTTTTTTTATTTTTTTATTTTTATTTTTTATTTTCTTATTAAACTTTAAGTTCTAGGGTACATGTGCACAATGTGCAGTTTTGTTACATATGTATACATGTGCCATGTTGGTGTGCTGCACCCATTAACTCGTCATTTACATTAGGTATATCTCCTAAAGCTTTCCCTACCCCTGTCCCCAACCCCACAACAGGCCCTGGTGTGTGATGTTCCCCTTCCTGTGCCCAAGTGTTCTCATTGTTCGATTCCCACCTATGAGTGAGAACACATGGTGTTTGGTTTTTTGTTCTTGCGATAGTTTGCTGAGAATGATGGTTTCCAGCTTCATCCATGTCCCTACAAAGGACATGAACTCATCCTTTTTTATGGCTGCATAGTATTCCATGGTGTATATGTGCCATGTTTTCTTATATGGCTAGCCATATGTAGAAAGCTGAAACTGGATCCCTTCCTTACACCTTATACAAAAATTAATTCAAGATGGATTAAAGACTTAAATGTTAGACCTAAAACCATAAAAACCCTAGAAGAAAACCTAGGCAATACCATTCAGGACATAGGCAAGGGCAAGGACTTCATGTCTAAAACACCAAAAGCAACGGCAACAAAAGCCAAAATTGACAAATGGGATCTAATTAAACTAAGGAGCTTCTGCACAGCAAAAGAAACTACCATCAGAGTGAACAGGCAACCTACAGAATGGGAGAAAATTTTTGCAATCTACTCATCTGACAAAGGGCTAATATCTAGAATCTACAAAGAACTCAAACAAATTTACAAGAAAAAAACAAACAACCCCATCAAAAAGTGGGCAAAGGATATGAACAGACACTTCTCAAAAGAAGACATTTATGCAGCCAACAGACACATGAGACTGGGTAATTTATAAGGGACAGAAATTTATTTCTTACAGTTCAGGAGGTTGAGAAGTCCAAGATCAAGGAGCTGCTATCATGTGAGGCCTTTTTACTGTGTCATCCTACGACAGAGGCAAAAAGGCAATGAAGAGTGAGAGAATAGGAGGGGCCCCAACTGGCTTTTATAACAAAGTCACTCTCAATAATGAACCCACTCCCGAGATAATGGCATTAATCCATTCATGGGGACAGGGTCCTCACGACCTATACTTTTTAAAGTCCCACCTCTCAACATGATTGCACTGGGGATTAACTTTCCAACGTGAAATTTGAGAAACACATTCAAACCATGGCAAAGCCACATGTGTAATTTTAAATTTTCTAGTAGCTATCTTAAAACATTTTAAAAAGTTTAATTTATGTATATGGTGTGAAGAATGAGTCCAGTTTTAGTTTTCTGCATATGGCTAGCCAGATTTCCCAACACCATTGATTAAATGGGGAATCCTTTCCTCATTGCTTATCAGGTTTGTCAAAGATCAGATGTTTGTAGATGTGTGGCGTTATTTCTGAGACCTTTGTTCTGTCCCATCGGTCTATATATCTGTTTTGATACCAGTACCATGCTGTTTTGGTTACTGTAGCCTTGTAGTATAGTTTGAAGTCAGGTAGCGTGATGCCACCAGCTTTGTTCTTTTTGCTTAGGATTGTCTTGGCTGTATGGGCAGTTTTTTGGTTTCATATGAAATTAAAAGTAGATTTTTGTAATTATGTGAAGAAAGTCAATGGTACCTTCATGGGGATAGCATTGAAACTATCAGTTACTTTGGGCAGTATGGCTATTATCACGAGATTGCTTCTTCCTATCCATGATCATGGAATGTTTTTCCCTTTGTTTGTGTCCTCTCTGATTTCCTTGAGCAGTGGTTTGTAATTCTCCTTGAAGAGGTCCTTCATATCCCTTGTAAGTTGGATTCCTAGGTATTTTATTCTTTTTATAGCAATTGTGAATGGGAGTTCACTCATGATTTGGCTCTCTGTTTGTCTATTATTGATGTATAGAAATGCTTGTGATTTTTGCACATTAATTTTGTATCCTGAGACTTTGCTGAAGTTGCTTATCAGCATAAGGAGATTTTGGGCTGAGACAATGGGGTTTTCTAAATATACAATCATGTCATCTATAAACAGAGACAATTTTTCCCTCTCTTCCTATTTGAATACCCTTTATTTCTTTCTCTTACCTGATTGCCCTGGCCAGAACTCCCAATTGTATGTTGAATAAGAGTGGTGAGAGAGGGCATCCTTGTCTTGTGCCAGTTTTCAAAGGGAATGCTTTCAGCTTCTGCCCATTCAGTATGATATTGGCTGTGGGTCTGTCATAAATAGCTCTTATTATTTTGAGATATGTTCCATCAATACCTAGTTCATTGAGAGTTTTTACCATGAAGGGGTGTTGAATTTTATCGAAGGCCTTTTCTGCATCTATTGAGATAATCGTGTGGTTTTTGTCATTCGTTCTGTTCATCTGATGGATTATGTTTATTGTTTATTGATTTGCAACCAGCCTTGCATCCCAGGGATGAAGCTGACTTGTTCGTGGTGGATAAGCTTTTTGATGTGCTGCCGGATTCTGTTTGCCAGTATTTTATTGAGGATTTTTGCATTGATGTTCATCAGGGATATTGGCCTGAAATTTTCTTTTTTTGTGTGTGTGTCTCTGCCAGGTTTTGGTATCAGGATGATTCTGGCCTCATGAAATGAGTTAGGGAGGAGTCCTTCTTTTGCTATTTTTTGCAATACTTTCAGAAGGAATGGTACCAGCTCCTCTTTGTACCTCTGGTAGAATTCAGCTGTGAATCCTTCTGGTGCTGGGCCTTTTTGGTTGGTAGGCTATTAATTACTGCCTCAATTTCAGAACTTGTTATTGGTCAATTCAGGGATTCTACTTCTTCGTGGTTTAGTCTTGGGAGGGTGTATGTGTCCAGGAATTTATCCATTTCTTCTAGATTTTTCAATTTATTTGTGTAGATGTGTTTATAGTATTCTCTGATGGTAGTTTGTATTCTGTGGGATCCATGGTGATATCCCCTTTATCATTTTTTATTATGTCTATTTGATTCTTCTCTCTTTTCTTCTTAGTCTAGCTAGCATTCTATCTATGTTGTTAATCTTTTCAGAAAACAGCTCCTGGATTCATTGATTTTTCGAAGGGTTTTTTTGTATCTCTATCTTCTTCAGTTCTGCTCTGATCTTAGTTATTTCTTATCTTCTGCTAGATTTTTGAATTTGTTTGCTCTTGCTTCTCTAGTTCTTTTAATTGTGATGTTAGGGTGTCAATTTTACATCTTTCCCGCTTTCTCCTGTGAGCATTTGGTGCTATAAATTTCCCTCTAAACACTGCTTTAGCTGTGTCCCAGAGACTCTGGTACATTGTGTCTTTGTTCTCATTGGTTTCACAGAATTTACTTATTTCTGCCTTTATTTCGTTATTTACCCAGTAGTCATTCAGGAGCAGGTTGTTCAGTTTCCACGTGGTTGTGCCGTTTTGAGTGAGTTTCTTAATCCTGAGTTTCAACTTGATTGCCCTGTAGTCTGAGAGACTGTTCGTTATTATTTACTTTCTTTTGCATTTGCTGAGGAGTGTTTTACTTCCAATTATGTGGTCAATTTTAGAAATAGTGTGATGTGGTGCTGAGAAGAATCCATATTCTGTTGATTTGGGGTGGAGAGTTCTGTAGATGTCTATTAGGTCTGCTTGGTCCAGAGCTGAGTTCAAGTCCTGAATTTCCTTAAATTTCTGTCTCGTTGATCTAAAATTAACAGTGGGGTGTTAAAGTCTCCCACTATTATTGTGTGGGTGTCTAAGTCTCTTTGTAGGTCTCTAAGAACTTGCTTTATGAATCTGGGTGCTCCTGTATTGGGTGCATATCTATTCAGCATAGTTAGCTCTTCTTGTGTCATTGATTCCCTTTACCATTATGTAATGTTCTTCTTTGTTGTTTTTGATCTTTGTTGGTTTAGAGTCTGTTTTATCAGAGACTGGGATTGCAACCTCTGCTTTTTTTTTTTTTTTTGCTTGTTTTTGTTTTTGTTTTCCATTTGCCTGGTAAATATTCCTCCATCCCTTTATTTTGAGCTATGTGTGTTTTTGCACATGAGAGTCTCCTGAATACAGCACACTGATGGGTCTTGACTCTTTATCCAATTTGCCAGTCTGTGTCTTTTAATTGGGGCATTTAGCCTGGTTACATTTAAGGTTAATATTGTTATGTGTGAATTTGATCCTGTCATTATAATGCTAGCTGGTTATTGTGCCTGTTAGTTGATATAGTTTCTTCATAGTGTTGATGGTCTTTACATTTTGGTATGTTTTTGCAGTTGCTGGCACCGGTTTTTCTTTTTCATATTTAGTGCTTCCTTCAGGAGGTCTTATAAGGCAGGCCTCATGGTGACAAAATCTCTCAGCATTTGCTTGTCTGTGAAGGATTTTATTTCTTCTTCGCTTATGAGGCTTAGTTTGGCTGGATATGAAATTCTGGTTTGAAAATTTTTTTCTTTAAAGATGTTGAATTTTGGCCCCCACTCTCTTCTGGCTTGTAGGGCTTCTACAGAGAGATCCACTGTTAGTCTGATGGGCTTCCCTTTGTGGGTAACCAGACCTTTCTCTCTGACTGCCCTTAATATTTTGTCCTTCATTTCAGCCTTGGTGAATCTGAAGATTATGTGGCTTGGGGTTGCTCTTCTCAAGGATTATCTTTGTGATGTTCTCTGTATTTCCTGAATTTGAATGTTGGCCTGTCTTGCTAGGTTGGGGAAGTTCTCCTGGATAATATCCTGAAGGGTGTTTTCCAGCTTGCTTCCATTTTCCCCGTCATTTTCAGGTACACTAATCAAACGTAGGTTTGGTGTTGTCACATAGTCCCATACTTCTTGGAAGCTTTGTTTGTTCCTTTTCATTCTTTTTTCTCTAATCTTGTCTTTATGCTTCATTTCATTAAGTTGATCTTCAATTTCTGATATCCTTTCTTCTGCTTGATATATTCGACTACTGATACTTGTGTATGCTTCATCTAGTTCTCATGCTGGGTTTTTCAACTCCATCAGGTTATTTATGTTCTTCTCTAAACTCATTATACTAGTTAGCAATTCCTCTAAGCTTTTGTCAAGGTTCTTAGCTTCCTTGAATTGGGTTCGAACATGCTCCTTTAGTTCAGAGGAGTTTGTTATTACCCACCTTCTGAAGCCTACTTATGTCAACTCGTCAAACTCATTCTCCATCCAGTTTTGTTCCCTTGCTGGCGAGATGTGATCCTTTGGAGGAGAAGGGGCATTCTGGTTTTTGGAACTTTCAGCCTTTTTGCACTGGTTTTTCCTCATCTGTGTGGATTTATCTGTCTTTGGTTTTTGATGCTGATGACCTTCAGATGTGGTTTTTGTGTGGACATCCTTTTTGTTGATATTGATACTATTCCTTTCTCTTTGTTAGTTTTCCTTCTAACGGTTAGGCCTCTCTGCTGCAGGTCTGCTGGAGTTTGCTGGAGGTCCACTCTAGACCCCATTTGCCTGGGTATCACCAGCGAAGGCTGCAGAACAGCAAAGATTGCTGCCTATTTCTTCCTCCGGAAGCTTCGTCCCAGAGAGGCACCTGCCAGATGCCAGCCAGAGCTTTCCTGTATGAGGTGTCTGGTGACCACTGCTGGGAGGTGTTTGTTGACCACGGTCAGGAGGCACAGGGCTCAGTGACCCACTTAAGAAGGCAGTCTTTCTCTTAGCAGAGCTCGAGCACTGTGCTAGGAAATCTGTTGCTCTTTTCAGAGCCAGCACGCAGGAACACTTAATTCTGCTGAAGCTGCACCCACAGCTGCCCCTTCCCTCAGGTGCTCTTTCCCAGGGAGATGGGAGTTTTATCTATAGCCCCTCACTGGGGCTGCTGCCTTTCTTTCAGAGATGCCCTGCCCAGAGAGGAGGAATCTAGAGAGGCAGTCTGGCTACAGTGGCTTTGCCCAGCTGCTGTGGGCTTTGCCCAGTTTGAACTTCCCCATGGCTTTGTTTATACTGTGAGGGGAAAACTGCCTACTCAAGCCTGAATAATAGTGGACCCCCCTCTCCTCACCATGCTCGAGAATCCCAGGACAACTTCAGACTGCTGTGCTGGCAGCAAGAATTTCAAGCCAGTGGGTCTTAGCTTACTGGGCTTTGTGGGGCTGGGGTCTAGCCAAGCTAAACCACTTGGTTCCCTGGGTTCAGCACCCTTTCCAGGGGAGTGAATGATTCTGTTTTGCTGGTGTTCCAGTTGCCACTGGGGTATGAAAAAAAAAAAAAACTCCTGCAGTTAGCTCGGTGCCTGCCCTCATGGCCGGCCAGTTTTATGCTTGAAACCCAGGGCCCTGGTGGTGTAGGCACCTGAGGGAATCTCCTGGTCTGTGGGTTGTGAAGACCATGAGAAATGCATAGTATCTGGAATGCAATGTACCATCCCTCACCGCACAGTCCTTCATGGCTTCCCCTGGCTAGGGGAGGGAGTTCCCTGGCCACTTGCACTTCCCGGGGGAGGCGACGCCCCACCCTGCTTCAGCTTGCCCTCTGTGGACTGCACCCATTGTCTAACCAGTCCTAATGAGATGAGCTTGCTACTGAAGTTGGAAGTGCAGAAATCACCCACCTTCTGCGTTGATCTCACTGGGATCTGCAGACTGGAGCTGTTCCTATTCGGCCATCTTGCCAGCCACCCCTACTTCCTGTGTTTCTTAAAGAGTATGGAATATTTAGAGTAGTGCTTCTCAAAATTTAAAGGTCATGAAAGTTATCTAGGGATTTTCTTAAATCTACACTGATTTGATAGGTCTAGGCAGCATCCTAAGACACTACATTTCTAACAAGGCCCATAGATGATGCCAGTGATGCTGGTCCACAGACCACACTTTGAATAGAAAAAGCTTCAACATTTCCATCAGAGTTACCTGTACATTGATATAAAATTCAATTACTTTGCCTTAGTTACTGAATTAGAATACTTGAACATGAGGCTTGGGAATCTGAATTGTTTGCATAATCTCCAGGTTCTTTGTCATGATACAATTTAAGAATTGTTTGTGTGGCCTAAGACTTAATCATTTCTACCATACCATGCCATCAGGAGGGAATAAAAATGTTAGCCCTTGTATTCAGATGCTGTAAAGTTTTATTTTTTAATTTGTTGAAAGATTTTCCAAACTCATTTTGTGAATCTTTTATACTGATATTTTGAGTTCCAAAGGTGTATGCATTATTAGCTAGTTGGGGCACTGCAGTGTTTTCTATTTATGCTGTTTTTGCTCAGAGTAAGGCTCCTGAACTTTTCCCTACTCCTTCATATTTTACCATCTTCCTTTGGGGAGATAATCCCATAAAAAGATGCATCTGAATGAAAAAAGTTATTCTATCCTTCTTTTCTAACGTGAAAACTAATGTGTTCATGGTGTGTGTGTGTGTGTGTGTGTGTGTGTGTGTGTGTGAAAAATATCTTGGGATTAGACTGATGAAACAGCCATCAATATACAGAGGACAATGGCTCTGTGAAGGTCCCTGTGGAGTATCACAAAGGAAATACAAGCCAGGATATCTAAGGTGGGTGGAAAAGACATACAAATCCAGACTCTTAACAGAGACTCTTAAATAAAAGTCACAGAAAGGACAGAATACACAGGATGTTTATAAATGAAAGAGATGGGTTTTCCGTATCAAAATAGGGTTCTTGAAAGAGCTGTCTTCTGAAGACACAAAAAGCAATTGCAACAAAAGCAAAAATTGACAAATGGGATCTAATTAAATTTAAGAGCTTCTGCACAGCAAAAAACAAACAACAACAACAACAACAAAACACTTATCAACAGAGTAAACAGTCTACAGAATGGGAGACATGTGCATGCTTATGTTCATTGAAGCACTATTCACAATAGCAAAGACATGGGATCAACCTAAATGATCATCAACGATAGACTGGATAAAAAAATGTGGTACACATACATCATGGAATACTATGCAGCCATAAAAAAGAATGAGATCATGTTCTTTGCAGGGACATGGGTAGAGCTGGAAGCCATTATCCTTAATGAGCTAACACAGGTACAGAAAACCAAATACCACATATTCTCACTTATAAGAGGGAGCTAAATGATGAAATAACTGATAGATACTAGGCTTAATACCTGGGTGATGAAATAATTTGTGCAACAAACCCCCATGACACAAGTTTACCTATGTAGCAAACCTGCACTTATAACCTCAAACTTAAAATAAAATTAAAAATATGTATCACATTTTACCCCATAAATATACATGACTATTATTTGTCAACTAAAAATAAATAAATTAGATTTAAGTAAAAATATAAATTTATTGAAAAAACAACATCACAGAAAAAAGTGTTTTGAATAAAAATGGGTAAGTAAAGAAAACAAACATCTTTAAAAACTTTTTTATATTAAACATAGAATCTTACATTCTGATTTTTTTTTATACAAAGAGCTGCCTTCAATAGTGATTTGACAACATTTAATTCAGCTAATGCTTACTGGCTGAGATCATAAATGAATCGTGCTGGACAGCAGAAAAAGGCAGAAAGAGAAAAGGATACAATCATTTCCCTCAGGACATTTGCAATCTAGCAGAAGAGAGTTGTGTGACCTAACAGAGAGTAATGAAATGCATATTCCTGGTAGGAGGAAAGTAAAGGAGTAAAGTAACTTTTCCAGGTCATTTGAAAAAATTCAATAAGAAAATCTTTACACAATAAAATTAATAACTGGAAACAATCCACATATCCATCAACAGGTAAATGAATAAAGAAATAATAGTATATTCATAAAATAGACCATTCTCAGCAATAAAAATGAGCGAATGATTTGTGTAAATCATGAATTAATTTCAAAATTATGTTGAGCGAAAGAAGCCAGATATAAAACAGTGCACATTGTATGACTCAATTTCTATAAAATGTAAGAAAAGGTAAGCGAATCTATGGTGTTAGAAATTATAGCACCAGTAACTTATGTTGGTGTGTATTGACTGGAAAGAGCATGCAGGTATATATATATATGTGTGTGTGTGTGTGTATATATATATGTGTATATATATATATATACACACACACACATATACATACATGTATCTATGTATATATTTGTATATGTACGTTATGTGTATACATAGGTGTATATATATGTGTGTATACATATATATATAGGTATATATGGATACACAGGTATATATGTATATGTATATACATAGGTATACAATATAGGCGTACATATATATGTATATATACACATATGTATACACATATACATACATAGGTGTATGTGTGTGTATGTATATGTGTGTGTGTGTTTGTAATGTTTGAAGAGGCAGACTGAGTTTGTCTTACAGAAGATTAAACAACAAACCTACGGAGATATTAAGACAGCCAGTTACATGGTAGGGGGTTAACTTGTTAATTTGTGAAGAAATAGAAAGGCCATGACATTAAATTTTCATTGATGTGAGAAGCAGCTGAAACCACTATTTCAGAGAAATAGATTAAGGCAATTGTGCACAAGGAATATGGTTCTGATTGTGTAAGATACTTTTATTATTGTTTTTACTGGGTAAAATCTTGTGTGCTGTAGGTAGCAAGATGATTAGAGATGATGTCAAGGAAAGACCTATGAGGGAAAAAAAAGGCATTTTAAGAACTATCTGAAATGGAAGGTTATTTTCTTTTTTCCCTGTAATTCTGAAAAAGAAGCTATCTTTCTGTGAAATGTAGTTGGTGAGAAATGGCAGGCATTGATAGTAAAAAAGACACAAAAAACCAAAAAGGAGGGAGAACACAAAGTTTATTATCTTAAGACCATTTTGTCAATAAGGGAAATGTTTACAAAGAGAAACATTTGGGCAGACAGAAAAATGAAGTCAACATGGGATGTGTTTTGTTTAGGTTTTAAACAGACATGGAAATACAGTGTCTTGGAGTGGAAAGAACTTAAGTTTAGTCAGAAGAGAAATGCTAGAGGCACCTGTCTGTTGGAATGCATTTAAGAGGTAAGGTAACTGAATTTGTGTTAGATAAATTTTTCACATTTCAATTCAGGGAAGTATGATTGAATAATCTACTCAGGAAAACCCCTGGACTTCTAATGGATTTAGGCTATTTTAAATCATATATTATTCTAGTACTCCTACAGTACTCTTCCTGTAATATTCCATCTTGAGGGAATCTCAAGGGAAAGAACATGGGATTTGAAGCCAAACATTATTGGGGGTAAAGCCAAGCTTGAGTAATTGCTTAACCTCTCTTAGCCTGAATTTCCTCATAGATAAAATGGATACATAATAATAGCATCCATACAGGATTTGTTTTTAGAATTAAATACAATGATGTGTGCGAGGTTCCAGGCTAGGAATATCCTATGTGGTATCTTCTCAAATAACGATGATTACAGAATAGATATTATAGAGAATGTGAATGCACTATTAGTTTCGGCATCTCCATTATTCCCAGTATCTAAAATAGGGCATTTAACTGTTTTTTAATGGAATGATGGCATCTTTTTTCTGTTCTGTATCTCATTACCTGAGTGTTACCGCAAACAAACAAACAAAAATGATCCATGTTAAACAGCAGTGGGAGTGCATGGTCAGGTAGCAGTCCCTGCAATTTGTTAAAAGATCCGTAAAATGTAATCAGCAACCATCTAAGTGATTCTTCTGTTTTTAATGAGAAAGCGCGGTCTATAATGGAGTGTTTCTCTTTCTCAGACTCTGGCTGAAAATTTGCTCTTAAATTGAAAATTTGCTTTTAAAATAAAAACCAAAAAGTAAAAGGTACAATTTTCATGAACAAAAGAAAAAGTACCTGTGATATATTTGGTTTTAGCTTTAAGACAAAAATCTCACTTTCTGTTAAAATATCTTGATGTATTATGGACACAGTCCTCAAATTTATATCTGAATCAAATGTCTGAGTTTGCTAATCTCCTCACTGTTTCCTAAATATTGTCTTCCATTCTGCTGAAATAATAAATGGGTAAATAGTCATATGTGAGATACTTGCACCTTTAATATGCCAGCACCTTCTGTCTTAGAGGCATATTGCGCCAGATGGAATGTTTTATAAACCCTATAACAGACAAATGACATTAGATACCCTGGCTAGCACAGTGACACACAGACCTTGATATAACTCAATTTCATCTTTACCTACATCTCAACCATTGCATTTTAAATCAGCAATAGGAGAGTGTAAACTGTTATGTCTGAAATGTCTGAATACAATTATAAATCTGTCCACTATGTTTGTAAAAAATTCAGCCTCTGTTAATTATCTTCATAGCGCTATTTACCCTAATTGTCAAGCCTTACAGTAGCAAAGCAAGATTACTTCATAAAAAAATTCTTATTAAAAGACAGCATCCCTTTTCATGGGTGTTCCAAAGATTATGAGAGGAAGCAATTAAAATATATTTAAATCATTGTTTTGAAATTGCAGTTAAGTAAATGAATTAGTGCAGGGATTTTTAAAAGGAGTGTTTAAAAATTAGTAACTTGAAGATTGAAGAAAAGGTTAATAACTTCTACTATAAACTATTATGCCTTTTTTATTCTTAAAGACAAAATGTGTTTATTTTTAACATGTAAATGGGGAAAGTAACTGTACTCAGGAGAAAACAGAAACTAAATAGAGAGATAGATAATAGGTAGGTTGGTGGATGACTAGATAGATGGGTGGATAGATGGATGGATGGATGAATACATAACACTGCAAAGTCAAAAATTATATTTACTTTTCCAGTTGGAATAATAAAACACATTCTTATATAGCCTGAGTGCTTAATATAAATAAGCACTTCTAGTTTATTTTTGTCCATTTATTTGTATAATTATTATTTTTTTAAGTTCCAGGGGACATGTGCAGGATGTGCAGGTTCGTTATATAGGCAAACGTGTGCCATGGTGGTTTGCTGCACCTATCAACCCATCACCTAGGTATTAAGCCTAGCATGCATTAGCTCTTTCCCTATAGTCACTTCTAGTTTAAAAGCTTTGCTGAGGATGTTGTTTTAGAGAAGAATTAACATCAGAAGTTGCCAACAGTTAAAATATTTTAAAAAACTATTTACTATACAATGGAATTTTGTCCATCCCCGACCATCACAAAGGCCTTCATATCCACTATTGACCAATCAATTAATTTCCAGGACACATCTCTGGAGGTCTGAGTGGAAACACCAAGGATTCACAACATGCCCTCCTTACCTCCTGTGAAGGGGAGCTTCTATATGAATATGTTTCCATTCCCAAAACAAGGCGAAAATTATTTTTCTTCATGATGTAGCTTGCCTTTACAGTCTAGTTTATTATGCAATTTAGTAGAAAGCAAGAAAAACTTAGGAAATGCCTCATGAACTTGTGTATTAAAATCGTTGTCTTGATTGTACACTCCTTAATCTCATGAAGGAGACAATGAAATTTATAGCAGCATGACTAAGTGCAGAAATTGACAACCTTTTCTTTTCAATTGGTGCACTAAAATACAATTTCAATATGCTGGTAATGGTGAGTTAATTAAAACATAAAGCACTAGTAAACTATGTAAATAAGAAATTGAATAAATTATAATCAAATTTCTAAAATCTGTCTTTAAAAAATGGTTATTCAGTAAATGTATAATTAAAAATATGTGATTAACATATACTGTACAAACAAATCTGGCCAATAATTTAGCAAAGTATCTTTTTTAAAATAATTCAATAAATTACAACTTTCCTTTTGCTGAATTAGCTCTTTGAGAAAGAAAAAATATATAGGATTAATTTTTAACTTCAGTTATCCTAATTTAATATGACTACCATTTATAACACAAAAGCTGATCTAATTAGATAGATAGTGGATCTCTTTTTAAAATGTTTCTTTTTATTATGATATTAACATAAATAGTTTTTAGACACTACTAAAACATGAAAAAATCCATAAACTCAACAGCCTAACATAATCATCTATAGCATTTGGTTGTATTTTTTTATCTTTTTTTCTATTCACCTTAAGAAAATGGCATGCAGTCAGCCAGTTTATTCACATTTTTCTTATTTTCTGTTCTATAGTCAGCATTTTGAGTTTATTCTTCTTTGTAATACTCAATTTTAATGGCTGCAGAATATTTGATTTGATTCTGGGAGGCATGGAGCCAGATGACAGAATAGAAGCCTACACTGCTCATCCTCCCCACAGGAACACCTATTTTTAACAACTATCTGCACATAGAAAAGCACCATCACAAGAATCAAAACTCAAGTGAGCAATCACAATACATCTTAATACTGAAAGAGGCATTGAAAAGGGTCAGAGAGACAGTCTTGAATCTACACCATCACCTCTCCCCCATCTTCCCACCCCTGCAGCAGCCACGTGGCATGAAGAATCTGTGCACTTGGAGGAGGGAGAGCACAGAAATGGAAACTTTACATTGAACTCAGTGTTGCCCTGTCGTAGTGTAGAGCAAAGCCAAGCTGGGCTTAGTCACTGCCCGCTCATAGAGGGAGCATTTGTACAAGACTTGGCTAGAGGGGAATCACCTGTCTCAGCAGTTGAAACTTGAATTTCTTGCAAGCCTTGCCACCACAGACCAAAGTGCTCTGGTATTCTAGGCAAACTTGAAAGGCAGTCTAGGACACAAGCACTACAATCCCTAGGCAACTCCTCATGCTGGACTGGGCTCAGATCCAGAAGACTAGGTTGGCACATGACCTAACAAAGACACTAGCTGAGGTGGCTAAGGGAGTGCTTATGACACTCCTCCCACAGGAGTGCACCCTGAAGCAATGAAAGTTACTGCTTCCTTCTGCTTAAGGAAAGGAGAGCAAGAGATAAAGACCTTCTCTTGCATCTTGCATACCAGCTCAGTCACAGTAGGCAGGGCACCAGGCAGAGTCATGAAGCTCTCATTTCAGGCCCTAGCTCATGGACCACATTTCTAGACACATCCTAGGCCAAAAAGGAGCTTGTTGCCTTGCAGGGAAGGGCCTAGTCCTCCAGGATTCATCACCTGCTGACTATAGAGCCCACTGAATAACCAGCAGTGATACCAAGATAGTATTCCGTGAGCCTTGGGCTCTGGAATAAGCTGACTACAGGTATGACCCAGCACATTGCCAGTTATAGCAGCTAGAGTGAAAGACCATCTTCTTAAGAAAAGCAGAATGAAATGTGAAGGGAACTTTGTCTTGCAAGTTGGATAACAGCTCAACCACAGTGGGGTAGAGCAACAAGCAGTCCCTTTGGGTCACCAAGTCCAGGCTTGGCTCTTGGACAGCATTTCTGGACCTTCCCTGGGCCAGAGGGGGGCCTGATGCTCTGGAGGATTAGTCCCAGCCCTTGCAGAATTCACCACAAGCTGACTGAAGTGCTCTTGGCCTTTATGTAAACATTGGCAGTGGCCCGGCAGAACCCCTTTAGACCAGTGATGGTAGTGTCTACAAAGAGAGGCTCCTCTGCCTCTGGAAAGGGGAGGGAATAGTAGGTAGGACTTTGTATTGTGGTTTGAATGCCAGCTTAGCCAGAGTAGAACAGAATATAAGGCAAATTTCTAAAGTTTTTTTTACTTTAATGCCCAGCACCTAGACAGCATCTCTGGACCTGCCTGGGTCCTAGGGTAACTCATCACCCTAAAGGGAAGGACACAACTTTGGCTGGCTTCACCATCTGATGATTGTAGAGGTCTAGGGCCTTGAGCGAACATAGAGGGTAGCCAGGTAGTGGTTACAGTGGGGCTTGGGCAAGCCCCAGTGCAGTGCTGGCTTCAAGTCTGACCTAGTGCAGTCCCTGTGTTGGTGGCCTTAGGGGTGCTTGCATCACCACATCCCCATTTTCAGGCTGTTCAGCATAGATAGAGAGACTTCACTTGTTTGGGAGAAAGTAAGGGACACAACAAAATTTTCTGCCTGGTGAACCAGAGAATTCCTCCAGATCTTATTCAAAACCCACAAAGGGATACATCTATAAGTCTGCAGAAACAACAGCATTACTGGGCTTTGGGCCCAAGTCTATTTGAATACCTGGAAAGTCTTCTCAAGAAGGATAAGCACAAACAAACCCAGACTGTGAAGACAACAAAAAATATGTAACTCTTCACTGCCCAGACACTGTCAAACACCCACAAGCATAAAGACATCCAGAAAAACATGACATCACCAAACAAATGAAATAAGGTACCAGGGACCAATCCTGGAGAAACAGATATGTGATGTTCCACACGAAGAATTCAAAATAGCTGTTTTGAGGAAACAAAGAAATCAAAGATAACACAGAGAAGAAATTCAGAATTTGATCAGATAAATTTAACAAAAATATTGAGATAATTAAAAAGAATCAAGAAGAAATTCTAGAGTTAAAAAATGCAGTTGATATCCTGAAAAATGCATCAGAGTCTCAGTAGCAGAATTAATCAGACAAAAGAAAGATTCATGAGTTTAAGACAGGCTATTTGAAAATACACAGTCAGATGAGACAAAAGAAAATAATAAAAAAATATAAAACATGCCTACAAGATTTAGAACATAGCATCAAAAGGGCAAATTAAGGGTTATTGGCCTTAAAGAGAAGGTAAAGAAAAAGATAAGGGTAGAAAGTTTATTCAAAGGGTTAATATCAGAGAAGTTCCTAAACCTAGAGAAAGATACCAACATTCAAGTGCAAGAAGGTTATAGAACACCAAGCAGATTTATTCCAAAGAATACTTCAAGGCATGTAATAATCAAACTTTCAAAGGTCTAGGATAAAGAAAGGACCCTAAAAACAAGAAGATAAAAGAAACAAATAACACAAAATGGGGCTCCAATACATCTGGCAGCAGACTTTTCAGTGGAAACATTATAGGACAGGAGAGGGTGGCGTGACATGTACTGAAGGAAAAAAAAAAAACAAAAAAAAAACTTTTACCCTAGAGTAGCATATCTGATGAAAATATTCTTCAAGCATGAAGGAGAAATAAAGACCTTCCCAGATAAACAAAAACTAAGGGATTTCATCAATACTCAACCTGTCCCACAAGAAACGCTAAAGCCAGTTCTTTAATGAGCAAGAATAAATTATCTGAAGGTACAAAACCCCCTGATGATAGTAAGCACACATAAAAACTCAGAATATTATAACACTGTAATTGTGGTGTGTGAACTACTCTTAAGTGGAAAGATGAACTGATTAACCAACCCAAAGGAATAACTACAACAAATTTTAACACATAGACAATACAATAAGATATAAAAATAAACAACAAAAAGTTAAAAAGCAGGAGGATGAAGTTAAAATGGGGAGTTTTTATTAGTTTTGTTTTTGCATTCCTGTTTGTTTATGCAATCAGTTTAAGTTGTTGTCTACAGTTTAAAATAATGAGTTAAAAGATATATTTGCAAGCTCCATGGTAACCTTAAACCAAAAAAACATACAATAGATACACAAAAATTAAAAAGCAAGAAACCGAATTATATCCCCAGAGAAAATCATCTTCACTAGAGGAAGACAGGAAGGAAGAAAAGAAGGAATGCCACAAAACAACCAGAAAACAAATAACAAAATGGCATGAGTAAGTCCCTACTTATCAATAATAACATAAACAAAAATAGATTAATTCTTGAATAAAAAGACATCCAGTAGTGGAATAAATGAGAAAAACAAGGCCCAATGATTTGTTGCCTTCAAGAAACACACTTTACCTGTGAAGATAAACAGACTGAAAATAAAGGGAAAGAAAATATTCTATGCCATTGGAAACCAAGAAAAAAAAGCAGGAATAGCTATACTTATATAAGACAAAATATATTTCAAGACAAAAACTGTAGGAAAATACAAAGAAGGTCATTGAACATAAAGGGGTCAATCCAACAACAGTATATAAGGATTGTAAATATATTAACATATGCACCCAACACTGGAGCACTCAGACATATAAAGCCAATATTATTAGAGCAAAAGAAAGAGATAGACCTTAACACAATGATAAGTAGAGACTTCAACACCCACTTTCAGCATTGAACAGATGTCCCAGACAGAAAATCAACAAAGAAACATCGGACTTAATCTGTACTATAGACCATATGGACCTACTAAATATTTACAGAACATTTCATCTGAAGGCTGCATAACACACATTATTTTCCTCAGCACATTGATTATTCTCAAGGATTGACAATAAGTTAGGTCACAAAATAAGTCTTAAAATATTTTTTAATGAAATAATATCAAGCATCTTCTTTAATCACAATTAAATAAAAGTAGATATCAACAAGAAGAGGAATTTAGAAAACTACAGAAACACATGGAAACTTAACAATATGCTCCTGAATGACCATGGGACAATGAGAAAATTAAGAAGAAAATTGAAAAATTATTTGAAACAAACGATAATGGGAACACAACATACCAAAACCTATGGAATACAGTGAAAGCAATACAAAGAGGGAAATTTATAGCTAAAAGTGTCTACATCAACAAAGAAGTAAAACTTCAAATAAGTAACCTATTTATGCATCTTAAAGAAATAGAAAAGTGAGAGCAAACCAAATCCAATGTTAGTAGAAATAAAGAAATACAGATCAGGGCAGAATAAATAAATTTAAATAAAAAACACAATACAAAAAATAAGCAAAAACAGAAAGTTGTTTTTTTTTTTAAAGATAAAATTGACAAACCTTTAGCCAGACTACTGAAGAAAGAAAGGGAGAAAACCTAAATAAATAAAATCACAGATAAAAAAGGAGACATTACAATGGACAGTGCAGAAATTCAAAGGAACATTAGTGGCTACTATGAGCAACTGTATGCCAATGAATTGGGAAATCTACAGGAAATGAATTAATTCCTAGACACATACAATCTACAAATGTTGAACCATGAAGAAATTCACAACCTGAACAGATCAATAACAAGTAACGAGATCAAAGCCATAATAAAAAGTCTCACAGTAAAGAAACGCCCAGGACCCAATGGTTTCATGGCTGAATTTACATAAACATTTAGAGAACTAATACCAATCTTACTCAAACTATTCTGAAAATTGAGGAGGACAGAATATTCCAAACTCATTCTAGAAAGTCAGTGTTACTCTGATACCAAAACCAGACAAAAAAACATAAAAAAAAGAAAACTACAGGCCATTGTCTCTGATGAATATTGATGCAAAAATTCTCAACAAAATACTAGCAAATTAAATTCAACAGTAGATTAAAAAGATCTTTCATTATGACCAAGTGGGATTTATCTCAGAGATGCAAGGATGGCTCAACATATACAAATCAATCAATGTGTTACATCATATCAACAGAATGGAGAAAAAAACTATATGATTACTTCAACTGATGTGGAAAAAGCATTTGATAAGATTCAACATTCTTTCATAATAAAAATCCTCACAAAACAAGGTATAGAAGGAACTTACCTCAACATAATAAAAGCCATATATAACAGACTCACAGCTAGTATACTGAATGGGGAAAAACTGACAGCCTTTCCTCTAAGATCTGGAACATGACGAGGATACCCATTGTCACCACTGTTATTCGATATAGTACTGGAAGTCCTAATTAGAGCAATCAGATGAAAGAAATAAAAGGCAACCACATTGGAAAGGACATCAAATTATCTTTTTTGGCAGATGATATATTATATTTTGAAAAAGCTAAAGACTTCACCAAAACAATTAAACAACTATGAGAATTGACACACAAACTTAGTTAATTTACAGGATACAATATTAAGGTACAAAAATCAGTAGCATTTCTATATGCCAAAAGTGAACAATCTAAAAAGAATACAGAAAAGCAATCCCATTTATAATAGCCACAAATAAAATTAAATACCTAGAAATTAACTTAACCAAAGAAGTGAAAGTTCTCCACAATGAAAACTGTAACACGCTAATGAAATCAATTGAAGGGGTCACCACAAAATGGAAAAGCTATTTCATGTTCACATAATGGAAGAATCAATGGCGTTAAAATGTTCATACCATGCAAAGCAATCAACAGATTCAATGCAATCACTATAAAAACACCAATGACATTCTTTACAGAAATAGAAAAAAAAATCCTAAAAGTAATATGGAAGCACAAAAGACCCAGAATAGACAGAGCTATCATGAGCAAAAAGAACAGAATAGGAAGAATAACATTACCTGACTTCAAAATATATGGCAGAGCTGTAGTAACCAACACAGCATAGTGCTAGCATAAAAACAGACACATAGACCAATGGAACAGAATAGAGAACCCGAAACAAATCCACACATGCACAGTGAACTTATTTTTGATGAAGGTGCCAAGAACATACATTGGGGAAAGGACTATCTTTTCAATAATGGGTGTTGGGAAAACTGGATATTCATATGCAGAAGAATAAAACCAGACATCTATCTCTTGCCATATACAAAACTCCAGTCAAAATGGATTAAAGCCTTAAATCTAAAACATCAACCTATCAAAACTACTAAAACAAAACATTGGGGAAACTCCAGGACATCGATCTGGGCAAAGATTTCCTGAACAATACCCCACAAGCACAGGCAATCAAAGCAAAAATGGACAGATGGGATCACATCAGGTTAAAAAGCTTCTGTCCAGCAAAGGAAACAAGTAACAAATTGAAGAGACAAACTACAAAATGGGAGAAAATATTCGCAAACTACCCATTTGACAAAGGATTAATCACCAGAATATATAAGAAGTTCAAACAACTTTATACAAATAAATAATAATGCAGTTTAAAAATGGGGAAAAGATTTGAACAGACATTTCTCAAAAGACGACCTACAAATTGCCAACAGATGTATGAAATGGTGATCAGCATTATTGATCATCAGAGAAATGCAAATCAAAACTACAATGAGATATTATCTCACCCGAGTTAAAATGGCTTATGTCCAAAAGACAGGCAATAAAAAATGCTAGAGAGGATGTGAAGACAAGGAAACCCTTGTAGATCATTGATGGGAATGTATATTAGCACTACGGAGAAAAGTTAGGAGTCCTCAGAAAAGCAAAAATAGAGCTACTATGTGATTCAGTAATCCCACTGCTGAGTATACACCTAAAAGAAATCAGCATATAAAGGGGATATCTGCACACTTTTTTTGCAGCACTATTCAAAATAACAAAGATTTGGAAGCAAACTAAGTGTTCATCAACAGATGAATGAATAAAGAAAATGTGATACATATACACAATGGAGTACTCTTCAGCCCTAAAGAATGAGATCCTGTCATTTGCAACAACATGGATGGAAATGGAGGTCATCACGTTATGTGAAATGGGCCAGGCACAGAAAAAAAAAATAGTATGTTCTCACTTACTTGTGGTATGTAAAAATAAAAACAATCAAACTCATGTAGATAGAGAATAGAAGGATTGTTACCAGAGCCTATGAAGGGGAGTAGGATGGTGAGACAGGTAGGGATGCTTAGTGCCTAAAAAAATATATATATATATAGTTAGAAGTAATAAGTAATATTGAGTATTTGATAGCACAGCAGGCTGACTATAGTCAAAATAATTTAAATAGACATTTCAAATTAACTAAAAGAGTACAATTAGATGGTAACATCAAAGATAAATGCTTGAGGGGTTGGATACTCCATTTTTTATGATGCAATTATTACATGTTGTATTTCTGTATCAAAATATTTCATGTACCCCATAAATATATACACTTAGTATGTGCCCACAAAAATTAAAAAATAAACTTAAAGTTTATTCTGTACCCTATTCTTTTAAAAAATATTTCATCCTGTGGTTTTAAAACATTCCTTTATTATTGGACATGCGCATTTTCTTATCTGTTGGTTTTGTTGTAATTTGAATAGAATTACCATTTTTGAATGGTTTGTAAGAAGTAGAATTTCTAGCTCAGAGTGCATGAACTTGGAATTTTTCTTAGTTTTCTGTTATGCTTATTTCTTATTAGACCTTGAACAAAAGATACTTAGTCGGCCGGGCGCGGTGGCTCACGCCTGTAATCCCAGCACTTTGGGAGGCCGAGGCGGGTGGATCATGAGGTCAGGAGATCGAGACCATCCTGGCTAACAAGGTGAGACCCCGTCTCTACTAAAAATACAAAAAAAAAAATTAGCCGGGCGCGGTGGCGGGCGCCTGTAGTCCCAGCTACTCGGGAGGCTGAGGCAGGAGAATGGCGTGAACCCGGGAAGCGGAGCTTGCAGTGAGCCGAGATTGCGCCACCGCAGTCCGCAGTCCGGCCTGGGCGACAGAGCGAGACTCCGTCTCAAAAAAAAAAAAAAAAAAAAAGATACTTAGTCCACAGTTTTAAAATGCGTAAGTGAATAAACAACATTATTGTCAAGGTGTTCTTTCCATTTTTGAAATGTTTCCAAATAAGCTTGTGAAAGCTATGGATTCAAAGGAACTAAATTGGACTCCATGGACTTCCTCTTCCTTACTTTGTGGACTGCAGCAAACTGTTTAATTTTTCTTGGCTTTGGTTTTTCCAAGTATACAAAAATACAGTATTAGTATCTACCTTTTGAGACTTTTGAATATTAAACAAGAAAATGCATGAAAAGTACTTTGTATAGTGACTGGCAAATTGCCTCAGTAGTGTTATTCATTCCTTAAAAACTGACATTGATATTGATGATTATATCTCCTTAGTCTCTCAAAAAAATTTCATTAAATTTCATATTTTTAAAAATCTTCAAAAACACATTAATTTAAAATTAATGCTACTCAGCTAAAATGTGCTAAGAGGTCTCAAATGGACTGGACATTTCCCTCCTGGAATTGGTCAATATTTTGGGCATGTTATAAACTCTTTGGGGCAGTTCTCTGTATGATTGATTGAACTGGCCAGGTAGTCGATCTGAATTGACTCTTAGAAGAGTATTTATCAAATAGATGTGCCTCTGAGTGGCGTCTATGGCTGTAGGCATTCACATCTCACATTCCCACATTGACATGAGGATGTAATGTGCTCATCTCAAGCTTTAATTTGGCAAGAAATCTCTGCTTCTTAAAGAAAGGATGTGACAGCTGTCTGAGGAGGCATGCAATGTAAGGGAGGAATTATACAGCTGCAAAGACAGGGCTCTGCTCTGTCATTACCATCATCATCCTTTAATATTTATCAGGGCATCCACACTGTGCTGGGTGCTTTCCAGGATGCGGGCATCACTATGCCACAGAAGAAAGAACCAGATGAAAGATGAAACTAACACCCAGGCTCCATCAAATGGACATGCAATATTTACAAAGATGCTACTTATTTCCGAGGCTTGAGGTTGTACATGCTGGTGGGAAACTTCCCTGCCTGCAATAACGGGCCTTCAAAAGAAGTAAAGGTGAGGTTTGAGAATCTTTTTAAGCAATGACCTTGCTATTGCTTAAAAAGATAGATTGCTATTTTTAGAGTAGGCTTTCTCTCTCTTTCTTATTTTTCTCTGGAGGAGGAGTGGACAGTGTAAATGGATATCTTACTTCTTAAGTATCATATTTAAAGTGCTAAATCACTGAGAACCATTCATTTCTGAGAGGTTACTGTAGAGTAATAGCAAATAGTCTCTACTGAAGTAAAGACTTATATTTTGATGTGAGCCACAATCAATCAGCAATTTTAAATTTGATTGTATATTTTTGCTATAATAATATATTAATGTTTTTTATTGTAAAGCTAATCGGCATTCTTTGGAGAATTTACAGAAAGTACAAAAATGCATAAAGAATATAATAAAAGCTGCTTTCCTATATTCAGCATGTTTAACATTTACTGTACTCTAATTCTTTACAGTCATTTTTCCATTTAGAAAAGGTTTTTTTCTGGAAAATTCTAATTTTCCTTTCATCATTAAAATATAGGTGATCTCTTTATTTTTGATATCTAATTAATAAAAAATTCTTTATGACAGATAACTAGAAATTATATTCCTAGGACAAAAAAAGCTCACCCATGTTACATTTTGATGGATAGCAACAAATTCTTGAAACACACACACACTAAAATCCATTCCCCAAAGAAGTATATGAGAATTGAATCTATTTATGCCCTTATCAAACCTGAATACTAAGTTGTTAACAAATTTTATTATGGTTAAGTGTGATATTTTATTGTTTTTCATAATTTTTGATTCTCTGATAATTAGTTAGTTCAAGAATTGTTTCTTGTGTTTATTGTCCATTTTAGATTCATATTATGCAAATATATTATGTATTTTATCACTTAAAATTTGACTCTGTTTTTCTCATCTATGCTAGCTCTTTATATTTTCTAGTGTTAAAGCAAAAATTACTTCTAAGTTAAACATGTAAGGACAACTTTATCCAAAGCTATTGCAATAGCAGAGATAGAGGTCAGAGTTCAGTCTGAAGTCAACTGTACTAAATCGGAAGGTGGAGACTTTTTAAGTCTTGGAGATTGTGTACAACAAAGGTCATCAGTGTTTGATAATTAGCTTTAATCCTTAAAGCAACTTGTCTCATATCTAAATAAATGAGAAGAGAAAGTTTTACAACTTGGAACAAGGCACCCTCTTTTTCTCTGAAGTTAGGCTCCAATCCACCCATAGAAACTGAGGGATACAAGCACTATCTCCCCTGATAATTATATTCTGAAAAGATGTTTCCGAGTCCTTGAGAAAGGCATTTCTGGATTCTAAAATTGGCAAGAAGCTTTTTAAAAAAGATTTACATATATTTCTAAAGAATTTTTAAAAAGAATTTACAATTTACAAATTTTATAGAGAAAATGCTCTGAGAAAAGGAAGACCAGGGCCTAGAGTCCGAAAGAAGTCTGTTTACAAGTTTAGTATAGCTGGGGGAACATTAAGGCTATCTTGGTCATAGATTACCATTTTCTTGACATATACATTGAAAATACATGTTTTCTCCAGATCTGCCACTTACATTTTAACTTTATTTATGTCCTTTTAAAAATGTATATGCTTTCAGAAGAATTTTAAGTTTGCTTAAGTTATTAAAGTTTCTGTAATCTGCATTGGGTATAAAAGGCTCTCTCTATTTTGAAAACATACTCTCTTCTGTTTTCTAGCACATTAAAAATACATTTTCTCCAAATTTTGTAGCTAAATATCATAATACCATTTATTTAATAGTCCATTTCTTTTTCTCAAGGTGTAAATGCCAGCTCTATTTTATACCATGCTGGGTTTATATAACTGTGGGCCTACTGTTAATCTCACTCCAAAAATCTATTTGTTTATAATTCATGGATGAGGAGTAGACAACTATGCAAAGAACAGAGAGTAGAGTATTGAGAAAACAGAAAATATAAAAGTCCTGAGATGGAAAGACTTCACATTTTAAGAATGAATAGTATTCTTATTGGTATGAATACTATTCATTGTGATTGGTATGGCTAAAGTGTAGTAAGTTAAGAGAAGGACAGTTCAAGATGAAATTAAGAAGCCTGGGTAAAGGAGGGAAGAACTAGGATGGCTAATTACATGCAGCCAGGAAGAGCTTCTCCCACTGAGGGACCAGAACATTAAGAATACCATCACACTCTGAGCACCTCTTTAGAAGGAAGGCATTGAGAGTGGACAGAGAGAGGACACGGAACCCAGGCTGAAGGGGAAGGAAGTTGGGAACCATGCACAGGGTTGCCAAGCACCAGGACTTGCTCGTGACCTCAAGTGGGTCCTGGGGAAGGTTTGAGTTAAATAGACATGGAGTAGCTCACTGTCACCACAGACCTCCAGAAACCTACCTGCAGGAGACCCCACAGCCTCCACGGACATTTGAGCTGTCAGGGAGAATAGCTTGAAGAGTCGGCAGGGACAGTACTCCAGCCTGCATAAAGCCCAGAGGGTCTGGCTCAGGAAAGTCTACAGTGGAGCACAGCCAGAGATACTCAACCCCCAAGGCTCACCATGCTCCTCTAGCTGGCTTTGGCCTTTGATGACACTTGGACCTGAAGAGAACAGGGCTATCCTGCCCATGGGATGTGGCCAGTCTGACTTGAGTGCCCCTCTCTATGTCAGTCTCTACCTGGGTTACTGCCTGGCCACACCCGCTTGCAGTGCAACTTCAAATGCCTAACCAGGGCACATCACAGAAGCTACTGCCATAGCTCCTTTGGTGACAGATCCTGCCTAACCACCAGAGAGCTTTGGCAGATAGGACCCCACCAGCATGTACCCAACTGCAGCCTCCTCCCACAACTTTGTCAGTGTGTACTTGCCTGCAGTCTCCCACAACTGCTTAGCTGGCATGCCCATGTGGACATTGCTGTTCCACCAACACAGGCACTCATGTGTGTGCATGAACTTTGCTGCAACCATTCTGCCCCTGTGGGCATGCGTGTGGGTAGGCCCCACTGCCACCACTCTGACAAAGCACTTTTGCCAACATTACCCTATTAGAGTGTTGCTGCCAATGGATTGAGAACACATTGGCCCCTCCATGCAGGAGGTGCTTAAGTTTGAGGTACCAGAGAACAAAGCCATGGGACTGGTCCTGGTCCCCCCAAAATAGGACATGCAGCCCAGGAGTGCTGAGCTGAGACTTGGTTCACTAAAATCATCTAGAAATGAAACCAGTCAACTGCAGTCAACTTATACCATATTCAAACCCTCAAGAGCAGCAAATAATGTAAAAGCAAAAAGGCCCAATGAAAGGACAGCAACTTCAAAAATTATACAAACATCAGGCCACAAAGATGAGAAAGAACCAGTGTTAGAATTCTGGCAATTCTAAAAGCCAGCATCTTCCTACCTCCAAATAACCGCACCCGTTCCTCAGCAATGGTTCTTGGCCAAACTGAAAAGGGTAAAATGACAGACATAGGATTCAGAATGTAGATGGCAATGGAGATAATCAATATTAGGAAGAAAGATGAAACAAAATCCAAGGAATTTAAGGAATCAAGTAATATGATTCAAGAGCTAAAAGACAAAATAGCTATTTTAGGAAAGAGCCAAACTGATCTGATAAGGCTGAAAAACTCACTACCAGAATCTTATAATATAATTGAAGTATAAACAGCAGAATAGACTAAGCTGAGGAAAGAATCTCAGAGCTTGAAGACTGATTCTTTGACTCAACACAGTGAAACAAAAAATTAAAAAAAAAATTTTTTAAAGTAACAAACCTCTAAGAAATATGGGATTATGTAAAGAAACCAAACCTATAACCAATTGTTGTCCTTGAAAGAGAGAGAGAGAACAAGCAACTTGGAAAACACATTTCAGGCTATTGTCCATGAAAACATCCCAACCTTGCTAGAGAGGTCAAAATCAAATTCAGAAATTCAGAGAGCTCCTATAAAATACTATATGAGAAGACTGTCACAAAGGCATATTGTCATCAGATTCTCCAATGTCAAAATGAAAGAAAAATTGTTAAAGGCAGCTAGAGAGAAGTGGCAAGTCACCTATGAAGGGAAGCCTATCAGGCTAACGGCAAACCTTTCAGCAGAAACCCTACGAGCCAGAAAAGATTGAGGGCCTATATTCACCATTCTTAAAGAAAAGAATTTCCAAACAAGAACTTCATTTCCAGCCAAACTAATCTTCATTCACAATGGAGAAATAAGTTTATTTAAGATAAAGTAAATGCTAAGGAAATTGATTACCGCTAGACCTGCCTTACAAGAAGCCCTCAAGGAAGTCCAAAAGATGGAAACAAAAGACCATTACCAGCTACCAAAAAACACACTTCACTACATAGGCCATTGACACTATAGAGCAACTGTACAATCAAGTGTACATAACAACTAGCTAACACTATGAAGACAGGATCAAATCTGCACATATCTCTATTAACCTTAATTGTAAATGGGCTAAATGCTACACTTAAAAGCACAGAGTGGCAAGTCAGAAAAAGAAGAAAGATGAAACTGTATGCTGTCCGTATGAGACCCACCTCACATGCAATGACACCCGTAGGCTCAAGTAAAGAGATGGTGAAAGATCTATCAAGCGAATAGATAACAAAAAAGAGCAATGGTTGCTATTCTTATTTCAGACAAAACAGACTTTAAATCAACAAAATTAGAAAGGATAAAGAGGGGCATTACATACTGATAAATGATTCAATTCAACAAGAACCCTTGACTATATGTACGCAGCATCAAAGCACCAAGATTCATAAGACAAGTTCTTGAAGACTTATGAAGAGATTTAGATAACCACACAGAAATAATGGGAAACTTCAACATCCCACTGACAGTATTAGACAGATTATTAAGGTAGAAAACTAACAAAGATATTTGGGACCTAAACTCAACACATGACCAAATAGACCTAACAGACATCTACAGAGCACTCCACCCAACAACAGAATAAACATTCTTCTCATCTTCACATGGCACATACTCTAATATCAACTACATGCTCAGCCATAAAGCAATTCTCAACAATTTTTTAGAAGAGATAATACTAACCACACTGTTGGACCACACTGCAATAAAAATGAAAGTCAATTCCAAGAAGATGTCTCAAAATGATACAATTACATGGAAATTAAATAATCTGCTCCTGAATAACTTTTGGGTAAACAATGAAATTAAGGCAGAAATCAAGAAATTCTTTGAAACTAATAAAAATAAAGATAAAACATATCAAATTCTTTGGGACACAGCTAAACCAGTATTAAGAGGGAAGTTTATAGTGCTAAAGGTCCGCAAGAAAAAGTTAGAAAGATCTCAAATTAACAAACTAACATCGCACCTACAGGAACTAGGAAAACAAGAGCAAACCAACCACAAAGCTAGCAGAAGAAAAGAAATAACCCAAATTAGCACTGAACTGAAGGAAATCCAGATGCAACAAATCACATAAAAGTTCAACAAATTAAAAAATTTGTTCTTTGAAAGAATAAATAAGATTGATAGATCATTAGTTAAACTAATATAGAAAAGATCCAAATAAACACTGTAAGAAATGACAAAGGGGATGTTACCAGTAACCCCACAGAAATATAAAAAATCCTCATAGACTATTGCAAACACTTCTATGTATAAAAACTAGAAAACCTAGAAAGAATGGATAAATTCCTGGAAACAAAACCTCCCAAGATTAAACCAGAAAAAAATTAAAATCCTGAACAAATCAATAATGAATACCAAAATTAACTCAGTAATTAAAAAACCTGACAACCAGAAAATGCCCTGGACCAGATGGATTCACAGCCAAGTTCTATCATATGTATAAAGAAGAGTGGGTAAGAATCTTACTGAAACTATTCCAAAATATTGAGGAGGAAGGACTCCTCCCTAACTCATTCTAGGACACCAGCATCATTCTGTACCAAAACCTATCAGAGATACAATGAAAAAAAAAGGCTTCAGGCCAATGTCCCTGATGAACATAGATTCAACAATACTCAATAATCAACGATACTCAATAAAAGACTAGCTAACCAAATCCAGCAGCACATCAAAAACCTAATCCATCATGATCAAGTAGGCTTTATTCTTGGGATGCAAGTTTGGTTCCATATAGGTAAATCAATAAATGTGATGCATCACATAAATAGAAATAAAAATAAAAACCACATGTTCATCTTAATAGATGCCAAAAAGGCTTTCGTTAAAATTCAACATCCTTTCATGTTAAAAACCCTCAACAAAACAAGGCATCAAAGGAATATACTTGAAAATAATAAAATCCACATATGAAAACCCAACAGCCAACATTATACCGAACAGGCAAAATCTAGAAGCATTCCCCTTAAGAACCAGAACAAGACAAGGATGCTCACTCTCACAACTCCTGTTCAACATAGTACTGGAAGTCCTATCCAGATCAATCAGTCAAGAGAGGGTAATTAAAGGCATTCAAATAGGAAGAGAGAAAGTCAAACTATTTATCTTTACAGACATTATAATTTTATACCTAGAAAACCCCACACAATCTCTGCCCAAATCCTCCTACATCTAATAAACAATTTTAGCAAATCTTCAGTATACAAAATTAATATAAAAAATCAGTAGCATTTCTATACACTAATAATCTCTAAGTGGAGAGCCAAATCAAGAATACAATCCTATTCACAATAACCACAAAAAGAGTAAAATGCCTATGGATACAGCTAACCAGGAAGTGAGAGGCCTCTACAATGAGAATTATAAAACAATGCGAAAGAAATCACAGATGTCACAAACAAATGGGGAAAAAAATCCATGTTCATGGATAGGAAGAACAAATATTGTTAAAATGGCCACACAGCCCAAAGCAATGTATAGATTTAATGCTATTCCAATAAAATGACCACCAACATTTTTCACAGGATTTTGTTAAAACTATTCTAAAATTCATATGGATCCACTGAGGAGCCCAAATAGCCAATGCAGTCCTAAGCAAAAAGAACAAAGCCAGAGTTATCACACTACCTGACTTTAAACTATATTACAAGGCTACAGTAACCAAAACAGCATGGTACTGGTACAAAAACAGACACATAGACCAATGGAAAAACATGAAGAACTGAGAAATAAAGCTACACACATAAAATGCATATGTGATCTTTGACAAAGTCAACATGAACAAGCAAGAGGGAATAGACTCCCTATTCAATAAATGGTGCTGGGATAGCTGGCTAGTCATATGCTGTAGATTGAAACTGGACCCTCTCTTTACACCATATACAATAATCAAATCAAGATAGATTAAAGACTGAAATGTAAAACCTAAAATTATAAAAACCCTAGAAGAAAACTTAGGAAATATTACTCTGGACAGAGGCCTTGGCAAAGATTTCATGACAAAGACTCCAAAAGCAATTGCAACAAAAAAATTGGCAAGTGGTACCTAGTTAAACTACAGAGCTTCTGCACAATAAAAGAAACTATCAATACAGTAAACAGAGAGCCTAAGGAATGGGAGAAAATATTTGCAAACTATGCATCTGACAAAGGACTAATATCCTGAATCTATAAGAACTTAAATCAAAAAGCAAAACACCAACATCATCATTTAAAAGATGGGCAAAGGACATGAACAGATGCTTCCCAAAAAGAAGACATACACAACGGCTAAGAAACACATGTAAAAATGCTAAACATCACTAATCATTAGAGAAATGCAAGTCAAAACCACTGTGAGATACCATCTCACACCAGTCAGAATGGCTATTTATTAAAACAGATGCTTGCAAGACTTCAGAGAAAAGGGAATGCTTACGCATTGCTGATGGGAATGTAAATTAGTTCAGCCACCATGGAATGCAGTTTGGACATTTCTCAAAACTTAAAGCAGAATTACCATTTGACCTAGCAACCCCATTACTGGATATATTCCAAAGGAATATAAATTATTCTACCATAAAGATACATGCTTGTCTATGTTCATCACGATAGCAAAGATATGAAATCAATGTAGATGTCCATCGTAAGTGAACTGGCTAAAGAAACGTGGTACATATACACCATGGACTACTATGTGGTCATAAAAAAGAACAAAATCATATCCTATGCAGCAATATGGATGCAGCTTTAGGCCATTTCCTTAAGCAAATAAACGTAGGAGCAGAAAACCAAATACTGCATGTTCTCACTTATAAGTGGAAGACAAATATTGAGTTTCTATGGACACAAAGAAGGAAACAATAGATACCAGGACCCACTTGAGGGTGGAAGGAGTGAGAGGGTGAGGATCAAAAAACTACCTATTGGGTACTATGCTTACCTGGGTGACAAAATCATTTGTATACCAAACCTGAGTGACACACAATTTGCCATTGCAACAAATCTACTTATGTACCCCCTGAACCTAATATCAAAGTTGGAAGGAAACAAAGAAAGAGAAGATGGTGGCACAGATTTTGCAGGACCCTGTAGTCACTGCCAGCTGGTAGTCTCACTGCTTGGTGAAACTCATCAGTAGTGTAGGTGGAAAAATCTCTGGTCACTGCTCCTCTGGAGAAGACTGAATATAGATAAGTTCTTTCCCTTCTTCAGGCCACGCATGACTTCTTACTTTCTTAGACCAAACAGTCATGTCTGCAATAGGTGAACTTCTTTAGGATGATCAGGCCAATTTCTGAAAAGTATAGTTTGCAGGAAAGGAGGTGGGAAATCTACCTAAATTACTTGATTCCTATGAGTTAGGCTTGACCTAATGAATGAGATTTACCGGAGAGATGACCTCCTGGTGATCAACTGAAGAAGCTCAGGGGCTTCTTTGAGAATTAGGGATGAGGCAAGCCATCTATGCTCAGGTTTTTGTAGGGCCCACTAAAAGTTTTTACTGGTGGCATAAAATAAATTATTATAGGGTGCATCAAGAAAATGGCATGTCCCTTTGCTGTCTTCGTTGAGTCTTATAGTGGGACAAGATGTACATGATGTGAGAGAAGACATCGCAGATTTGGGAGAAACTGAGAAACCAAGGAGAGGGTATATTTGATAACCCAATAAGGACTAACAAAAGGAAAAAGAAAGCGCTGCAAAAAGTAGGGTGAAATGGGAAAAAGAGACAAGAATCACATGTAAGCAAATGTGGCATGATTTATTGGGAGCAGAACCATCCCTAGAAAAAAATAAACAAGCAACCTAATGCTACATTAGAAGCTTTATGGAGGAAACTACACCCGAACAGCAGTTTCAGCTTTTTCCTTCTGCTCCTCCAGCTGAAGAGAAAGACAACTCTGCCTCTCCTTCTAATGGCCCAGCCTACCTTCAGTGGATTTTACCCTGGCCCTTCAAGATTAGGAGCTGGGCCAAGGTTGACCCCATGTTTGAGCAATAGGGAAGAAACTGATACCCTATATTGAGTTCACCATTTACTAGTTCCCCTCAAATTAGGAGAAGACTTGCCACAGTAGATTCTGAGGTGGAATGTACTTTAACCCATGAAAATTCAGGAAGACACCCTGGTCAATGGGCTGCCATTAATGGTTATGGGGGACAAACAATCCAAGTAAACAGCCCTTTAATACATCTAGGTATTAGAGGATCTCCCCCAGCCTTATATTTGGTGTTTATTTCCCCTATCCTAGAAAACATTTTAGGCATGGATATTCTGCTAAGAAAGACTTTTCAAACTTCAGTGGGATAATGCAGATTGAAATACCTATAGTAAAGCCTGTTGTCAGGGGAAAGGCAAAATGGGAATGCATTTAACTCCCTGCCCCTAGGTGGGCTGTCAACATTAAACAATACAAATTGACTGAGGAGTATGCTGAAATAAGTGTAACTACTGAGGAACTGGCAGAGGTGCATATTATCTGCCCAGCTCAAAGCCAGTTTAACAGTCCTGTCTAGCCTGTATACAAACTAGGTGATACCTGAAAGATGACCATGGATTACTGGAAATTGAATAAGGTAACCCTGTCCATGCGTTCTGCAGTTTCCAGTTTTACTCAGGTAGTCAACCACATAGTGTCAGCGCTGCAGATGGCATGCTGCCTTAGATTTTGCTGATGCCTGGCTGGCTGTGGTGGTTCACACCTCTAATCCCAGCACTTTGGGAGGCTGAGGTGGGTGGATCACCTAAGGTCAGGAATGTGAGACCAGCCTGTCCAACGAGGGCAGCCTGTCCAACATGGTGAAAACCTATCTCCGCTAAAACTACAAAAATTTGCTGGGCATGGTGGCTCGTGCCTGTAATCCCAGCTACTCAGGAGGCTGAGGCAGGAAAATTGCTTGAACCCATCTTGTCTTTCTTGCATTTATTATATTGATGACATTACCTTAGACTTTGAGTTATAAGAAAGTCTTACAGCACTGTGTGCTCATCTGTGGAATGGGAATGGGTTATCAACCCTCAAGATCCAGAGCTCAGGGTCTCAGTGAGAATTTTGGGGGTTACATAGCCAGATAAGACTCATTTGGTACCAGGTACAGTACCAAACTGACAAAGTCCGACAATTTTTAACTCTGAAAATGGTAATGGAAATCCAAATATCTTTGTGTCTTTTGGATTATTGGAGAGCATTTATCCCCACTTAGCCCAATGTTTGAGACCACTATATAGACTTATAAATGGGGCATATTGGGCCTGGACACATTACAGCAGGAAGCTTTGAACAGGATAAAGTGCTAACATGACAGGCAGAAACCTCAAGAACACTTTTAGAGGATATAGCGTTGGATGTTACTGCTACTCCTCAAGATATGAGTTGGACCTTGTGACAACCAAAGTATGGTAAATTACTCCTTTAAGGATTTTGATCACAATTATAGAAAAGAGCTGAAACCAGACACTCTCTCATTGAATAAGTACTAGCTGTATATAATATTTTACAGTAAGTAAGACTGTTAACAAAGACTCTTCTTGTAACTGTGAGAATGGATCTACCAATCAAGGGATGGATACAAGGATTGTTTAAATGACTCCCTTCTGCTATAGTCCAGACATTTTCTTTGAATAAATAACATGTCTATTTGCAACAACAAAATATCTGGCAATTAGTCCATTAAGCCTAGAATTGCTTGCTATATTAGGCCCTGTTATATATGAGTAACCAAAGGACACTCCTTTACCCCCTTCTATTCCAGAGCCTGACACAGTAGGAGAAAGAGTGTTACTCACGCTGGACAACACAGATGGTTCTAGCAGGGGAACTTCCTATACTTGAACCACTGTTGCTTTACAATCACAAACTGATACAATATGGTTTGATACAGGTACACATTAGAGTTGTCAGTGGGCTGAGTTGTGAGCTTCTAGGTTGGTAATCAGATGTGAGCCCTGGCCCCTAGCCCTTTGCACTGATCGCTCATGTGGAAGTGGCTAGCCCAATGGGAATTAGAAAAGTGGATGATTATGCACAAACCCATATCAGGCATGAACATGTGGCAAGACATATGGAAGAAGGAGCAACACCCTGCAGCTGATTTAACTGTATATCATGTGGTCACACACAAAGATTCAGTTCCAGAAAATATAGAAAGCTGATACCCTTAAAAAATTAGGAGCATTGTGCCAGTCCAGGCCACTGAACTAGCAACCTGGGTACCTAACAAAAGTGGTCTTAGAAGTGCAAGAGTAGGCTGGGAGATAGCCAAGGGTGCAGAATTGCCCTTAAATTATACGGACCTCTTAACAGCTGTTACTGTTTATTATATCTTGTTTGTGTTCATGACATATACCATATCGAGCAGGACACATTCATAGGTTTTTTACATTGTAACAGATTGGCAAGTGGATTATATAGAACATCTCCTTGTAAGCCAAGAAAAGAAATATGTGTTAACCTGCATGGACACTGCTATTGGACTGCTGCAAGGTTTCCTTGTAAGTAAGCTAATCAAGCCAGTACTACTAAGGGTTCAGAGGCTCCAAGTACTATGTATAGATATCCTCAGCACATTGACAGTGACCAAAGAGTCAATTTTCCTAGACACGATGTGCAGGACTGGGCCAGGGAACACAATACAGCATGGCATTTTCCTCTCCTATACAACCGCCAAGCAGTGGGATTAACTGAAAGGAAAAAATCATGGTCTGCTGAAAACACAAATTCAAACTTTACTGGGGGAACCTACATTGCACAGGTGGATGAATGTGTTACCTGCAGCCATTATTTCTTTAAATTCAGCCAAAGTGGGGACACATCCCCCAAATGACAGGTTGAAACAACTGTCCCTGAACCTATGTTTGCACATAGGTAACTGAGACAACTACTTTGCTCCCAGACCTGATTGACAATCAGCGTGTTTTTCACATGAAAACACCAATGGACATACTACCAGGAAAGGGAAGACTCCACTGGGACTTGGGATGGCAAATATCTTCAGGCTGGATAGGCTATTTCCTGCTGGAGACTGGGGAATATCCTAAAGAGTTAGAATGGTACTTGTTGATTCTATTAATACTGGACCCACAATCACCCACTATAAATGGTCAGGAGAAATACATGGCATGGTGGTGGCATCTCTAATATGGTGTACTCCCAACCAAATTACTTTGACAACCACTGCTGTCCCATGATGCCCTGGGCAACATATTTGGTATACAACCCTCTTACAAAAGTCAAGAACTGCTTTTTTACTAACTGCTGTAGATGAATCAACTGGTGTCATCTGATGAATCAACTGGAGAATTTCCCTTGCAAGAACCCCGTTTCTCTTTTAAACTTAAGTTATTATGTTTTGTTGCTGCTATCACCAGCTGTCACCTTTGAAGCCAATCTTTTCCTACAATGGACCCAAGACTATTCTATCGGCTTACAGAAAACACTTGTTGCATGTGTGGCCTTATGCCACTCACCAACGTTTCTGGCCTGCTGTGGTGGTTATCTCCCTTCCAAGGATGAGATTAGATAGAATATCACAAATATGTTACTGCTTCCCCAAATTGCATGGAGGTATTGAATACAAGGATGATGAGAGATAAAATAACCCAATGGCCCATTAATACTACTCTTTCTGAAAGAGGACACAGGAAGAGTTTCTCTATCAATAAAACCAGCTCACTCACTCTCCACTTGCAATACTCTAGTAAATTTGCCTGGCTATTCTAGGAACAAAAGAATCATTCTAAAAATGCTTTACCAAATAGCATGAGGAATATGGTACGGATACCAAGAGACAAATGTTCACATACTAAAATATTACGAAGTAATGACTGCCATGGTATAGAATGGGCACTGCACCCAGGAATTTATTGGTTATCTCAAAATGGAACTTCCTGGATGTATGGCACCAATTTATGGCCTTGGTTACACCCCAGATGATTAAAAAGATGTCCTTTTGGTTACACATGGGCATGAGATCAAGTAGTTCACACCCTTACAAAGCCTGCAAATCTGCCTTATTTGAAATACCACTGGGCCCCATTTATTTTTGGTCTGATCATTTGACCTATATTTTTCTTCCTCAACTGGACATTAAAGATGTTATTTGGCATGTGGAAGCTGTAACACAATTATACAAAGAAAGCTTTGAACAATAGCCACATGGGAATCTCTCTTTTAAACATGGAAGTCCCTCTTATGAGAAAGGCCGTCCTGCAAAATGGCATGGTTTTAGGCATACTACCGCACAAGGAGGGACTTGGGCAATCATAAAAACTGAATGCTGTGCTTATATTCCTGATGAGTTATATATCACTAAATGAATGACTGACATGAATACCCAAATAACTGATCTCTCAGACTGAACCTCCACTTTGATTGGTTTCGTAGCTGGTTTGGTTTGCTTCCTGGGATACCTAGTGGCAGAAGCCGTTTCTTCGTTTAGGTGTTATATTGATATGTTGCTTACTGTCTTGTCTTTGCCTTTACTGTTGCTGTGGCATCTGTCTCCAATGGAGACAATGCACTACTGCTGAAGCCATGAAGTATGAAGAAACCTCCCTCTAGGCCCAGGGACTATCCCAGAAGAGGTGGGCATGTGGGATTGCAAGGATCAGTTTTGAGGAGTGGAGTGGAGGAAAACAGACTGTTGCATGGACACAGTGATGCCATCTTGAAGCAAAGCCACCATAATGACTGATATCTGACTCAAGCATACCAAGGTGTTCTGCACAAGGTCTTTCAGCAATGCGTGAAGCATAGATAACTCCTCATAAAGATGCTTATCTAACATCGCCAGTGGTCACAAGTTTTCAGTAAGAAAGTCCTATAAGTAACCAGCTTCACATGTCTTTACCATAAAGGCTTGCTATATAAAAGATACTTTCTAGAGGGTAGGTGTAAAGATCTGCTGTTTCACAACCACCCAAGACATTGCTTCTGTACATAAGTCCCTATTCAATAATTTCTCTCTGAGAAACTAATTATCTCAGATCCCTTGGCCTTTGAGGATAGGTTTACATATTCTTACTCACCATGCAACAGTAATAGTATTTTCCTTCTTTCGAAATGACTTTCAATACTAATATAATTAGTGATCATTTAAAGATTAATGTTTGCATCGTAAGTTGCATGAGCACATCCAAACAACCCTATAAAGCCCCACAGTTGTTAGTGCTTTTGGGGGGATGGGGGATATATTCTCACAAGCCAATGTTTAAATCATTGCAGAAATATAATGTTAATAATACCCTACACTTTGAAATGTACACATGTATGATCACATACACAATCACATTTGAGTCTCACAACTTCCTTAGGAGATAGTTTCAATTGTTATTATCCCCATCTTACAGTTAAAGAAAGCAGGTTCAGAAATAAGAAATCACTTTCTGAATGATGTATAGGAACAGAAGATAGATCTGAAACCCAGTTTTTCTAATTCTGCAATTGTAAGTTTTTCAATTACACTGTTATTCCTTCCTCTTTTTATTTAACTAGGAGGCAGAAAATATTGTCACTACGTTCTTTACATTTTTTTTCAGGGCAAGCATTAGGAAAATGAACAATTAGGTCACTATTATAGAGCCAAAAAACACTGTTACTTCCTAGTCAAGAAGGCAGAAAGATTGTGCTAACAGAACCTTGAACTAATGAATAACCTTTTATCATGAATTATAATGTAACACCTGTAACATTTAGCTGTAACAATATTTTAATTTAGTAGAATTTCCTGTGATAATGTTAGCACACATATGTGAAAATCAAGCAGAAAGAAACATTGAGAGGATCTTAGTGAAGATCATTACACAAATGACCTACACTCTCAGAATATTTATAAGTAAAGAAAGAATTATTCTAGTTTCTCATTCAAATAAAATGTAAGACAATTTCTTGGCCCAAAGTAAATAAGAAGCTGCTGATGTCTAAACTGAACAGATTTTCAGACTCCCCATGTTCATTTTTTTCCTTGTAATTCCTCTTCTCCATTTATCTTATTTCCCTTGACAGGTTCTATCAAGACATATGAGCTTTTTCTAGAAATATGTATTTGAAAGAGGTATTTACTGTGTTTTCAGGATGATATTAGTTCTTTGGGGAAAAAATGGGAAACTTTAAAATCATAAGCTGTATTTCCAAGCAACAAGTGTTACCCCTTACTGTGTCATCCTAATGCATATTAATTTAAAATATAAAATATCCTAAGGTTTTGTAGTCATTGGTTAATGTATATGAAATAATGATGTGTCCTTTTGAGTACTGCAATTCAAGAACTTCCAGAGAACACTGAACATAGAAACCTCTTTCCCTTGTTATAATAAGAGGATAGACTTTATGCTTTCAATGTATAGTTCCTTCCACCCAAAATTCGTCAGAACCATGGGTCATTTGATTTTCTTATAGCAATTTAGGGAGAATATCACTTGGCACATATTTAGTAATGCATGGGGATTCCAAATATGTATTTTGGGGGGAAATATGTCTTTCTGAGTTGAGTATACCATTTTCAACATGCAAACCCATTCTGACAAACTAAGCTGGGTAAATTGGCCATGTCAGTTTAGCTTGGCTGCCCTTGTATCAAATTCAGAACAATGTCATAATAATGCTATATTTCATTTCTACAATCTCTATGCACTATAAAGGAAGGTGCTAAACAAGATTAATAACACCCAAAAAGTTAGTGTAGGATAAACCCACAAATAATTTAGTTATTCCATGTGGATTCATAATATAACCTTTATTGTGAAAATCACAACACAATTAAACAAATCTCAAACATGCATGTATGATTGTGTGTGTGTGTGTGTGTGTGTGTGTAAATAAGAGTAAAGGAGTTGACTAGAATACAAATCTGTCTTACAGCTAGGAGGATCCATTTCTCTTTTACTTCAGGAAAGATAGGTCTCCCTTGATTCTTTATGTTTTCTGTTTACCAGATTAGGATTCTAGATGAGCTAAAGTCCTTGTTTTAATTAAGTCAAGGAGACAGTCATAGTATTTCTTTTAAAATAAACTACAGTCCACTTTCTACATGAAAGGAATCAGGAAGGTGGAAGACCAAAAGAATAGAAAAGTAAAGGGAATAGGAAAATGTGTTGGATCACACCACTGATTGCTACAAAAAATTAATTTGTTTTTTGTTGTGAACCTTTTCATCAGGAGAACCTCCATCATGCACAACATGATGTTTCCAACGAATGTCCTCAAGGCAACAGGAAGAAAAATTCATTCTAGATCTAAGCAAATGCTAACCCTGCAATTGAACAGGAGCAATCAATACAGGTCCAAACAATAACATTTAAACAAATAAGAAAGACCTTAGATCAAGAGGGGACATAATTAAAAGGCAACCTCTTGAGAAAAGAGAGTTTTGAGGTTAAAAAAATTCAGCCTCAATAGAAAGAAACATATTGAGCATGTAATCATATTTCAAAATAATTCATCTTTAAAGAAAAATACTAGACCTTGTCTTTTACTCATTCAGAATGGGATATTGAACCTGAGTAAACAGAAGATAGAAAGAGCTGTTTTACAGGATTTTCATTACAACTGTTTTGATTGTCTTTGTTCATGTTAACTTGTGAGATCTCAGGGTACAGATGATTTTTATCTTTATCTTTTTTCAGAGAAGAAAATGGAAATTCAGAGACATACGATGAAATGTACTCAGGTGGTAGAGTTAGAGAGAAACTGGTTTTATAAGTCCTTGTCAAACATGATTTTCTACAAAATATTGTATGCTTTAAAGAAGCTAATAACAATGTAACAATATTTTAAGGAGACAATTTCTCTTAAATATGATGTGATTTCTAAATTTTGGTGCCTTGTTTTGAAATTTGAGGTGGAATTATTTTTTAGGAACGTATGGATCTTCCTGAGGAGTCTATTTTAGAAGTTTTCTTAAATTATTTTTTAAATTGTATTTTTGATACAATTTTAGACATTAAAAGAGTTGCAAAAATAGTACAAAGAATTCCTTATACCCTTTATCCAGATTCTCCATGTGTTAACATCTTATATAACTACAGTTCATTGAAAAATCAGGGATTAACCTTGATACAATAATAATACTTAAATCTACAGACCAGTTTCTCCAACTGACCAATAAATGTCCTTGTAGTGACCCAGGATCCAATGCAGGGTCAGAGGATGCATTTTGTTGTCATGGCTTCTTACTTTCGTTCAATCTGGAAGGGTTCCTCTGTTGACCATTTGTCTTTCACAACCTTGACACTTTTAAAGACTACTGGAGAGGTAATATGTAAAAATGTTTCTTAGTTTGACTTAGTTTGATGTTTTCTTATGATTGTGCATTTTTGTAAGAGTACCACAGAAGCAATGCTGTGCCTTCTCAGCACATCCTGCTTGTCCCAGGCTCGGGATATCTGTATGTTTCATTTTTGGTGAAGTTAAGGTGATGCCTAAAAGTTTCTCCACTTTAAAAGTTACTACATTTTGGTTTATGATTAATAAGTAACATATAGGGAGCTACTTAAAAACCGTATAAATATCTTTTTTTTCATAAGGCCTTTGCCTAACATCCATAGTTAACTCTTGGCTGAAACAATTATTCCATTTCTTTCATTCCTTCTAGATTTATTAGTTGGAATTCTACTTTAAGGAAGACCCGTCTGTAACCTACTATTTATTTTTATTTAAACTATGTAATCAATAGTAATTCATGGCTTCCTGTTTTATTTTATGGGTAATAATCTAACAGTATCATTATTTTCCTTCTCAAATTGTTCTTCTGAAACCATTTTGAAAATCAATCTGTCAGAAATGTCAGAAAAACAGATTACAAAGGTAATTTGGTATGAGTTGATAAGGTCTCTTTCAGAGTTAAGGTTTTATGCTATGGGTGTGTTCACACATAGGAATGTGCCTGAAATACAATTTGCTACCTTTCCTTTCTTTGTCCCAGTTGTATTAATGAATCAGAGATCATTACTGGGTTTGAAAGATGTTTTTCTGAGCTGTAGTCTGGTGATCTGTCCTTAGGCCAAATCCTTTGTTAAAAAATATTTATTTATGTTTTATTTATACACCATACCTGTACATATTTCCACAGTACATGTGATAATTTGATACATTCATACAGTCAAAACAAGGAAACTGAAAAATCTTTTACCTTAAATATTTATCTTTTATTTATGCCAGGAACATTCAAATTATTCTTTTCTAGTTGTTTTCAAATATATAATTAAATAATACTAACTACAGTTATCCTACTAATCTATCCAACGCCAGGTCTTATTTTTTCTCAGTGCATATTTATACCTATTAATCAACCTCTCTTCATCTTCCCTTTGCCTTTCTCAGACTATGGTAACCACCAACCTACTCCTTGTCTTCTAGAGACCCACTTTTTTAGTTCCCACGTATAAGTGGGAATGTGCTTAGATTATTTCACTTAACTAGTGATCTCCAGTTCCATCCACATTGCTGCAAATAACAGAATTTCATTTTTTATACCTGAATAATATTCCATTGTGTGTACATACACCAGATTTTCTTTATCCACTCACCCATTAATGGATACTTAGGTTGATTCCATATTTTGACTATTGTGAATAGTGCTAAACATGGGAGTGCAGATACCTCTTTGATACAGTGATTTCCTTTCTCTTGGATATATACTCAGTAGTGAAATTTCTGCATTGTATTATAGCACTATTTTTAGATTTTTTTGTTTAGTTTTAATTTTTTTGAGGAACATCTATACTGTTTTCCATAATAGCTGTACCATTTTACATTGCCACCAACAGTGTGTGATATTAATTCCCCTTTCTCCATGTCCTCACCAGCATCTGTTATCCTCTGCCTTTTTGATAAAAAGGCATTATAACTAAGCGAGAAGATACCTCATTGTGATTTTGACTTGCATTCCTCTTACGCTTAATGATGCTGAGCATTTCTTCATATGTGGCCATTTATATACCTTATTTTGAGAAATGTTTATTCACATCTTTTGCTCATTTTTAAATTGGATTACTTACTTTTTTGTTATTTAGTTGTTTGAGCTCCTTATATATTCTGGTTATTAATCCCTTGTTAGATGGCTAATTTCTAAAGACTCACATTCTGTGGGTTGTCTCTTCAGTTTGTTGATTGTTTCCTTTGCTGTGCAGATTTTTAGCTGAATGTAATTTCATTTGTTTATTTTTGTTTTTGTTGTGTGTGTTTTTGAGGTCTTACACAAAATAATCTTTGATCAGACCAATGTCCTGGAACACTCCCCCAAAGTTTTTTTCTAGTACTTTCACAGTTTGAGGTCTTAGATTTAATTCTTTCATCCATTTTGATGTGATTTTTGTATTTGGTGAGAGATAGTGATACAGTTTCATTTTTTCTCATTTGGTTATCTAGTTTTCTTAACATCATTTATTGAAAAGAATGTACTTTCCCCATTGTATGTTCTTGGTGCCTTTGTTGAAAATGAGTTGGCTTTAAATTCATGCATTTATATTCTATTCCACTTGTCTATGTGTCTATTTTTATTCCAGTACCATGCTGATTTGGTGACTATAGCATTTTAGTATATTTTGAAGTTAGGTGTAGTGTGATGCCTCCAGCTTTGTTTTTTTTGCTTAGGATTGCTTTGGCACTCTAGGGTCTTTTGTGGGCCTATATAAATTTTAGCATTACTTTTTCTCTTTCTGGGAATAGTGTCACTGGCGTTTTGATAGGGATTGCACTGAATCTGTAATTGCTTTGGGTACTATTGTCATTTTAACAATATTAATTCTTCCAATCCACAAGCCTGGAACATTCTTTCATTTTTTTTGTGTGATCTCTTCAATTTCTTTCATTAGTGTTTTATAGTTTTCCTTGTATAGATCTTTTACTTTTTGGTTAAATTGATTCCTATACATTTTATATTCTTTGTAGCCGTTGTACATGAGACGGCTTTCTTGCTTTTTTTTCACATTGTTTGCTGGTGGTATATATACATGCTACTGATGTCTGTATGTTGATTTTGTATCCTGTAATTTTAAATTAATGTATCAGTTCTAAGAGTATTTTAGTGGAGTCTAGCTTTTTCACACTACAATATTGTTTGCATACAAAGCTAATTTGACTTCTTCCTTTACAATTTGGATGCCTTATTGCTTCCTCTTGACTAATTGCTCTAGCCAGGACTTCCAGTACTATGTTGAATAAAAGTAGTAAAAGTGGGAATTCTTGCCTTGTTCCAGATAATTGAGGAAACACTTTCATTTTTTTCCTATTGGGTATAAGGTTGACTGTGGGTTTGTTATATATGACTTTTATTGATTTGAGTATGTTCTCTCTATACTTAGTTGATTGAGGGTTTTTCTCATAAAGGGATGCTGAATTTTATTGAATGCTTTTTCAGCATCTGTTGAAATGATCATATGATTTCTGTTCTTGTGATTTATCATGTTTAGTGATTTGCATATCCTGAACCATTCTTGCATCCCTGAGAAGAATCTCACTGGATCATGGTGAATATCTTTTTAATATGTTGTTAAATTTGGTTTACTAGTGTTTTGTTGAGGATGTTTGCACCTGTGTTCATCAGTGATATTGGCATGTAGTTTCCTTTGTGTGTGTGTGTGTGTCCTTGTCTGGTTTTGGTATCAGGGTAATCTGGCTTCATAGAATGATTTTGGAAGTATTCCCTCCCCTTCAATTTTTTTGAAGAGCTTGAATGGTATTGGTATTAGTTATTTAAATTTTTGGTGGAATTCAGTAGGAAAGCCATCAGGTCCTGGGCTTTTCTTGGATGTGAGACTTTTTATTACTGCTTCAATCTCATTACTTGTTATTGGTTTGTTCAGGTTTTCTATTTCTTTATGGTTAAATCTTGGTAGGTTGTATGTGTCCAAGAATTTATCCATTTCCTCTAAGTATTTCCATTTGTTGATATATAGTTGTTCATAATAGTTTCTAATAATTCTTTGTATTTTTGTGGTCTTAGCTGTTATATACTTTTTTTGTTTCTGATTTTATTTATTTGAATCTTCTCTCCTTTTTTCTTACTTTAGCTAAAATCCAATCCTTTATCTCTGTCTTTCCTTAGGGGCATTTCTCCCTTCAGAAACTGATATGGTTTGGCTCTTTGTCCCCACCAAAATCTCATCTCGAATTGTAATCCCCACATGTTGAGGGAGGGACCTGGTGAGAGGTGACTGGATCATGGGGACAGTTTCCCTGACGCTGTTCTCATGATAGTGACAGATTAAGTGTTTGGCAATTCCCACCTCACTCTCTCTCCTACTACCTTGCTTCCCCTTCACCTTCCTCCACGATTATAAGCTTCCTGAGGCCTCCCCAGCTATGCAGAACTGTGAGTCAATTAAACCTCTTTTCTTCATAAATTACTCAGTCTCAGGTAGTATCTTTAAAGCAGTGTGAAAACAGACTAATACAGGCACTCATGATGCTTCCTGTGTGTGGAGGTATGGACAAGTGTCCATCTGCTTGTGGTTCTTTCATTTATGTGTGTCCTCAGGAACTAACTTATTCTCATGTTTGAGTTCTGAAATATTGCTGGAGATAATCTTGGTGCAGCATATTTATTTTTGGTTTTCTGGCTTCATAGATGAAGCCAGCTTGCAACTATGCTGCCCTTTTGGAACTAGAAGTCTCTGGGCCAAATCTTTGGGCTCAGCTAGACTCTTCCCTTGATCTGCTTTCTACCCTGCCTATCACTAGATCTCTTCACATACCTCTTCCTTATATTTAACGAAAAACCCCAAACCAAAGAAAAACCTTTTAAGTTTCTTCTTTATCAAAGGTATTCTTAAGTTGATAAATATTAAATTCATCCAAATATTATTAATTTTAAAAATTAATAATAATATCACTCCTCACTCATGTGGCTTTCACAGCGTACAGGCTCTCTTATTTAGGCTTTACGGAAATTGAAACCACGATTTAAATGTAAATGGTATGTTTGGTAAATTCAGATAACACAGGTAGAGATGTGATAAAAAGGAAGGAAGACAGCCAACAAAAGGTGAGCTACTAAGCCAACTGATGTGCTTTGGCTATGTCCCTCCCCCAAATCTCATCTTGAATTGTAGTTCCCATAATCCTCACGTGTTGTGGAAGGGACCAGGTGGAGATAATTGAATTATGGGGGTGGTTTTCCCCATCCTGTTCTCATGATAGTGAATTAGGGATCGGATGGTTTTATAAGGTGTTTCCCCTGCCCTTCGCTCTGCACTCTTCCTTGCCTGCTACCATGTAAGATGTACCTTTGCTCCTCCTTCACCTTCTGCCATGACTGTGAGGCCTCCCCATCCACGTGGAACTGTGAGTCCATTAAACCTCTTTTTCTTTATGAATTACTCAGTCTTGGGTATGTTCTTATTAGCAGCATAAGAATGGGCTAATATACCAACTAACATGGTACATAACTTGAGCTAGATCCTGCTTGGAAACTCTGGAAATTGATCACCAAGCTTGATAGCACGATTCATAAAAACCATGCACCATAATCATCTGACTTGAAGTATAAGGAAACTGGAATATTTATATACAAATCATTGGAGAACCATTGGTGGAGAATTGCTCACAGAAGTGTTAGTTCCTCAGCACTCCACCTGTTCAGTGTGTGCATACACACATACAGCAATGGAATCTTCCACAGTTCCAGCAAAAAGATCCCTCAGGTGCACAGCTTTAGATACTAGAAGTTGGATGTTGGCCAAAGGACACTGAGATACTTGTATCCAAGTTCTGTTGCATAGTTTATTCAGTGCTAAAAGAGAATCATGCCGAGTAGCCAGAGTAGCTGTAATTTTTGTCTTATGAATTAAGTGAGGTTTGGAAAACCCAAGTGACAAACTGAAAGTCACATAGTATAACATATGTACATGAAGGTTATTGTTAGACAATTAGAGAGCATAGGGAAAAATACAGTCTGTGCTTCCATTTGCCAGAGATTAGAATTGTTAGTATCAGATGGACCCTTAGAAGAGAGAAACTTGCTGCTCAGCTTTCCAAAGTGAACCCTGGGACCTCTCTGCCACATGAAGTCTTTAGACTTACTTCAAATTGCAAAACGGGATGAACCATTCCCATTTCTCAATGATTTACATTTGGCTGCTCTGCTCAATTGGTACCACTGAATAATGACCCATATTTCATTTCTTGCTGACTTACCTGCACATTAGGCAGTTTCTATTAAAGTCCTAATGTACCAAAGCAAGGTAAATGGATGATCAGGAGGTTGTTCCATACAGCTCAAAGTTTCCATAGAGTCATCCACCTGGAGACATAGTCCAGCTAATTCTTTGAATCTAAAAAATAAGAAATACCTGTGTTAATTCAACACTAAAGATAAAGCAAGTGTTCCATATTTTGCATAGAGATAAACGCAGTTACAGACCTAAGAAACAATAACAGAACTAGTGAGGAGTCAAAATGCTCTGATAAGGTATCAATAATTTATTCATTCAGCCTTTCAGTCATATTTTTTCTATTGAATCTCTGTTATGTGCTTGACTTTGTGCTAAGTATCAATGCTACAAAAATAAGTATCACAGCCGGGCGCAGTGGCTCACGCCTGTAATCCCAGCACTTTGCGAAGCCGAGGCGGGCGGATCACGAGGTCAGGAGATCGAGACCATCCTGACTAACACGGTGAAACCCCATCTCTACTAAAAATACAAAAAATTAGCTGGGCGTGGTGGCTCGCGCTTGTAGTCCCAGCTACTCGGGAGGCTGAGGCAGGAGAATGGCGTAAACCCGGGAGGCGGAGCTTGCAGTGAGCCGAGACTGCGCCACTGCACTCCAGCCTGGGTGACAGAGCGAGACTCCGTCTCAAAAAAAAAAAAAAAAAAAAAAATGTATCACAATCTCTGTTTTTATGGAACTCATGCTCATAGATAAGTGTGGATTCACAAACTTTATTGGAAGCTGGAAACATTTATGATGCAATACAATGTAGTCTACAATAGAATACACAATGATAAAAAATGAAGGTGAAATAACAGACTGGGAGCAGATTGTGAAGAGCCTTGAATGTGATGACAGGGCTGTGATGATAAGAATTCACTGAACTTTACTTTCGAACAGTAGAATGACTCAAGTAGCAATAGCAAGAAAATGAAGAAAATAATTTACCACAAAGAAAACTATGTAACCTGCTTCTTGAGTATTATTCTCCATTTTAAAGAAATGGAGAAAGAAAGTTATTAAAAACAACCTCTTAGGACTATATCAGCCACTGATCACGATTTTTGAATATCTTTGCCTTGCTTATTTTCTTTTCTTTTTTAGACAGTGTCTTGCTCTGTCGCTCAGGCTGGAGTGCAGTGGTGCAATCTCAGCTCACTGCAAGCTCCTCAGCCTCCCAGGTTCACGCCATTCTCCTGCCTCAGCCTCCCGAGTAGCTGGGACTACAGGCAAATGCCACCACGCCTGGCTAAATTTTTTGTATTTTTAGTAGAGACAGGGTTTCACCGTGTTGGCCAGGATGGTCTGGATCTCCTGACCTCTTGATCCACCCGCCTCGGGCCTCCCAAAGTGCTGGGATTACAGGCTTGTAATCCCGGCCTGCCTTGCTTATTTTCTTAGAGGTGACATCCATTGCTTACTGATATTTTATCCATGGCTCTGGCCCACCTTCAGAGGGCATTCAAGAAATTCATGGAAAAATGTGGGAAATGTTATAAGATATAGATACTTCTATGGGTTTGACTTCAGAAATTTTTTCAAAGGAGATTTATGAGTATATATCTCAAGAAAATTATTTTATTCTATTGGCTCTGTGCTTAAAATAAAAATATGAGATGAAAATGGCTTAGAAGTATAACACCAACAGAAAATTATTATTGAGGTTTTGTTATGAGATACAATTATGAATAACATGAGTAGACTCATTACTATCTTCACCTGAGAACTGGAGAGATGGTGAAACAGAGCTGCATCATGAAAAGAGCATGAAGCCCCTGACATTGATAAGCAAATTAAGTTTCAGGATATAGAATCATGTACAAAAATCAGTAGCATTGTTATACACCGATAGCACTCTAGCTGACAAACAAATCCGGAACACAATCTCATTTATAATAACTACAAAGAAAATTAAATACATAGGAATCCATCTAACCAAGGAGGTGAATGACCTCTACCAGGAGAACTGCAAAATACTGTTGAAAGAGATCAGAGCCAACACAAATAAACAGAAAATATTCCATGCACGTGGAATAGAAGAGTCGATATAGTTAAAATGGTCATATTGCCCAAAGCAATTTATAGTTCAATGCTATTCCTATTAAAAGACCAACGTCACTTTTCACAGAATTAGAAAAATCTATTCTGAAAGTCACTGGGAACCAAAAAAGTGCCTGAATAGCCAAAGCAATCCTAAACAAAAAGAACGAAACTAGAGACATCATACTACTTGACTCCAAACTATATTACAAGGCTACAGTAATAAAAATAGTATAGTACTGGTACAAACATAGACACATAGAACAGTGGAACAGAATAGAGAACCCAGAAATAAACCTGCATGCCTAAAACCTTCTGATCTTTTGCAAAATCAACAACAAAAAAAGCAATGGGAAAAGTACTTCCTATTCAATAAATGGTGTTGGGAAGAATGGAAATGGACCTCTACTTTTCACTATCTATGAAAATTATCTGAAGATGGGTTAAAGATTTAAATGTAAAACCTAACACTATAAAAATGTTAGAAAACCTAGGAAATACCCTTCTCAACATAGGCTTTGGCAAAGAAGTTATGGCTAAATCTCCAAAAGTAATTGCAACAAAACCAAAAATTGACAAGTGGGATCTAATTAAACTAAAGAGCTCCTGCACAGCAAAAGAAATTGCTAACAGAGTAAACAGACAGCCTACAGAATGGAAGAAAATATTTGCACACTATGAATGTGACAACGATCTAATAGCCTGAATCTACAAGGCACTTAAATCAACAAGCAAAAAACAAACAATCCAATTAGAAAATGGGCAAAGGACATAAACAGATACTTCTCAAAAGAATACATACAGCTTGCCAACAAACATATGAAAAAATGTTCAACATCCCTAATCATTAGAGAAATGCAAATCAAAACCACAGTGAGATACCATCTCACAGCAGTCAGAATGGCTATTATTAAAAAGTCAAGACACAACAGATGTGTGATACTGCAGAGGAAAGGGAATGCTTATACATTGAGGGTGGGAGTGAAAATGAGTTTAGCCACTGTGGAGAGCAATTTGGAAATATCTCACAGAACTTAAAAATAGAATTATCATTTGACCCAACGATCCCACTCCTGGGTATGTACCCAGATGAAAATAATTCATTCTGTCTTAAAGACATATGCACCTGTATGCTCACTGTAGCCCTATTCACAAGAGCAAAAACGTGGAATCAACCTAAATGCCCATCAGCAGTAGGTTGAATAAAGAAGATGTCATACATATACACCATGGAATACTATGTAGCCATATAAAACAACAAAATCATGTCCTTTGCAGAAACATGATGGAGCTGGAGGCCATTATCCTAAACAACCTAACACAAGAACCGCAAACCAAGTACTGCATGTTCTCACTTATAAGTAGAAGCTAAACATTGAATACACTTGATTGTAAAGATGAGAACAATAGACACCGGGGATCATTATATGGGAGGGAGGAAGGGGGGCATGGACTGAAGAACCACCTGTCGGGTCCTATGCTTATGTCCTGGGTGACAGGATTGTTGGGACCCCAAGGTTCAGCATCACACAATTTACCTTTATAACAACCTGCATGTGTACCCTTTAATCCATAATAAAAGTTGAATTTTTTTTAAAAAAAGAAAACAGCATGGGATTTGTGGAAGAGATAGATGTAAATGTCAAATTAACAACGGCAAAAGTGCCTAACCCTGCCTGATCTTAATTCTTCATTTGTAAACTGGAGATAATATAGTCATCTTTTTATTGCCCTCAATATTTACCTTGCTGTATTCAAGTATGTATCTATTCTTGGGCATTTATGACACATGTCTATGTTTATTGAATTTCTGTCTCCCCCATTAAAATACAATTTCTACCCATGCAGGAATATTATTAGTCTTGGGTACTGTGAGAAGTAGAATAATGGTCCCCCAAAGATGTCCATCTTCTAATCCTCAGAAGCATTGAATATATTACATTATATGGCAAATGAAACTTAATGTACCAAATTGAATTAAGTTTGCTATCAGCTAACCTTAATTTAGGGACATGATTCAGATTATCCAGGTAATTAAATAGAGAGATGGCAGTGTGAGGACTCAGCTGGGTACTGCTGACTTTGAAGATCAAGGAATGGGTCTACAGGCCAGGGAATGTGTGGGTAACTTCTAGGAGCAGGAAAGAGCAAGAAAATCAATTCTCCCCTAGAACCTTCATTAGGAACACAGATCTGCTGACATGTTGGGTTTAACCAGCTGAGACCCATTTCAGACTCTGACTTCCAGAAATGAACAATAATAAATTTGTATTGTTTTAAGCCATTAAGTTTGTAGCAATTTTTTAAACCAGCAGTGGAGAACTAATATGAACTGAAACACAGCAAAGACTAAATGTCTGGGCGAGTGTGTGCAGGTATATTTTATAAAAGAATAAAAACACAATCACTTAAAATACTAATGCCACAATTTAAGAGGGCACAGAGAGCTACAAGTAAGAGTAAAACACATATACACATGCACAAAGGCCAAGTAGATATGAAAGAGTTTTAATGCAAAATTATTTAGTTAAATTATATCTAATATTTTATACACTGCATATAGAAAGATACATACTATTCTACAGAAAACATTTGAGTGCTAGGGTTTAGAAATACAAAACTGTATATAACATCTTTTTGAGGAAAAAGGGTTTAGAAGGCCTTCTTATTGCTACAGTCATGTTGCTTTTTAATTATTACTTGCTGTATTTCTAAACTATTCTGCTGTTTAGTATTACATGAAGCCCTAGACAACATCACTGAGAGAAATTCATTTTCCAAGATGTATAGTAATTCTGATCAATGCCATCTTTATATCATTATTTTCTCTCCCAGTCACTGCCATCCTCTTCTCTCTGTTTTCCCTCATGTCATCATCACATTTTAGTATTCAATGCATTTAGGATTGAATAATAAATACTAACCACCAAGACACTCAATAATATTATTTCATCACACATTTAAGGCTAAGCACTGCAAGACAAAATGGATAGAAAATAATTAAACATAGGCACAAGGTGAGACCAGGACATCTTTTCATGACACAAAATAATAGATTATTCAATGAATGATGGAGATATATTAAAAATATAGTTCAGCTGGTTTGAAGGGGCTCTAACTGGCCAAATCTGGGACAACTGGAACATACAAATAAAAATGCAAACTAATAAATACGGAATTATTGATGGTGCTAAACTCACACATAAATGCTAAAATTAGTGAGTAAACTTTCATTAAAAAAATACCTATAATCTCATGGTACATCCCCACAAATTAGTTACTAATTACAAAGAAAAAAATATACAGGCATACCTCATTTTACTGCATTTCATTTTTAAAATTGTACTTTGTAGATATTGCATTTTTCACAAATTGAAGGTTTATGGCAACTATGTTGGCAAATCTGTTGGTACCATTTCCAACAGTATGTACTCACTTTGTGTCTCTATGTACATTTTGGTAATTCTCACAATATTTCAAAGTTTTTCATTATTATATTTGTTATGGTGATCTGTGATCAGTAATCTTCAAGGTTACTATTGTAATTGTTTTGGGATGCTAAGAAATGCACCCATATGAGACGGCAAAATTAATCAATAAATGTTGTGACAATAAATGTTCTGACTGCTTCACTGATTGTCTGTTTCTCTGTCTCTCTCCTACTTTTTGGGCCTCCCTATTCCCTGAAATACAACCATATTGAAATTAAGCTAGTTAATAACCCTAAAACGGCATCTAAGTGTTCAAGTGTTAAAGTTCAAGGCACACGTCTTGCACTTTAAAAGCTAAAAATAATTCAGCTTAGTGAGGAAGACATGTTGAAAACCACCATAGGCTGAAAGCTAGGCATCTAGATGTCACCAAACAGATAGCCAAGTTGTGAATGAAAAAACATTCTTCAAGGAAATTAAAAGTGCTATTTCCATAAACACTCAAATGATAAGAAAGTAAAACGGCCTTATCGCTGATATGAAGAAAGTTTTACTGCTCCGGGACAGATCAAACCGGCCACAACATTCCCTTAGGCCAAAGCCTATTCCAAAGCAAGGACCTAACTCTTTTCAAGTCTATGAAGGCTGAGAGAGGTGAGAAAGTTGCAGAAGAAAAGTTTGAAGCTATCAGAAATTGATTCATGATGTTTAAGGAAAGAAGCCATCTCTCTAACATAAAAGTACAAAGTGAAGCAGCAAGTGTTGATGAAAAAGCTGCTTCAAGTTATCCAGAAGAGGTAGATGAGACAATTGTTGAAGGTACTACACTAAACAAGATATTTTTGATGCAGATAAAACAGCCTTCTATTCTAAGAGGATGTCATCTAAGACTTGCATAGCTGGAGAGAAGAAATTGATGCCTGGGTTTCATGCAAAGCTTCAAAGTATAGGCTGACTGTCTTTCTAGGGGCTAATGCAACTGGTGACTAAGTTGAAGCCAATGCTTATTGACCATTTCACAAATTCTAGGGCACTTGACAATTATGCTACATCTACTCTGCCTGTGTTCTCTAAATGAAACAACAAAGCCAGGATCACAGCACATCTGTTTACATCATGGCTTACTAAATATTTCAACCCATTGTTGAGAACCACTGCTCAGAAAAAAAAAATTCCTTTCAAAACATTGCTGCTTATTGACAATGGACATAGTCACCCAAGAGTTCTGATGGAGAGGTACAAGCAGATTACTGTTGTATTTATGCCCACTAACATGTCAATTCTGCAGCCCATGGATCCAGAAGTAATTCTGACTTTCAAGTCTTATTATTTAAGAAATACATTTCATAAGGCTATAGCTGCTATAGATAGTGATTCCTTTATGGATCTAGGAAAAGTAAATTGAAAACATTCTGGAAAGCCTTTATCATTCTAGATGCCTTAAATAACATTTGTGATTCATAAAAGGACTTCAAAATATTAACATTAAGAGTATTATTCCAACCCTTATGGAATATTTTCAAGGGTTCAAAACTTCAGTGGAGGAAATCACTGCAGGTGATTATAGCAAGAGAAGTAGAACTGGAAGTAATAGCAAAAGAAGTAGAATTAGAAGTAAAGCCTGAAGATGCTATTGAATTGCTACAATTTCATGGCAGATATTGAAAGGATGAGGTGTTACTACTTATAAATATGCAAAGAAATTGTTCTCTTGCATTGGAATCTGTTTCTGGTGAATATGCTATAAACAGGGTTGAAATGACAATGAAGATCTTAGAATATTATATAAACCTGCTTAATTAAACAGTGGCAGTGGTTAAGATACTGACTCCTATTTTGAAAGAGGTTCTACTGTGGGTAAAATGCTATCAAACAGCATACCATGCCACAGAGAAATGTTTTATGAAAGGAAGAGTCAACTGAAGTTGCAAACTTCAGTGTTGTCTTACTTTAAGAAATTGCCACAGCCACCCAGTCTTCAATAACCACCACTCTGATCAGTCAGCCAGAATCAACATCAAGGCAAGAACCTCCACCAGCAAAAAAAACTATGACTTGCTGAAGGCTCAGATGATTATTAGTATTCTTTATCAATACAGTATTTTTAATTTAAATATTTACATAGTTTTTTAGGCATAGTGCTATTGCACACTTAATAGACTACAAGATAGTGTAACGATAACATTTATATACACTGGAAAGCAAAACATTTGTGTGACTCATTTTGTTGCATTATTCACCTTATTGTGGTGGTCTGCAATTGAGCCTGAGATATTTCTAGGGTGTCTATAATGTTATGGTGGAGAAATCTAGCAAAACCACCCTAAACAATAAACTAAATGTATTATCGCTAAATTTGGGGAAAAAATATCATGTGCCTCCTGATAGGCTGCACTGAGAAGGAAATAACATCATTTCTGAGGTATTCCTGCCCAAAATATATAAAACCTGAATAATATCATGGAGATATATTAGATAAACCCAAACTGAAAGAAATGCTATAGAAAAACTGGCCTGCATTCTTTCAAAATATTAGACCAAAGAAATTTTTCAAATGAAAGGAATCTAAGAAGAGATGACAAACAAATGCAACATGATTCTGAATTGAGTCCTGAATCAAGGAACAAGAAGCATAAAGGGTATTATTAAGCAATTGACAAAATTTGAATAGGACTGGGGATCAATTAATATTAAATCAATATTAACTGTCCTGATTTACATAATTGCAATATGAGTGAATAAAAGATTATCTTTATTCTTAGGCAATACATACCAAAATGTTTCTAGATAAACGGTTATAGATAAATATGCATTTGCACCTTAGTCTCAAATGGGATGAAATTTAAAAATAGGCGAATGTAGGTGATATACAATGGTTCCTTATTTTATTCTTGCAACTTTTTTGTTTATTTAAAATTACATCAAAATTTTAAGTTATACGTAATAGCAATTAGTTCAGGTTTTATGCCTTCCAGAGAAGCTGACAATGCCAGGTATTGATGAAGACATAGAAACACTGGAGGCAGTACTTAAATTGCTACAACTGCATTGAAGAAAAAGTGATAGTATGTCTAGTGACTTCATGATCTTTATACCTGTGGTAGGCTGAATGCTATCCCATTAATGATTTCTACATTCTAATCTGTTGAACATGTGAATGTGTTACTTTAAATGGCAGAAGGATCTTTGAAACATGATTAAGTTAAAGATTTTAAGCTGGAGAGATAATCCTGAATTATGTAAATGGGCCCAATGTCATGTAAGAGTCTCTCTAAAGGGTGGTAGGAGAGTCAGAGTCAAAGAAGGAGATGTGATAACGTAAGTAAATGGTCAGTATCAGAGAGACTTGAAGATCCTACATACTGGCTTTGAAGATGGAGAAGTGGGCCAGGAACCAAGGAACACAGGCAGCCTGCAGAAACTGGACAACGTAAGCAAACAGATCCTTCCCTCAAGCCTCTGGAGTAAGCGTGGCCCAGCAGTCCCCTTGATTTTGGCCCAGTGAAACCCACTTCAGACCGTGGCCTGCAGAACTCTAAGATAACAAATTTGCACTATTCAAAGCTACTAATTTTGTGGTAATTTGTTACAACAGCAATAGGAAACTAATGTAACAGCGTATGGCCAGTATTTCTATTTCTAGGTATAGGGTTTACAGAAACTCTCATTTGTGTGGCCAAAACATTTAGACATAGTTTGTAATAGAAATATTGGCACCATTGAATGTCCACCAATGGGGAAATAGATAGTCTAGTCATCTGATGAAACACCAAAAGACTGAATCAGGAAATATGTCGACATAGATAAATCACAAAAATACAATGTTGAGTGAAACAAAATAAAGATTTGCTCTTTGAAATGTAGGTTCAAAAGGATATCATATATGTAAATTCTTAAAACATTAAAAACATTATTCTCTATTAAGGATGCTTGTATATACAAAAATGTATTTTTATAACATGAAATCATATATGCACAGCATACGCATCCAGTGAAGTGTCACATCTGAAAGAAGGGTAGTGAAATTGAGGAAAAAATATCCAGGAGATTCAACCAAATAAATGTAACAATTAGTAAGACTTGCTTAATGAATATGTCCAGTGAGGAGAGAGAAGTCAGTTAGACTTTGGTATTTTTAACTCAAAAAAGTGAATATTTGTTGATAACTAAGCAAGAGTGGGAATAAAGCAGAGCATGTTTAGGGGGAGAACATAATTGTGTTTATTTCAGCCTCTAAAGTTTGAGCATTTTCTCTAAGATATTTACAAAGGGTGATAATAGGGCTGTATAAAAGTTGCTGGAACTTTCTTGAACAAAAGCTTGGACTCCAGAAAATACGTGGGGTGTCAGAAAAGAAGACAATAGAGTGTTTGCTGCTATTGTTGTTGTTTGGCTATAGCACAGCTTACATGCAAGGGAGGGGGATTAAAACGCTCTCAGAATGTAATTTGGGTATCAAGTATTTTAAGGGTCGTAAACTCTAAGCCTGAGACCTATGATCCTGGAACCAGGAATTTTTCACTATCACACAAATTTTAGGGTATTATGTTAATCTGCACCATAAGACATTTCTAAATGTTCAACTTGCTGAGAAAATGGTTAAAATTGCTTTCAGGTACAATATTTTATTTAAAATTTTTTTATTCTTTTCTTTTCTTTTTTGCCTTAGAACACTACAGAAAAATGTGTTCATAAACTTCAAGACCTTTTAAGATATCAAACAGATTTTTAAAGTCAATGAATAATAATGAAAATGACCTAAGAGGCTTTCTGCTCTATCTTTCTGCCAGCATATTGTTGTTCATATTAATATACTTTGCTGCATGTTATCTACTTTGGCTTAAAAATCCACTAGGGATAAAACTATTGAAGTAATTTGCAATTTCTTCCCTTGTCAAGTCATCACTGTGGGTCAGATCAATTTCTGTTATTTTCATAGTAAATTCTGCTTTCTCTTAAATTTAGCTTATATAGATCTTGGCTTAGCTCCTAAAAGAGAAAGTGATTTCTTCCTATCCTTAAGGCATATTTATTTCATCTTTCTGTATACTTTCTAGATAGTTCATTATCAAATTATATGATACTATACAAACCCAGCAATGTAAATATTTCTTTATAAATTAGTCTTCTTGTGACTCCCTCCTACCATACCCATTATGTTGCACAAGAAGAGCCTAGGATATCACCAAGATGTTGCCTTCTCTGTTTCTTCTCATTTATTGGTATTTGGTTCAAAAAATAGTGCTGGCCACCTACTTATATAATATAAAAATAACAGTTACTTAAGAAAGAATTTAAAAATTTTTTTAACTGCCAAACAAAAATTATGGTGACACCGGTTTGAATCTGTGTTCCTACCCAAATCTCACATCAAATTGTAATCTCCAGTGTTGGAAATGGAGCCCAGGGGGAGGTGATTAGATCACGAGGACTGTTTCCCATGATTGGTTTATCACCATCCTCTTGGTATTGTCCTCATGGTACTGAGTGAATTCTCACAAAATTAGGTTGTTTAAAAGTGTGTAGCACCACCTCCACCCTCTCTCTTGCTCCTGCTCCTGCCAGGTAAGATACCTGTTTCTCCTTTGCCTTCTGCTATAATTGGAAGCTTCCTGGGACCTCCCCAGTAGCAGAAGCTTCTATGTTTCCTGTATAGCCTGCAAAACCATGAGCCAATTAAACCTCTTTTCTTATTACCCAACCTAAGGTATTTATTTATAGCAATGGGAGAATGGCCTAATATATATGGCTTTTTCAATCTTCATTTTAAAAGCATGTTTAGGATTTGTGTGTGTGTGTTTGTGTGTGTGTGAATGTGGAAGAATCATCTTTGTAGGTTAGGACTCTAGTTGCCTGGGAAAAACAATGTTGGCCAGAGGCAGTTATTGTACATACTGTGTTTAAGTCACCAGTATTTTTATTTACAAAGAAAATCCTACCTAATTTGGGGTGTATTTAGGGTTTACTAGTCCTTTACACAAATCAATTTAAAAGCAAAATGGGATTCTTATAGGAAAAAAGAGAAATGTGAAGGAGAAGGTCAAACTAGATAAGAAACGGAAGAAGTATTTGTGATCATCTTTAGAGCATTGTTTCTCTAAGACTTGATTCCAACTAGTTTCCCATTGTCATAGCAATGCACTATTTATGAGCTGAATCCCAATTTATCTATCCTTGCTCATGCCTCTGGCATGTTTTTATCTCTAATGTATAGCATCTTTCAATATATTATCATTCCATGAGTGTCTTTGTTATTTTCCCTTCCAGGTCTTTTCTAATGGAATGCTACCCATGTTAAATACAACCCTGTTTGTCTTCCAAAAGAATCTTGGTGTTGTTTCACCAAGTGAAACTACAAAGAATAAAAACTAGCCCAGTATGCTTAGATTCTTTTAAATTAAAATGTCCTGATCCATATACTGAGAAATGTAAAAGAATCCAAATTAAAAATATGTGAATTATCCTTTCCCTCCATTAATGTGCCAATTCCATCATCAGAAGCAATTATGTAGGTTTCGTTTACATGTTCCTTATTAACCTATGTATGTCTCATTCGTGCCTAATTATGCAGTGGATATTTGGAGGATTTCTTCAGTGATTTTTTTCTAATATTTAACTGATTATTAAAAATTAAAATTTAGCAGATGTTAACATTTCAATTCTAAGTAATTTAGGTCAACATTAGTTGTAAATATTAATACACAAATACCTCAAACATGTTGCAGGTCCAGTTCAAGACCACCACAATAAAATGAATATCACAATAAAGCAAGTCACACAAATTTTTTGGTTTCACAGTGGATATAAAAGTTATGTTTACACTATACTGTAGACTATTAACTATGTAAAAGCATTATGTCTAAAAAAATACCTATCTTAATTAAAAATACTTTATTGCTGAAAAATGCTGATGATCATCTGAGCCTTCCATGAGTCATGATATTTTTGCTGGTAGAGAATCTTGCCTTGATGTTGATGGCTGGCTTCTAACTTATCAGAGTGGTGGTTGCTGAAAGCTGAAGTGGCTATGGCAATTTCTTAAAATAAGGCTAATAAATTTTGCTACATGGAATGACTCTCCCTTTCACAAAAGATTTTTCTATGGCATGTGATGCTGTTTGATAGCATTTTACTCAGAGTAGAGCTTTTTTCAAAATTGAAGTCAATCTCATATCCTGCTGCTGCTTTGTCAACTAGGTTTATATCATATTCTAAGTTTTTCATTGTCATTTCAACAATGTTCACAGCATTTCACCAGGAGTAGATTTCATCTAAAGAAATCACTTCCTATGTTGATCCACAGAAGCAACTCCTCATCTGTTCAAGTTTTATTATGAGATTGCAGCAATTCACTCACATCTTTAGGCTCTATTTCTAATTCTAGTTCTGTTCTGTTGCTATTTCCACCATATTTGCAGTGACTTCCTCCCCTGAAGTTTTGAACCCCTGAAAGTCTTCCATGAGGGTTGGAAACAACTTCTTCCACATACCTCTTAATGTTGATATCTAAACATCCTTCATGGATCACAAATGTTCTTTACGTAATCTAGAATAACAAATCCTTTCTAAAAAGTTTTCAATTTACTTTTTCTAGATTCATAAAGGAATAACTGTCTATGGCAGCTATAGCCTTACTAAATGTTATTTTTTAAAAAATAATACTTGAAAGTCAAAATTATTTCTGGATCCATGGGCTGCAGAATGGGTGTGTATTAGTAGGCATGAAAACAGCAGTAATCTCCTCGTACATCTCCATCAGAACTCTTGGGTGAACTAATGCATTGACAATGAGCAGTAATGTTTTGAAAGAAATTCTTTTTTCTGAGCAGTGAGTCTCAATGGTTGGTAAAAAATATTTAGTAAACCATTATGTAAACAGGTATACTGTGATCCTGGCTTTGTTTCATTTAGAGAATACAGGCAAAGTAGGCTTGGCATAACTGTTAAGATCTCTAGGATTTTGGAATGTTTGATAAGCGTTGAACTTCAACTTAAAGTTACAAGTTGCACTAGCCCCCAGGAAGAGAATCATTCTAAACTTTGAAGTTTTGCATCAAACCCAGGTATCAATTTCTCCTCTCTAGCTATGCAAGTCCTAGATGGCATCTGCTTTGAGTAGAAGGCTGTTTCATCTACATTGAACATATCTTGAATAGTGTAGTCAGCTTCAACAATTGCCGAGCTAGGTCCTCTCAATAATTTGCTGCAGCAAATTATTGAGACACCAGTATTCACTGCATCACCTTGCACTTTTATGTTATAGAGATGGCTTCTTTTCTTAAAACTCATGAACAAATTTCTTCTAGCTTCCAACTTTTCTTCTATGGCTTTCTCACTTCTCTCAGTCTTCATAGAATTGAAAAGAGTTTTTTTTTGTTTTGTTTTGTTTTTTTTTAAGAATTGAAAAGAGTTAAAAATCCTTGCTCTGGATTAGGCTTTGGCTTAAGGGAATGTTGTGGTTAGTTTGGTCTTCTGTCCTGATCAGTACAACTTTCTTCATATCAGTAATAAGGAAGTTTTGCTTTCTTATTATTTGTGTGTTTACTGGAGTAGCACTTTTAATTTTCTTCAGCATGTTTTCTGTTCATTCCCAAATTCACTAGCTGTTTGGTGACATCCAGACACCTAGCTTTTGGCATATGTTGGTTTTCAACATGGCCTTCCTCATTAAGCTGAATCATTTCTAGCTTTTGATTTAAAGTGCAAGACATGTGACTCTTCCTTTCACCTGAACACTTACATGCCATTGGAGGGTTATTAACTGGCTTAATTTCAATATGATTGTATCTCAGGAAATAGGGAGGTCCAAAGAGGATGAGAGGGATGAGGGAACAGTCAACCAGTAGAGCAGTCAAAACACACTCTATCTTTATGGATTAAATTTGCTGTCTCATATGGATGCATTTCTTAGTACCCCGAAACAATTACAATAGTAATCTCAAAGATTACTGATCACAGATCATCATAACAGATATAACAATTAAAATGATTGAAACAATATGTTGAGACTTGCCAACATGTGACACAGAAACATGAAGTGAGCCCATGCTGTTGGAAAAAAATGGCACCAAAGACTTACTTGATGCATTTTATCCACAAACCTCAATTTGTAAAAAAGCATATCTGTAAAACACAGTAAAGTGAATAGCAATCAAATCAGGTATGCCAGTATATATTAATGGAAATGTAACAGCCAATGTCATTTATTTCATTTTGAAGTATTTTTTCAAATAGTTGACAAAAACCATGCTACACTATTGATATAGTTTTGTTGTGTCCCCACCCAAATCTCACCTTGAATTGTAATAATCCCACTTGTCAAGGGCAGGGCCAGGTGCAGATAATTGAATTATGGGGGGGGGTTCCCCAATACTGTTCTCATGGCAGTGAATAAATTTCTTGAGATCTGGTGGTTTTATAAATGGGAGTTCCCCTGCACAAGCTCTCTTGCCCGCCACCATGTAAGACATGCCTTTGTTTCTCCTTTGCCTTCCACCATGCTTGTGAGGCCTCCCCAGCCACATGGAACTGTGAGTCCATTAAACCTCTTTCTTTTATAAATTACCCAGTCTCTAGTGTGTCTTTATTAGCAGCGTAAGAACAGACTAATACAACTATTATACCTGTCTGTCACTTTTTGTCAGCATCACTCTCTGAACTACATGGACATAAGAAACTTTGCTCTGTAATACAAATTATGGTAAAGTGGTGTTAGAGTAGCTATCAATTTTCACTTACATTCATATTTCTATAGATACACATAATAGATTTACAGTAAACTTTATTTTCTTTTTTATCTCTCTTTGTATGGGATTTAATAAAATACAAGTTTTGTAAATCTTCTGCGTATGTGTTCATTGCATATGCTGATTATGGGAGACCAGTATAAAAAATCTCCACGTAGCATTTAAGCTCCTTGATAATATAAAATATCAATATAGCAATCCTGAGAACAACCGTATGGATAATAAACAGTTTATGACTTTTAGGTTTGTACATAAGACAAGCCAAACTTTGCAGGTATGTAGGTTGCATGTTTTTAGTAAGAAAGCTGAACATGAAGTATCAGTACATACTTTGCTGAGAATTAGCATATGCTTATTTTTTTCGTGTGTGTTCCCACAAAAACAATAGAAGAACACCTGTCTGTGAGTGTCAGGATTAAAGAAAGAAATGTTTAGAGTCCTTAACTTCTTCCCTAAGAGAAATATTTAAAGAAATTAGAAAATTTTCTCCCCTTAGAACAATCATAAAGTTCTTCCTATAGTAGATTCATTGTAGATTCTGAAAATCAAGATGAATCTGCCCACAAACCTAAGCCTGTTCTGCCTCACCTCCAGGACTCAAGACTGTTCAAATCATTAAATAATTTCACATTTGACAGAAGGCATAGCAGCGTGGAAAGAGTCAAATAATATTAGCTATTATGATTTATAAAGATAAAATAAATACAGACCTACAGAGAACTTAAGGACCTTTTTCCCTGTGAGGAGAAGAAATATTACAACATTTAAACATATTATTTATGTAACTTGGGTAAATATTATTTATTTAATTTGTTATATACAATATATATAATTTTGAAGCTATATAATGCATATCCTAAATCAATGAACAGATATATATTATCTACTGTGTAAAGAACTGTGTGATAGGCATTATGGGATAGTCCATGTGGTAGACAGAATTCTAAGACAGTTCTCAAGATTCCTGCCCCCCTGGTGTGTGTATACATATATATATCTCATATCATCCTTTTCCCTGAATGTGAGCAGAAGACATGGATATGATGCGATATCACTCCAGGGATTTTTCAGGTATAATGATGTTAAAAATAAGTTAACCTTATTTAATCAAAGTCAATTTACTGGGTCAACAGGAAAGGAGAAATTAACAGAAGGAAATAGAAAGGAGATGGCAATGTTTCTATTGGCATAGAAATAGCACAAGCTATTCCAAGCCTAGGAAATTCAAAGGGAGCTAAAAGGGTAGCTCATGGAGAAGAAAATACAGTGGTCCTCACTGGGCCTTCATGGGCTCTGGGAACACCGGCAGCAGGTTTAGTTTAGGAATTTTCTTAGAGTGACTCTAGAGATAGGACAAAAGTCTGTGCACATTGATTTTGATTAAAAAGCTCATTTGGTCCTTTCTTGCCCCCCTTGATATCTTCGTCAGACGCTTCCACAACCAACTGCCTAAATATATTTATATTACTACTCGGCTCTGTCCCTAACACATTCTTGCTTTATTTTATCTCTGTACCTTTGCAAACACTGTTTAGCTCATTTTTACTCTTTCCCAGTCAGTCTGAATTAACCTCTTCGTCTGTATTTATAAGAAGCTTCCAGGCCGGGCGCGGTGGCTCACGCCTGTAATCCCAGCACTTTGGGAGGCCGAGGCGGGCGGATCACGAGGTCAGGAGATCGAGACCATCCTGGCTAACCTGGTGAAACCCCGTCTCTACTAAAAATACAAAAAAATTAGCCGGGCATGGTAGCGGACGCCTGTAGTCCCAGCTGCTTGGGAGGCTGAGACAGGAGAATGACATGAACCTGGGAGGCGGAGCTTGCAGTGAGCCGAGATCGCGCCACTGCACTCCAGCCTGGGCGAGAGAGAGATTCCGACTCAAAAAAAAAAAAAAAAAAAAAAAAAAGCTTCCATCAGATACAGCGAATCTCTTTGTCATAGCACTAAGCCACTGTTTTGTGATTATCTATTACCTTATCTGTCTCCCTCACTCTACTATGGACTCATTGAATTTACGTAACAGGTCTTTAATCTCTGTACCTTTAGTTTACCAGACATTGTCTGACACATATTAAGGGAATATTACTTTTTTTTTTTTTTGAGACGGAGTCTCGCCCTGTCGCCCAGGCTGGAGTGCAATGGCACAATCTCGCCTCACTGAAACCTCTACCTCCCAGGTTCAAGCGATTCTGCCTCAGCCTCCCGAGTACCTGGGATTACAGGCGCCTGCCACCACGGCCGGCTAACTTTTTGTATCTTTAGCAGAGACGGGGTTTCACCATGTTGGCCAGGCTGGTCTCGAACTCCTGACCTTGTGATCCACCCTCCTCGGCCTTTCAAAGTGCTGGGATTACAGGCGTAAGCCACCGTGCCTGGCCTAAGTGAATACTGCATTTATGAGTGAATTGATATAAAACACATGCTTCACAGTCCGAGTAACCACAAACATCAGTTTTTAAAAACAATTTGAATAGTTACACAGTCTTCATTCTGTCAGCTTCACTTCCTTAGGGTTAAAAGACACAGATATTTTATGAAGATCATTAAAATAGCTGGTGGTGCAATTCAACGGAGGTCTTGGGAAAAAGAAAGTCAGAACCACACAGAAGTGCCGCAATTGGAAGCAGGGTCAATATGGTGTGACAAGACCAAATGAGGATAAAGGAAATTGCAGCAAAGGCTATACTAAGAGATTTGCCAAAAATTGTGCATATGGATTTTTTTCTTTTGGTCTAATTTTGCTATTTCTCTAGTATGCAAATGTCAAGCATAAAGCACTATGAATGGTGCATGGAAACATCAGCAGATCTCTCTAAATGTAATCCTGCTGCTAGAACAGACTTTATTTTGATATATGACAATACCTTCTGATCTTTTTCCCCTTGTTCTTCATTATGGAGTACATTTCCAGGATAATAGGATGTCTCTCTTTCAGTAGCACATCTGTTCCTGTTCCATTGTCTTCACTTGAAATCATAATTTGCTCTTTGGGAATGTACAATTGGTGGCAAGTAGAGATGATTATGATGTAATAAACAGAAATGATGACTTCAGGTGGGTAATAATAGTTAAGAAACCAAAGATTTTGCTTCCAAGTAAATTCTCCTGCTGATTAAAATGAGAAAAAAGGAAGCCAAAGTATGTGTAATGCCTGAGCAGAATGGCCTTAGAATTGAATGACTACTCAATCAGATCTTCTCTCATTTGAGGTTGTCTATTTCTTATGGTTTGTGTCACAGCTGTTGTGACTAAATACATTTATTATTTTCATATACATATATTTTAAATCACCTCCAGGTTATTGTTGCCTTGTGTGAAGGTAGAAACTTTCTTTCGAATTGACTTGGAATGGCTTTTGGCTGAAACACTTTGTTTTGTGACATTAGATTACTTAGTTATTTTGAGCTTCAATGCCTTCCTCAGTAAAACTTCAAAAAAAATATAATCTTCTTTGTTCTTAAATTTTAGATAATATTTTTAAAACACTTACCAGAGTGTCTGACCCATGAAAGTCTTCAATATATGGCAGTTGTGATAGTTATCCTTCTGTGAAAAATCATCCCAATCGTCATATGTTAGCTGTCTTTAGTATTTAGTATTAAGCCGCATCTTCTCCAGTGTTGGTTTCAGGCCCCATAGCTCTGATTCCACATTTTCCCTTTCAGCTCTGGTAATCTAACTTCCATTTTCCTACCTGCTTATACTCATCTGACCAAAGATTGGCTTCTGCCCAACTGAATTTCCACAAAACAGCATTTCAAACGCTTAAAAAACTGATAGGTCCTTCTTAAATAAAAAAAAATTCTTATGGAGCACTAGTTTTGACTTCAATTATGTTTATTATTAAGCTGCTGCTGCTGCTTCTTTTTTTTTTTTTTTTTTTTTAGTCAGAGTCTTACTCTGTGGCCCAAGCTGGAGTGCAGTGGTGCAATCGCGGCTCACTGCAACCTCCGCCTCCAGGGCTCAAGCGATTCTCGTGCCCAGCCTCCTGAGTAGCTGGGACTACAGACTCACGCCACCATGCCCAGCTAATTTTTTGTATTTTAGTAGAGACGGGGTTTCACCATGTTGCCCAGGGTGGTCTTCAACTCCTGATTTCAGGAGATCCACCCGCCTCGGCTTCCCAAAGGGTTGGGATTACAGGCGTGAGCCACTACGCCTGGCCTATTATGCTTCTTAAATAAATAAATACACACACAAAATTAAGTATAGATTATTTGTGTTTAAAAATTCTTTATACTTATAAATAACAACAAAATGAACAAATTAATGACAAAAATTCTACCAAATTAAAAAAAGAAAACTAAATGTAAACATTATCCTGAGTCTTCTAAAACCCACACATTAATTTTAGCTCTCTGTGTGTGTGTGTGTGTGTGTGTGTGTGCGCGCGCGCGCACGCACGCGCACATACGCAGGCGTGCATCTGTGTGCTTTGTTTGCTTTAATCTTAGGGAAATGGAATTATAACATGTATACTCTTTTGTGACTGGCTTCTTTTCCTGATCATTATGTTTGTGATACCTACTCATTTGTCTCTAGGATGAATAAATTCTTACCATTTTGCCTTCTCCTGTGTTATTAGCTCAATAATTAATTTCTCAGAAATGGATATATTACTGGTCTTTTTGGTGGATATTGTAAGATACCATGGGCTTGCCTTTCAGGAATGATGGACTTATTCTCCCAGCTGCTGATAGTGCTGTCAGCAGAAAGCCCTAGCTGACAACCCACGTGAGGGCTGCTTAGCTGAAGAAAGCTGAATGCTCTTTTATTGGAGTGGTTTGGATAGAATGACTGACCCAGGGCTCTAAAGACTCATTCCCCTTATCCTAACTCAGTACAACACTGAAGGGTTATTCTAGCTCCAGAATTCTCTGCGGCATCAGCAGAGGTCTCCATCGAGGCTATGTAGCAGCCCAATTCTCCCTCTGTCTACTCCTGCTTCCTTCCTTTCCAAGAATATTCCCCAATCAACTTAGTGCATGCCAAACTCATTCTTAGAGTCTGCTTCCTTCAGAATCCAAAGTGTGACAGCCATGATCAGGTAACCCGAGACAGTCAGAGAAATTCTTCTGGTTTGCATGCATTTAGATGCTTCCATATGATCTAGTTATCTAAATTAATTAACCTATAAAAATTAAAGAGAAGTCATCTCTCAATAAGATAAATAGAGCATTAAGCTGATTGATTGCAAATACTAATAGAAATTTACTCTAGGCAAGGATAGAAGAGGCAGGACATAACAGACAATTTTCCTTTCTGGAAAAAGGAGAAAGTGTCTTGCATCCACTTTTGGTAGACCTGGACTCAACTATTTGTAGCTTTAATGCTAGCCCCTGTACATACTATATTTGAAATTATGTAAAGTATCCATTTTAATACACTGTAAATATGATTTGAGATAACGTATTTGTGTAACTATACACAAAGACACATTTCTTAAATCTAGAAAACCACAAACAAAAATAACTTCTTTTTCTAAGTAAAGATGTTTACTATATATGCTAATTTCAGTCTTCCTCCGGGACTAAAAGATTTGTTTATACTTAAACAGCATTTATACTCATTTATACTAACTTCAAAAAGTAAAGGCACTGCCAAAAGATGAAGTATGTATTGATTTTAAAACCACCAAGTATACCAAATCAGAATGAATTTAGTGACAAAATATTGCTGTAGTTGGATGGATCATTAACCCCTTAAATGCACTGAATGTAAAGTAGGCAGAGAATGGAAGAATAACTAAAAAGTATCCAGAACACTGCCTAGAAGAGAGTAAATATCCAAACAACAGTAGTTTTATTTCTCCATTCCTACTGCTTATTATACTATTACACAAATAAACATGTATATAAGCAAACACACATGCACACCTATACATATACACATACACACAACGCACACACACATCCTAGTCTTTTCAGGCTTTTGTGACCCTTGGCTATTACCGCACATAACCATTTTATTTTGTATTTCATATAATAATTTACAAACAAAAATAATATGTCTCATAATTCAGTTAATATCATCAAACAATTAAACTTATGGTGATATTTTTGCATCATTATTATAAAAACTAAAGAATTAGATCAAGATAGTTTATAACAGAAACAATAGTCCAATTCTTGCTTTTTTCTATTAAAAACCTGGATATATTTCCTAATCAAGCCTAGCATACAAAATTACATTAATAGAAGAATCAAAATGTATTGTGTTATTTACCTAATTGTGATTCTCAACAGACTCTTTGTTTTCAGAATATTTTAGTGAATTTCCATTATTTCTTATAAATATCTAGCTTCATAATTTCCACAGATTTGACAGGAAGGTGACAAATACCAAATTGATCCTCACCATTTTGCCTGGTTTAATAGTATTGTGTAGATGAGATTAACATTAACATATAATAATATATAAAGTTAGTTCACAGGGTGTGTTTAAATTGGCGCATACAGCTATAAGTGATGGGTTAAAAATAAAGTTAAGAATTATCTTCTAATTGTAGAATAAAGTGGTGATATTTAGTTTCTGCAGATTCCTTCAAGAAGAGGGTTGCATTGTTCTGTTGCATTCAGAGAGGGTTTAGAATCCAAAAATAAATGATTTTTCTTGGAATTACATTAGACACAAAATGCACAGCTCACCCGGCACCCGCACCATTTTACTGAAGGATAGTGTTCTGACTCTTCTTTCTTTGAGCCCCTTGTATGTCACAAAGCTTCAGCCATCCCATAAAGAAAGAACTTAAGCAACTGCCTCAAGAATTTTTGTCAGTTTCTACATAAATTTAATTCAAGTTCATATCAAATTAGCATTTATGAAACCTTTTTCCTCTGCTCGGTGAAAACCACTTTTTAAAAAAACACTTCTGGGAAAACATAGATGTTTAAGCAAATGTAGACACACAGTGTATTAGAATTCAATACAAAGTCTAGCCGAGAGACAAGAGCCAGCTGGCTCCCTGATGGTCCCAAACGCAGCAGGAAAGATCCACTCCTCCATGCAATTCCCACTGTCAGTTCCTCTCAAGTAAAAAAGCAGCTCATTTTATTGAGTTATATTTTGGAACTCTAATTAGACCATTTAACTCGTGGGACAGACAATTGTGCACTAAAAGGGCATACACATAGACATGGATGTCATCCTTTCCAGTGTATTCTCCCTCTCTCTTTCCTCTGGGTTCCTGGATGTCAAAACAGGAAGCCATTCTGGGGCCTCCTCTGAGGGAAGTTTTAGATAGTTCTGGAGCTGCATTTTGGCTTTTCTGCTTATGCTGCAACGTCAGTAGAACAGCTTAGATCATCTGTCTTGAAATGTTTCAGTTTCTCACAGTGTACTGTGGCTCAATAATCAATTAGCTTCTAAAAGCTGGCCTATGGGAAAATTTAGACACAAGCAGAGGGAAATACCTTTGAAGGCTATGGGTTAGATCACTTTTCCAGAATGCTGTGCATTGTAGTTATGGGCACAAGTCCAGCTAACAATAAAATCAGCCTTTAATTTCCCTTTGTGAGTGTGCTTGTTTACAAATTTTCCTTAGGATCTTCAATGGAAGGTATGAATCCATTTTGGGCAGTATTTAGGGTCCTAGGTCTTCAGATTATAACAGAGTATTAATATCGTTACCGAATGTCTGAAATTATATTACACTTGTCAAGAAAAAAGTCCTAGGAACAGGAGATTCTCATGGCAATTTTTAGGGCAATGTAGTTAATATCTAGGATGATGCTTCTGTCTTTGTCTTCCACTGTCATGGCAGTTTGAAATCCATTTGTCTCATAAAGTACAATAAGAAGATGAAAGAAGACATCCTAACCTGTATTGAGCAGTGTTAAACCACTGAAATCTGGAAACTGTTTATTGCAACAACTAGTGTTAATCACCTTAATTAATGCATTCCTGGGAGGAAATTCTTCATAAGTGCTTTCACATAGGAAGAGCTAAATAACCTTCATCTCTTACTTCACATTTCTTCTCCAACATTATACATACCCTTATGAGAGACCTTTAAAGTTTCACATATTTCAATCCTTCATTCAATCTCTGCTCCATTTCTACAATTTTTATAATAAAAAGTTTGCTAATTTGGCATTATCTTCCATATATTTTTTGAAGTGAAGTAACATATCTCTGGCCGTGGCCTTCATCCAGATGTAAGTGTATCTATTACCCTACTATCAAGTATTATTTTAGATATATGATTAAATATACCTGCAGTGTTCATATATGGTATGTTCACATAATGTATATGTATAATATTATATATATATATTGCTCCAAGCAGTAACTTCAGTAAAATTTGTCATGGACTAGAGATAGATATTTCTATGTTGATCTTTAGAGATAATGCTGTTTTCTTCATGATTATAACTTTAAAATATTTGTCAATGACAATATTGAATAAAACTTAGGCTTGGACAACTGGGTGGAAATTTACTGACAATTTACTGAATGGCTCGAAATTTCCATGTGTAAAATGGAAAGGATATTTGCTCAGATATTTCACTGCACAATCATTCAATCATTCATTCACTCAACAACTATATTTATTGAGTGCATATTATGTGACATTATTATTCTAAACTAGTTATTCAGTAATTAAAAGGAGGAAAAGACTGCTTTCAAAAGGTATAGGTATTTGTGAAGGCATTTTGAGAGGTGTTAACTCTACTTAAATATAAATACATACCATTTTGAAAGTTATGAGCTTCACCATAGGGAAATTCATGTTCTTTGATTTAGAAACTATACTCCTAGGGATATTTGTCCAAGGACATTTAGGAGAAGGAAAAAGAACATGGACAACTATTTATTGAACTCTTACTACATTCTAGTTAGTACTTCCCAATAAAACGTTCTGTAACGTTGTAAGTGTTCTTTACCTGCTGTAGAATATGGTAGCCACATGTGACCATTGAGTATTTGAAATGTAGTATGCAACCGAGGATTTAAATCTTTAATTTTATTTAATTTTTATTAACTCAAACTTAAATTTAAGTAGCCATGTGTGGTATCATATTGGACTGCACAGTGAGACACATGTTAAGCAATTTACAGAAATTACATTCCTTAATTATTATTATGATCTTTCTATTAATTTTATTCTACAGATATGAAAACTGTAGGAAATTAAATAACCTGCAAAGGTCACCAACTTTGAAAGTGGTATATTGAAATTTGAGGCCAGGTAGTGTGATGCTGTAGCTCGTGTTCTGCTAGGCTACTTCTCTATGCATATTGACTTCCAATGATAGGAAAATTGTTGCATACACTTGAACCTAACATGAGGTAAAAACCTATGATACTATTGAGTGAAAATTGTTACAACAATTTGCAGAAGGAAATGCCTTTATGACAAATTAAAATAGAAGAATGCAAAAGAATATAGACTTTAAAAGTATAATTATATGCAAATAATATGAGCAAGTTGATAGTAATATACAAATTTGAACATAAATTCTTTTTCAGTGATAAAATTATGGATAAATCTCAAGAGTCTTTAGTGCTGTCTTTTACTAGGTTTAATTTTGTTTTTGTTGATTGTTCTTCGGATTAAATATAACAATGATATATGTGGAAGATGGTGGAGAAGTTCCTTTAACTGTTTTTCAAATTAGTACAGTAATAAAATAGAATGAGAATTTAGAAACAGTGTTGCATGGCTACCCTGCTACCCTATAGCTTTCACTCTTTTTCTTGCTAACAGATCCCGAATTTTTTTTGAAAAAGAAAACACCCAATTTCATAGAATTAAAACAGAATTAAACATCCTTTATCTAAGCTACTTATGACTATTTCATTCTTCTTTGCCATGTCCCCACTTTCTCAGCCTCCCTTGCAGCCACAGATGACCATATGATGTGATTTTAGCTAAGTAGAGATAAAGAGAGGCTACTTGAGAGATCTGAAAAGGATTTTACTCCTTAACAAAGGAACGCCCCTTTTCTATTTGCATCCACTTTTTGTTTGGAATATGATATTGTGGTGTCCTTTGTAGAGGCTAGCTCCTATTTTGTACCTATGAGAGGAGGACTAGAGGTAAGCAAAAATGCCCACAACCCTGACATAATTGAGATTTTTTTAAAGGAGTACCTTCATAACTCATATGTGGTTTAAATTTTTTCTTTTTTAAAGTCACTTTATGTTCTATTACCTAGAACGTAAAACTTTCCAAATGTATTCAAAGTCCCTTGCCTCACAAGCTGTGGGTTTCCATTGTGTAGAAGATGCAAAAAGTTGGGAGACTGGGTGTTGGCTCACCTCCACATTATAGGCTTTCCATGAATCTCTGTAAAATACAGAGCCTCCGTGTACTCCATCAGATTATGACTGAAAAGACCTGCTAACCAGCACAGTTGAAATCTAGAAAGCAACAGGACTCCAAAGATCCATAAATGCCTATTTTTAAATTCTGCTTCATTAACATGAATATATTAAAGTTCCTGAAGTCTTTCTACAGATGATATTTGGTCTGGCATTTCTGTAAGTGGAAGAGATTATCTTTTGCTTACAATTTGTCACTTCTTACTGGACTGTAGATTACAGCACTTTAGAAGCCTAACCCTTTTAAGTTAGGCTTTCTTCCAGCATTTACAAACGTTCTTTCAGCAGATCGACAAAAATAGCAGCAGCAGTGAAGCAATTAGATGTAATCCCAAACATCTGCATTTCAAGCCAGATCCTTAAATGTTTTTCCCTATTTTAGTTACACACCGATTCAAAACTCTCATTTAAGGTCCCAACAAACTGAAAAGAGTAGGAAATCTTTCAAATAATATACATTTAAATTCAGCTCTAAATACTGCCATCCAATTCTCACGGCAAGTATTGGCTATCAATACTGGTTAAACTTCCTGCAATAGAGTTATTTTGTGCCTGATTCAGTGTCACAAAATAACTATGAGTTGGTTTTCTGTTTAATTTAGGAAACATTTTACAATGACCTGTGAGTCCTAGGTGCTCTCAAAAGTTGGAGATAAAGATAAATATGGTACAATCCCTTCCCTCAAATATCTCATAGTTTAAGGATAGTTTACAATCTTCTTTGATCCTACTTATTCTATTTTATCATGGATACCTAAAATTGTATGCCTTAGTATAAGGTCTATGATTAAATACTGGTGGAGGAAGGTGCTACATACTTAAGACCTATGGTAAAACATGTTTTCATTGCTTGTACTATTAAACAAATGAACAATCCATAGAAAGTTGGTTAACTTTCAAAGCGGTAAGTGGAGAATTTTCTCACCTAAGTCAGTAGAATATAGATCTAAATTAATAACAATAATAATGAGAAGACAGCTTAAGTTTTGTTACATTACACAATGTGTTGGAATTTTACATGTATCTATAATGTCATTTTCTTTGGCTAAACAGCCATAGCATCTTGCCTCTGTCTGATCAAATAAAACTGTTTTTGATTGACAGCTAACTTTCTTCAAATAGCTGTTTTTAAGAAAGGAAGCTATTTATGTTACACTAGTTGTGTTTGGTACTGATTTCTAGGATGTTGGTCTTCTGAGGATCTTTCTTGAGCTAGTTTTAAAGAGCTCACAAATGTGCATAATCTCTCGCTCTCGTGCTCTCTCAATCTGTCTCCCCAACCCCCATCGAAAAAAAAAGAAAGAAAAAGAGGAAAGAAAGAAAGAAGAAAAGAAAGAAAGAAGAAAGAAAGAAAGAAAGAAAGAAAGAAAGAAAGAAAGAAAGAAAGAAAGAAAGAAAAAAGAAAGAAAGAAAGAAAGAAAGAAAAAGAAAGGCTACAGTTCTCTGTTTCACAAAGGTTAATAACAACTCTAAAATAGAGATTTGAGGCTGGACACAGTGGCTCAAGCCTGAAATCCCAGCACCTTGGGAGGCCGAGGCGGGCAAATCACTTGAGGCCGGGAGTTCAAGCCAGTCTGGCCAAAACAGCAAAATCCTGTCTCTACTAAAAATACTATATCTATAAATATTAGCAGGGCTTGGTGGCGCACGCCTGTAATCCCAGCCACTTGGGAGGCTGAGGCACGAGTCACATTTATCATCACAAGAGTGACACTCCATCTTTTTTGCCATGTAATCTACACTAACTGTGGAAGTGAACTCTCATATTTAATTGATTAAAAGCAAGTCACAGTTCTCACCCATACTCCAGAGGTGGGGAATACCCAAAGCCATGCACACTGGGAATAGGAAATCGCCAGGTATCATCTTCAGATCCATCTGCCACAGAGTCTCCTTATCTTTGTAGGGACATTGAAATTCAAATAAAACACATATAGACAATACATTTTTTTTTTAGTCAGTGAACTCTAAAATTTCTTCAGAGTTCATTATATCTTGCTGGCTCTTTATACTTTAGAAGTAGTTGTTTACCTCTGAATTATAAAAAATATATTCACTTAATATGATCAAAACTTTATGTAGTTAGTATGGAAATTGTGAATTATAGTGATTAATTGAACATTCACGAACCCACCACCCAACTTAACAACCAAAATACTACCAAATTCCAGTGAAAATCATATGCTACTATTGCCTAGTTATATCCCCTTACGTTCCCTCAGAGGCAATTTCTATCTAAAATTTTACGTTTGTTATTCCATAATTTATTTAAACAACTTTACCCCATAAGCTCTTTCTAAATAGAATATCATTTATGCTTATTTTTAAGCTTTACAAAAATTGTATCATATACATACCATATAGACATTCAGACTCTATTTGAATTAATTATTTTCACTCAACTAATTTCCAGCATTGTCAACCCTAGCTCTATAACTTACACTGGGAGAAAAATCTTGCTCAGGAGTATCAGAGTCTCAAACAAGAAGTTTCTCAGTAAATGTATTCTTACTAGCAAAAAGCAAAACATAACAAAACATACATACATGTACACAAACACAAAGCACAAAACAAGTAAACAAGAAACTACTGGATGCAACCCAAATGTCTATGTTTTTCTTTTATTTTTATCTTTGCTATTTTCATGCTTGAATTTCCATTTTTTTCTTCCTTAAAATGCATGGCACTATACCATATTGTATTAGCATGAATTTAGAAAAGTAAAACAGATGTCAAATGTCTTCAATTATATATAGAATGTTCAAGAGAACACTTCAAGTTATGAGACTGCAACTGACAACCCTATGGACTAGGATTGCAAAACAAGGAAGATAAAGCAATTTCTGGCTGGATGGTAGGATAATTGATACACTTACATTTGGAAGAAGGTCATGGCCAGAGATATGTTACTTCACTTCAAAAAAAGCCTATTGCAAGAAAACATTTATTTTAAAAAATCCCCTTACAAGGAGACAACACAAAGTTCCACACAGACGCTGCATCCTCAAAGTCTACCATCTCTGGGTGTGGAGTGACACTTTCTTCATCTTACTGGGGTAGCACATCACAGCCTTGAGATCATAGAATAATATTGCTCGTTATCTTACCCTCCACACCAATGTGTAATGCTGCAATAGGATAACTACAACACGCACCCTTATTTTGAAAAGGGAAGAATAGAAGACATACAGCAGTTGCTGGAACATAAGTCTAAATCCCACTAGGTAGACATAAGAAACTCCGACTCTGAGGAATGGGAAGATAATCCCTTAATTAGGCTCTGATTCTGCTCTCTGAGAAGTTCTTATTTGTCTATTGTCCCCTAGCTCTGCCCTCCTCATTTTTCATTTTCTTTCTTAACCATGATCTGCACTGGGCTTTGTAGAGTAGCTCATCTCTAGAATTTTGTGGTTTATTCTAGAACCACAAAATTCTCAACTCACTTTCTGTTCTTAGAGAGTCAGAGTCCCAAAGTCATTTTAAAAATCTTAAAAAGCCAAAGAGAACCTGGGAAATCTAGATGAGCACATGTATATTTGTTGAACAATTGCTCCAGGTATATGGAATTTATGGTCTAGGATAGAATGTGAAAATGTGGACAAATAGCTACAATACAAAGCATAATTAACTTAGTGTCACAATTGATAGCTACACACAGCAACATGAGCATTCAAGGAAAAGGGGAAATCAATCCAAATGGAACTACTGAGTTCAGTAGATTGGCCCATAATACTCTATCCTGGCTTCCTATCTCTTACCTCCCGCCACAAATTCTGCACCAGAACAATCTCAGTTTCTCACTTAGCGCTGTTTGCTCTTTTATTTCCCCTTCTGTGCCTTTCAGAGGCTACTTCTGCTTAGAATTTTCTCTTCCATTGAGCACTTGTTCAATTTTCATTAATGTTGTAAAACTCATTCAAGTAAAAATTCCTCAATGAAATCATCTCTGATTGACCAGGAGAGATCTAGCTGTCCTCTCTTTTGTTCCTCCATGGAATTTTACTTGCTCTTGTTTTGCCCTAAGAATTAAGCACGTCAAATGGCACATCAAGGGAGCTAACGTATACCTTTGAACATTGCCCTCAGGCATTTATTCTTAGGCATATTTTGGCCTTATTTATTTTATATTGTTATAATTATACTCTAAATACAGTTGCATATCCAAGCATCTTTTACAGTTAACCTTGATACAATAAGGCTTTAATTACATAATTCTAAAATATTATATCATATTCCAATGAGAGCCTGCACCAGTTGACTTCTCCACATCTTTTTGGCTAAACACAATTGTTTTCTATTTTTCATAAATAACAGACCAACATGTGTTTTGGGATCCCCTAAGGGCAGGTAATCATGAATCTCATTGACTTATTTTATGTCATAAGAGGGATACTAAACTATTCCTTATTTTCTCACTAGCATTACTGGATAGAAATTTTCTTCTGGGTTACTAAATGACCTCTAAGAGTTGAGAATGTACTTTTCCCCAAGAATAAGCCATGTTATCTGTTTCAGTTATGAATAGCTGCATAATAATAAACCATCTCAGAACTTAATGGCTAAAAATAATTTTATAATTTCTCATGATTCTAAGGATTGGCTAAAGCCAGCTGGGTAGTTCTGCACCATGTGATGTCAGCTACAGCTGCATCATCTGGGATTTATTTGAGCTGGAACATCCAAAATGGCTTTCTCACATGGCTGACAGATGACATGTTCTTTTGGCTTGGAGCTTAACTGAGGCTGTTGACCAGAACTTACACTCAGTCTCTCCCTGTAACTTTGGTTTCTGAGAAGCAGATGGATTTTGAGAGGTAGTATCCAAAGAGTAATTGTTCTAAGAGTGAACAAGCAGAAGCTGATAGAGATTTTAGAGGCTAAACTTGGAATTAGCACAATGTGATCTCTACCATGTTCTACTGTTTGAGTAGTCACATGGCAAAAAAAAATAAAAAAAAATCAAAGGAAGGGCAGATTAATTATTTTTCTTTACACAACTGTGGCAAAGAATTTGATAGTCATCTTTAAGCCACCACATACCCAGTGATCAGATATTTCAAGTTTCATGAGAAAATGTTTAACCCACTTAATTTCATTGAAAGACCTCAACATTCTGATTTGCCTGAGAATCTCCTGTTGCTATGAGTTTTTTATTGACAAGTGTAATATAATTTCAGACATTCAGTATGATTGCTCTAAATGTAATTAAACTTAAATAAATCTGTGGTGGAAAAATTGCATAATGTATTTCTCTAGGCAAGTGCACTCTATATATTTTTCTATATGTGCTTCACTATTTTCTCTTCCCTATTTCACCATTATTTGTTTCTATTTCTGCATCAAGAGATTAGCATTTCCAATGGTTATTCCCTGAAAACATACTAAGAAAATGTGGAACCAGTGATCCCGGTGCCTATGGCTGGGCTCAATAAGTCAGACTGAAATGATGGCAAGCTTGGCAACATTGCCTACTATTTCTCTTGTCACATTTACAGGCCAGTCACTGGTTAAGAAAGAAGGAAGTTCAAGGTTACATTCTGACATGGAATGATGGAGAGATCAAGACAGAAACAGCCTTTAAGAGGGAGAAAGGATGTTTAATAGATGGTCTTTATGAGTCATTCTTTTGCGGAGTACATGCTGCTCCGGAGTACATGGAGTTCATGCTGCTCCATCTAAAAATACGAACTGTTTGAGTTTGTGACCTTGTTAAAAATATAAATTTAATTAGGTTTACAGATCTTTGTAGCTCATAAAGCTCATAATGACCACTCAAGTTTTGCTAGCTCCAGATTCTTGTTTCAAATTATGCTGAAGTTAATAACAACAATCCCTGCTCTCAAAACTGAGAGAGACCTGAGAGATTCCATGTCATTGCCTGAAGTTCACACATCACAGTTATTGCTGGAGGCTGACACTCATTATCCACCCCGAAACTCTAAGGAGTGTATCTGTGCTTTTCAAAGGTGCCTTTTTCAATAGAGACAGACAGAGGATGTAAGATGAGCAGCTATGTTAAAAATGTAAAGTCTGCACCAACCCTTCATTTCCCCATCTTAGACATTTTGTTGGAAACTATCATCCAACTCTGTTCGCAAAGGATGTTTCCCAAGGCTCAACTGCCCTCAGTTAGACAGACAGGAAGTTCAATCAAAATCTATGCTGAAGAATTTGAGACAGTATATATTTTTTCTATTCATAAAACTTCAATTGCTACTCACATATATAAGAAACATATTGATAAACTTCAGGTGCATATTCAGATAGTTATCAGAAATTTTCTTACTTTGATATTACATAGGCAACTCAAAATTTAGCATGTCCAAGAATGAAATAATTTTCTTTCCTCAAAAGTTTCTATCACAATTAATGGCACCACTATCCATCCCCCATTCAAGTCAGAAACTGAGGCATACTGTCTCAAATTTAACCCCTAGGCTTTGGGGATTTTACCAAATAAATATAGCCCAAGTCTAGAATTTCCTACAATTCGTTCTGTAAAACAATAATTTCACAAAATGCCCCAGTGGAAATAAATTCTTTATTTTTATTTTTTTAACTTTAATTTTAGGTTCAGGGGTACGTGTGAAGGTTAATCAGGTAAATTGCATGTCACAGGGGTTTGGTGTACAGATTATTTCACCACACAGGTAATAAGCATAGTACCTAGTGGGTAGTTTTTCAATCCTCACCCTCCTCACTTCCTCCACCCTGGAGTAGGCCTGGTTTCTGTTGTTACCTTCTTTGTGTCCATATGTTCTCAATGTTTAGCTCCCAGTTATAAGTGAGAACATGTAATATTTGGTTTTCTGTCCTAGTATTAGTTCACTTAGGGTAATGGCCTCCAAGTTGCTGCAAAGGACATGATCTCATTCTTTTTTATGGCTATGTAGTATTCCATGGCATATATGCACCAAATTTTCTTTATTCAGCCTACTCTTTATAGGCATTTAGGTTGATTCCATGTCTTTGCTATTGTGAATAGTGCTGCAATGGATATACATGTGCATGTGTATTTATGATAGAAGACCTTATATTCCTTTGGGATATACCCAATAATGGATTGCTGGGTTGAATGGTAATTCTGCTTTGAGTTCTTTGAGAAATCACCAAATTGCTTTCCACAATGGTTGAACTAATTTACATTCCCACCAGAAGTGTATAAGGGTTTTTCTTTGCAACCTCACTAGTGTCTGTTATTTATTGACTTTTTAAGAGCAGCCATTCTGACTGGTGTGAGACAGTATCGAATTGTAGTTTTAATTTGCATTTCTCTAATGATTAGTGATGTTGCACATTTTTTCACATGCTGGCTGACCGCATATATGTCTTTTTTTGAAAAGTGTCTGTTCATGTCCTTTGCTCACTTTTTAATGGGGTTGTTTTTTTTTTCCTTGTGTATTTGTTTAAAGTCCTCATAGATGTTGGATATTAGACCTTTGTCAGATGCATAGTTTGCAAATATTTTCTCCCATTCTGTAGATTGTCTGTTTACTCTTTTGATAGTTTATTTTGCTGTGCAGAAGCTCTTTAGTTTATTTAGGTCCCAGTTGTCAATTTTTGTTTTTATTGCAATTGCATTTGGTTTCTTCACCATGAGATCTTTGCCAGATCCTATGTCCAGAATTATACTTCCTAGGTTATCCTCCAGGTTGTTCATAGTTTTAGGATTTAAATTTAAGTCTTTAATCCATTTGAGTTAATTTTTGTATATTATGTAAGGAAAGGGTCCAGTTTCAATCTTCTGCACGTGGCTATTCAGTTATCCCAGCACCATTTCTTGAATAGGGAGTTTATTAAGTCAATTTGGTCAAGCGTTGAATTCAGATCCTGAATATCTGTTAATTTTCTGCCTTGATGATCTGTCTAATACTGTTGGTGGGGTGTTAAAGTCTCCCCTTATTATTGTATGGAAATCTAAGTCTCTTTCTAGGTCTCTAATAACTTGCTTTATGTATCTGGGTGCTCCTGTTTTGGGTGTATTTACAGTAGTCAGGTGTTCTGGTGTTCTTGTTTTACCATTATGTAATGTCCATTATACCACATGTTTCTGTCTGTACATCATTTTCTACACTATTCCTTTTACCCGAAATGCCCTCATCACAATGTTCTCATATTCAAGCTTTAAGATTTAGTTTACACAGAATATCCTTGGAAACCTCAACCACCAACAGAGTTCATTACTTCCCCGCAAATTACATTTTATAATTTATGTTTCTGTGCTTCATTCATATTTGCATTCTAAGCTCAGCCAAACACCAAACATATAAGTGGCTAATAAATGTTAATTAAATAAATGATCTAAATTTAACTTTAATAAACATTTACCATAATATCCTGTGTTCTGCATCTTGATAGTTGTGGCAAAGCCAGTACAAAGGAAAGCATAACAGGTTCTACTATGCAGAAGCTTCCAATTAATACTATAGTAAGATACTTCTGATAGGCCAGTGAAACATAGTTACATAATGAGGTAAAAAAATATGTGCTAGATATGGTTATAAAAAACATATTCTAGCTTGGGATTGGTGGGGGTAATGGTGTACGCAGGCAGTTTCTGGATATAATAAGCAGATCTATAAAAATGTCTGTATTTTGACAAGTAGTACAGGAAATGACATTACAGAAAATATGTATATATGTATATTCATACATACTGTAGGTCTAGGTGTTATCGATAGGTTCTTGGAAACTGACTTTAAGCAAAACAATGTATAACGAAACATTTTTTTCTCATCAACATTATAATTGAACTGTGTTGAATGAAACAAAGTCATTTGAGGACCTTCTGTACATTGTTTTGCTTGAAGTAGCAGTTTCCAAGAACCTATTGGTGACATTAAATGAGGACTTAAGTCTAGGTATATAAATTTGGACAAGGACCGACCTGCAAATGGAGCAGTATATGTTATTCAGGAGAATAACGTTTACGTGAGTGGTATTGAAGTGTTGGATGTGGATAGGGAGAAGGGAGAGAATAAAATATGGCAGAAGCTAAGGTCAGAAAACTAGTTACCAGCTCCATAGTGAAGAATTCCCAACAGCTAAGTGAATTATTTAGACATGGTTCTCTCTTTATCTGGGCCTTACAAAGATGACTCCCCATCCTAAACTCACACAGGCCCCACAGAGGAATAGTAGATGATAAGATCAAGGTCTTACAGACTTTATCCTGCAGCTGGGTCTAGATTTGACAAAGAAGAGTAGATGGTGGAGGGCTCAGAACACAGAACATGTGGCAGAAAGACCAAGTAGGTTTTTGAAAATGTTGAAGTAATTTAGTTAGAATTTTAAGTAGAAAAGGAACACTGGAAAAACAATTGTGGGGAACTCCGGCTTTATCAAAAATAAGAACTGTATATTTATGAAACATGTTCTTTTCTTCACGCATTCTTTCCCTGTGTTCTTGGCATTTCTACTGAGATATTTTTGCTTTTATGTTAATTACTGGGTGTCAGTGTATGGCTGCTCTGTGACACAGCATTGGACAATGCAATCAAAGGCTTTCAAAGTCACTTGTTTTGTAGAACAAGGTTTTTTCCTAGTTTCAATGGGAGTTACATTTACTATCACAAGAAGTGTAGAGACCAACAAGTCCTTGTAAAATCCTGCAGGAATTTCTGTATAAATAAAAATGTAGACTCAAAGAACTTATTTCTTTACATTTGCTAAAGCAGATACGTACAGTCCTGAGCATATCGCTCACAGCTATTTTCTAGTCGGAGGTAAAACCAAAAGGAAAAAACAGTGTTATTTATACTCTTTTGATTCATAGAGAAAATTGTTTCTCTTTGGAGCTCAAGAAGGAAAACCTCCAGTTTTTGAAAAACTCTATGTGATGAACACACATGTACACGCTTATATACAGAAATTGTGAAAATGCATTTTAATTCATCCACAGGTTTCACTGCTAAATATTCATAAAACCTTCTGGGTCAAATTTACCAGTGTGGATGCCTGAGTTATTTCTGCTAGATAAAATCAAGTCAAACTGTCATTTTGCATTATAAACAGAAGATCGAAGATGCACAATTTAACATCTGCATGCAAAGTAAGCAGTTGGGCCAGCACAAACAGTTGCTGTAATGTGGACAAATGAATTTGAATCCACACACTCTCTTCATGCATTATTCAGATGGCTTTATGTGTAAGTTTGGGTTTTTAAATATGAAAAAAGCAAATAGTTTGATCAAGCCCAAGTATGTTAAGTGAGGACCCTCAAAATGAAGCAAATTTGTTAATAAAATGTAACATAATGGAAATCTGGACACAGGAAACATCTGGCACGGAATTTTGGCAGATAATTAAATAATTGAATACCTACGACAGCCAGTTAAATGTCATAATCAGTGGATAATTTATTCAAGACATAATCTTATTCATGCCTTTCTTATGTACAAAAGGACGTGTTGCCAGATGTGCACGAGGTATAATTTCAGTTCTGCTTTTACAATGGAATTTGACTTCTATTAGTCTACCTTGGCAAGATGTAGCCCTTTAACTGGCGGCTTTCAGAAAACAGCAATTTGGAGACAGCTTTCGCATTGAGACCTTTAAAAGATAATTATTTTTATTCAATTAGAATAGAGTTGGTGGTGAAGAAGAAAATAATTGTGCTCATGTATTTTCAAAAGAAACCTACTTATTAATAGTCATTTTAAATCTGAAAAGAGATTTTTTTAGACTTTATCATATATTAAGAAATTGGAAAACAGTATACAAAACTGGAAAAAACTAGAGATACAGTCACACATTTAAACATTCTTTCATTGCCTTTTCAAGTAAGATTTAGTGTCTGCACACTTTAGACACAGGCCACCTTATTACAGGTCTCTGTGTAGCTCTCCTGGAAATCTTTAAATTTGAGGGAAAGAAAGTGCATCTTCAGTGCCCGACATTGATCTACGGCATGGAAAAGAGTTGTCATAGAAAATCACCTTGATTTTCACAGAATTTATGTGAATCATAAATTTTTGTTGAAATAGGCCATTGACAATTGGATAGTTTGGTCTGCAGCATAACACATCTATCCTACTTTGTATACAACTTTTTTGATTCCTCAGGAATTCAGTGTAAACTTACTTACTCCCACTGCTCTAAAAAAGAAACTGAAACTTAAAATTTTTCACACTCTCATATAGAAGCATCAGTCAACAATCAAAAACTAAACCAAAAAAAACTAATTACCAGTTTTGTCATTGACCAAAAAATATATTACATGTTAACCCTATTCAGGAAATGCAGCTTTTAGATGGATGAATTGCCCACCCAAACGAAACTGGATTTCACTTTATAAAGAATATGAGGATAGTGGTATTGGAAAAACAGTTTCAATCTTTGCTACCACTCCCAACCATATTGATAGAGATGGAAAAAACTAGACTCAAGAAGGCTGATTAATTTGTTCAAGTACTGGAATCAAAATTTGAACACAGGTCTCTATAACTCTAGTCTTTCACTGCAGCTTTCTCAGGGTAGGTAAATCCTCCACAAGATTTACAGTTGAAAAGATATTAACATTTGTGGCAGAAAAGGGTTGGTGTTCACCAAAGATTTATGCTCTTTTTCCTGAGCAGCCAGTGATACATTTTCCATCCTCCCTTGCATCTGATGCCTGCGTGAATGTTCTTGCAAATGAAACATAAGTAAAAATGATGTGTACTGCTTCCCAGATTAAGATAATTAAGGAGTGTATGTACCTTCTCTATCCTTGCTCTTTGTCTATTCAACGCTAATGTTTTAAAGGACTATCATGGAGACAATATGTTCCAGAAGGCATAGTCTGCTGGGTGTGTGAATGACTTTGTGGAATAGAAACCCCACCCTCAAATCCCCCATGCCGGAGTCCTTGCTGAAAATAAGCCTGAATTTGGCATACTATCTGAGAGAGAAGTAGATTTGGGGTTTAGAAACTGAAATTTGGAATTTATCTATTATTGAAGTTAGCAGACTAATAACATAATAAAGAAAAGAAATGAAGAGACTCCTGTGGAAATCAGGCCTCAATAAGAGAAAAGGAATTTGAGGGGAAGAGGAACATTTCTTTACTCTCCAGATAGGTCATTTACTATTCCTATTCTAAGCCTGGTCCTTGTGGAGACAGGACAAATCTTACTGAAAAGGAAAAGAAGAAGGTCAGAACAAAGTGAGGAGAAAAACAAAAACAACAACAACAAACCACAGAGTCAATTAAAAGAAGTTCACATTTTAATGTATGAAAAATAATAGAGTATGAGAATAAAGTTAACTAGCAGAGCTTCCTTGGTAACTTTGAAAGCAGATATATTCCTAACTGCCCACTTAAAGTCTGAAATTATTTCAATTTTATTTAACCAAGAGTCAAAATAGTCAATAAGAAGTCCCAATTGCCCTCAGACTGCACTGTTCAATCATATAGCTATTGAGCACTTTTAGTGTAATTAGTTCAAATTGAATGTGTGTAAGTATAAAATATACATGGGATATCAAAGACTTTGTACCAAAAAAGTACAAAATATCTCATTAATAATGTTTATATTATTGTAAGTTAGAATATTAGATTGAATAAAATGCACTAATAAAATTAATTTTACCTTTTTTTTCTATTTTAAAAAATGCGGCTACTAGGAAGTTTAAATTACATAGAGGCCTCACATTATATTTGTGTTGGACAACATAGTGTTGAGAGATTCACAGGGTGTTTCATCTGTTCCTGCAGAGTAGGGGCTGGGGGTCAGATATATGATGACAAACACTTGTTCAGAGAGGCAACTTTGTCGAGAAAGTAGGAAAGGAAAAGAAAGGTCAAATTGTCCTAATAGAATTTAAAGCAAGTTATTTATTAAATGAATGTACAAATGAATAGAGAGTACCTTTTCAAAAATACAGTTCAATGACTATCCATAAAAGGCAAAGAAAGCAATCAGACTCTCCCCATCAAATTTTTAAAAAACCACTTTGTTACATTCCGTAACCAACATTCTGTGAGCCTTAGAGCAATTTAAAGTCATTATGCCTCAGTTTCCTAGTATTTAAAACAGTGAATATTACGTTTGCTTTGTTTACACCATTATGACAATCAAATTTGAAAACATGCATTAAAGCCCTTTAAGAAAGCATATAAGTGCGCTTCCGTGGTGAGAAAGAAAATATCTGCAAATAAGGGGATTTGATATCTGAACTGAGAAAATATAGCTCTTTCTAGGTAATGTTTGAGCTGACAAGTGAGTACATTTGAATGATTTAATGGACACTTAAAAGTTTCTTTTCATTCTAAATCATATGAAGGATTCAATTAGACTTTCATCTTAAAACAGTAATGCAATTACTTCTATGATCAAACAACATTTTTAAAAAGTGACAACATACACTTTTAGCTTCAAATTTGTTCTCTGTCCCTTCAAGCTTATTCTATCACTATATAAAACTAAGCAATGTAATACAGAACAATTCTCAATAGCCAGGTAACTTATATTTGATGTAGGCCTGATATTTTAAAACTTATAACAGTACAACATTGCATGAAAAATTATATATGCAATAAACATATAATATATGCATATTCATATATATATGAATTTTTGAATGGGAAACATATTTTAGGTCTTAGAGAATATACCTCACAAGTTTTTGGGAAAGAACAATGTCTTTACTTCTATATCTACAAGGCTGATCTCAGATTTTGAGTTCTAGTTATGTCTACTTTTACAGCCTATTTAATTATACCCCTAGTCACTGGCATTTTATGTTTTCATTTAATATAAATAGTTGCATTTCTGCTTACTATATGTTTCTTTTATTCTGTCATTCTTTGCATAAGTGTAATACAACTATTGTATGGGTATGAATGTGTCATTTTCCCCATACAGTCTTCAAAACTTTAAATTATTTTTTAAAATTAATTTTTAAAATTAATTTGTTATTTCGATAGGTTAAATTAGCATTTCATTCAGATTTTGAGTTGCATTTGTTTAATTATCAGAGTCTAAACCTATTATTGGCCACTAAGCATGCTTATTTTTTGCCTTTGTCTATTGTAATGTGTGTCTATCATTTTATTATTTATCTTAAATACATTTTATATGGAAAAGGTATTAACTCTTTTCCATCCCATAGACATCAAATACTTTTCCATATATGTCCCTATTTTGTAACTTGTTTTAATCATGTCCTTACTCATATTGGAGTTATACTGCTGGTACGGGACTCCTCATCATTTAATTTAATAGTACATATTTTACTTCATTGGCTTTGTATGCCAGGCTATGTAATGCAGTAGTCTAAAGGGGGCTTGGGTGATAAAATTCTTGGGTTCAAACCCCATCCCTAATATCCAACTGCTGTATGATCTCATGTGTGTTGCTTAACTCCTTCTGGTTTTAATTTTCTAATTTTAAAAGTGAAGGTAAGTAATGCTGATGCCTTCATAAGAGGGCTATTTAAAGATTAAACATGATAATACAGGTAAAACTAGGATAATGTCTTAAGCACAGTAATTAGTCATCAAGCGATAACTGTTATTGTTATAAGAAACTGAATTATCATGGATATAAGAGTCAGTTTTCCATCTCTCCATTTTGTTACATTTGTTATATCTGAGGTTTAAAGTCATGGGCTATGAATCATTGAAAAACACAAAGGAAGAACACCAGATTGTTCTTTACTCAGATCCAGATTATCTTACGATTTTGTAGAAATGTTACATAACTTTATGTATGCAGAAAAATAATTTAAACTTCTTGAGGTCTGGGATTGGATTTTCTGCTCTCTATGCCCCAGAAACCTTGCACAGTATTAGGAAACATTAGAGGTGACCCATGATAACAAAACACTAATAGGAACCAGCTTCATTTCTGAGGATTGGCACAGTAATGGCAGGTCCATGAAAGTAATGTCTCCTTTTATTGCTGCTTTTCTTTAGGTTCTAAGAGAAAAGAATTAACTAGTACATTTTTGACCATATCTGAGGACTTCCTGGTGTGTGAGAAGTTATTTTCTTAGTGGAACATAACTTTTCTTTTATGTTAAGTTTGAAATTCTCCATGTTGGGCTTCCAAAATAGCAATTATTCTCAAAAAGATGGATGGCCATTCAATTAAGTCTTAGCAGGAGTATAATGCTTTGCCATTGTGTGCCATTGATGCCCTTTTATCACCTACAATATCTCCCAAGTACTTTGTCTACAAAAGGACTAAGCAGCTGTGCACAATGGGAAAAGCTTGAACTCTGATATCAGATAAGCCTGCAATTGATTTTGAGCTCAGTCATTTGCTAACTGTGTGACATTAGAAAATACTTACATTCTCTGACCTCTAGTTTTATCTTATAAAAAAGGGAATCAGGATACCCACCTTACTGGGTTGATAAGAGAATTAAAGATAATGCATGGCAAGAATGTAGCATGCAGTAGGTGCTAACTGAATGATAGTTAATATCAATATAAAGACTAAAATTTTCATACACTCATTTCCCTCAACTGTTTCCAGGAAAGTAGTTACCATATGAGAGAACAGTCTGACATATTTTTGTGGCTCCCAATGGCATCACTAAATCCAATGATTAGTAATGAAGAGAATGAGATACTTTAGTCAAAAATTTAATCAGGCCTGCACTAAATTTTATCTATGGCACTGATTTTAGGTAACTATTTAAACTTTCCAAGTACCATTTTTCCATCTAAAAATGAAAATAATAGAAGTATCTCATAAAGTTGTTTTGTCTAACATGATGTTATAGGTAAAGTTTTGCAGAGTATTAGAGCATAGTGAATGCTCAAGACATCTTTGACATCTTCTAAACCAATTGTTTATATGATGTAAGAATGCCCTCAACAACCACCATAATGAGGAGTTATTTACTCTCTTTGAAGACTTTCAGTTCTCCCTAACTTGAGTTTTTAAAAGATAACCTAATATTACACTTAATAAAAGCAATGGCTCTCAAAGTCAACCTTCTTGTTTTGACATCTAGGCCAGGTAATTCATTTTCTCAGTCTCAGCTTTCTCATCTGTAAAATGGGAGTGACTAATGGTACCAACCCCTTTTAGGTGTTAAAATAATTAAATAATACATTAAAAGCCCTTCCACATTTCCAATCACATGAGTGTTCAATAAAGACATACTTACTTTAAGTTGGAGACCAAGTTATTGGAATTTCCTTTTATATGTCTACCTGTCTCCTTTTGTATGTCTAAACATTTTAAAAAAATGTTTGGGTTGTCAGTGGCATTTGAACCAGATCTACTCCATCTGGAATAGGTGCTCAGTAAAATAAGACTGAGACCTACTGGGCTGCAGTCCCAAAAGGTTAGGCATTCTAACTCACAGGATAAGACAGGAGGTCAGCCACAAGATACAGGTCACAAAGACCTTGCTGATAGAACAGCAGGAGGTAAAGAAAATGGCCAAATCCCACCAAAACCAAGATTGTGAAGAAAGTGACCCCTGGTCATCCTCACTGCTCATTATACTCTAATTGTAATGAATTTGCATACTAAAAGACACTCCTACCAGCACCATGACAGTTTATAAACGTCAGGAAGTTACCCTATATGGTCTGAAAATGGGAGGAACTCTCAGTTCCAGGAATCACCCACCCCTTTCCCAGAAAACTCATGAATAATCCATTTTTGTTTGTTTAGCATATAATCAAGAAATAACCATAAAAATAGCCAACCAGCAGCCCTTGGGGCTGCTCTGCCTATGGAGTAACCATTCTTTTATTCCTTTAATTCTTAATAAACTTGCTTTCACTTTACTCCGTGGACTTACCCTGAAATCTTTCTTGCACGAGATTTAAGGACCTTCTCTTGGGGTCAGAATTAGGACTCCTTTCTGGTAACAGGGTGACATCAGTGAAAATGGTGAATTTAAAGACTTCTGAAAGGCTGTCACTCCATTAAATCAGCAACAAAAATCCCTGAAAAAAAAAAAACGGTCAGAATCAACTTTTCAAAACTTTGGAAATTAATCAAAGCTTTGCAGCAACCCAAGTCATATTGAGTCAAAAAAATGAATGAGTATCCATAAGACCAGTGAGATTTCTGATGTTTTAACTTACACTAGTCCCATCTCCAACTTCCCAGCTCAGTGGTAGTCTTGAGTATATCAGCTCATATTGCTGGTAATACAGGGAGAAATATCAAACTCATCATTTGAACTCACTCAAACTCACCTCCTGCCAAACACCTCTCCATTGTGGATGGAGTGGGTCACAGAACTTTCTCAAGTGTTTTAACATCTCTAATGGGTCAAAGTAGACATCACAGAGGAAATTAGAAATACTTGAGTTGAATGAAAAGTAAAACACAACAAAATAGATAGAATGTAACAAAACAGTGCTAAGAGGTTAATCTATAGCTGTAAACACCTACATTAGCAAAGAAGAAAGATCTCAAATAAATAAACCTAAACCTCTACCTTAAGAAACTAGATAAGACAGGCTGAACGCGGCGGCTCCCGCCTGTAATCCCATCACTTTGGGAGGCCGAGGTGGGCGGATCACCTGAGGTCAGGATTTCCAGACCAGCCAGCCAACATGGTGAAATCCTATCCCTACTAAAAGTACAACAATTAGCTGGGCATGGTGGCAGGTGCCTGTAATCCCAGCTACTCAGGAGACTGAGGTGAGAGAATCGCTTGAGTCTGGGAGGCCGAGGTTGCAGTGAGCCGAGATCTGCCATTGCACTCCAGCCTGGGTGACAAGAGTGAGACTCCGTCTCAAAAAACAAACAAAAGGAAACTAGATTAGACAAGCAAATTGTATTCAAAATGAGAAAAAGAAAGGAAATAATAAAGACTATTATAGAGAAAAAAATCCGTAAACTTGGTGAAAATATTTAAATGGCATATTTATTTTTGGCACAGTATGAGCAAAACAAGTGGTTGACTGAATGTGATTTAATCTTCCACTTTTCACCTGTTTTAGCACCATCCAGAGACATCCACAATGAATGTAAAGCAACAGGATTAAACAGGTCATAAAGGACAATAAAAGTCTTACTTTTTTCCTCAGCTGGAATGTATTTTGCCTGTAAGTACGAGTCACTTGCATTTCAGACTTAAGCACACTTGCATCACAGTCTGGGATAAATGGCTTATAATAGATGTGCACTGGCATATGTTCCTTGTCCATCTTCATTGCCTTGTGGGAAAGGATTAGGAAAATATTGTTGATAAGTTACTTCTTTCAGATTATTTAAAATAGTTTCACAAGAGTAATTGCTACTATTATAGTTTCTTAGGTGTTCTTATGTAAATTTTAAATTCATACTAATAATGTATCATAAAGTTTCTTTCATGTGTATATTTTCACCTTATTAAGTACCCTTAACTGCACGATCTCACTTAGTGATGTCACAACATTGGACTTTCACAAAGTATGCAAAAAAACTTCTACAAACTACTCTGTGTAACTATTATGAGCCACAGATGCAGAGAACAAATATATGCCATCTCTTTATTCTTTAATTAATAATTCTTTAATTAATCATGCAAATTCATCTTGACTTATTAGCAGGAATCTCATCAGTTCTCACCAAGCCTTATTTCCGTCTGCCCTTTAACTGTTCAGGGATCCCAGAGGTTATCTCATTCCAAAGGTAAATCAGCTTCCTCCTGACATCAGGAGTAGAACAATCTGGAGCCTGGTGAAAGTAATACTGCTGTCATTATTGAAGCAGAATCCTGCACAGTCCTTCAGAAATTTGTCTACCTGATAATACAAGGTCCATATACCTACACAGCTCCTAATGTGGTGCCACTTATAGGCTCCAAATTGTAACTTTTTTAGTTCACACGCACCTATGTAGTTAGTATTGCCCAAAACAAATCTCTTGCTGGATATTTGGATTTAGAGCACTTACTAGAGTTGTCAGACTTAAACTTCTTTCCCCCTAGCAACTCAGGTTACTCAAGCTTAGATTTTCTGCTTCCCAAAGGTGATGTTATTCCAAGAATCTCATTAAACTTACCTGCTACCAATACTGGTTGAAGGTCAAGTAAATCTGCCTAACACTAAAATTAAAAAAATAAAGAAAACCTATTCTTGAGAGTGCTCATGTTCTTGGTTACATATTTTAAGAAGGTAGAAACTAGCATATGGGCCAACACAATACCATTTATAAAATGACTATGGATTAAAATGTTATTTACACAGCACCTGCAATAATTTTAAATAAAATAATATTTTTATCTGAAATGAGTGAAGGGAAATGTACTGTCTGTTTGCTTCCAAGTAGATGCTGGGATTCTTAGACAAAGTCCCCCTTCTGTTTCCTAGTTAGCAATTTGACATACCAGAAATCACAGGAGCTGTGGCCTTACTTATGTCACAAAGGGGACCATGAAGAGCTGGTCTCCATACCCCAGGCCATTTAAAAGGTTCCTAAATAAGTAGTTCTGTTACAGATAAACTGAAATCTCAATGCACAGACCTAAGAAACGGCGATATTTTAAAGATCTCTTTAAAAAATGAGCCCTTTATTAAAAATTTATGCCTTGGCAGGTACTGTCTACCCTCTAGAAATACATCATCCAAGAACTTAAAAACTATCAAGAACAAGCTTTCCATTCAAGGTTTTGCATTTATAGGTTTTAAACATATCTCTCATACTTTGTTGTCTCCTCCCCAAATTTATTCGTTCAAAATAAATGAGCTTAGAATAAACTATATATGCAGAAATATAAAGATAAAATGGACTTGCCCTTAAGAAATTCACATTTTAGTAGATATGTCAACAAAGGACTAGAAAGCTATATAACAAGTTCTTTAATGGAACTATGAACAGAGTGCAAAAAAAACTCACAGAGAGTGGCTAACTACCTGCAAGAATGTGTCAGAGCAGAGATAGGAATTGAGCTGGTTCTCAGAAAGGTGTGGGCATGGCTGGGCTCCCCATCTGCCACTCTACTAATTATCAGGATTGATTTGTTAGGTTGTGTGCAGTTCAGCACTGTCCCCTTCTTCCCACAGCACAAATCTCCCCAGTAAACACTAGAGGCTTTTCTGTAGAAGAGAATAACATTCTTAAATAAAGGGAGATGGTTTTTGAAATGATTTTAGATGAATACCTATGTTTCTACATTAGAAAATTCTCTGAATATTCATTTGAAAGTCATATTGAATGATTCCTCAGGTGATGAAGAAACAGATGGCCATTCTACGTAGAGAGAAATATATATGTATTTCTCTTAAAGATGACACAGAGAGGTAATAAAGGACAAAATGATTCCACTGGGCTTGGTAATAGAGAGCCCACTATAACCTAATATAAAGGGAAAGAGACAGAGTTAAGGGTGAAGGACACTGATTGTAGGCGAAGTGTAGAAAGACAGGTTGTCAGGTCCTTCGGTGACAATGGGAGCGAAAGAGGTTTTATTTAAGGGAGATATGCAGTTAAGTTCGATTTTTGCAGAGATAATCATCCGGTAGGAGATAGATAACAGTAAGAAAGAATAGTGATGAGATCAGTTAGGAAAGGGTTGCCATGAGGCAAGGGAAAATAGGGACATTGGCCAGATAGTAGCAATATTAACATAAAAAGGCAACTGGATTCAAAACTCTGTGGACTGGATGACACAGGATTTGGCAACTGATTCACTGATGTGGGGAGATATCCCAGACAAACTGGTGGCTATTAATCCAGGGTACTAAGTGAAAGATAAAGAATGGACTGTGAGGGATGATGGGACCATAGTGTCGGACACAGAAAGTGTTAAGTTTTAGGGGCAAGAGTGAGACCTGACGGTACACAGTAGGAAACTGAAAATATGAACCTGGAACTTTATGTAAAATCTGGAACTAGAAATCCAAACGTAAGAAGGCACCAGTATTGACAGGTAGCCACAGTCATGGTTGTTTAAGAGAAAACATAGAAAAGGAATTTAGAATGAGACAAGTAGAAGACCCAGGACAAAACGTGGGGAACAACATTTACCTGGTGGCAGAGAAAGAAAATCCAATGAAGGGAATGAAAGATATCTAGTTAGAGATATAAGAAAATATAACTTCCCTTTAAAATGATTTTATTCATGGATTAAATCATTCTATAGCATTTATTATACACCTACTCTATGCCAGTTACTTATGAGGGCTGGAAATAAAATTATGCATAAAGAAAACATATTTACTGATCACATAGAGTTTACATATGTGTCCGCAAGAGAATGATGAGTTCACATTTGGAGAGTCTTCAGTTGTGTAAAAAATAGAAAGGTCTCTATAAAAATATATAACGACAGGACAAAAAAATCTATTTCTTAAGAGACAGATGAAGAGGAAAAAATGAGGAAGAACTTCATAAACGAAAGAGTACAGATATAGAGGAAGAACCAGGAGAAACTGGTCCCCATAATATGAAGGGATTAAAGCCCTTTGTGAAATAGTGTGTTAATGAAAACACATTATCAGTGGGAATTGCTCAAGTGGGGGTTATTGGTAACTTTAGAAAGCAGCTATGATAAAGAGAAAGCAAAAATGTAGATTATTGAGTTGAAGGAGAATAGAGAATATGGCCATTGGACATACATATTTGTTTCCACACCTTTCTGAATTTACATTTAAAAGGTTTTTGAAGAGGCATAAACCCACAGAGAATGAGAGAATATGTGAGAATGATAGCACCAATATTTGGTGACTAGAAAAATTCAGATGAGTGGTAGTAATTGAGCTTATCAGAGAGAGTTGACACCAAACCTGCTGGATGCATATTAGTTTAAAAACTGATGTGCTCCCTAGATTTGACTACCACTCCATTTAAAAAAAAAAAAAAGCAAGAGAAAGAGACATGTTGAACAATACAACATAGGGGTGTCCCTGAAAAATAAAGAATGTGGATAATTCTGTAAGAAAATTGATCTTGTTTCCTCAGTAAACAAATATCAGTAAATAAAATAAATGTAGAAGAAATTATTATAGATTAAGGGATAATTAACAGATATGTGTGGAATTTGTCTGGATTCAGACTTGGACAAAATTTCAAACTCACTTAGGAGATGATTATGGAAATTTGAACACTGAATAGGTATTTTGTGATTTTTAAAAAATTTTGTAGATGTGTAATTGCTACTGTGTTAATGTTTCTATAAGAGTTTATCTTTTACAGTAACATAGTGAAGTGTTTCTGAGTGAATGAGTTTGTGATTTCCTTTAAAGTACTCCAATAGTTTTGGTGGTGGAGCAGGGATTTGGAGAATATAGATGAAAAAAGATTGGTTATATATTGATGATTGTTCAAACAGGGTGCTTTGGATGGGGTATTTGATATTTTTCTCTCTACGGTTGTGATTGATATTTTCATAACAAGAGATCTTCAGAAAGAATCAAATAAAATTATCTGAAATATACTGATAAAAATTGAGAGACGATAAATTAATTGGGTTTTACTCTTTCTTCAAAAAGATCACTGTAAATATATTGGAGAAGCTTAATAATGGAAGGAACAAAAACAGTGGCAAAGTATAGGGTTGTTTATTTATTCATTTACATAATATTCACTGACATTCAGGCAATGTGCTAGATAGGAAGAATTAGAAACTATAATTTAAAAAAAAGCAGGAGAAAGAGACATGTTGAACATTAGGAAACACTGAGAGTGTGAAACATTAACAAACACCAATGTAGAATCTAGAACTGTTCTATCTAATACGGTAGCCACTAGTCATATTTGGCTATTGAACATCTGAATGTGGCTAGCAAAAAACTTAACATTTCATTTTATTTAATTTTAATTTATTCAAATTTTAAAACCTAAGCAGTATAAAATACATTTGTGTTACACAACTTTATTATTTTGATAGAGCTATATTTCACTTTAACTATTGCATCATGTGAGATATTATTATTGTATTTTACTGCACATGTTGGGAACACTAATCATTTCTAGTATTACACATAAGCTGTTCACCAATCTAGTTGGTGTCTATGGATTGATTCAGTTTGAATGATATTTCACTATGTACTGATTTAAGATTGTAGTATTTTTATTTGAGTATTTTATGCAAACAGCAGCAGTTACAACAGTACCTATGTAAATTGTAATTGATAAATGGATTAAAATATGTATTATTATTTTATAATTAATTTAAGCAAATCGCTTTTCTAGTTTGAAAAATAGATATGGTAATTAAAATTTAATGCACTGAAAAGCACATTTTCATGATAAAAACTCTCAACATATTTGGTATAGGGGTAGTATAACTCAACATAATAAAGGCCATGTATGACAGGCCACAGCTAACATTATACTCAATGGTAAAAGCCTGAAAGCTCTTTCTCTAAGATCAGGAACAAGACCAGGATGCCCACTCCTCTCACTTTTATGCAACATAATACAGCAAGTTTTAGCCACAGCAATTAGGCAAGAGAAAGATTTAAAGGCATCTAAATCAGAAGAAAATAATTAAATTGTCTCTGCAGACAATATAATCTTACCATCTAGAACTCTAAAGACACTAACTAAATCTATTAGAACTAATTTAAAGTCTGGAAAGTTGCAGGATACAAAAATTAACATACAAAAATCAGTAGAGTTTCCATACACTAACAATGAACTTTCCAAAAAAGAAATCAGAAAAATCAACTTACAATAGCTAAAAAAAACCCCAAAACAAAACAAACAAAACAAACATAAAATACTGAGGAATAAGGGCCAGGTGCAGTGGCTCACGCCTGTAATCCCAGCACTTTGGGAGGCCAAGGTTCGCGGATCCAGAGGTCAGGGGATCGAGACCATCCTGGCTAACATGGTGAAACCCCATCTCTACTAAAAAAATACAAAAAATTAGCCAAGTGTGGTGGCGGGCGCCTGTAGTCCCAGCTACTTGGGAGGCTGAGGCAGGAGAATGGTGTGAACCCAGGAGGTGGAGGTTGCAGTGAGCTGAGATCGCACCACTGCACTCCAGCCTGGGTGACAGAGCAAGACTCCATCTCAAAAAAATAAATAAATAAAAATAAATAAATAAATACTTAGGAATAAATTTTACCAAGAAGGCGAAGAGTCTACACACCAAAACTATACAACTTTGATGAAAGAAACTGAAGAAGACACAAATATAGACAGAAAAATATTCTATGTCCATGGATTGTTAAAATATTTCACTATGTAATGAGATCTACAGATTGATTCTCTCTCAAAATTCCAGTAGCATTTTTCACAGAAATAGGAAGAAAATCCTAAAATTCACACGGAACCACAAGACACTAATAGCCAAAGCAATCTTTAACAAAAAGAACAAAGCTAGAGGCATCATACTACCTGACTTTAAAATCTACTACAAAGCTATAGTCTTTGGAACAGCATTGTATTGGCCTAAAAACAGATATCTACACCAATGGAACAGAATATAGAGCCTAGAAATAAATTCATCCATTTACCATCAATTGATTTTTGACAAAGATGCCAAAATTACACAATGCAGAAAGGGGAGTCTCTTCAACAAGTGGTGTTGGCAGAACTGGATATGTATATGTATATGTAGAATAAAATTGGGGTCAGGCACGGTGGCTCACACTTGTAATCTCAGCACTTTGGGAGGCCAAGGCGGGTGGATCACCTGAGGTCAGGAGTTCGAGACCAGCCTGGCCAACCTGGTGAAACCCCATCTCTACTAAAAATACAAAAATTATCTGGGTGTGGTGGCGGGTGCCTGTAATCCCAGCTACTCAGGAGGCTGAGCCAGGAGAATCACTTGAACCCAGGAGGCCAAGGTTGCAGTGAGCCAAGATTGCGCCATTACAATCCAGCCTGGCGACAGAGAGGGAGAAGAAGAAAATTGGATCTTTATCTCACACCATGTATAAAAATAAACTCAAATTGGATAAAAGATTTAAAGCATAAGACCTGAAACTGTATAACTACTAAAATAAAACAAAGTGAAGAAAAATGGACACATAAGATTACATTAAAACAAAGGTACTATACAATTTAAAAAATCAACGGAGTGAAGAGACAATCTACTGTATGAAAAAAATATTTGCAAACCACATATATAATAGAGTTAATATGCAAAATGTGAAGAGTTCTCAAAGATCTTAAAATATAGCTACGACTCAATCCAGCAACCCCACTACTGGGTATATACTCAAAGGAAAATTGTTCATTCAATCAAAAACACACACGCATCTGTAGGTTTATTGCAGTGCTATTCACAATATCAAGGACCTGGAATCCACCTAGGTGCCCATCAGCAGTGGATTGGGTAAAGAAAACGTGGTACATATACACCAGGGAATACTATACAGCCATAAATAAAAACAAAGCCATATCCTTTCCAGCAACATGGTTGGAGCTGGAAGGCATTATTTTAAGTGAACTAACGTAAAAACAGGAAACCAAATACTGCATGTTCTCACCTGTAAGTGGGAGCTATATATTGAATACACATGAACATAAAAATGGGAACAATAGACCCCAGGGACCACTAGACAAGGGAACGAGGGAGGGGTGCATGCCTTGAAGATCTACGTGTTGGGTAATATTCTCACTGCCTGAGTAATGGGATCATTGTAACTCCAAGCCTCAGAATCAGGAATTTACTCATGCAACAAACCTGCAGGTGTAGTCTTTAACCTATAATAAAAGTTGAAATTATAAAAATAAATTTACAGATAAATAATCAACGTTAATAATATATGTATCTATGTATACACAAAAAAAATAAAGATCTTAAAGAATTCAATAGCAAGGAAAATAATCTAATTAAAATACTGGCAAAGGATCTTAATAGATGTTTCTCAAGACATACAAATGGCCAATGGTATATGAAAAATGCTTAAAACCACTAATCGTCAGGGAATTCAAATCAAAACTACAATGAGACATTACCTCACACCTTTCAGAATGGCTGTTATCAGAAAAACAAAAGATAACAAGTATTAGGATGTAGAGGAAAGGGAATTCTTGTACATTGTTTGTGGAAATGTAAATTAGTACAGCTATTATGGAAAACTGTTAGGAAGAGTTGTAAAAAAATTAAAAAACAGAATTACCACATGATCTAGACATTTCATTTCTTGGTATATAGCCAAAGAAAGAAAATCCATCTGTAGAGACAGCTGTACTCCATTGTCCATTGTGGCATATTCTAGAATCAACCTAAGTGTCTATCAATGGATGAACGGATAGTGAAAACGTTTTATTTATACATACATATATACGCATATGCACTATTATTCAGCCTTAAAAAGAAGAAAATTCTGTCATTTATGATAACATGGATGAATCTAGGAGATCTATTGTGCAACACAGTGATTAAAGTTAACAGCAATGTGCTTACACTTGAAAATTCTAACAGAATGGATTTTATTTGCCTCAAATAAATGATGTTTGTGAGGTACTGCATATGTTAATTAAGTTGATCTAGCCATTCCAGAATGTATATGTATTTCAAAACATCTTATTTACACCAAATATACACAATTTTTATCTGTCAATTAAAAAAATAAGATGAAAAAATACTAAAGCCCTGCACAATTCTAAAATAACAAAACCTACTGGGGGAAGGGGTTAGTTTATCTAGTTTTAAAATTTAAAGCTATTATCTAATTAATAATTTTGTCTTTTAGGAAGGATGTTATGTGAAGTGTAATGTCATCAAAATATTGTTAAAGTCCACGTAATGGCACATCATGAGCATTTAACGCTATTAATTTTATCAGTCTTTTTCCTTTCATGGTCTGCCCCACAATCTCAGGAGGCTTGATTGGTCTTATATGATTTATTCCTTAACATAGTCTGATTCCTCTTCGGAAAAAATAAATAAATTGCTGCAGCAGAGCAAAATGGAGAAGTTGCTCGATTTACAAAAACAATCTTGGAAATAATAAAGAGAGCAATATCAAGTGAACATAGTAAACTTGATAGCAAATCATATCTAAACAGCCAAAAAAGAATTGAATGAATTAATCACCTAAAATAAAAGTTAAATGTCAAAAATTTATAAATGATTTTTAACAAGATCTGAGATTATAATATCCACGAGCTATAAAACAGCTTAGATTCCTGTGCATGCTCAAAAAGTCAGTTTTAGATAAAGAGATGGCAAATAAATTATTTCAATTATGAAAATTAAGTTAGCAAGTCAAGAAGAAAAAGATTTTAAAAGTTAAGTTAAATTTGAAAGTTAAGGTACAAAACAATTCCCATTGTACACCTTTCTAACAATATCAAAGATCAGTTAATTATACATTTTAAATATTGTAAATAATCTTTTGGCTTTACAAAAAAAATTACAATATAAAACATAATGCCCAATTAAATAGTTGGGCATATTTTGTTTCAATGGACTTTCAAATTTATAAGTCAATGTTGTCAACTTGCAGCCTAAAATATCAACCTCGGGGCATAGATACTTTTGAATATTTTACATCTTTAAAGAATGATTTCAGCTATATATATGTATTTTAAAATATCAGTAAACAGTGCTCTACATTAGGTCAAAAACCCAGACTTACTAAATTTTAAAAATAGAGATTGATAGCTCCCTTATTGCTTTGTTCCACTGTATGATACATGCTGAAAGTCTTTATGGTCTAGTTTTTGAAGTAAGCTATAAAATGTGTCATAAATATGTGAATCATAACCAGTTTTTGGAACTATTGAAAGAAATAAAAGACAACATATCTAATGACCTTAAGTTCTTTGCCAGTGCTCACTGGTTGAGCCAGAAGTTTTAGAAATACATAATATACTGTAACTCCAATTCTAAATTTTCTTGAAATAAAAATGTACTTACCAAATATTCAGTAAGCAAATAAAAATGGCAATATAATGTAGGACTTTTTTGTATTGCATATGAACAAGCTAAATTTAAAGTTTCAAATAAAGACCTTATTTGTGAGCAGAGTAGAGAGGTACTAACATTTATTTTGAAATGAAAACTTTTAAAAATACAATAATATTGATGTTACAAATTTTTCTAATGTGAATCAATTTGCAGAATTGATTGTGCTGTGTAAACTAGCTGCAAAACTACAAGGAAAACTTCTAAAATGTTTTGTTCATATTGTCAAATTTGGAATTGCCCTTCAGTTTATGCAGCTTTCCTTTGAGTTTAATATTAGTAATTCCAAGTTGACACATTAGTGAATTTACCTAATTTGGACAGATAAAGTTTTAAAACTGATATGCTTTTGCTTCAAAGTAAATCCATTTTCTTATAAAATATTAACATGTTTTGTCATCATAGATATGAGTATTAAAGGAAAATTATTTCTGATATTCAGTTCAATTATTGAAAAACTTTTATTTATGTTTGGAATGACTTGAGTATGTAAGTCTAATAATTCCACTACAAATTTTATGAAATCTAAAGAGAGATCAAGCATATCCAATGAAAATTTAGCATCTGAATTCAGATGGGCTGGAGGTATAAAATACACACCAGATTATAAAGACTTAGTACAATGAAAAAGATTAAATATCTCAATAATTTTTATATTGGTTGCATCTTGAGATAATATTTTAAACTTACTTGGTTAAATAAAATATACAATTAATGTTTGTTATACCTGAGTTTTTTTAATTCATTAATGTGACTATTAGAAAATGCAAAAGTAAACATATGACTCACATTATATTTATACTGAATGGTTCTGATCTAGGAAAATGCATATTGTTAGACACATACAGCAAGACAAAACAAAATAATACAAAAACATACCAATATTTAATACCTGGTATCAAAAAATAGCTAAGAATCATCCATAATTAAAAGAATATTTTTGTATAAACAGAGATGAGAGGAAAATAAGAAAGAGAAGAAAGCTAAATTGCTCTAGATAAGAAATAGAAACTTGGAAAGGGATGGAGAGCAGAGAAGAGAGGGAAAGGTAGAGCAGAGGCTAGAGACTATGTCCACAGAAATTTCAGAGACTCTAAAAAACACCCAACTACTAATAAACAATGTGTCTTCAACATAAATGTTTAACATGAAAAGCACACATTCAGCATTACAAAAAAATCTTCAGTAAATTCTATTTTATATAATAATGCTTTATGTGAGTTATGTTTGGGGATAAATCAAAGATTGACTGTGTTTTGCATCTGGACCAGCAATGTGAACCTGAGGTGCCATAAGTGGGATAAAAGATGGCTTCTTCCTAAATTCAGAGGATGTCACAGATCAGAGCCAGAATTAACTAGAAAAAAAACACAAGCACTCTGCTTTTTTCTACTCAAGAATGCATAAAGAAATCGAAAAGGACATGGAGCCCCCAGCACACATAGTCTACATTCTCAAATCTTTGTTTGCTTCAAGAAAAACACAGTAACTCAGTTAACTTATGTTACACATTTCTAGCTACTTGTTTTTCCGTGTATGAATTTCCCTGAGTCTCATGGTGATATTAGTTGCCAATATTTTTGATTATCATTGACTTATTTAACCAGAGGCTGAAAGTATCCCAAAAAATATCTTTCCTGGAAATCAACTCTAGAAAAAAAGTTGAGTGAGAAGTTAGAAATAGAAAGTTAGAATAGAAATTAAAGAAGATTAGATTTACTTACTATAGTAAATATCGTTAGTTTTCCCATAAAATATGCTCTTCTTTGCCTCTCATAACATTGGTATCTTCAGTTTTAAGCAGGTACATGATAAGTCATGATAATGAATACATTTATCCTCAACCTGCCTCAGAGCAAGCTGTGGACATCTCTAAATTCTGGCCGTTGAGATGTGAGCAGAAGCCATGTGTGTACTTTCTAGAACATGTCCTTGCCTTCCCATTGTGCTTTTTTCACAGGGTATAATATGGATTTTAGGTAGCACTGGATTATGGCAGTACCCTGGAGATGGAAGAGGCAGAAGCTAGGTCTGGTTCCCAATACTGTGAAAGATCTGAACTAGCTCTGAGCCACTTATGCCCACATTGTTACATTTTTAAATTGTTTTATTGTTTAAACTATTGTTATTTTGCTTTTCTGTTAGTAGAACTAACCTTAATCCTGACACACTACTAATACTGTATTTCTGAAACAAGTATAGCAGTTTATTTACTAATACCTGTATTTCCAGTCTTCTGGAAATTTCATATTCCACAATCAGACTTGGAAATTTGTAAGCATGCAAATGGTCGAGGGGTGAATTACCAGGAATAAGGCACTTCTCTTAATGTGGCTGGCAAGGTAAGTACATAGGGGATGAAGTTTTCACAAGATAGTCTGTAAAACTCTGTCCAAGAGAATAAGTTTGCTGAATGTTTCCTCCGTGAGCAGACATTTTCTCTTGTGTAATCCACCTTGCTAATATGTATTTGCTTGTATCTAGAGCTGTAATTCTGATAACTACCTCAATCAACTCTTGGAATCTTCCATGAAGAAACACTCCATAGCAACCCTAATTTCACCCTCTGACATTTTTTTTCACCTAAAGCTTCTCAGGGAAGGGGCTCTCTCAGGCTTTTAGCTCCTCAATATCCAGGCTTCATATTTCATATCAGCATATCATACTAACAGCTGAAAGGATGCAAAGTTCATTATTTTACAAAATTACGAGCATTTGAAAATTACTGATTAACTTACAGCTATACCTGCGAAGGGAAAGAAGGTAATTCTTCACTATTGGGAAAAAGACTCCCACAGATGCAGTGCTCAAAATATAGCTATCATGAACTTTCTAGAAGTTTAGAAAGAGAGATGGAGGACAGAATCCGGCAGATATCAACTAGTGAGTTACTCTTCACTCACTTATCCATCCATCCATCCATCCATCCATCCATCCATCCAAAATATTACTGAATGCTTCAAACGTACAAAGAAATGCTTAGAAAACAGCAGTGAAAAATATACAGTCTGTTCCCTCATGAAAGTGATATTTTAGTGGAAGAGATAGACATTTAAAAAGCAATTACATAATTATCTAAATTACTTTTTAAAAAGGACTATAAAGAGCAGAAGTGTATGGCTTAACAGCCTACACAGTGACACTGCAAGGTTGGGAAAGTCATAAAAGGCTTTCTACAGGAAACAATGTTTGAGATGAGCTCTGAAGCGGTATTAATTTTAAAAAGGAGGAAAGGAAGAGCATTTCAGACAGAAGCAAAGTATGTTTGAAAGCCTCAAGGCCCGAAAGGGTATAAGTTTTTAAGGAACTCAAGTTGGTTTGCTCAGTTAGCAAGACCACCAAATGCCTAGGCAGATAAAAAAGGAGTCCCTGGAGAATTTCCCACCTGCCCCACAAGGTTTAACATCAGATGCTTTTGTGTAGATGAGGGAACCTGCTCAGAACTTGTCTGGGAATGCCTACAACGGACTGAAGCCAGACTTGCGCACTGGGGGAAGTGGGTGGAGCCACGAGGAATTTACCCCGTATGCAGGGAAGGAGCCTGCCCTCTTCAGCTCCTGTGGGGAGCTGGGAATCAATCCCCGAGATGGAGGGCCTGTTAGCCAGACTCCATCTCACTTTGCTGAGTTTTTATGCTTTTTTTCCTTTTCTCCCAATAAAGTCCTGCTCTACTCACCCTTTAATGTGTCTGGTGCCTAAATTTTCCTGGCCATGTGACAAAAACCTGGGTTTTAGCTGAACTAAGGAGGAAAGTTCTACCACACTAACATCAGGAAAGCTAGGTGGAGGTTAAACTAGATGAAGTTGGTGAAGTAGGCAGGGATCTAGAATCAGGGTCTAGCCTTGGAGGTCATATAGATTTAGCAGTTATTTTTAGAACAATGAAGCTATTAAAAGGGTTTAGCATTATAACGGTGGCATGTGTGTATCCACGAGGTGACAATTATATTTTTGTGTTCCAGCTTACCTCAGGGTGAAAAATGGATTTAAGAGAGGAGAGAGAGAAAATGTGAAAGTCAGTTAGGAACAGCCTCCTGCTGAGAAATAATACTGTGGTCATGGATAATAACATAGGTGGAGGGAAGTAAAGAGATTCCATATATTCAGAAGTGGTAGGATTGCAGATAAAGAAAATCATGGAGAAGGGGGTATAATATGTGGAATTCAAATTCCTACCTTGTGTAATTAGACATAAAATATAGTCATTCTGGAGAAAGTGTGGCTTTCTTAGAAAGACAATGAACTAAATTTTGAATAAATCGAGTCTGAAATGCCAATAGGATGCCCTGGTGGTAGAGTTAAGAAGGCAGAAATACTTAGATATGTGAACTGTTAAGAGATGTCTGCATAGGAGGAGGTATTTACATATACCCCCACACATGTATATATCTTCTCTCGGTGTATGTATAAACATATATAAAATATACCATATATACATACACATTATATACCATATATACCTTATACATACATATAATACATGCACTGCATAACAATGTTTTGATCAAGAATAAACTTCATATATAATGGCAGTTTCATAAAATTATAATACCATATTTTAACCTTTTCTATGTTTAGATATGTTTAGATACACAAACACCATCTTGTTACAATTACCTACAGTACAGTAACATGGTGTACTGTACAGGTTTGTAGCCTAGGAGCAATAGGCTATGCCATTTATCCTAGGTGTATAGTAGGCTATGTAGTCAAGGTTTGTGTTAAGTGCACCCTATGAAGTTTGTGGAACAGTGAAATAGCCTAAAAATACATTCTCAACATACACTTGTTGTTAAGTGATGCACGACTGTATATATAATAAACATAAGAAGAGCTTTATTTACCATCTACACGTGGGGTACACACACACACACACACATATACACATGTACACATGCTTTTATATACACACATATCTTAGTCCATTTGAATTGCTATAACAAAATACTGTAGACTGGGTAACTCATGACTGTATATATAGTAAACATATGAACAGCTTCATTTACCATCTACACATGGAATACACATACACATATGCACACACACTTTTACATATCTTAGTCCATTTGGAATACATACACACACACACACGCACACACACACACACACACACATATATATCTTAGCCCATTTGGAATGCTATAACAAAATACTATAGGCTGGGTAACTCATAATAGCATTTTATTTCTCACAGTTCTGGAGGCTGGGATGTCCAATAGGAAGTCGCTGGGAGATTCAGTGGCTGGTGAGGTCCCCCTTTCTCATAGATGTCACCATCTAGCCAGATGTCCTCAAACAGTAAAGGGGACTAGCTCTCTGCAGTCTTGTTTATAAGGGCACCAATCTCAATCATGAGGAAAATAAAACAAAAGGGAGATATATTCGGAGGGAGAGAGAGAAAACACACCATATATGTGGATGGGAAATGAAGCCATTCATTTGTTTATTTAACAAATATTAGGTACTCAATATTTATTGAGCTAGGAACTGTTCTGAATATTGGGAATACACTGAGGATTCAGAGTTCTGAGAGTGGACATTGTAATACTATTTAAGATGGCCAGAATGAGGATAATTGAGAAGTTGAAGTATGAGAAAAGCTCTGAAATAAATGAGGTGTGAGCCATGTATATATCTAGAGGGTGAGAGTCCCAGAGGGAAGAACCAGTGCAAAGACCCCAAAGGAGAAGGGCACCTGGGCTCAAACAGTATAAGTCACCGTGGCTAGAAACTGAGAAGGAGAGTTATAGAAGTCAGACAAGCAGAGGAAACAGTGACTACATTGAATATGGTCTTGAAGGCCATTGTAAGGATGTTAGTTTTTACCCTGAGTGAAGTAGGGAATCAATGAAGGATTGCATTAGAAGAGTGATATGGTTTGATATATTTTTAAACAACAACTCTACATGTTGTCTTGAGAGTACATAGCAGATGTCCCAGTTTTCTTGAGAATGAGGGGTTTTCTGAGACACATGACTTTCAGTGATAAAACCTGGTAGGTCTCAGAAAAACTGGCACAGCTGCTTAAATAACTTCGGTAGAAGCAGAAAAACCAATTAGGAAGCTATTGCAATAATTTTCAGCAATTATGGTGCTTAAGACTAAGACAGTAGCCATGGAGTTGGCGAGATACGATCATGTTATAGATTTATTCTGAAGTTACAAGCAATTGGATTTGAGAGACTGGACAATGTGGTTTGAGAGGTGGGGAGTCAAGAATTACCCCAATTGAAAATATTGAATTGCTATTAACTGAGTTGAGCAAGGCTATGGATGGAGTGGAATTTTAGGAAAAAAATCGATTTTGGTCATGTTAAGTTTAAAATGTGCATTAGACATTCAAGTGAATATATTTATTAGGTGGGTAGATATACAAATATGGAGTAGGCTTGTAAAACTCGGGCTGGACATCTATTTTCAGGAGACATCAGCAAGAAAGCTCAGATGAATCATCGAGGAATTGATAAGAGAGGAAATTTAAGGGTCAGATGAAATCACCTACTTAAAGTATATGGAATGGAAGGCATTTTAACATTTACATTTCTAACATTTAAAAGGAGAATATGGTCTGGCAAATAAAACTTGAAAGGAGGAAATTAAAGACATAAGAGGTAGAACAGAGGCTAAGAGAAAAAGTAAAATATTGGTTTACTCCAGTACTTCAAAGGAAATATTGATTATTCTTCAGCCACAGTGCAAGATATGAACAATTATCTCCAGAACTGATTTTAAATCCATCTCAACTGGTCACTGATAACTTGCATGCCTATAATTGACTTCAATAGCCACTTAAAAGTCTGCATGTCAGTAACAGCCTTATTGCAATAACCTATTGTCCAAAGCTAACGTTTAACCCATTCCTAATACTCCTACTTTTGAAAATCTATCGGTCTCTGCATTTCACATCTTCCCAAACTCTGCTGATTGTCAAGAAAGACTGTGCATCTCAAGAATAGTTCTCTCTTACTTAGCACACAACTCATACAGCTTTTCCTTTTAGAAAATGAGTGTAGTCTCTTCTGTTGATAATATGTTTCAAAAGGAGAAACTGATCAGTGGTGTTCAATATGGCTGAGAAGTCAAAAGAGATAAAGACTAACAGTGATCACTGGATTTATCAACATGGAGGTTAATGCTAACTTTATAGAGGTTCATTTTAATCCAATGCTGAGAGAATCAGACTAGAGTAGTTGGAGTAGCGAATGGCAATTAATGAAAATGGAGACAGTGAAAAGAGAACATTGTTTTTGCTTAAACTTTTTGTTTTAGAATATAGTTTCAGATTTAGTAAAATTGCAAAGATAGTACAGAGAGTTCTCCTACACCCACATCCAGTTCTCCTATTGTTAACATCTTACACGAAACAACACTGTTTTCAGAAACTTCATTCTGACCAGAGGAGAGATGGGTAAGTAGCTAGAAGGAAAATTAAGATAAAAAGGATCTTGCTATTTGAATAGCCATTGGTTTCTTTTCCTGGTTTTGTTTGTCTGCCTGTCAGTTTGCTTAAAACAGGACAGACATGATAACTAAATGTTGATTGCAATAATCCCAAAGACAGAAAGAGGATGAAGATAGATTTGAGAAAAGGTGACCTTTTAGAAAGTTTAGAATTCACATTTTTGGTTTTAAACAGAACAATTATGTTTAGTTTTAGTTGGTTTTATGTATACCACACTGTCAAGAATATTCCAGAGAAGCTCTAAAGTGCTTTTCCCATTCTAAAGAATGGACCTGGGCCTTATAGCTGAAGTTATTATTATGAGCTCATGTCCACTGTGGTTACAATAGAACCACTGTGTAGTTTGTCCATATAATTTCACTTCAAATATTTCATCCCATTCCCAAACGCTATAGTTTGACTGATAAGCTTTTATGGCTCCCCATATTCACAAAACCTGAGAAAACTTTCAGCTGAGGGCCTTTAATCTTTCTCTGATGGCTTCATTTCTGTTGATTTTATTATAGCAGATTAGGAAAGGACAACAGTGAAATTCAGTATTTATTGTCAACCTGAATTGTGACCAGAACATTTTGGCTTCTTCCAATGACAGAAAATATACCATTCAATAAAATTTATAATTACAAATAAACAAAAAATAATGCATTAAAGAATGTAATTTAAATCAATGCTGTGCTTTAAAAAATTTTCTTGAAGAGATTCCAGTGGCAAAACTGAAGATTTTATGAGGGAAGTGTTTGAGATAAGAAATGAAAATGCAACAGGGCATGTCAGAAAAAAGTTCAGACAGTGTAAGAAGGTAGTTCACAGCTGGCGCTTCCCAGAAGAGTCGTCAAGGACAAAGGCAGAGTGGTAAGAGAAACTACTTCCTCTCCCTGCTTACGCCACTTCTTTCATGTCAGGGGGCTAGGAGTATTCTCTCCTTAAAATGCATAGTCCTAAGACATATATATCTTTCTTCTATCTAAAATCATAATTCACATACAACACAGCCAGATTTTCCAAAATATCAGAACTATAGTACTAGAAATGGCAGATTTCAGTAGTTCAGGAAGCCTCACGTTGTCATAATAAATAGCTTGGAAGGTGTGTGAAACTGGGGCCAAACAACCCAACAATGTCCTTATCTTCTGCTTCACTGATCATCTTTCATCAGAACCCTTTTCCATGTGTCTTGCCTTTTTTCTCACCCATCTTGTACCTGTATTATTGAATGCTGATGAGAGCTGACTTGAGTCAGCTCCAGCTCCTCATTCTCAGGTAATCTGCTTGGAAACTAAATGCTGGCTGAAATTGTGAGAAAATGGGTAGGCTAAACATTACCCCATGGATAGGGAAAATGGATGCTACCCATGAGTATAGAGTGGTTCTACAAATCCTCTCTGTTGGAAAGAGTGTAACTGGAATGTCCAGAAGACAGAAATATAACCTGAGAATAAACAACATTTGAGTTAAATGTCATGGCTTTTGTTTTTCACTAATAGAGTAAGCTAAATTTAGAGAATAGCATGTCTACCACTGTAGAAGGCTTGTGCCAACAATTGGCAATAAAAAACCCAGGCATGAGTTTTGCAGAGAATTCTGTCAAGTCGGCTCCACATGATTCCACTTTAGGAGCACAGATCGCTCAGTTTGGAGTGGAAAAAAAATCTCAAGGCAAATGTAACATGGAAATATTACTCACTGTTATTCAAGTAATTTCAAACACTCCAAAGACACCTGTACTCTGGAAACATTCCCTCAGATTGTATCCTTGTTCTTTCACATGCTTTTGTGCTTGTCTTTTCTACAGTCTCAGGCAATAGACCCATCATTGACCTCAGTGCTATCAGGGTAGTGTGGGGCAGTGTATAGAGCCCTGGAACAGTAGTCCACAGGATACAGATGCTGTGGCTGTCTCCTCCACTTAGCAAACACATAAATCTGTGCAAGGTACACATTCATAGATCCTAGTGCTGGGATTAAATAGTAGGCAGGTAAGTTATTTTACACCCCTATTTTGTTTAAAAGAAAGCTAAGTCCGGCAGAGATTTTTATTTGTTAAAGGCTACTTTTCCCAATCATTGGGAAAAGTCTGAAAAGTTTTGTTTCTTATTCTCTAAATAATATGTGCTTTATCTGCTTCATGAAAGATCATGGGAGGCATGTGAGATAATGTTTGTGAAATATAAAGCATCATGCAAAAGTAAGTGGTACACGCAATGCTCTAGGTGGCTTCAAAAGGGGAAATATCTGTACTGAGGAAAAGCAAAAAATTGATTTATTTAGCTTCTCGGTTCCCACCCACACTTCAAATTGCCATGGGCTAGATAGAGTTGCCTCTTTAAGGAGGACTCTTCCTCTTAGAGGTAGCCACAATTAACAACTTGTCAGTGTGGAGTATAAAGGCTTGCTCTTCACCCACTCTAAACAGTAATCCCAGCTATTTTTATCTGTGGGATTGGGTAAAAATTGTGTTGAGATTGCATCACAGCCAAAGCTTTTCTTCATAATCCTGATTCCTTCCTTTTTATTCCAAGAGTATTGATCTGAAGAGCATTTCTTAATAAACTTACCATATATGAGATTTTACTTCAGAGTGCACTTTCTGGGGAACCTGACCTGTGACACTGATATCTTTTTTCAAAGACGATGAGTGTGCTTTATAAACATTGATTGGTTGAGTTGAGGTTTTGTATGTGAATGAAACTTATCGTTTCTCTTCCACTATTGAAATTGTTTCCTATAAAGAGCTATGCACTTAAGGATAGTGACCAAATGAGTAAGTAGACAAGCATCCTGTAAGAAATGTATATTGGAGAATAGCTTACTCCAAAAGGCCTCAGTGAGACATCTTGTGTCCTTCTCCCTTCCAAGTCCAAGGTCACCAGGTCTGTGAAGCACACTGAAATCTGGCTTACCTAGCCAGTCACAAGTTCAGAGTACCCATAGAGATTCATTGCATTTTAATGTAAAAGTAACCAAATGAAACAGGACCCACTCATCTTTCTTCCTACAACTCCTATTTTTAGGAAGAAGGAACTAAAGCTTAGAAGAGTTAAGCAAATTATATAAAGTGCTCCCATTTTAATAAGTTGCAGAGTTAAAGCATGACTAAAACTCTGTCTGATGAAAATTCTTGCTGGGTATTTCAATAAACAGTCATGAAAAGACCTTTGTGCTTAGAGGTTGTGGCCTAATATAGGTGCAAGAAAGTGAACCCTCATGGTACAATCTGTGAATGATATAGTAAGTCTGTTGCATAAGAAGAACTGGCTTTGAGAAAAAAAAAAGCTGCTTGAGAGGCAAGTATATCCTGGACTATTCAAAAAGAAAAGCTGATATCAAAAAGGAGAACTGATATACTTAAAAACAAAATAAAACTGCCACCTCTCCCACTATCCCACCCCAGTGATATCCTAAACACCAGGATGGAAGAAGAATTGAAAGAGAAAAGAAAACATTCATGCAAGAATGTACATTGTTAAAGCAGGTACCTTGCTAAAGCAGATATAAAAGGACCCAGAAAGAGCAAAATGAATGGTGATCCCAGAACTGTGTTTCTCTTCTAGCTTGGCTTCAGAGCTAGCTTTCTAGCTCCTACCAATTGCTCTCACAATGCCTTAGCCACAGCGTTTATCCATGCATCTTCAGTGAGCTGTGCCACATCGACATGCAGCTAAAACCCTGTACATGGTCAGCTATGATAATGAATTGTTCTGCATAATGATTTTGCATGTCCATGCCCCCACTAATAGAACATCATGTCACTGCTTCGTTAATCTGATTGCAAAGATTTTGTCGGGCTCTGCCAGATGTGGAGAATGGCTTCCTGAGCCCTGAGCTCTGATTAATCATATCCTGGGCTGTCAGATCTATAACTTGAGCAGCAAGGAGACATGCGTCTCTTATTACAGGTTATAAATGCAAACACTCAGGCTGTTGCTATTATCCAGTAACAGTGGCCCAGAGGCTCCAGATCTTTCAGTGTTTCAAAGAAATCCAGAAATCCATATTTTCTATAGCTCATGGGTTGGATGCCATATGTGGACCAAAGAAAATACATCTGCATGTGGCATCCAACCCATAGGCTACTTTACCTTACAATGTACATAGTACTCAATTGTTTATCAAGTGCTTCACTATTGATTATATCACCTGCAACTTGGAATGTGGGTAAGATAAACACCATTCCCTTTCTATAGGTAAGCAAAATTTAATTTACAGAGGTGAAGTGATCTGTTTATAATTGTATACCTAGGGAGTAGAAAAGACTAAATGCTGATCTAAGCCCTAGGACTTATGGTCATTTCAGCAACCCTAAAGTTCTCATAAACTTCCTTCTATGTTAATACAACTTGTTTGTCTTCTAATGTCATCTGTTCCCTGGTGACTGTTTCTGCTCTCCTGACCACTGCACATCTGTGACATCTGCTCAGCTAAAGTTAGTGGCTTCTATCTGTTGCCTGGTTCTAGACTTCGTGTTTGGCTTCAACTTATGCTTTGTTTCTAAAATCTCAAATCTCCTGGGTTTTTACTTCTAGCCCTGTTCTCTACGGTTCAAGACCAGCCCAGCTGATATTCAGCTAAAAATAACATTGTGTAACACATAGTTTATTACATAACTTAGTATTTAATAGTCAATGCTAATTGAATACAGAAAAGTGAGATTTAAATGCGGTTTAGATAACACACTGGTAGACAAACCCAGAAGAGGGGAGCAGAATTTATGTACAATATGACTCTTTATATGTTTGTTTTTCTTTCAAATTATGATAAGTTCTCATCAATGTAAAAGGCCATTATTTTACTGTTTGTAGTGGTTTCAGCATCTCTGAGGTGGGAAACAGTGGGTACTGCTGCTTGAAAATGAAAGAACTAAGTGCTCACTGTGCACCTCACTCTGTGGAAGAACTTTATAGACTTTTTTCATGGAGTACCTCAAACAAAAGGAAGTACTGATACTTGGAAAACATTAGTCGTAAGATGATATAGATGCTTCTAATTAACCATAGGAATCAAATTATCTATCATTTTCTTGAGTTTCTACATTGTGCTAGGCCTTCTACTAAGAACTATAAAGATGACATTAATAACTTACAATAATTTCCAAGATAGGTTTTAGAATTTTAGTCTATCACAGTTAATGGAATTGGGACCTAGAAAACTCACATAGAGTGTAGTGAATCCAGGATTTAATCAAAGCCAAGTTAGAGAGGTTCCTTATACCATAGAGGCTCCAAGGATACCACCTACCTTTCAGGTCACATAACTTCAGAAGGAACTGAACTAACTAAAGTGAGCCTTGATTAAAGCCCATAATAAACAGAGGTTTGAGGTAAATGCAGAAATTTCAAGTAAGAGAAGAAACTAATTGTTTGTTCCTGCTATGGCACAGCCACAAAGTTGATCTTTGGTGAGAATAATGAATCTATTTCTACGGCCTCCATTTTCTCCATGTGTTTATTTTTTCTTTATTCTTTTAGAAAAGGGATAGGTTTTCTTTCATTTTGTCTTCTTTTAGTTTCTCTGTTTTCTAGGTTTTCTTTCATTTTGTTTTCTTTTAGTTTCTCTATTTTCTAGGTTTTCTTTCATTTTGTCTTCCTTTAGTTTCTCTATTTTCTTTTTCTTAAAACATTCCTTTATAAAACTACAAGTTTATTTTGAGTGAACATAAGATGGGTTTGTCCCCATTCTACCCAACGTGTTTTAGTGAGCCCAAAGAACATGCAGGGTGAAGACATTATCAGTTCAGAGGGGGACCTGTGGTCCACTGGAAGGCAGGCATTGAAGAGACAGAATTAGAAGCAGCTGTGGTCAACTAAGTCCTTCCGTCCTACAGTTTCAGCTTTGTCCTTCCATTCATTCTTCTAACAAAGCGTAAAGTTTCATTCCTATGCTTTACCAAGAAATAGCCAACTAACCTCCACAATTGCTTAGATTCCAAAGTTCAGAGGACAGAGCACAACTGTGTCATTTTTTCCCCTACTGTGTTTTGAAAAGGTCCTATTTTATGTTTTATTGTATATCCAACAAAATGTGCAGGGAAAAGGCAAGCCTTCAACAAAATCATAATTTATTCCTAAAAGACAACTCTGAACTTACCCTGCCTTAAATCACAGCAGTCTACAATTTCAAAAACCAAGTGGAACAAACACGCCCCCACAGGAACTTAAGAGTAATAAAAATACAGAGATTGAACCCCAGACTCCTCAGTCCTCAGAAAATAACTGTTTCAAGCAGCAGCAGGTCGGCATATCTGTAAGACTGGATCTGTGTTATACCAGTGGGTATAGAAAGGACATGTGGCTGAACTTCAGCAGTTTTCTTGTCCAGAGAATTATTGCTTGCTTCACTTTGTACATCTGCTGAGTACTTAGAAAGGACAACTAAAATAAAATCAATGCCAGGTAGTTCTAGAGGAAATGCTTCCATGGATTCTGATTTCACCATCTTAACATGAGAAGAAGGATAGGGGATATGATATCATTACAGTTTATTGACATAGAAGCGAAAGAAGTAATACGCTTTCCACCCTGATATGCAATGAGAGGTTCAAGACAGTACTTGAGAAGTGAGAGGAAGAGAGCAGATAGGAGTCAGGACTAGCTTGCAGCTCCTGCTCACACGGACAGAGCAGCATGTGGAGACTCACATCATGAACTTTTGCTCCAAGAACTACCACAGGAACATACCAGGAAAGGCAAGAAAATACGCAGACCCTTTCAAGGAACTGGATCACCGCTGCAGGCTCCATGAGACACTGAAAAAACCGTGAGTCGGCTTGCTTTCTCAATGAAAAGGGTCACGTTCTGGGGCAAGTTCTCAGCCCTGGTCACTAGCTGCTAGGAAATAGACTTGGTACTACTGGGCGGGTACAGTTGGAAGTGAGACAGATCTTTAGGACTGCGGGCTATGTGGGAGTGGGGTGAAGCCTATGACTGCCAGCGTCTCGTCTCTCACTTACCTAGTAACCTGTATGACTCAGCAGAGGCAGCTGTATCTTCCAGGGAATATGATTTCACTGGACTGGGAATCGCACCCCCATCCCCCACAGCAGCCGCAGCAAGCCCCACCCAAGGAGAGGCTGAGCTCAGACATGCCTATTCCTGCCCCCACCTGGTAGTCTTTCTATACTCACCCTGGTAGCTGAAGAAAAGGTCATAATCTCTTGGTAGCCCTATGGGGCCCTTCCCACCACTTGAGAAACCTGAATACTTAACCAGGTATTCCTAGGGCAAGTCTGCATTCTCTGTATAGGACCACAGCTGATGTGCTCTGGAAAGCGCCACCTCCTGGCTGGAGACCAACCAACACAAAACCAGCACAGTAAACAAAAACACAGCCAGGGACCTTCACACAGTCCACTTCACTCCCTTGCTACCTCCACGGGAGCAGGTGCTGGTATCCATGGCTGAAAGACCTGACGATGGATCACATCACAGGACTCTTTGCAGACACTCTCCAGTACCAGCCCAGAGCTCAGTAGCTCCACCAAGTGGCTAGATCCAGAAGAGCAAAAGCAATCACTACGGTTGGGCTCTCAAGAAGCCCCATTCCTAGGGGAAGGGGGAGAACACCACATCAAAGGAGCACTGTGTGGGACAAAAGAATCTGAACAGCAGCCCTTAAATCCTAGATCTTCCCTCTAACATAGTCTACTCAAATGAGAAGGAACCAGAAAAACAATTCTGGCAATATGATAAAACAAGGTTATTTAACACCCCAAAAGATCATAGCAGCTCACCAGCAGTGGATCCAAACCAAGGCGAAATCTCTGAATTGTCAAAAAAAAATTCAGAAGGTCGATTATTAAGCTAATCATGGAGGTACAAAAGAACGGTGAAGTCCAACTCGAAGAAATCAAAAATATGATACAGGATATGAAAGGAAAATTCTTCAGTGAAATAGCATAAATAAAAAAGCAATCACAACTTGTGGAAATAAAAGACACACTTAGAGAAATGAAAATGTACTGGAAAGTATCAGCAATAGAATCAAAGAAGCAGAAGAAAGAAACTTAGAGCTTGAAGACACAGCTTGCAAATTAACCCAATCCCTCAAAAGCAAAGAAAATAAATTTTTAATGAACAAAGCCTTCAAGAAGTTTGGGACTATGTTTAACATCCAAACCTAAGAATAATTGGTGTTTTCCAGCAAGAAGAGAAATCTAAAGTTTGGAAAGCACATTTGAGGGAATAAACAAGGAAAGATTCTCTTGTCTTGCTAAAGATCTAGACATCTAAAAACAGGAAGCTCAAAGAACACTTGGGAAATTTATTGCAAAAAAGTCATTGTCTAGACACATAGCCATCAGTTTATCTAAAGTCAAGACAAAGGAAAGAATCTTAAGAGCTGTGAGGCAAAAACACCACATAACCTAAAAAGGAAAGCCTATTAGATTATCAGCAGATTTCTTAGCAGAAACCCTGCAAGCTAGAAAAAATTGAGGTCTTATTTTTAGCCTCCTTAAGCAAAACAATTATCAGCCAATAATTTTGTATTCAGCAAAACTGAGCTTCATAAATGAAGAAAAGATAAAGTCTTTTTCAGACAAACACTGAGAGAATTCAACACTACCAAGCCAACACTACAAGAACTGCTAAAAGGAGCTCTGAATCTTGAAACAAATCTTCAAAATACACCAAAATAGAATCTCCTTAAAACATAAGTTTCAAGGACCTATATAACAATAACACAATAATAAAAAAGGTATTCAGGCAACAAATAGCAGGATGAATAGAATAGTACCTCACATAGCAATACTAACATTGAATGTAAATGGCCTAAATGACCCACACTTAAAAGGTACAGAATGGCAGAATGGATAAGAATTCATCAACCAAGTTTCTGCTGTCTTCAGGAGACTCACCTAACACATAAGGATTCGTATAAACTTTAGGTAAAGGGGTGGAAAAAAATATTCCATGTAAATGGAGATTAAAAGTGAGAAGGAGTAGCTATTCATATATCATAGAAAATAAACTTTAAAGCAACAGCAGTTAAAAAAGACAAAGATGAACTCTATATAATGATTAAATGACTAGTCCAACAGGAAAATGTCACAATCCTAAATATATATGCACCTAACACTGGAAATCCCCAATTTATAAAGCAGTTACTACTAGATCTAAGAAATTAGGTAGACCACAACACAATAATAGTGGCGGACTTCAATTCTCCACTAACAGCACTAGACAGGTCATCAAGACAGAAAGCCAACAAAGAAACAATAGACTTTAACTATACCCCAGAACAAATGGACTTAACAGATATTTACAGAACATTCTACCCAACAACTGCAGAATATACATTCTATTCATCAGCACATGTAGCATTCGCCAAGATAGATCCTATGACAGTCCACAAAACAAGTGTCAACAAATTTAAGAAATTAGAATTTACAGCAAGTACTCTCTCAGACCACAGTAAAATAAAATTGGAAATCAATTCCAAAAGGAACCCTCAAAACCATGCAAATATGTGGAAATTAAATAACCTGCTCCTGAACAATTGTTGAGTCAACAATGAAATCAAGATGAAAATTAAAAAATAATTTGAACGGAATGCTAATAGAGACACCACCTGTCAAAACCTCTGGGATCCAGCAAAAGTGGTGCCAAGAGGAAAGTTCATAATACTAAATGCCTACATCAAAAAGTCTGAAAGAACACAAGTAGGCAATCTAATGTCACACCTCACTGAAGAGGAGAAACAAGAACAATTCAAATCCAAACCCAACAGAAGAAAAGAAATAACAAAGATCAAAGCAGAACTAAATGAAATTAAAACAAACAAAAGAAACAATACACATGATAAGTGAAACAAAAAGCTGGTTCTTTGAGAAGATAAATAAAATTGATAGACCATTAGTGAGGTTAACCAAGAAGAGAGAAGATCCAAATAAACTCAATTAGAAATGAAACAGGAGATATTATTACTGATAATAATACCACAGAAATACAAAAGATCATTCAAGGCTACTATGAACACCTTTATGCACATAAACTAGAAAACCTAGAGGAGATAGATAAATTCCTGGAAATATACAATCATCCTAGATTAAACCAGGAAGATATAGAATCTGTGAACAGACCAGTAACAGGCAGTGAGATTGAAATGGTAATAAAAATAATTGCCAACAAAAACAAGTCCAGGATCAAATGGATTGACAATTTAATTCTATCAGACATTCAAAGAAGAATTGGTACCAATCTTATTGACAGTACCCCAAAATATAGAGAAAGAGGGAATCCTCCCTAAATCATTCCAAGAAGCCAGTATCACCCTAATACCAAAACCAGGGAAGGACATAACAAAAACAAAAAAAAGAAAAGAAAACTACAAATCAATATAGCTGATGAACATAGATGCAAAAATCATCACCAAAATACTTGCTAACTGAATCCAACAGCATATCAAAAAGATAATTGACAATGATCAAGTGGGTTTCATACCAGGAATGCAGGGATAGTTTAACATATGTAAATCAATAAATGTGATACACCACATAAACAGAATTAAAAACAAAAATCACAATCATCTCAATAGATGCAAAAAAAGCATTTGACAAAATCCAGCATCCCTTTATGAGTAAAAACCTCAGCAAAATTGGCATAGAAAGGACATATTTTAAGGTAATAAAAGCCATTTACAACAAACCCACAGCCAACATTATACTGAACAGGGAAAAGATGAAAGCAATCACCCTGAGAACTGGAAAAAGACAAGGATGCCCACTTTCTCCACTTCTATTCAACATAGTACTAAAAGTCCTAGCCACAGCAATCAGATAAGAGAAATAATTAAAGGACATTCAAATCAGTAAAGAGGAAGTCAAACTAGTTTGTTGCTGTTTGCTAATAATATGATCATATACCTAGAAAACCCTAATGACTCATGCAAAAAGCTCTCAGAACTGGTAAATGAATTCAGCAAAGTGTCAGGATACAAAATTACAAATCAGTAGCTCTGCTATAAACCAACAGTAACCAACCTGAGAATCAAATAAAGGACTCAACCCCTTTCACAATAGCTGCAAAAAAAAAAAAAAAAAATACTTAGGAATATAGCTAACCAAGGACATGAAAAACCTCTACAAGGAATACTACAAAACATTGCTGAAAGAAATCATGAATGGCACAAACAAATGGAAACACATCCCATGCTCATGGATGTGTAGAATCAATATTGTGAAAATGAACACACTGCCCAAAGCAATCTACAAATTCAATGCAATTCACATGAAAATACCATCTTCATTCTTCACAGAACTAGAAAAAAAAATTCTAAAATTCATATGGAACCAAAAAAGAGCCCACATAGCCAAAGCAATACTAAGCAAAAAGAAAAAATCTGGTGGCATTACATTACCTGACTTCAAACTATACTATAAGGCCATAGTCACCAAAACAGCATGGTAACGATATTAAAATAGGCACATAGACCAATAGAACAGAATAGAGAACCCAGAAATAAAGCCAAATACTTAAAGCCAACTGCTCTTCAACAAGGTAAACAAAAACATGAAGTGGGGAACAGACATCTTATTCAACAAATGGTGCTGGGATACCTGGTAAGCACATGTAGAAGAATGAAACTGGATCCTCATCTCTCACCTTATACAAAAATCAATTCAAGATGGATCAAAGACTTAAATCTAAGACCTAAAATCCTAAAGATTCTAGAAGATAACATCAGAAAAACCATTCTAGACATTGACTTAGGCAAAGACTTCATGACCAAGAACCCAAAAGTAAATGCAACAAAAACAAATACAAATAGATGAGACATAACTAAAAAGCTTCTACACAGCAAAAGAAATAATCAGTAGAGTTAACAGACAACCCACAGAGTGGGAGAAAAATCTTCACAATCTATGCATCTCACAAAGAACTAATATCCAGAATGTACAGATAACTCAAACAAATCAGCAAGATAAAAACAAACAATCCCATCATAAAGTGGGCTAAGGAAATGAATAGACAACTCTCAAAATAAGTTATACAAATGGCCAACAAGCATATGGAAAAATTCTCAACATCACTTATGATCAGGGAAATGCAAATCAAAACCTCAATGCGATACCACCTCACTCCTGCAAAAATGGCCATAATCAAAAAATAAATAAAAAGACATTGGCATGGGTGTGGTGAAAAGGGAACACTTTTACACTGTTGGTGGCAATGTAAACCAGTAAACCAGCCACTATGAGAAACAGTGTGGTGATTCCTTAAAGAACTAAAAGTAGGTCTACCATTTGATCCAGCAATCCCACTACTAACTACCCAAAGGAAAAGACATTATACAAAAAAGATACTTACACATGTATGTTTATAGCAGCACAATTTGCAATTGCAAAAATATGGAACCAGTCTAAATGCTCATCAATCAACAAGTAGATAAAATGTGATACACACACACACACACACACACACACACACACGCCATGGAATACTACTCAGCCATAAAAAGGAACAAAATAATGGCATTTGCAGGAACCTGGGTAGAAATGGAGATTATTATTCTAAGTGAAGTAACTCAAGAATGGAAAACCAAACATCATATGTTCTCACTCATATATGGGAGCCAAGCTGTGAGGGTGTAAAGGCATAAGAATGATACATTGGACTTTTGAAACTCAAGGGATATAGTGGGGGGGGGGGTGGTGAGAGATAAAACACTACACATTGGGTACAGTGTACACTGCTCAGGTGATGGGTACACCAACATCTCAGAAATGGCCACCAAAGAACTTACACATGTAACCAAACACCACCTGTTTCCCAAAAACCTACTGAAATAAAAAAATTTTTAAAAAGAAGATTGTACTTGAGACATCTTGACATCAGTAGTAAATTTTGTTATTGAGAAGAACTTCCCCCAGAGACTTCCCCAAATAACTCCTGAAAGATGGAAAACTGTGGTTGTGAAATCCAGGGTTTAAAAATATCAAAGCTATAAGGTTGAATCCTGCTGTCTTGAGAGGCTTCTTATTCATTTATTTATTAATTTAACATACTTTGTTGGGGGAGTGCAATCAGGATGTAACAAGCACTGTGCTACAATATTTGATGGGATGCAAGTGTGAATAACACCAAAATAGAAAATAATAATATAAATAATAGCAATTCATATTCATTAAATGCTTACTATCTGCCAGAAACTGTGCTTAAGATTCAAATACTTTTTTCATGTTAAATTTCCTCTCCAAAAGCTCTGTGATGAGTATATAATTATTTTCTTGTTTCACACATGAAGAAACATCAGTTTAAAATAGGTAAGTATCTTGCCCAATATTCGGAAGGTAAAAAACAATAGAACCAGGATTCAAATACAAGTAGATAAACTCTATAAAATACAAACTTAACCACTTTATTATTCTACCTAAAGGGTTTCAAGAGAGTTGACAGATGAGGGAAGATTCTGTATGCTACATTTTGTTAAGGAAGCAGCTTTGGGCACGATCATCTTTAACATGAAAACACAATTGAAGGTGGTTACACACTAATTCAACTTCTCTGTAATTGTATTATAAGTAAAGGGAGTTAACTCACCTGCTGACCAGGAATATGCAGTGAAAGCCTTGGTTACAGAAAAGATGAATTATAGGCTCAGAGAGTGTTAAATCTGTTGTGGATATAAGAGAACTTCACATCACTAGTATTGAAATTATTATATTTAGTATATAACAAATATATGTGTTCATATTTAGTATACAAATATAAATTTATTTCAAATAAAAATTTGCCTGTAGCCACATGTTTAAAAAATAAAGGCACTTACAATGGAATAATTTTTGGCCATAAAAAGAAATGAAGCATTGTTATATTTTGAAACAGGAAAACATTATGCTAAGAAAAAGAAGCCAGTCACAAAAGAGCACATATTATATAAATCCATTAATATAAAATTTCTGTAACACAGAACTCTATAGAGACAGAGAATAGGTTAGTGGTTGTTTAGAGCTAGGTGGCATGTGGGATGTTAGGGGATGTATCAGTCAGGGTTCTCTAGAGGGACAGAACTAAGAGGATAGATGTATATAAAAAGGGGAGTTTATTAAGGAGTACAGACTCATATGATCACAATGGTGAATTCCCACAATAGGCTGTCTGCAAGCTGAGGAGAAAAGAAGCCAATCCAAGTCCCAAAAGCTCAAAAGTAGGGATCGACAGTGCAGCCTTCAGTCTGTGGTCAAAGGTCCACGAGCCCCAGCACTGAAGAACTTGGAGCCCGATGTTCAAGGGTGGGAAGCATCCAGCGTGGGAGAAAGATGTAGGCCAGAAGACTAAGCCAGTCTAATCCTTCCACATTTCTCTGCCTGCTTTTATCATAGACACATTGGCAGCTGATTAGATTGTGCCCAACCGGATTGAAGGTGGGCCTGTCTCTCCCAGTCCACCCATACAAATATTAATCTCCATTGGCAACAGACACACCCAGAAACAATACTTTGCATGCTTCAATCCCATCAAGTTGACACTTAATATTAACCATCACAGGGGAGGTGATAGCCAAAGGGTACAGAGTTTCCTTTTGAGATAATAAAATATTGGGAGAAACCAGCCCCCGATATTTCACGTAGGTTCTTTTCTAGTTTCCCTAAGTGTCAGCCAGTCTGAGAAATAAAGGGAAAGAGTACAAAGGAGAAATTTTAAAGCTGGGTGTCCAGGGGAGCATCACATGTCAGCAGGTTCCGTGATGCCCCCTGAGCCATAAAACCAGCAAGTTTTTATTAGCAATTTTCAAAGGGGAGGGAGTGCACAAATAGAGTGTGGGTCACAGAGATCACATGCTTCAAGGGCAACAAAAGATCACAAGGCAGAAGATCAGGGTGAAACTAGAATCACTAATGAACTTCCATGTCCTACTGTGCATGCATTGTCAGGGTTCAAGAGCAGAGAACCGGTCTTTCTAGAATTCACCAGTCTGGAATTTCCTAATCCTAGCAAGCCTGGGGGCGCTGCAGGAGACTCGGGCGTGTTTCATCCCTATCTACATCTGCATAAGGCAGACACCCCCAGGGAGGCCATTTTAGAGGCCCCGCCCTGGGAATAGATTCTTTTCCCAGGGCTGTTAATTATTAATATTCCTTACTGGGAAAAGAATTCAGCCATATTTCTCTTACCCATTTTCGGTAATAAGAGAAATATGGCTCTGTCCCACCTGGCCTACAGGCAGCCAGACTTTAAGGTTATCTCCCTTGTTCCCTGAACATTGCTGTTATCCTGTTCTTTTTTCAAGGTGCCCAGATTTCATACTGTTTAAACAATTTGCGCAGTTAACACAATCATTACAGGGTCCTGAGGCGACATACATCCTCAGCTTATGAAGATGACAGGATTAAGAGATTAAAGTAAAGACAGGCATAGGAAATCACAACAGTATTGATTGGGGAAGTGATAAATGTCCATGAAATGTTCACAATTTCTGTTCTTCTGCTATGGCTTCAGCCGGTCCCTCCGTTCGGGGTCCCTGACTTCCTGCAACAATAAAATATTCTAAAATTGACTATGCTTCTGTTACATATTTGTGAATATACTAAATACCACTGACTTCTACACTTTAAATGCGTGACTTGTATGGTACATAAACTATATCTCAATAAAGCTGTTAAAAAAGAAAAAAAAAGAGAAGTAAAAAGCATGGAACCCCACTCTTGTAACCATTCCCTCCCACTATGAGACCCCTGAATCAACTCCACAGAGCTCTAATTTAAAAGGAAAAACACAACACTCTTTCAAGTCATTTTATGAATGACACATAGAAGCCACTGCTAAAATTCTATGAGGTAGAGCATGATAAAAACCTGATTCCAAAACCTAAAGTGTAGCATTTGTTAGCTTCTAGGAAGAAAATGCACCAATCAGCGCTTCTTCATTAAAATGACTCTAATCCCAAAGAAGATTACTGATGGATTAGGCAAGTAAAAGAAGCAACGTTAGAACATGTGGCTAAGATTTGGAGCTCTCCTTTTGATAATGGAGGGAATTATAGGTTGGAGCCCACATGGAGTGTCGGGAAAATGGGCTTGGAATTATTTCCACCTGGGAGATAACCTTCTTCTAGAAGAAATTGAAAAATGTCAATTTAACTTTGTCAAAGACCTAAGGGAAAGTTGTCTTTCCTTTTTTTTTTTTTTTTCTTGGCTTGATGTTGCTGTTTCCTGGAATCATCTGACTTGCCATTGAAGTGGTGTTGTATCACGTTGTCTCCTTTCCTCTTCTGAAAGTTTTCTGAAGATGGAATATGGCTATATCAATAGCCCATTTCAGTATTTTATCTCTAGGACCAATAAGACAGTCCTCATGGTAAGTGAAGCCAGCTGGACTTCCTGTGTTAACTGGGGACTTGGAGAACTTTTCTGTCTTACAAGGGGATTGTAAAATGCACCAATCAGTGCTCTGTAGCTAGCAAGAGGTTTGTAAAATGCACCAATCAGCGCTTTGTAAAATCGCACCCATCAGTGCTCTGTAGCTAGCCAGGGTTTGTAAACGGGACCAATTAGCGCTCTGTAAAATAGACCAATCAGCGCTCTGCAAAATGGACCAATCAGCACTCTGTAAAATGGACCAATCAGTAGGATTCTAAAAGTAACCAACTGTGGGGAGGATTGAGAAAGGGGCATTCTGATAGAACAGAAACGGAATATAGGAAGGGACAAATAAGGCAATAAAAGCTGGCCACCCCAGCCAGCAGTGGCAACCCACTCGGGTCCCCTTTCACGCTGTGTTCTTTCACTGTTCACAATAAATCTTGCTGCTGCTCACTCTTTAGGTCTGTGCCATCTTTAAGAGCTGTAACACCCACTGCAAAGGTCCGTGGCTTCATTCTTGAAGTCTGTGAGACCATGAACCCACGGGAAGGAACCAACTCAGGACACACTCATAATGCCCAGTCAAAATCATCCCTGCTACCGTTAAGCCAAGTTGCTCTCCTTTTGTCATCCCCAGCAATAAATAAATGCATCTTGCCTGCACTTAGAGATGTTTATTTTCTACACTTCAACTTAAAATGAAAGTGAAAAATAGAAACTTGCTAATACACCATGCAGCTTCCAACACTCAGTTTAATTCTTATGAAAATACAAGTAAAAATAAACACTCCTGGTACCACTGAAAAATAAAACTGCCACATAACTGAATGTCAGAATCTTTGCTATGTTGCCCTTAATTTAACGTTAAATACCCATTAGGGTGCTGACAGGCTTGCTTCATATCAAGGTTTCATCTCATTATACAATTACCGTTTTTATAAAGGAGGGATGATAATAAGATACTTTTTGCTTTCACTGCTGTCTATACCTGACCCAAGTCTGAAAGTGCTGGATTTGTCAGGTAGAGAACACACTTTCAGGTCTAGGGAGCTACTGAATCTGTAGGAGGCTGTTTGGATCCAATCCTTCCTGTTGGAAGAAGAGTTCCCACAGAAACCAGAGAAGCTCCTGAGACTTTTTAGAAAATGCCATTCAATGCCTATACTCTGAAACGTCTATTCGTGTCTCCTGCTCATTTTTAAGTTGGAATTTCTTAACTGATTCACAGAAGTCCTTAAATATTTGGATGCTAATCTATTATAGAATATATTTGTTCTAACTATCTTCTAGTCTATGGCTTATCTTTTCAAAATTTTAATTGTGCTTTTTGATGAAGAGAATTTTGAAATGTTGAAAATTAAGACTCCATCATCAGAGTTGGCTCAAAAGTTTAAATGTAAAGATGCCATTTAACTCAACAATTTCACCCTGAGGTACCCAAGATAAATAAATATAGATTCACATGAATACTTGCACATAAAGTGCTCGTAGCCAAATTATTTATAATAGCCAAAAGTGGAAACAACTCAAATGTCCAAAAACTGATGAATGGATAAATAAAATGCAATATTTCCATGCAATGAAATATTATGCAGCAATAAAAATAAACAGATTATTGGTACATGCTGTCATATGGATGAACCTTGAAAACATTATGCTAACTGAAAGAAACTAAAAACCATAAATTGGACAATTGAATTTTTATGAAATGTCCAGAATGGGCAAATCTATAGAGACAGAAAATGGATTCATGGTTTCCTAGTGCTGGGAGAGGGAGCATTTGGGGAAAAATGGAGAATGACTGTTAATGTATAAAAGTTTCTTGTTGGGGTGCCAAATGTTATTTTAAATGCAATATTCACCATGGGCAGAATAAAATTGGAAAAGCTTTACTTTGATTCTGTTACCTTGGTATATAAAAAATTTTAGAATTAAATCCTTTTCTGTTTTAAGCATTTACTATTTGCACGGTTCTTTTTTTCAATTAATCACAATATATGAACATGATTCATATTTTGTATATACACAAGAAAATTTGGAGCTAAAAAATGAGCAAAATTATGTAATAAATGATCTAAAAATGATCAAAAGGAAAAGATTCATTACAGTCATACATTGCCTTCTTAATCTAATTGCTACTCTTTGAAACAGACATTGCTTTTTTAGCACATTTGTATCTTTTGTTTCCATGTGGATAATAATATCACTACTGGCTTATGGTGAATGTACAAAGTAAATGTTCACGATCAAATTTCTTGAAAAACAAAATGTTAATAATTTTACTTTAAAATGTACAAGTTATAGGAAAAATTTGAGGTTTTTGAAATGGACCAAAAGTATTACTGTGTTTCTTTAATGGATAACTAAGTATTGCCCGAGTTATATAATGCTATGGAGGCTGTGGGTTTTCTTTTTTTTTTTTTTTTTTTCCATCTTTAAGCTATTTTACAATTCTGTAAATTGCGGAACACTGATGGTAATGCAAATAATTCTTGCCCATAGAAATGGAAATTGTGTGTTTTAGATGTCATTGATTATTGCCATAAGGATATTGACCAACTTCATATTTGTTAAGCAAATTCATTTCAGCATTTCTGATTGCCAATATATATGTTGGGTTTTTTTTTAAAAAAACAAAAACAAAAACAAAAAAAAAACTTTCTTTGAACTACTTGCAACATCTTATTGGTTAATTAATATGAACATATGCTAAAGATTTTAAAGGTTTTAACTTTAAAATCTTTAGCATATGTTCTTTTTTTTTTTTTTTTTTTTTTGAGAGAGAGTCTCGCTCTGTCACCCAGGCTACAGTGCAGTGGCAGAATCCCATCTCACTGCAACCTCCACCTCCCAGGTTCAAGTGATTCTTGTGCCTCAGCCTCCTGAGTAGCTGGGACCACAGGCACCCGCCACCACGCCTGGCTAATTTTTGTATTTTTAGTAGAGACTGGGTTTCACCATCTTGGCCAGGCTGGTCTCAAACTCCTGACCTCGGTGATCCGCCCACCTCAGCCTCTTAAAGTGCTGGGATTACAGGCGTGAGCCACCGCGCCTGACCTGTTCACATTCATTTTACTCTATCTGTCATGACTCTCTTTTTTAAAAATTATTCTTTAACAATGTGCTTTTCTGTTTTGGGAGGGACTATTTCTTAACATGTTATTGCCACATATATTTGATACAGGTTTTGATATAGTTTATCAAGCTAAGGAGAATTAAGTTTGAAAGAACTCACAATAAAATTACCTAAATTTGTTTTAAATTTGTAAGAAGATTTTAACCTATAAATTCACTTTCTTTAATGGCTTTGAAGTTTTCCCTCCAATTTAGCCTATTTGAACGTTCTAATAGCAATAATATATATTCAATTCAGCTTTACTCATAATTCCTCAATTTGCTTTTTTGATATTTAACACATACATAATTTTTGTTATTATGTTTGACTGGTACATTGTCACTATATATCTGTAGATATTTTATACGTTGAAATAATATGCTATTTTAAATAACTAGATGCAATACTTTCTATAATTAGACCATATTTATTTATTGCATTGTTCTTATTTTCTTCAGACTTAGTTAATTGCTTATCTATTCTTAATTGAGAAAGATATATTAAAATCTCTCCTATAGATGAGGAGTCCCCATCCCCTGGGCTGCAGACCCCTATGGGTCCATGTCCTGTTAGGAACCCAGCTGCACAGCAGGAGGTGAACAGCAGGTGGGCAAGCATTACTGCATGAGCTCTACCTCCTTTCAGATCAGTGGAGGCATTAGATTCTCATGAACCCTACTGTGAACTGTGCGTAAGGGGGTTCTAGACTGTGTGCTCCTTATGAGAATCTAAGGCCTAATGATGTGAGGTGGAACAGTTTAATCCTGAAAGTACCCCACACCCACAGTCCGCCATCCATGGAAAAATTGTCTTTCATGAAACTGGTCCCTGGTGCCAAAAAGTTGGGGACCGCTGCTAGAGTTGGTAGATCCCAATTTGCCATTATTATTTTTTAAATTTTGCTTTTATTTTATTTAGAATGTAGTAATACCTAGCAATTAAAATTTGTATGTATCTGGTGCACTGGAATTTATCACAATTTAGATAATTCTCTGAAACAATGTTTTCTTTCTTAAGTTTAATAACCTGATGCCAATATGGCAACACTAGTTAAGTTAGTACTTGCCTGATATAATCTTTTCACTGTTTTACTTTCAACCTTTCTGTGTATTTGCTTCATCTGTCCCTCTTTTGTAAAGCGTAAAGGCAACTTTTTTTGGATCCTCATTCATATCCAACCAACCAGTAATTCCGCCAATATGCTTTTATAGCTGTTCTTAGAATTAGTCCAGTTGTTTCCATATCTGTTACCATCATCCTTGTCCACTTTAATGACTTGTCTTACCTGGACCACTATGTGAGGAATAGGCCTTCCCTATCCAAACATGCGCTTCGAATCCATTTTTCATTCTGAAGTACAACTGAAATTATAAAAATCTAAATCTGATCATGTCACTCCCAAACTTAAAAACTCTGTACTGACTGCTCTCCAATATGTTGCCCAAACAGCATAAATTACAAAACCCTTTAGGATCTGAACTCTGCCCATCTCACCATCCTTATCCTACATCTTTGAGTTCCACTCTACGGGAATACCATATGCTTCTTCTTACCTCTGAGCCTTCACACATGCTGTTTCTTATGTTTCTGATATTATTGCCTAATGCCTGGTATTCTTTTTGCTTCAACTTCTAATTTACTTACTCAATGAAACTTTAGATGCCCCTTATCTATATTATCTATGAACACACATATCCTAAACAAATTTAGCTATAGCAAGCTCGAAAAATTTACCAGCAAATTCCATTTCTGTTATTAATTTTATTTTGGTGCCTTATAAAATAATATATATATAATTTATAAAAATACACATATACTAATAACTGATAAATAACACGTTATTCTAAATATAAAATAATGAAACTGATAAGAAATATACAAAGTAAAAATGCAAACATTTCCCCCAAATTGCTTTACTGTCCTTCCTCAAATCCTATTTCTTGCCTCAGAGATACCCACTGTTAATTCATTCAGTGTATAGCCTTATAAATTTTCTTTTATAGACTTCTTTCATATGCCTCTAAACATAGAAAGTTTTGTTCATATTTCATTTTTATATGAATATAAATATATATGAATTCATATATGAATATGAATATAAATATTCATATAAAAATTTTAAATTACTATTACTATATGATACCTATTACTTGATGATATTTATCACTGAACTGTCTGTTGTAGAAAACCTGTCTTTTAAATTAAATGTATCGTCATTTATCTACTGGAAAACATTAATTTCTAAATTTGAATTATTAGAATCAATGCTTCAGTAAGTGTTCCTATACATACTAATATTTCTATTAAAATACAGCTTAGGTTGGACGGGTGTGGTAGTTCCTAGTACTTTGGGAGGCTAAGGTGGGCAGATTGCTTGAGCTCCGAAGTTCAAGACCAGCCTGGGCAACATGGTGAGACACCATCTATACTAAAAAAAAATACAAATTTATATATATATATGGCATTGCTAGGTAAAGGGTATGCATTTTCTTTGTTTTGTGGGTTTTTTCCAAATATTTTTAGATATTCCCTTATTTTCTCTCTTCAATTTGAACTTTATAAGTAATTTGTCAGTTATATGACAAAACTGTTCACAATATGATTGGTAACATCAAACTAAAGGATTTATTAAAATAATATGCTAAAGAGTAATTTTGAAAGACATTTTAGATACATATTATTTAGATAGATATTATGAAAATCAGGTAATAAAAAATTTTAAAGTATAGTGTTTATTGCTACAGAAATAAATTTATTTATCTGTACATACCCGGAAAAATATATACACTAAAACAGTACTAGTAATTAGAAGTGGTTGATAGGGACACAGATGATTTTTATTTTCTTATATTTTTAACTCATTTTTTTCATTTTATATTGCACTATAACATGCAATATAAACATTTATTTTTTATCAAAATATTAAAAGAAATTATGTTCACATACATATCTCTAGAAGAAGAAATGTCATTGAAAAACTTTTTAATATAAGCAAATAAATTAAAGTACAGAGTCTATTTGCTTTTCAGAAATAAGTATAAACGTTGGCTGCCAACTTTTATCATCCAATTTTCACGGAAATAAAATTCTTTCCTTAATGCCTGAAGATACTATTTTGGATGGCAGTAAAAAAAAAAAAAGATGAAGAAGGAATTCAATAATTTTTTTAATTTCAATGGAAAAGACTAATATTTTACTACACATAAATGTGCTGGCTGATCACACTTTAAATTTATTACCGCAAACCTCCAGTGGGCCTTCCGAGCTACCTAGCAATCTTCTCATTTCTCCACTCAGCTCACTCTCCCTCTTTAGAGCTTTTCTTTCTCATTTCACTAAATCATTGCCATCAGAAGATAGCTTTCATATTCTTACGATTCCTCCACGTTTACCAACTTGCCTATTATTTGTCCCCATGCACTGTACCTTTCTGATAGGATCGATAAATTGTCTAGAATGCCTCACTACAGAAATTATCTCTTCTTCTTTACCCATTTCCATTGCAGAATGTTATGCATATATAAAGCATAAACAACCTCAAAATAGAAATAATTAGTTATACTTAGATTTTATTTTAGGTTTTATTCTAAATACATATATTTTGAGTATTCATAGTGAATATAGAAAACAGAACTAGCACTTGTCCTCTGTAGGGATCAATGAATTAACAAATACAGCATACAAGGAAGTCATAGTCTCATTCTATTACATGATTGGAACTTGTCTATTAATAAGAAGTCCATTTGAAGCACCTCACTTCTCGATCTTTTATATCTCAAATTTGCTTCTTCTAGTAACACAAGCCCAATGAACTTTTAAACCCTCGATAATTTCTAAACCACTGGCCCCACAAAGTTTCACTGCCTATCATTCCCATCAATCTGTTTCCCCTTTGCCTTGCAAGCCTTTTCCCTGAATTGGTCCAATTAGTATTCAAACATAATGTAATATCTCCTATGTTAAAAAAATAAATGATTTTTTTCACTGATATCTCCAACCAGCGCTTGCACCAGTTCTCCGATTCCTCCTTTAGGAAAGCTGAACTGAAAATTTCTGTTTCTCTTTTTCCAATATCTCTTCTTCAATTCTCTCTTGAATGCTCTTCGAGAAAGTTTTTGTGTCTACCTCTTCACTAAAACCATTTTTGTGAAATCCCCAAGGACTTTGTTGCCAACATCCACATTACCAAATTCAACAGTCAATTATCAATTCCCTCCTAATTCGTATTCTCAACAGCATTTGACACTGGCAATCAAACCCTCTTTAGACACACTCTTCACATGTCCTCTGCTATGCTCACCTGGCTCTTCTTCCTTCCCAGTTTACTATTAATATATGGCTTCTCCTTCTCTCCCAGAATCTAAATATTACAGTGTCTCAGGGCTTAATCTTTAATTACTTTCTAGGGGTTATCTTGATCAGTTCTACAGTTTTAAATTCCATCTACATAGTAATTACTACAAAAACGTGATCAGTCTCAACTTGTCCTCTAAACTCCAAACTCGTAAGTCCTACTGCCTTCTGAACAGCTTCACTCAGATTTCAAATTTAAGTTGTCCAACCCTGAAATCTTGCATCTTCCCCAATATTTTCTCATTTCTGTTCTCTATTTCGGTAAATTATATCATGATTTACTTAGGTGCTTAAGATAAAAAAACATGAGATTATCTTTAACTTTTCCTTTTCTTTCACACTCTGCATCTAATTCATTAGAAAACAAGTTGGCATTATCTTCAAAATATATCTAGTCTCCAAAAACCATCCACCATCTCCACAACAACCTCCACATCTCACAACTCAGCCTTTACAGGGCCCTCTGAATTCTTTCTTCTCCCACTTTATGCTTCTGGTGATCCATTCTCCATATTACCATTGGAAGAGCAAGGTAAAATACAAACTAGAACATGTCACTTCTCTCCTTTCAACCTTCCAGTGCTTTCTCTACTCAGAATAAAAGTCAGTCTTTACCATGGCCTGCTCAGTTTTCTTTCCAACGTGATTTTTTCTTACTCCCGCTTACCTTGCTCCATCAGCACAGGCAGTTTGCCACTCCATGAACACACTGAGCATGTGATATTTCAAGGCCTCTGAGCATACGAGATTACCCAGCTACTCTTTTCCCAGCATCACCTTCTAACTTTATTTAGGTTTCTTCTCAAATGTTACCTCCCTAGAAAGTTTTTACCTGACAATTGTATATAAAGATAGCAAACTCTGTAAAACCCTACTTATTATCTTTGTCTACACTTGCTGTATGATTCTCCATAGTATTTGTACTACTAACCTTAGATTACATATTTAGTCATTTTCTGTACCCCACCAGACCATAACATCCATCAGGATACTATTGGTTTGTGGCTGTCTTCCCAATGCCTAGATCAGTGACTGGCATTCAATAAATATTTGTTGCATGAGTGAGTAAAATAAATCATGCTCTCTGTGCCACCTACTTTCTCTTAATTGCTAGTACTTTAAACTCACGAATCTCATTGCTAGTACAGGCCTTTAGAGCTTAGATATTTTACCCAAGAATCAGAAGACCATGTTAACAAGCTGTCTAGAACCTGAAGGATAATTTTTGTATATAAATTGTTCAAGATAATTGAGAAAATAAATTAACAAGTGAGATAAAATGGCTTCCCAGGAGTGCATTCTGCTCCTTGCTTTTGGCTGGCAGTATGAAGCCTCTGGTCTTTTCGGGGGAATGCCTTTCCCCAAGGTTCCTAGTCTTTTGGCAGGCTGTAGTTATGATTTTGTTTGAACAAAATCTCAGGACTTGGGATGCTGAATTCTATTCCCAGTTCTGCTGATTAATAACTGTATAACTTTAGCCACATGGCTTTATCCTCTCTGGGTTCAGATTTCTCACCTGTAAAACATAGGTAATTATCCTGACACTGCCTCCTAGGGATGCTGTGAAGAACAGTTAATGATAATAACCATTTAAAAAGTGTTTCCATCTTCATTGGATATTAATTGAGTGCCACTGTGTGCAGAACTCTATTAACTCTGTAAGAAGCAGAGTGAATAGGTAACAAAGAATATATCAGACCTTGTCTTCTGCCTAAAGGAATTCCCGTTAGAAAATATAAAATGAAAGTAATAGTGTTATGCTGAAAATATAATTGCCTTCTATGTGGTCACAATTTCCCATCATCTTTTCTCTTTATCTAAAACCTTCCTTTCTCAGCTGTGAAATGGTAGAAGAAAGAAGCTATGGTGACATTGTTTCACAGAATTGTAAAGCCTTGAAGGATCTCAGCAGTTTTCTGTCTCTGATTTAACATTTTTACTTTAGAGATGAAGTAATTGACCACCGGAGAGATTCAAGAGTTTTCCGGGTGCAGCACACCAACATGGCACATGTAACAAACCTGCACGTTGTGCACATGTACCCTAAAACTTAAAGTATAATAATAATGAAATTTTAAAAAAAAAATCTTGGCAGAGGAAAAAAAAAAAAGAGTTTTCCATATTCACCAATCTGGGTTTCTAATCAACTAAGCCCTAGTTCACTGTGCTGGCTGATACAGGAGGCTGCTCTTTATTGTGCCGAAGAATAGCATGGTGGTCATATTCTATTGCAGGCAGCATGAATGGCGCCCTCTCTTTTGATGACAAGTCCAGTAATTTAAGGCTATTAACTTACAGATAGTTTTGGCCCTAAAGATAGAATTATGATAGAAGATTCTGATATTCTGATAAATGATAATTAATAAGAATAACATTTTTTAAAAACCTCCTACAACATTCGATCTAAAAATTCTACTAGTCTTTTTATCCACTATTTTAGTTCATCCTCATAACTATATGAGAGGTATTATCATATTTAATAACTGAATACCAGAAAGCTTGCATAACTTGCCTCAAATTACACATTTATCAAGTAGTGGAATTAAGATTTGAATCCAGATTTATCTACTTCCTAAATTATTGTCTTTCCACTACACAATCCAGAAAAAAAAATGTGCACTGTCCTATTCACTATCTACAGCAGGAATCAGCAACTTTTTCTTTACAGGACTCAACAGTAAATACTTCAAGATAGTAGGCTATAAAGTTTCATTGCATTTATTCAACTCTGCCATTTAGCATGATAAGCAATGCATAAACAAAAGGACATGACTATATTTCAGTAAAACTTTATTCACAAACAAGGATTGCTTGCTTAGAGCCACAGTTTGCCAACCCCTAGTCTAGAGATCCCTTTTGGGTTATCTGATTCTGATTCTAGGACTAACAACATTGTTACGTATAGATAATGCAAAATAGTAATTGGTAGCAATGCAAAATAATTCGTGCCTATAAACATGTAAATTCTGTTTGTCAGAGGCTGAATTTACTTTTTTCTCCACCTGTGAAGCCAGCTTTGTCTTCCATTTGCCCATTGATTTCAATATTCTTTATACAGACACACACACACACACAAACATACACATATATATATCTGTTCTTTCTATATATTACATATATATACCTGTTCTTTGGATTTTCCTTTGAACTGATTTGACATCTGCTGGCCTCCTTATTTAATTAATGAATTAAATTTTTAACACATGTTCGATTTATACCTGTGTGAGAATCACGACTTTACCTTTTTCAAAAATTACTATATTAACAACACTATAGTAGAAAGCATTAATATACTTCTGCTGCACCACCCTAACTTGTAAAACTGTGACTTTACTATTTTTCTTCTTAACTTGAGGAGAAGTAAGAACAAAATGTTTCTGGTTCACAGGGGTCCTCTATGCCTGACACTCTCCATTTGGCTACATGATATCATTATTTTCTTTTCACTTATGCAACATGAAAGTTACTTCATATCAATCATGTCAGTGCATGTCACAACAGAGAACATCAACACAATTTACTCATCTTTTATGATATAAAGTTGATAGGAAGAAAGAAAGGTGCCAATTTGACAAAGTGGTCTCCTCCACAGATTTGACAGAGATATTCTCCATTTTATGCTTAGCTGGTGTGCCGAAGATAAAGCATATTGATTCTGGAAATAAACATACTCCTTCACACTTACCATCTGCCTCTCGCTCTCTCACCTCTCTCCTGAGCTGGGTAGTTTGAAAATGAATTCACCGGGGCTGGCAAATAACAGCTATTCGTTAGCAAATCTTAGAATCTCAAGGTTAGAAGAAACCCTTAGAGCCATCTTTTTTGACAACAACTAAAACAACAGCAGCAACATCAACAACAATATCAAGAGCTAACGCCTAGTCAGTCCTTATTTATGTCAGGCCATCTTTTAAGTCTTTGGCTGTAGAATCCCCTAGATAGAACACCTATTTTCTTGACACAGTTATTAACAACCCCTTCTTCAATCTCAGAAGTGGCCTATTCTGAATAACAAATTATATCATTATCCGATTTATGTATGGTATCTGGTTTGATCTTCACATAATATTGTACGTATAAGTATGATAAAGATAAGTAAAGAAAATTAACTTGTCTAATTTCATGCAGCTAGTAAGTAAAAGAGTTGTGATTTGAGCCTTGGAAGCCTGACCATGCCTTTAACTACTTTGTTATGTTTCCATTTGCATGTACCTCACATCTGAAACAGTACAGCCAAGTGGTTGTTCACTGAGAGTGAATCTACCACCTACGACAGGAATCAGTTCTATCTTTGGACAATGCTGTTGAAAGTTCTTACATTTATTATGCTGAAATCTATTCTCCCATAGTTTCAGCACCCTGGATGAAAATTTGGAACCAAATGTAAAAGCCATATTATTTCATGTTTTGTATTTGAATCTGAAAGTAAAAGGAAAGGCAGGTAAGTTAATTCTTTCTAAAGAAGGTTAAGGTCAGAGGGATTGATTGTGAATTATGATTAGGGAGAGAAAGAGTTGTACTAATTCTGGAAACAATAATTAGGATTCTGTACTCTTTTATAGAAATTAAAATCATTATCTTTGGTTTTACACTTAGAGTCAAAGTTTACAGAGAATCTGGATGAGCAGCTATTTAGTGGCATGACTGCTATATTAAGGGTTGTTCAAATTTTGTCTTTCACTAATACACAGACACCATTAAGTAAAATGGTAAGTAGACAGGAATTTTCTCCTGAATTTGACCAGCAAGAAGTTCTGCTTATCATATAATAATGAAAACAAATATATATCCATCTTTTTCTACAGTTATGGCCAGACCTGTCGGATTCATCACATTAGACATTACGTTTTGAAAATACTTTTTAGATAGGATCAATCAACTACCATGAAGTTGAACATCCACTAACAGAAGACACACAAACATATACAAACATGTGAACAATGGAATCATTAATTGGCTAATAGGGATTTTTTGAAATATCTGAAAGAGTTTCTCATGATGAAGCTTAAGGAAGTAAAAGAAAGGAGAGTGAAGCCCTTGCTTTCCAAAACATATCCCAAAGGCATTCCTCTTGTTTCTTCTTAGGGTTTGTTTGTAGTCAGGTTATTTTTCTCTAAAGTATTCAAAACAGTCCACTCAAGTATATTTATTTTTAAGAGCATTTCATTAAATTCACTGTTTTAATTTAAGGATGACAGAATTTTGATTGCCAACTTTAGAACCCTCTTAAAAATAACAGCTTTGGAATTCAATATAGCACAGAACGTGAGGACTAAGCTCTGATTTTTTTTTATCTTACCCAAATGTCTTTCTAAAGGGTCTGGGGAGTCATGCCCTACAAACCATAAGTTCTCATTAGATGGGTTTTATTTAACCTTGTATATTGTGACTTACTTTCCAGTCTGACTCTGGCATAACAAGGGAAAAATTCAAAATGTTTTGCCCCAAAATAAATTTCCTTGCCATACCCTGGAATTGCCCCTGAAAGTCTTGTAGGAAAAATCCATATTCTATAGAGAATCCCCTTTCCCCTTTGTTTTCCTTGCTTCCTTTCCAGATTCAGGAGGTAATCAACTAAGAGCCAGGCACCCTTTTAAGTCTGATAAGAAACATTTTTCAACCTGCTCTCTCTGAAGTCTGCTGAGAGTTTCTTCTGCACAATAAAACTTGGTCTCCACAGTCCTTTATCTTGACCTGAACATGTCGTTTGATTCCAGGTCTTCAGATAAACTCTACCAATTGTCAACTAGAAAATGTTTAAATTTACCTATAGCCTGGAAACCCCCACCTTGAGTTGTCCTGCCTTTCTGAACAAAACCAGTGTACTTCTTAAATGTATTTGATTGATGTCTCATGCCTCCCTGAGATTCATAAAACCAAGATGTACCCCGACCACCTTAGGCACATGTTTTCAGGACCTCCTGAGGGCTGTGCCACAGGCCACGGCCACTCATACTTGGCTTGGAATATGACTCTTTTCGTCAACAATAATCTGGCACCCAAACACGTGGGAACTCAGAAAACTCAGGACCCCAAAGGAGTTGCCAGAAACCGGAGCTAAGATACCTGCAGGAGCCCATTGAAGTCCCACCGAGTTCCAGCTGCTCCTCCGGTGGAACTGGTAAGTCCTCCTGAGCCCCGGACCTCCCTTTGGTTGACAGTCCTTGATTTATTCCGAGCTGGTTTTCTCCTAGAAAGTTGTTGTTTAAGGATCCTAGTTCTAGTTCAGACATGCATTCTAAAGGGAATTCCCTAATGCTTTTTCTCCTAAAATTTATCTTAATTCGGCTTGTCTGTGCACATTTGCATGAGGAACTGAACTGTTGTTTTCATAGATAAATGAGAGACTGAGTTTTTCAGGGCATTTACTCCTCCCAGCTGAAAGGCACCCCTAGGTGACTGGGGTCCTCGTGAGAGTGTCTGGGGGATTGACCCCTCAAGACATGCAGTGGCCCTGCAGGGAAATCCTTAACAAAAATTAATTTAAAAATGGCTCATCCAGGAAATGCCTATCAGGGCTGATCACCCAGTGTTTTGAGCCTTCTCAGAGTTCACAGACCTCTGGAGAGAGAAACTGAGGCACGAAAGAGGGTGGAAAAGACCCAATAGTGACACATTGTGGAGTCCTGCCCACAAACAGCATTCATTGATGCACCACACAAAAACCCTAGGCTACAGCTCAGTTCCTCCTTTTAAGGAAAAAAAAAAAAAAAAAGAAAGAAAAAGAAAAAAAGAAAGAAAGCGGGAAACAAATCTAAGAATAAGGAGAAAATCAGGAGAATGTCCCCTTTCAAGAACTCCATAGGTTTTATGGCACCTCTATTTGCCAGAGTTTATATAAAATTGAAGTAGTATGATCTTTGTGCACATTTGCATTAAGGAAAAATTTTGATCCCTTAGGTCAACCTGCAAACAACAGAGTTCCTAGGTTTTATTTTCTTTTCTGCCTAAATTTGCTGTTACTTTTCTACTGAGATAAAAACCACTGTTATCTAACAGAGTTTTTTGTTGTTGTTGTTTATTTTTTCTGCAAGCTGGTGAAGTTGTATTTGTCTCATGGCTAAAGTACTGAAGTAATAGCTATGGGAACTTTGTGTGTGTGCCTGTGTGTATATTTAAAGGCCTTTATAATAGACGTATAATTTTGTTTAATTGGCAATTGAATCTGCTTTAATTTCCCTCGAGCACACAGGACTTTCTCTTCTTACCCTATAATATAAATTTGCTATCTGATTTTCACCTGACTTGCCTTTAATATGCAAATTTAAGACCATTTAGCTAACAACTGCCTAGGATAAGATTTTAAAAAACAGAAAAAAAGGAAGTGTTTATGATTCTATGCAATGTGCTTCTATCATCATGCCTAATACATCTATATATTTATGTGTGTGTACACAATATTTTCACTACTAAAAATATATAAAGAGCTCTAATTAATTGGCTAAAAAATATACAAAAGCGTTTAAAATCAGGTATTTAAAGTGTTTAAAATCAGATACTAGTCAAATGCTTTTTCAAGTTCACATGATTTAACTAAAACCTTTACCAAATAAGCCAGCTTTAAAATTATTGGTAAAATAATATCATCAATGTCTTTAGAATTGTTAGCATTTTGTTTGCATCTATTGATCATGGAGTTTCATGTTTATTCCCGCAGAATACTATAAAATTTCCAATAAGGGTTATTGACAATAAAACCCAGCTCAAGACAGAATAATCTTTGTTTGTATATGCTTATGAAATATTGTTGGCTTAAATGGAAACAGCTTAAATAATGAGTTATTGGTATAAATACCCTTAAATTTTACCATAAGTTTTATTACTTAAGTACCTGAAATTCACAGCTATAAAAATGGTAATTACGAAAATAACTTTAAATATTGGCTATCACAGTTTTTTTGTAAATAATCTAGGTAAACTACTAAATTAATCAGGTAAATGTAATAAAATTAATCTTTGTAAACAAACTTGTCATAATTTAGGATCTAAGGTTATTAATTGGTATTAAGTATCTGAGCAATTTCCAATATAAGAATTATAAAAAAACGTTGTTTTTAAATGTTCTTATTAAAGGTAAAATATGTTTGTCTAATTCAAAGCTTATTTAAGGGTTATGTATAAAACAAGGTAAAGAAGTCAGGCAATAAGAGCTGTAAAGATAGTGAAAGATATAAACAGGTGTTTTTGGTAAGAAGGTAAAAGGAAAGTAATTTTATATAAGAAAGAATCATGTGTGGTGAATTTTTGACCTAACATAAAATAACTGGGTTGTTCAAGAAAGAGATATTTAGGGTAAAACAGAGAGTCTAACCATTGTAAATGGTCTATGTAAGTCATAATAAGGTTAGTAAGAAGGAACATTCAAAGAGGTTGCATAATTCAGTTGGCTGTGATTAAAGGAAATCATAATAGTCTTTCTAGAGATTGCTCTTTCATATTAAAAAATGCACTAATAAAAAATTAAATAATTGGTTTAAACAAGATTTTATTACAAATATTGACTTATTTTTAATGTAAGAAGTTTTAAAATTTTTAAATTCTATAATCTATTTCCTTTAACATTCTTCAGATTGGTATCTTAAAAGTGCAACTGTTTCTCTTTTGAAAAGGCCTTGAATTCTGGCTCTCTCCTTCACCTTTTGTTGGCTCCTGTAACTTTTACTAATTACCTAAAGTAAGGGAGAAAAATTGTTTTTGAAAACAGGCAAGTAAAGTATTTTTTTGAACATGGCTTTTATTTTGCATGCCTATTATATCTCTATTTTTATATGTGTAATGTAGAAGTGATATTTCACTACCAAACTATACAGAAGAACTCTAATCAAGTAACTTAAAAATGTAAGTGCTTATCAGATTGGTAAAAGCTAGCTCAGATGCCTTTTAATTTATATAAACTTGGTACTCTTTGGTAAAAACTAATTTGGTAAATTTAATCTCAAAACTCTACAGTAATTTAAAAATTTTAAAGTCATGCTTAAACCCTCAGTTTTTTTCCCCACTGGAAATTTGGGTTACTAAAAGTTAAAATAGTAGTAGCATAAAATATGCTTTTGTTAAAATTGTATAAAACACAATGTTAATTTTCCAAAAAATGTGAGGTTTTTGATTAAGAACCCATTTAAGAGTTGCTTTATAATGGAGGAAATTATACAGATAAAACTAAATGGGTTCTTATTTAAAAAAAAAAAAAAAAAAAGCTAGGGCAATAAAAGTTAACTCTGAGCCCTGTGGTCACCAAGAAAATAGTTGATATGGGGGAAGGGTAAAACCAAGTAACTATTTAAAACCAAAGAGTATAATGTAAAGGAATCGTTCCATTTTGTAGGTTGGTATCATTTAGCTTCTTTAAAAAAATTCTTTACTATAGTGGATTGTAAAAATAACAACTTTAAGGATAAAATTCTTAATTGTAAATACTACAGAATGTAAGAGCTTGTTTGAATTGATGTGGTACCCACAGCTCATTACTAAACAGTTACTGAGTATATGTGATCCAAATGCACAGGGGATGATTCCTGAGAAAGCAATCAGCCCGGTGGGCCAGATAATGCCATTATAAAGCCGGTTTGCCCTGAGAAGGGACTGCCCAACTCTCCCTGTAAAATACCAAGTGAAGTACCACAGAGGATGCAGTTAATATGTCTCATATGCAAGCCATGTTGGACTAGCTTTATGATAATTTTATGATATCCTCCTGTGGCAGGCCAGGCCTCATTAACACAGCCCTCCTTTACAACTGTCCCAGCACTGACTCAGTGGCTAGGTTAAATATGAAAAGCTAAGTGAGCCAGTGTCCTTATACAAAGGCTGGAATGTAACAAAGGCCCACCAAGAGTTTTGCTTAGGCTTTTCCTGGGGCTTTAAGTATGACAAAATAACAAAGGAATTCTTAACAGGACCGTTCTAGGATTAAACAAGTTTTATTGGGGGTCTGAAGAAACTCCCCAGGCCTCCACAAACAAGTGTATTGGGGTCTAAAGGAACTCCCCAACATCTTTATGATTAGCAGGAGATGAGATAAGGGTAATCATCCCCACACCTAGACCCATTTAGATTAAGTAAATTTACTGAGGCTCCAGAAGAAGGTCTTCAGGACTCAGACCTTAATTATAGATTAAAAGAAGTTAATCACTTATGTCTTCAGTTGAATGCACACTTACACATAGACATATAGCTTAGAAGGTATATAAGCTCTGGAAAACTTTGTAATTTTGAGTTGGTCTGGTGATAATTTCTAGGCCTTCTCCCTGTAACCGACTGCAGAAAATAAAACTCTCTTCCTCTCCAGTTCATCTGCATCTCGTTATTGGGCCACAAGAATAGCAGCCTGAGCCTCAGTTTGGTCCAGGAACACTCCCACCAAATAATGTCTATTACCTCTGTCATGGTAAATTTGGGGGTTAAGAGAGCACCTTTTACATGGGTGCCCCACAGAATCAAATCTGCTGTCCCTCATAGGTCTTACAGATTCAACTCCCTCCTGGGAACCCAAACCCCTTTTCACCAGAAAAGGTAAAATGGTCTGGGGTTACAAAAGACTTCCTGGGAAGAACATGAAAACATACAGGTTAATAAATTTATAAAATGTAAGATGTTTAAACAAGCTTTATGTAAGGTAGTTGTGACCCCCTTTACCTAAATGTCTTATGAAAATGGGTACTATATCTAACTGGGGAATGTTTTCCCCTTTCTAGGACTATAAAACTGAAGACATGTGAATCTGCTCATGTAAATCCTCCACTGTGTAACTTTTCTGTGGAGCATTTATCTGAGCTGATGGCAAAAACTGTGAGTACTTTTCAATAACAACAACTGAGCTAGAGAAGTTCTACTTGATGGGGCATTTACTGTCTTGCTATGGAATATTAATTGACACTACCCCTATACTACTGGAAATAATGTTTCCCAAAAAGTTCCATGATACAAAAAAATGGTTTACATAAAATCTTGCTACCTAATAGGCAGAGAGCCTCTTTTCTAGGACTAATTGTGAGCAGCTGCTAAATTCTACAGTAAATGGCATTTCCAAGGTAAACAAACATTATTGTTTTAAAAGCTGCTGCTCTGGTTAAATTAGGGTAAAAAAAACATTTATGCAGCCAACAGACACATGAAAAAATTCTCATCATCACTGGCCATCAGAGAAATGCAAAGCAAAACCACAATGAGATACCATCTCACACCAGTTAGAATGGCAATCATTAAAAAGTCAGGAAACAACAGGTGCTGGAGAGGATGTGGAGAAATAGGAACACTTTTACACTCTTGGTGGGACTGTAAACTAGTTCAACCATTGAGGAAGTCAGTGTGGCGATTCCTCAGGGATCTAGAACTAGAAATACCATTTGACCCAGCCATCCCATTACTGGGTATATACCCAAAGGATTATAAATCATGCTTCTATAAAGACACATGCACACGTATGTTTATTGCAGCACTATTCACAATAGCAAAGACTTGGAACCAACCCAAATGTCCACCAATGATAGATTGGATTAAGAAAATGTGGCACATATACACCATGGAATACTATGCAGCCATAAAAAATGATGAGTTCATGTCCTTTGTAGGGACATGGATGAAGCTGGAAACCATCGTTCTCAGCAAACTGTTGCAAGGACAAAAAACCAAACACCTCATGTTCTCACTCATAGATGGGAATTGAACAATGAGAACACATGGACACGGGAAGGGGAACATCACACACTGGGACCTGTTGTGGGGTGGGGGGAGTGGGGAAGGATAGCATTAGGAGATACACCTAATATAAATGATGAGTTAATGGGTACAGCACACCAACATGGCACATGTATACATATGTAACAAACCTGCACGTTGTGTACATGTACCCTAGAACTTAAAAAAAAAAATCTTTTTGTTTTAAGTTATTTGGGTACAGTATGTTTTTGCAAACAAATTTACCTTTCTGAGTCTTCCAAAATTCAGATTGTAATTTTATAGCAATGTAATTGTCTGCATAAGTTCAATAATAGTTTGTTTTTTAAAAAAAAAAAAAAAAGCAATTGGAGACACTGGTTATTTTACCAAGACTGAAACTAAAATAGCCTATTTTCAGGTAAAGTTTTGGCAAAACCAACTTTAAAAGGAACCTATTTGGCCAGTCACTTTCTTGCTGCATTTTATGCAAATAATCAGACAAGCATAATAAGCCTAAAACTAACCTTGAACACAAATTGGCCTTGCTATAATATTCTCTTTAATAAAAAAGGCGGCTAAAAAAATATTTCAAGGGTAAAACGTAACACTTAATACTAGATTTCGGCCCTAAATTTTTGAGTGCAGATTAAAGCATTATTTGTTGGCTACAATAATCCTCTAGAAAGTACCAGATTATAATTTTTTTCATATTTTTAGTTGGTGCCCGGACGGAACAGGTTACTTTTTCCGTTCTGACATATGAATTACTCTTAAAGTTGTCAAACTATAAATGTTATTTATCTCTTTTGGTTTTATTTCCAAGGAAACCAAAATCATGGTATTCTGAAGACCGGAGATATGAATCTCCATCATTTGGCATCTCACTGGGCCCGATCTGTTTCACCGTTAATGCTCTGCTGCTACAACTGTACAAGCTGCCTTGCTCTAGGCCCAGGGACTATTGCAGAAGAGGTGGGCGTGTAAGATTGTAAAGGCCAGTTTTGGGGGACAAAATGAGGACAAGATCAAGCCCTTCAAATCAAGAAGAGGGTACAAAAAAATTCTTATAAACAGCTGGTAAAACAAGTTTAGTTGCCTTCTAAACTATTATGTGTCACTTTTGCATTCACCCCAACCATACAAATTATCTGCTTACTATAAAATTAAAGGAAAATATTTACTAACAGGATAAAATACCTTGTAACAAAGCCTCCTGGATATAATACTCCTGACTTTGAGTTGTGAAGATAAATCTATCTTCATATTTGTTTTAATTTTTCAGAACAATGCTTACGTTTTGTATAGCTGATTTCTATAAGTCTGTAACAAAAACCAAGCTCACAGCAGCTCAACACATGGAAGTTAAAAATGTCAGTCTTATAACTTTTCCTTTTGGTTTTTCTGTCGGCCTTTTTACTTAAAATAATAATTTTAAGAAGTAGCAAATGCCTGTCTACATCCATTCCTATCCGGCCTAGAACAATTAATTGGTTATAAGTCTTTTGACTCTTATGACCCTCAGCCACAGGAAGTCTTGCTGAGGAAAAATGACACTGTAGAAATATATGACTCCTCCTGTGACAAAACGTTTTCTCTCCCAAGTACCAGCATATGGTGCAGTACAAAAGTGATGGGAAAAATAGATTTGTCTACTGTTGACAAGTCTATAACAATTTAGACACCGAACACCAGACACTTCTCACATTTAATTTGTACCTTCCTCAGGGTGCTATACCTATAGAGATAAATTGGCCAAAAGAGAGATCAAATTTATTAAAATCCAATTTAATGTTGGTCCCACAATTTTCAAATTAGATTTATTGTAGGGTTCAAATAACTCCTAATAAGGAGGGTAAACACATTGTAAGTCTAAACAAAGAATATGGTGATGCACGTGGGGTTTTTCTTTTCTGGCTGATTGGGTTGTTTACTGCCCTCTGATTCTACCTATAACCTTGGACAGCAAAATCTTCACTATCTTTATGATATTTGTTACTATATTAACATTAGACATTTTCTTGTAAATGTTATGCCAGATACAGCAGCATGGAAGGCACAATTAAAGATGTGGACCATGATAGCCCAGAAAATAGATCTGATCCAGGATTTTTTTTTTTTTTTTTTTTTTAAATTTAACCCTAGGCCTGACTCCATCTCACCCCTTAGACAATTGGCTATTACATCAGGTCAGTCCATGTCCTCTCTCCATTATCCAAATGACTAATATTTAAAACTATTACCATCAAATCAGAGGACTCGAGGAACAAGCCTTCCTAGCACTATGGGACCTTTCCAGATGGCCGAATCAGACAACCCTAGGAATGAGCCTTCCTAGCGCCGAGGGACCTGCTGCTGTTGTTGGCCTGCACATGCATTCTATGGAATGCTTTTTGGCCAAGCGGGGGCACTGAGGACTAAGCTCTGATTTTTTTTTATCTCGCCCAAACTCCTTTCTAAGGAGTCTGGGGTGTCATGCCCTACAAACCATAAATTCTCATCAGATGGATTTTATTTAACGTTGTGTATTGTGACTTACTTTCCAATCTGACTCTGGCATAACAAGGGAAAAATTCAAAATGTTTTACCCCAAAATGTATTTCCTTGACATACCTTGAAATTGCCCTGCAAAGTTTCTTGTGGGAAAAATCCACATTCTATATAGAGAATCCCCTTTCCACTTTGTTTTCCTTTCTTCCTTTCCAGATCCAGGAGATAATTCAACTAAGAGCCAGTCACCCTTTTAAGTCCGGTAAGAAACATTTTTCAACCTGCTCTCTCTGAAGTCTGCTATCTGAGAGCTTCCTCTGTACGATAAAATTTGGTCTCCACTATCCTTTATCTTGACCTGAACATTGCCTTTGATCCCAGGTCTTCAGATAAACTCAACCAATTGTCAACAAGAAAATATTTAAATTTGCCTATAGCCTGGAAGCCCCCACTTTGAGTTGTCCCATCTTTCTGAACGAAACCAATGTATTTCTTAAATGTATTTGATTGATATCTCATACCTCCCTAAAATATGTAAAAGCAAGCTGTGCCCCGACCATCTTGGGGACATGTTCTCAGGACCTCCTGAGAGCTCTGTCACAGGCCATGCTCACTCATATTTGGTTCAGAATAAACCTCCTTGAATATTTTACAGAGTTTGACTCTTTTCATCAACAAAGCTTTTAAACTTCATGTGCCATTTGCCTTGTGGCTACATTTGACTTCTTTTCTCAAGCCTGCCATTTAAATTTCTACTTTATCTTCCCCATAGCCTTGGAAACAAGTCAACAATTACTTTCAAACAAAAATTTCTGTAATATAAATGTCACAGTCTCCTATTTGGTTACAGAAACATTTTACCTTTAATTAAGTTTGTTGTGAAAATCCATGTCTTTAATCAAAGAGAAAACATGCTGTGAAGTTTGAAAAGGTTTCATTTTTAGAGAAGGTGGGGTGTTAAGGAATATTTCAGAGAGGTGTGTGGAACATGCTAAGATAATTTGTTCCCTTTTGGCATAGGTATTTTCTTCTATATAGTCTAAATATCAGTGCTACTATTTTGCACAACTGCAAGGAGCAGCACTCTTTGTACTTCGGAGGATACAATATAATGTTGCCTCCTTGGACTTAGCAACCCACTGTAAATATTTTGATAACCTTAGCTATGATCAAAATTGCCAAGGTCATCACAGAGGAAGACCTTAAGGTAAAATTATTAAGGAAATTAACTACAAGGAAATGTGCACCTCACATTATTGGACAATGATAAACTTTGTGGTTTGATGTAACTGGAAATCTAATTTTCTGACTTTTTTTTTTGGATCCTGAAGTTGAGTCATCTTGAAGAAAAAATGTTTTTAATATAGAAAATTTGAAAAAAATTATTGCTGTTAAAGAATCAAATTCATTATGAAACCTAAGGGAAAACTTATCACTAATCTTGGTTAAAAACTTAATGAATTATGGCACTATCTTCTTCATTTTTTAGAAGTTAATTCTTTTCTTGCTCACCAGTCCACTTGGCCTAGTAGAACTGAGCTAATATTCAAACTAGACTGTATAATGTTTCCAAGTTATTCCCCCAAATGCCAACTTTTTCTTTTAAAGTCTTGGAGGATCCATAATTACACAGGACTTTAAATGACTGTCATTTCTAGCCTAGTGACTTGTGCTGTCTGTTAGAAACACTTGGCAGACGTGTTTGAAGTTTGTACAGAATGACTGCTCTAAAGCAGGTGTTTACCAGAATAGGGCAACAGTTGTATTGCAATTAGGGATGCCAAGAGTACATTTAATACCCAGCTCATGTCTAGTGCCAATTAAAACACACTGATCTAACCAAAAGTCCATAACAAATTGATCCCACAACGTTCAAATAAATGAATTTGACAGAACATGGCCATGAAATAGATGCCTATTTTAGCCTATGAGCATGCTCACAACCACCTCAGAGCTAGTAGGTGTTGAAAGAAATATTATTAAGGAGCAGAACTCCAGATGGTCCCAGGGAAAAGGTTTGCTCTATTGTAATAAACACAGTAAAAGGCTGACAAGCTCTATAAATGACAGACAAAAATAACAAGCAATAAATGAGATGCTATGATTGGTGTCTCATGAGAAAAGTCTGAACAGCTCTGAGCAAATATGGCATATAAAAAATAAAGATTTTGTTTCTGGAAAAAGATGAATTTTAAAATTCCTGAGTGCAGACCCAGGGAAAAAGACAAGATAGGTTTGTTTTTTATGTGTGCCACGTGTGCACTCCGCTAGTTTCAAGATCGGCATATATACTTACCATTATTATTATTTTAACTTTTTATTATGGAGCACTTCAAGCATATGCAAAAGTGGACGGAATATTAAAAGTCCCTTCATATACCACCAACCAGCTGTTACCAATTCATGGCCAAATTTGCTTCATCTGATTTTCACCCATTTTCCACATCTCCAATTGTTTAAATCAAATATTAAACATCATATAATTTCATTTGTCAAAATTTTTGTATCTCTCTAGGATATTAGAGCTCCTTTTTTAACAGTCACATCATGAAACCTTCCAAAAATTTAACAACAATCTTTTAATATCATCAGTTGTGCAGACAGCTCAAATTTTTAGTTGTCCCATAAATGTCAGAGATGTTTTCTTTTATGTTTATATTTTGTTTTTTTTTTTTTTGAAGCGGGATTTAAATAATGCCCACATATTACAATTGTTTAATATTTTAAAATCTCTTTTCTTCTCTCTAGGTTCTCTCTCTCTCTTCCTGTCTCCCTCCTTCTGTCTCTATCTCTTTTCTTGGAATTTATTTGTTTAAGAAATGTTAGCTGGGTGCTGTGGCTCCCCCCAACCCCATGATCTCAGCTACTCAAAAGGCTGAGGCAAGAGGATCCCTTGAGCCCAGGAATTTGAGGCTGCAGTGAGCTATGATCACACCACTGCACTCCAGCCTGGGCAACAGAGTGAGAGCCCATCTCTAAAAATTTAAAAAGAAAAATATGGTCCTTTGGAATTGCCATAGTTTAGATTTTGCTGTCTACATTCTTATTAAAATGGTCTTCACTACTCCAAATGTCCTATAACATGAAAGCTGAATGTAGAGTCCTGATCAAATTCGAAATTGTTTTCATTTTGGTTTGTTTTTTGGCATGACTACTTCAGAGAATATGAGTTTTTTTTTTTTTATCGGGGCATATATGTCTTGTTACCTCTACTTTTATGTTATTAGCAGCTGTTGATCTTCAGGGCCTAAATCCTGTAAGCCCTTAAAGGTTGCAAAATGGCATATAAAATGCATATAGATTGGCATGTATATATACAATAGCATACACTCAGCAAAATTGCAATATCCTAATTCTATTATTCCATTTTCATTTATTAGCTGGAATACAGTTGACCCTCAAACAACAGGGGTTTGAGCTGCGCAGGACCACTTATACATGGAGAATAACACACACAGAAAGTACAGTAGTGGTGGAAAGTGAAGCCCATTTATATAGAGGGCTGACTTTTCATACAGTAAAGTGGGTTCTGCGGGGCTAACTGACTGCGGGACTTAGATATTCACAGATCTGGCTATGTGCGGGAGGAATCTTCAAACAAATCCCCCATGTATAAAGGGATGACTATACGTTAAAGAGACACTGTCTTCAACTATTTGTTTACCCCGTGGTATGGTTCATATAGGAAGGGAAGGATAAATGCATGATTCTTTCCCCTTATTTAACAGCTTTAAAAATAATATGTTGATTCACCATCCTTCTCTAAGTGTTGCCAATACTTCTCAAATGATTGTCAGATGGATTCAATGGATAAAACACACGTGAAATTCTGAATCTTCTGTAGTTGTTACTTGTGTAGAATCACAAATTGTCTTAATTTTGAATTGAGAGCCTCTTTCAATTTGTCTTTTAAATTCTTTTGGCTCATCTCTAGTGCTTTTTGATAACCTTCTTGCTATCAGATCTGTAAAGTTATTCCAGACTTGCTGCCCTAGATCTGAAATCAGCAATTTCTCCAAATTCCTTGATTCCTTATGATGTGCTCACAATCTGGGAATTGAATATAATCATTACTTTTGAGTTATTTGTTGTTTTAGCCTTCTTCATTGGATAGATCAATAAAGATTTTAGTGATATAATAATACGTTTATGTGGATATTTTAAAATCAAAGTCAGGATTACAGACTTTTACATAACTTCTTGCATCTTACATTTTCATCTACCTTCTTCAATGCTGAAAAATCTCAGTTGGCAAAAGTGCTGCAAATATTAGAATTAAAATATGACATAATTACTCATAATTTTATCCCAAATTACAAACAGGGAAAACAAAATGATACTACTGGCACTACTACTAATATTATTGTTAAAAATTATATAAATTTTTATTTTGCAACTTTTCTTGTAATTCAATGTAATACATTATCCAATTAATGTGGGGTTATTATCAAATTAATGTGTTCAGAATCACTTAGAATAGTCCCTTTCTATGCCTTGAAGTACATGCCAATTTAATTCATTTAATTTATTATAATGTTAACTTCAGAAATTTTAAAAATATTTAATGTTCTATTTTTACATAAAATATTTACATAGTTCCAAGTCCAATTTATAAAATAAGGCATATTTAAAGAATTTCAACCTCTTTCCCTGTTTTCTCTACTCTATTCTCTTTCACTTTTACAAGCTAAATTATTGTTTGATTGATTGTTTTATCATTTTTTTCTTCCTATCAATTTTTAAGAAAAGTAAATAGCTATACAATACCACTCTTTAGGTAGAAAGTAGCATATCCTATTGTAATATATGGTTTGTTTTATGGATTTTTGTGTTTTTATTTTTATGTTTAACAATAACACCATTTTATGACATCCCTTTAATAATTTTTTTTACTAGTGCTTTACTGAGAACAAGATTGAAATCAACAAATAAACTTTTCTTTCCCTGCTCCAACCTCTTACACAGCATATAAAGTTAAAGTATTTTACCTCCAGGTAATAATTGCTATTACATATTTTGACAAACTTTCCTTATTCTCTTATTTTGTAATAATTCAACTATATCTTTTGCCAAAGCAAATACTTTATAATTTATTCTTCTAGATGACGCACACACAAACACATATAGATATTAATACATAGATAGGTAAAATAGATATGTAGATAAATATAATACTCATAGACTTTTAATATATATCTTCCGAAAGTTTTGGGTAATCTGAAGCTCATCCTCTAGCAGATTCATTATAAGAATCTCATGGAAATAGAGTTTTCTGGGATTTTCATTTTCATAACTATAAATGAAGTTTTATTTTGAAAATCAGTTTAGAAGGATGTAATATAATTGATTCATTTATTCTTTCTATGAATATGTTTCCTTGGTTAAGCAGTGGCATCTGACATAAACAACTCCAATTTAAGAAGTTTGATGACAAGATAATTTTATCTTCTTTACAATTGATTTCCTCTTTTTGTTTGGCTATCTAAAGACTAATTTTAAAGTTTATTATTATTTTTTACTAGACTAAGTCTCCATGTTAATCATGCTAGTGACTTTCCAGTTTCCTGAAGTTTTATTATTAATATTTATTTCCTTTGATTTTTTCTTTTTGAGAATTTGCATTATACATACGTTAGATTTTCTTTGAATATATACTTCCTTTGCTACTTTTTTTCAATGCTTATCTGAGACGTCATTTCTTTTTTGCTTTTAGTATTCTTTCTATTCATCTTTTATTTATGTTGAGGAATTATCTAGTTTTAATTCTCTTTTTAGTTTAATACTGATTTTTGAAATATTTTCCGTTTAATTATTTTTTGATTTTTGTGATTTCATTTCTGAGTTTTTACTGATGGCAATCTGTACTGTTCTTTCATGTTTTCTCTTTATTTTCTTGTCCATTTTAGCCCATTTTGGAATAGTAGGTTATAGTTTCATCTGTTTGGTTTTCCATTTTTCTGTCTACAGATCTGTTATGTGGCTTCTTCCTTCTCCTCCAACTTTTTTCTTGCAGTATGTTTCCACGGAAAGCAAACACAACATTTTTATTCCCAAATTTTATGTAATTTTAATTTTCCTGAACTTTAAGAAGGAGGGTTGGGTCAAGATAATTGTTTAGCTTTGCACTTCAACATTATCATTTCTCTTACTTTTGTGAAGGGATCAAAAATATGGGTTTTATTCTTGCAGATATCTCCAGGCATTGGTTTCCTTCCTCATTTTTGTCTGAGCCTTTTCCTTCTTTTGTCTTATGCTGTTCATATGGATCCAAATCACAGTAGTCTCTCTTCAGTTCTTGGCTTTGAGAAGGTAGCCTTGGCTTCATGGTTTGGACACTTCATAGGGAGAGCATAGATTGCTTCAGCTCCTTCAGACCTTACCACGAACTTCTCTCAGTGTGCAATAGCATTTTAGTTTCAGCTACTGTATTCAAACTACTTCTCTGATCTTTGCATTGAGTGCCTGTTTTCTGCTTGTGTTCTGTTAGCCTTAGCTTCTTAAGGTATCTTATTCATTCTTTCTGTTTCACACACACACAAATATTTATAGTACTTATTTAACCATTACTGCTTTGTCTTCAACCATTTATATTTAAAGTTTCATTGAGATATCTTTCCCTCAAATTATTGGTACATATGTATTTTGTTGGTTTCTTCACCATATTTCTGGGGATTTTAAATATAACACTATCATCTCTCTAGCAGTCCCACTGTGTGTATTTTTAAGAAAAACTAGAGAATTCCTAAATCTGAAAAAAGTCTTTCAAATATCCTAATATTGATCTCATATCAGGGTCTTTGGATTATAACTTACAAATAATCAAAAATATAACACTGTAATGAAGTAGCCATATGCAATTATGTGTTTTGGCTCTCATTTAATATCATAAACAAGATATAAATTCCAGATGAGTTGAATATTAAATATGGCATGTAAAATAATAAACCATTTATAGAAAAACAGAAGACAATTTTCTTAATGTGGGAAAATATTTCTTAATGGAACCCCCGAAGTTCTATCCACATAGGGGGGGAAATATAAATGGCTACATTATACGAAAATAATTTATATTTACCAAAAGACATTATTAGTAGAATTAACAGGCAGCCCATGAAATGGGAGACTATATTCACTATTCTTATATTTAACAAAAGACCTATATTCAGAATATAGAACTCTTACAAATCAGTGTTTATAATGGGCCAAGGAGATGAGCAGACATCTCACAAAAGAGGCTATTCGAATATAAATAGTTGTTAAACTTCACTGGCAATGCAAATTGAAGACTCAATGAGAAACCACTACATGACTACCAGAATGGCTAAAATGAAAAAGTCAGAAAGTAATCACTCTTGAGCGTTGCAGAACAACCAGAACTCTCATGCTCTGCTGAAGAAGAGTATAAATTGATACAGCCACCCTGTAGCACTCTTTCACAATATCTGCTGAAGCTGAACTCCAGGACCCATCACTTCTACTTTTAGGTATATATTCACCCCAAATTTATACACACATGCTTACCAAAAGGCTAATATTGAAATATTTATCACAGTATTACTGGAAATAACCCAAATTGGAAATAACTCAAATTTCCATCAGCATTCAAATAAATGATAGTATATTCACAAAGTGAAATAGTATACAACAATCACAATAAATGATCTATAACAACTACCACTGCTGTGGTTTAGCCTCAAAGCATAATGTGGAACCAAAGAAGCCACAGACAAAAGAACGCACAGTATGATTCCTTTCATTTTAAAACATTAAAAACACATGCAAAGTGTTCATATGCTATTAGAAGGCAGAACTGTGGTTACTCTTTAGGAAATAGTGACTGGAAGGGAGAACAAAATTAACTTTTTGAGTGCTGATAATATTTCACTCTTGATCTGGTAGCTGAGTACATGGTGGGTGCACGTTATGAAAATGTACTAAAATTGATATTTATGTTATGTTATGTTCACTTCTCTCTGTCTCTGTCTCTCTATATATATTATATATCATGTATAAATATGTGAATACATATACACTAGCAATTATTAAAGTGTATAATTTAATTATACATTTATCACACATTTTTCAAAAACTTTATCACACATTTTTCAAAAAGTAGTAGAACAAAACTATGTTCTAAACAGATAAAAACTCTGTATTTAGAAGTTCTTAACAATTGGATTAATAAATATAATCTAATTGATAAAAATTAAATACTATATGGAATGATTACATAATACATCTTTATTATTTCTCAAGTGTATATGGAACATTAAACAAAATTGGCCATGGACTGAGTCAAAAAGCCAGTCTCAACAAGCTTCAAAGTTTAAAATAATTCAGAAAATGTTATCTGCTACATTAATGTTAAACTAAAACTCAATAACAAAAAAAATTAAAAAGTTCTCAAATAATTGAAAGTTAAGCAATATGTATTAAAGTATCCCAGGTGTCAAAGAAAATTAGAATATATTTTAAACTAAATGAATGAGAAATACGATATGTCAAAAGGTACTAGATGTAGCTAAAGCTCTGTTAAAACTTAATTCACATTAGAAATTAAGAAAATCTGAAAATCAGAAATCTAGAGATTTCTAGAGATCAGGAAATATCATTTCTAGAGATCAGGAAAATAATAGTAAAATAATTCCCTCACCCCTCCGATGTATTTAATAGATGAGAGAAAATAATAAGGACGAGAGTAGAAATTAATTGAAGTATAGATAGACATACCAAAAAGAAAATTTATAAAAACAAGTTTTTGAAAAGTCTAAGAAAATGTATAGATCTCTAAAAAGAGAGGGCAAGAAAAACAAGAGAATAAAGGCAAACATTATTAATATTTAGATGGGAAAAAGAGACGTAACTAAAGATCTTACAAAAATAAAATAATTTAGTAAGATACTATCCACAATTTATGTCATGAAATTTGAAAAATTAAATACTCAAATTCTTAATGAAGCACAATTTTACAAAACTGACATAAAAAGTGAAAATAAAATATATTAATCACTCACATTTTCTAACTTTTAAGTGAAATTTTATTTTATGAAAACTTACATCAAGAAACTAGTACTTAGTTGTAAATGGAACACTAGAGCTCTTCCACAACATGTGAGTTCCTGGAAGTCAGGCAAAGTGGATGATGCGCAGTCATTTTCCACTTCATGTATGACCTGAACAATTCTCATTCTCACTTCTGCTCCACCTTTATATAGGAAATCCTAAAATGTGGTTCCACATTATTCTCATTTTCTTTTCCAGTGATCTAGGACTGCATTGCTATCTATTTTCCCTCGAGCCCTATGATTTTTCTGTCTATCTCTCTCAGGAAAAAAATACAAAAAGTAAAATAAATTTATATTAATCAGTTGTTACTATGAGCCAAACTTTTATTTATGTTATACCCAAGTAATATTTCAAAATTCCAACACATAAATGTCAGGCCTCTGGGCCCAAGCTAAGCCATCATATCCCCTGTGACCTGCACGTACACATCCAGATGGCCGGTTCCTGCCTTAACTGATGACATTCCACCACAAAAGAAGTGAAAATGGCCTGTTCCTGCCTTAACTGAGACATTATCTTTTGAAATTCCTTCTCCTGGCTCATCCTGGCTCAAAAGCTCCCCTACTGAGCACTTTGTGACCCCCCATTCCTGCCCACCAGAGAACAACCCCCCTTTTTCCTTTACCTACCCAAATCCTATAAAACGGCCCCACCCCATCTCCCTTGGCTGACTCTCTTTTCAGACTCAGCCCGCCTGCACCCAGGTGATCAAAAAGCTTTATTGCTCACACAAAGCCTGTTTGGTGGTCTCTTCACATGCTCGCGCATGAAAATAAACATTTTTAAAATTCTCACTTTGTGGCAAAACTGAGAGCTGGTGAAGTAAAGTAACATACTCAAAGTCATGCAGCTAGTTAAGCCTAGATTTGAAGTCATGTTTGTTCTGATTAAAAGTTGGTGTTCTTTCCATTCATTGATTTAATTTACCAGGGATGCATTTTTCTTGCTACCAAGAAAGAGAGTAAAATAACTCTTGCTTATCAGGAGTGCTTTGCAAACATATGACAGTGATTTACACAAACCCAATGAATTACTTAGAACAAAAGTAGGGCTAAAATACAATTTTTAGTTTCAAATTTGAAATAAAATTAGAGCTTCTTGTCTGAACACTGTTTCCCTCAAATTCTTGGAAAAACTATTTAAAGACTGTTTTAGGATGATTTTGGAGGAGCTAAGTAAAAAGTTGGTTGTCCCATCCGATTAGTTAGCTATCCTAATGGAAGTATTGCTCATGTTTTTTAGTGGAACAGAAAAGCTAGTTCAAGTTGGGATTCTGCTTTTGAACGTAGAGCTCATATAAATATTATTTAAGAAGTGGATCTCACACTCTTTTCTTAACATGATTCTTAACCCCCATACGAAGAAGTATTTCTATTGATTTGCTCAGTCCAATGCCTGACTCTCCAACTTACCAGATCCTAGTCTCAATGACCCCAAATTATACAGAGAGAAATCAATACAACCCTCTTACGAAGTATGTGAATTATATAAAACAAAATTCCATAAAATATTTCACTACGTCATTACTCATCATCTCTTACAAAGCAGTGCCCAGGATAAGGTTACAGCCTATAGTCATTGATGTTTGATCAGCTAGAGCTCAATACCAATGTCAGGGGAACTGCTCATTCCAGCAATAAATCTCTCTGTGCACTCTGACTGTCAAACCAGGGATATCTGGGTGTCTACTGCTGTGCATGGATCATAGTAATCACAGCACTGGAATTTTTCCTGATGTGACTAACAGTTCATCTTTCTTTCAAATTCTTCTTTAAAAAAATCTCTGCTCTCAAACTCAGTTGCCAAACTAGAGCTGCTTCTTTTCTGAAGAAAAGAAAAAAAAGATTCATTATGGTAATGAGAAAGACTGCTGACTAGAGATATCAGATGCCAGTTGTTCTCACAAAGAAGAACAAACAGCATCAATAGATAATTTTAACTCCAAAAGGATATCAAGAACAGAATACTAGAGCCCAGTGGAGAATTCACAGGAAAAATCCTGCGCAGGAAAAGAAGGAAATGAGAGGCCAACTCAGCTGGCAAAGATTGACGTAAGCCCCAGAGGACTTAGCGCTAAGTGGAAAAAGTAAATGAGACTATTTTGGCTCCTGTCATCCTAGCTGTGGTCTGCCAGTATCCAAACTGTGAGAGAGCTCCTCTACCTTTGCACACCCAAACACTAGTGTTGGCAGTGATTTAGGGATGTCTGGAGGGTATTACACCAGACCATAAACGCACATTGCATTACTCACTCTGCCCCAAGACTTGAGTGGCTGGGCCAGGATGCCATTGTAAGAGCACAGCCATAAGGAGACTGTATCTTGCTCAGAGAACGTCAACCTTTGTTGCCTATCCCAGGAGGTTCTGCTGACATTACCCAGTACCCACTCAGATGGCTGCAGCCGCACAGTGCTGGCAGGAATCAAATGAGCTGCAGGGTTTCCAGTAATCTAGCCCTCAGGGACTGCCACTCCTATGGGAAGAGAAAGTGCAATGCACCAAGAAGAAAACTCCTGGGCCAAAAGAAACCAAAACATACACTTTCCAGTGCCTGAGAGCTCCCTGCTTGGGGCTGTGAGGGGTGGCCCCAGTTCCAACAGGGATACAACTCTATGCCTGGCTTGGCAAGTGAGAAGGAAATCCCATCCCACCAGCCAAATGGACTCTGTGCTCAAAACCAGGCTTAGAGAGGGGAACTTCTCTTTCCACTTGCCACACTGCTAGAGACATAGCAGCTACTGCTCCCATATGAAGTTTGATATAGGCAAATTGGAAGGAAGCCTATCTGGGGCTGTGAGGGGAGACTGCAACCCCACTGTCAGAGTCACCTTCACTTCTGGATTTGAGAGAAGAGAATGGTCCCTCCCCTCCTCTGCACAGAGCTGCAGTGTTGCTGCAATGAAAAGCAGGAGTACCAGATAGCTGTGTGTTTGGGGGTGTGGTGGAAGACTCTGCACCGCAGCCACTACCAGATGGCACAGATGTTCATTGTTGAGCCAGGGAGCTGGCATCTCCTATAGCTCTCTTAGCTACATTGCAGCCTATAAACAAACAGCAGTGTCTGATTAAACTGATATCCCATGTGCTGGGATGGGGTGTGACAGGAAGACTGATAACACTCCCTCCTGCCTAGGCTATGGTGCTAGAGCAGTCCCTCTCTTCACTATGCAGAGACCTCTGGTCATTTCACCAGGGACGTGATGACTTCCCTGCCATTCCTGTGAGGGTGCTTGCACCCGACACTGGGGAGCCTGAGTGTGAGTTTGCCTGGTCCAGCTCTGCCCAGCTACACCCTCATTCTCTGAGGCTAAACATGGGACAGAGACCACTGCGTATTCTACAGATCAGCTTATTGCCTGTGGCACCAGAGAACTTCTTCTAGTAAACAATTAAGCATAAATCCTACAGGTACCACAGCAGCCAGCTCTTACCTGTGAGTGCCACCTACTATCCTGGAAGTCAACCTAACAACCCACTACAAATTCTGGACATAAATGCACAGTGCTTAGGAATGAGATAAGCTTCTCATGACCTCCACCAGCATGGAGTCTCAGGAGGCTATGAGTCTTCTCACCCATTCAGTACACCAATAATACAGCTAACATTTGAGAAAGCCACCACATGAAGGCTATCTATAAGTAAAACAATTTTTACACACTTTTTTCAACTGAGTACGCACATCAGCAAAGCAAACTGTACTACTTAAAATATATTATAGTTGCATTCTTAAGAAGAGAAGAAGAAAACAAATCCTGTCCAAATGAAAGTAAATTCAAAAATAAGAAGTGTTTCTTTCTCCATATGCAAAAATAAAAGAACAAATGTAACAATACTTGAAGTATGCAAAAGCAGAGTGAATCTCAAAAGATCAACACTAACTCTAGCTGTGGATCCTAACCAAAATGAAGTTTGTGAAATTCCAGATAAAAATTAAAAATATTTATTTTAAAGAAGCTCAACGAGATCCAAGAGAAATCTAAAAACCATTACATAGAAATCAGAAAATCAATTCAGGATATAAAGAGAAATTTACCAAAGACATAGATAGTCTTAAAAAAGAAAGAAAGAAAGAAAAGAAACAACAAAAAAGGACTTTCGGAAATGAAAAAGTCATTGAAGAAATTACAGACTAAAAGTAAAAGTTTCAACAATAGGCTAAACCAAGCAGAATCTCAGAACTTGAAGACAGGTCTTTTGAATTAACCCAGCCAGATAAAAATAAATAAAAATGAGCAAACAAAGCTATCAGGAAGCACAGAACTGCCTAATGACTAAACTTACAAATTATTGGTATTACTGAGTCAAAAGCAAAACATTTGAAAACATATCTAAGGAAATAACTGATAAAAACTTTCTTGCCTTGAAAGATATATATGGACACATAGATACAAGAGGCTCAGCAAACACCAGAAAAATACATTGCAGAAGACTTCACCATAGGATATGTCAGGCCTCTGAGCCCAAGCTAAGCCATCATATCCCCTGTGACCTGCACGTACACATCCAGATGGCCAGTTCCTGCCCTAACTGATGACATTCCACCACAAAAGAAGTGAAAATGGCCTGTTCCTGCCTTAACTGATGACATCGTCTTGTGAAATTCCTTCTCCTGGCTCATCCTGGCTCAAAAGCTCCCCCACTGAGTACCTTGTGACCCCCCACTCCTGCCCACCAGAGAACAACCCCCTGTGACTATAATTTTCCTTTATCTACCCAAATCCTATAAAACGACCCCACCCCTATCTCCCTCTGCTGACTCTCTTTTCGGACTCAGCCTGCCTGCACCCAGGTGAAATAAACAGCCATGTTGCTCACACAAAGCCTGTTTGGTGGTCTCTTCACACAGATGTGCATGAAATTTGGTGCCATGACTCAGATCAGGGGACTTCCCTTGGGAGATCAATCCCCTGTCCTCCTGTTCTTTGCTCCATGAAAAAGATCCACCAACGACCTCAGGTCCTCAGACCCACCAGCCCAAGGAACATCTCACCAATTTTAAATCGGGTAAGCGGCCTCTTTTTACTCTTTTCTCCAACCTCCCTCACTATCCCTCAACCTCTTTCTCCTTTCAATCTTAGCGCCACACTTCAATCTCTCCCTTCTCTTAATTTCAATTCCTTTCATTTTCTGGTAGAGACAAAGGAGACACGTTTTATCTGTGTACCGAAAACTCTGGCACCGGTCACGGACTAGGGAAGGCAGCCTTTCCTTGGTGTTTAATCATTGCAGGGAGGCCTCTCTGATTATTCAGGTTTCAGAGGTGTCAGACCATGCAGCGATGCCTGCCTTGGTCCTTCACCCTTAGTGGCAAGTCCCACTTTTTGAGGGAAGGGGCAAGTACCCCAACCCCTTCTCTCCATGTCTCTACCCCTTCTTCGCCTTACTGGGGGGCAAGAAACCCCCAACCCCTTCTCCTTCACCCTTAGTGGCAAGTCCCACTTTTTTCTATGGGAGGGGCAAGTACCCCAACCCTTTATATCTCTGTGCCCCGATCCCTTATTTCCGCACCCCACCCTCTTATATCTCTGTGCCCCAATCCCTTATTTCCGTGCCCTGACCTTGTATCTCTGTGCCTTGACCCCTTTCCCACTTTTCTGGAGGGTAAGAACCCCCGAACCCCTTCCTTCCGTGTCCCTACTCTCTCTTTTCTCTGGGCTTGCCTCCTTCACTATGGGCAACCTTCCACCCTCCATTCCTCCTTCTTCTCCCTTAGCCTGTGTTCTTAAGAACTTAAAACCTCTTCAACTCTCACCTGACCTAAAATCTAAGCATCTTATTTTCTTCTGCAATGCCGCTTGACCCCAATACAAACTCAACAGTAGTTCCAAATAGCCAGAAAATGGCACTTTCAATTTTTCCATCCTACAAGATCTAAATAATTCTTGTCATAAAACGGGCAAATGGTCTGAGGTGCCTGACATCCAGGCATTCTTTTACACATCTGTCCCTCTCTAGTCTCTGTTCCCAATGCAATTCCTCCCAAATCCTCCTTCTTTCTCTCCTGACTGAGGTTGTCCCCTCAGTCCCAACCCCAAGCGTTGCTGAGTCTTTCCAGTCTTCCTTTTCTACAGACCCATCTGATATTTCCCCTCCTCCTCAGGCTGCTCATCACCAGGCCGAGCTAAGTCCCAATTCTTCCTCAGCCTCTGCTCCTCCACCCTATAATCTTTTTATCACCTCCCCTCCTCACACCCAGTCCGGTTTACAGTTTCAGTCCGTGAGTAGCCCTCCCCAACCTGCCCAGCAATTTACTCTTAAAAAGGTGGCTGAAGCTAAAGGCATAGTCAAGGTTAATGCTCCTTTTTCTTTATCCGACCTCTCCCAAATCAAATAGCGTTTAGACTCTTTTTCATCAAATATAAAAAACCCAGCCCAGTTCATGGCTTGTTCGGCAGCAACCCTGAGACGCTTTACAGCCCTAGACCCTAAAAGGTCAAAAGGCCGTCTTATTCTCAAAATACATTTTATTACCCAATCTGCTCCCGACATTAAATAAAACTCCAAAAATTAAATTCCGGCCCTCAAACCCTACAACAGGATTTAATTAACCTCGCCTTCAAGGTTTACAATAACAGAAAAAAGTTGCAATTCCTTACCTCCACTGTGAGACACACCCCACCCACATCTCCAGCACACAAGAACTTCCAAACGCCTGAGCCACAGCAGCCAGGCATTCCTCCAGAACCTCCTCCCCAAGGAGGTTGCTACAAGTGCCAGAAATCTGGCCACAAGGCCAAGGAATGCCTGCAGCCCAGGATTCCTCCTAAGCCGCGTCCCAACTGTGCGGGACCCCACTGGAAATCAGACTGTTCAACTCACCTGGCAGCCACTCCCAGAGCCCCTGGAACTCTGGCCCAAGGCTCTCTGACTGACTCCTTCCCAGATCTTCTTGGCTTAGCGGCTGAAGACTGACGCTGCCTGATTGCCTCGGAAGCCTACAGGACTATCACAGACGCTGAGCTTCAGGTAACTCTCACAGTGGAGGGTAAGTCTGTCCCCTTCTTAATCAATACCGAGGCTACTCACTCCACATTACCTTATTTTCAAAGGCCTGTTTCCCTTGCCTCCATAACTGTTGTGGGTATTGACAGCCAGGCTTCTAAACCTCTTAAAACTCCTCAACTCTGGTGCCAACTTAGACAATACTCTTTTAAGCAATCCTTTTAGTTATCCCCACCTGCCCAGCTCCCTTATTAGGCCGAGACACTTTAAGTAAATTATCTGCTTCCCTGACTATTCCTGGATTACAGCTACATCTCATTGCTACCTGTCTTCCCAATCCAAAGCCTCCTTTGCATCCTCCTCTTGTATTCCCCCACCTTACCCCACAAGTATAAGATACCTCTACTCCCTCCTTGGCTACCGATCATGCACCCCTTACCATCTCATTAAAACCTAATCACCCTTACCCCACTCAATGCCAATATCCCATCCCACAGCATGCTTTGAAAGGATTAAAGCCTGTTATCACTCGCCTGCTACAGCACGGCCCTTTAAAGCCTATAAACTCTCCTTACAATTCCCCCATTTTACCTGTCCAAAAACCGGACAAGTCTTACAGATTAGTTCAGGATCTGTGCCTTACCAACCAAATTGTTTTGCCTATCCACCCTGTGGTGCCCAACCTGTACACAATTTTGTCCTCAATACCTTCCTCCACAACTCACTATTCCGTTCTCAATCTTAAAGATGGTTTTTTCACTATTCCCCTGCACCCCTTGTCCCAGCCTTTCTTTGCTTTCACTTAGACTGACCCTGACACCCATTAGGCTCAGCAAATTACCTGGGCTGTCCTGCCGCAAGGCTTCACAGACAGCTCCTATTACTTCAGTCAAGCCCAAATTTCATCCTCATCTGTTACCTATCTCGGCATAATTCTCATAAAAACACACGTGCTTTCCCTGCTGATCGGGTCCAATTAATCTCCCAAACCTCAATCCCTTACAAAACAATTCCTTTCCTTCCTAGGCATGGTTAGTGCGGTCAGAATTCTTACACAAGAGCCAGGACCTCACCCGGTAGCCTTTCTGTGCAAGCAACTTGACCTTACTGTTTTAGCCTAGCCCTCATGTCTGCATGCAGCAGCTGCTGCTGCTTTAATACTTTTAGAGGCCCTAAAAATTACAAACTATGCTCAACTCACTCCCTACATTTCTCCTAACTTCCAAAATCTATTTTCTTCCTCATACCTGACGCATATACTTTCTGCTCCCCGGCTCCTTCAGCTGTACTCACTCTTTGTTAAGTCCTACAATTACCATTGTTCCCGGCCCAGACTTCAATCTGGCCTCCCACATTATTCCTGATACCACACCGGACCCCCATGACTGTATCTCTCTGATCCACCTGACATTCACCCCATTTCCCCAAATTTCCTTCTTTCCTGTTCCTCACCCTGATCACGCTTGATTTATTGACGGCGGTTCCACCAGGCCTAATTGCCACACACTAGCAAAGGCAGGCTATGCTATAGTACAAGCCACTAGCCCACCTCTTAGAACCTCTCATTTCCTTTCCATCGTGGAAATCTATCCTCAAGGAAATAACTTCTCAGTGTTCCATCTGCTATTCTACTACTCCTCAGGGATTATTCAGGCCCCCTCCCTTCCCTACACATCAAGCTCGAGGATTTGCCCCCACCCAGGACTGGCAAATTAGCTTTACTCAACATGCCCCGAGTCAGATAACTAAAATACCTCTTAGTCTAGGTAGACACTCTCACTGGATAGGTAGAGTCCTTTCCTACAGGGTCTGAGAAAGCCACCGCAGTCATTTCTTCCATTCTGTCAGACATAATTCCTCAGTTTAGCCTTCCCACCTCTATACAGTCTGATAACAGATGAGCCTTTATTAGTCGAATCAGCCAAGCAGTTTTTCAGGCTCTTAGTATTCAGTGAAACCTTTATATCACTTACGGTCCTCCATCTTCAAGAAAAGTAGAATGGACTAAAGGTCTTTTAAAAACACACCTCACCAAGCTCAGCCACCAACTTAAAAAGGACTGGACAATACTTTTACCACTTTCCCTTCTCAGAAGTCAGACCTGTCCTCAGAATGCTACAAGGTACAGCCTACTTAAGCTCCCGTATAGATGCTCCTTTTTATTAGGCCCCAGTCTCATTCCGGACATCAGACCAACTTAGACTGTGCCCCCAAAAACTTGTCATCCCTACTATCTTCTGTCTAGTCATACTCCTATTCACCATTCTCAACTACTCATACATGCCCGCTCTTGTTTACACTGCCGGTTTACACTGTTTCTTCAAGCCATCACAGCTGATATCTCCTGGTGCTATCCCCAAACTGCCACTCTTAACTCTTAAAGTAAATAAATAATCTTTGCTGGCAGGACTATGCTGAATCTCCTTAGGCACTCTCTAATCAGATATCCTGAGTCGTCCCAATTCTTAGACCTTTTATACCTGTTTTTCTCCGTTATTCCATTTAGTTTTTCAATTCATACAAAACCATATCCAGGCCATCACCAATAATTCTACATGACAAATGTTTCTTCTAACAACCCCACAATATCACCCTTACCACAAAATCTTCTTTCAGCTTAATTTCTCCCACTCTAGGTTCCCATGCCGCCCCTAATCCTGCTCAAAGCAGCCCTGAGAAACATCGCCCATTATCTCTCCATACCATCCCCTAAAATTTTTGCCGTTCCAACACTTTACCACTATTTCATTTTATTTTTCTTATTAATATAAGAAGACAGGAATGTCAGGCCTCTGAGCCCAAGCTAAGCCATCATATCCCCTGTGACCTGCACGTACACATCCAGATGGCCGGTTCCTGCCTTAACTGATGACATTCCACCACAAAAGAAGTGAAAATGGCCTGTTCCTGCCTTAACTGATGACATTGTCTTGTGAAATTTCTTCTCCTGGCTCATCCTGGCTCAAAAGCTCCCCTACTGAGTACCTTGTGATCCCCACCCCTGCCCACCAAAGAACAACACCCTTTGACTGTAATTTTCCTTTATCTACCCAAATCCTATAAAATGGCCCCACCCCTATCTCCCTTTGCTGACTGTCTTTTTGGACTCAGCCTGCCTGCACCCAGGTGAAATAAACAGCCATGTTCCTCCCACAAAGCCTGTTTGGTGGTCTCTTCACATGGACGCGCATGAAAGGATATAGTCATCAAACTGTCTAAAGTCCATGTGAAGAAAAAAATTTCTAAATTCAGCAAGAGATAAGCATATAATAATCTATAAAGAAGCACTATCCAACTGACAGTGAACTTCTCAGCAGAAACCTTACAGGCCATAAGAATTTGAAGTACTATTTTCAGAGTTCTTAAAGAAAAAAGCTATCGATCACAAATTTTATATTATGTACAATAAGCTTCTTTAAAAAATGAGATATAAAATTGTTCCCAGACAAATAAATTCTGAAAGAATTCATCAGCACTAAACCAGCCATACAGGAGAGTCCAAAAGGAGTTCTAAACACAGAAATAAAAGGTCAATATTCACCAGCATAAAACTACAGGGAAGTATAAAATTCTCAGGTCTTATAAAAAATTATACAAAGGAGGAATAAAAAGAAATAAAATAGCAGCATGACAGAACTCCATGAAACCAGAAAGACAAACATATAGAAGAAAAAAAAGAATAAAGAACCTATGAAACAACTAGATTAAAATTAACCTTATGATAGGAATGAAACCTCACATATAAATATTAATCTTGAATGTAAATAGATTAAATGCTCCATGTAAAAGATATAGATTGGCAGAATGGATAAAAAATAATTTGACCAAATTATATAAGTAATAATAGTATAGCATTTGACAATAGTCAGCATCCCCTCATAATAAAAACCCTCAACAAGGTAGGCATAGAGGGAACATGCCCTAAAATAATAAAGGCCATATATGACAGACCTACAGCCAACATCATACTGAATGGGGAAAAGTTTAAAGAAATCCCCCTAGGAACTGGAACAAGACAAGGATGTCAACTTTCACCACTCCTATTCAACATAGTACTGGAAGTCCTAACCAGAGCAATCAGGTAAAATAAGGAAATAAAAGACATCCAAATTAGAAAACAGGAAGTCATATTATCTCTCTTCACAGATACGATCTTATACCTAGAAACTCCTAAGGAAACTTCCAGATACTCTTAGATATGATAAATGAATTCAGCAATGTTTCAGGAAACAAAATCTATCTACAAAATTAGTAGTATTTCTATTCACTAATAACAATCAAGCTGAGAACCAAATCAAGAACACAATACCATTTACAATGGCTACAAAAATAAATACCCAGAAATATATTTAACCAAGGAAAATCTGTACAAAAAACTGCAACGCACTGATGAAAGAAGCTGCACATAACACAAACAAGTAGGAAAATGTCCCATGCTCATGGATCAGAAGAATTAATATCATTAAAATGACCATACTGCTCAAAGCAATCTACAGATTCAATGCTATTCCTATTAAAATACCAAAATCATTCTTCACAGAATTAAAAAATTCCTAAAATTCATATGGAACCAAATAGCATGTATAGCCAAAGCAATTTTAAGCAAAAAAAAAAAAAAAAAAAAAAAAAAAAAATCATAGCTAGAGTGATCATATTACTGACCTCAAATTATTCTATAAGGCTATAGCAACCAACAAAGCATGGCCCTGGTATAAAAATAGATACATAGTTCAATGGAACAGAATAAAGAACCCAGAAAAGAGTCCTTTATATCAGCTATTTATAGTCAGCTGATATTTGACAAAATTGACAAAAACATACACTGGGGAAAGGATACTCTTTATAATAAATGGTGAGGGGAAAATTAGTTTGCCATATATGGAAGAATAAAACCAGAGCCCTATTTATTACCATTACAAAAATTTACCATTAAAAAACCAGACCCCTATTTATTACCTATTACAAAAATTAATTCACTATAAATTAAAGGCTTACATGTAAGACCTGAAATTAGAAAAATACTGGCAGAAAACCTAGGGGAAATTCTTCTGGATATTGGTCTAGGCGAAGACTTCATGACCAAGACCTCAAAAGCAGAGGCAACAGAAACAGAAATACACAAATGCGACTTAATTAAACTAAAAAGCTTCTGCCAGAAGAAGATATAACAGAGTGAACAGATCACCTTCAGAATGGGAGAAAATATTTGCAAACTATAAATCTGACAGGATACTGATATATAGAATTTACAAGAAACTCATACAACTCAACAATAACAAAAATCAAATAATGCCATTAAAAAATGGGCAAAGGATATGAATAGATATTTTTCAAAAGCAGACATACAAATGGCTGACAAGCATATGTAAAAATGCTCAACATCACTAAGAGAAATGCAAATTAAACTTATGATGAGACATAAGTTGATATACTCCACATTACTCTGAGGTCCATATATCAGTAGGCAGGTATGAAGGTGGTTTATGTATGTAAATAGGTGGCTGTTATTTTCTTCTGAAGTTTAAGTTGTCTAGCTTCAGTTCACAGGGCTTTACAAAAGTACAGATTAGTTTTTGGTGACTCCAAGTTAGAAAAAATCAGGAAAAAAGAAGGAAAAAAATTGAAAACATTATTTTTCAGACTTGTAGCCAAGAAAAATTATAACTCAGTCCAAACTGTAAAAAATAACACAAATTGAAAAACATAGGCAAGACTAGAATGTAACAACAGGTGTACTATAGTTTCTGAGACATAATTTTTCTCTCCCCAGTTTTCCATTTTTACTAAAGACAAATCATGATAGGATGAATTTGCTGTATTACACTTGGCCTAATTATTTCTATACAGTGCAGCATGGCTATTATGAAAAAGTCAAATAATAACAAATGTTAGCAAGTATGCAGAGAAAAAAGAACACTTATACACTTTTGGCGCAAGTGTAATTTGGTACAACCTCTATGGAAAACAGTATAGAGATTTGTCAAAGAACTAAAAATAGAACTACCATTTGATCCAGCAATTCCACTACTGGGTATCTGCCCAAAGGAAAAGAAATTATTATGCCAAAAAAGATACCTGGACTCGTATATTTACCGCAGTACTATTCACAATAACAAATATTTGGAATCAATCTAAATTTCCATCAGTGGATAAATGGATAAAGAAATTGTGGTATGTATATATATAAGTGTATGTATACACACACACATACACACATGCATGCACACACACACATTGGAATACTATTCAGCTATATAAAGGAATGAAATCATGTCTTTTGTAGTAACATGAATGGAATTAGAGGTCATTATCTTAAGTGAAACAACTCATGAACAGAAAGTCAAATACTGCATGTTCTCATTTATAAGTGGAAGCTAAATAATGTGTACCCATGGACGTAGAGTATAGACTAATAGACACTGGAGACTCAAGAGGCTGGAAAGGGGGAAAGGGATAAGAAATTACTTTATGGGTACAATGTATATTATTCACATGGTAGTTACACTAAAAGCCCAGACTTCACCACTACATAATATATACTTTAACAAAACTGCACTTGTACCTCTTAAATTTGTATAAATAAAAAATTAAATAGGATTATTCTTCCAGAATGTTCTTGTTATGACTCACAATAACCAGTTTACTGTGAACCCTAAATGTCTGAGACAGGTCTCAGTTAATTTAGAAAGTTTATTTTGCCAAGATTGAAGGCGTGCACCTGTGACTCAGACTTAGGAGGTCCTGATGACATGTGCCCAAGGTGGTCAGAGCACACACTGGTTTTATACATTTTTGGGAGATATGAGACATCAATCAACATATGTAAGATGAACATTAGTTCAGTCTGGAAAGGCAGGATAACTCAAAGCAAAGGTGGGAAGAATCAAAGTGGGGAGGGGGTGTCTAGGTCATAGGTGGAGAAGAAACAAGTGGCTTCATTTGTTTTGAGTTTCTCCAAAGGAGGCAACCAGATATGTGTTTATCTCAGTGAGCAGAGGGATGACTTTGAATAGAATGGGAAGCAGGTTGGCCCTAAGCAGTTCCCAGCTTGACTTCTCCCTTTAGCTTAGTGATTTCAGAGCCCCAAGATTTTTTTGCTTTCATGTTTCACCTCCTTTTAAGAAAATCTTTAGGAGAAAGCATTTTAGAAGAAAAAGAATCTCTGGTCTCAGGTTTCATCTCATCTCTCATGACTAGGATGGTTTATTCCTAGATGGGTATGTCCTGAGTTATTAGGAAAGCTCATTTTTAGCAGGTTGTGAAGTCTCATGTCCTATGAAGAGAAAATAGGGGGAGGAAGGGAGAAAAACAACAACAAACAAAAGAACAATCCTGGAAAATTGATATACTCCGCATTACTCTGAGGTCCATATATCAGTAGGCAGGTATGAAGGTGGTTTTATGTATGTAAATAGGTGGCTGTTATTTTCTTCTGAAGTTTAAGTTGTCTAGCTTCAGTTCAGGGCTTTACAAAAGTACAGATTAGTTTTTGGTGACTCCAAGTTAGAAAAAATCAGGAAAAAAGGAGGAAAAAAATTGAAAACATTATTTTTCAGACTTGTAGCCAAGAAAAATTATAACTCAGTCCAAACTGTAGAAAATAACACATATTGAAAAACATAGGCAAGACTAGAATGTAACAACAGGTGTACTATAGTTTCTGAGACATAATTTTTCTCTCCCCAGTTTTCCATTTTTACTAAAGACAAATCATGATAGGATGAATTTGCTGCATTACACTTGGCCTGATTATTTCTATACAGTGCAGCAAGAACAATTATTTTTCACATAGGCTTGTAAATTGGCTTTGATGGAACCTTGTTCCATAGAAGGAATCTCAGATAAGACGTTTTTAAAGCCAAGCCCAGCCATAGGTTTGTACCCTCAAATACCAATGAGTTGGGTGAATTCCTCTCCTCTTGAGTTTCCGAGATAAACTTGGGGCTCCTGGGTCTGTCAGAAAGTGACATTCTTTACTTATCACAGGTCAGGAACCCTGTACAGGGACTGTGTAGACAAGGTATGAGGTCAGTTTTCCCCAGGGGCCTTTATTGGTTCCATAAGTCAAGTTTGATTTCTTAAAGACAAGTATTCTATTCCAATCAAAGCCTTGATAAAATAACCAGTTTCTCCAACTGTGTCCTGTTACAAATGAAAACAGACTTTTTTTTTTTTTTTTTGAGACTGAGTCTTGCTCTCTCGCCAGGCTGGAGTGCAGTAGCGTGATCTCGCCTCACTGCAATCTCTGCCTCCCGGGTTCAAGACGTTCTCCTGCCTCAGCCTCCTGAGTAGCTGGGATTACAGGTGCAAACCACCATCCCCAGCTAATTTTGTATTTTCAGTAGAAACAGGCTTTCACCATGTTGGCCAGGAAGGTCTTGATCTCTTGACCTCGTGATCCGCCCACCTCGGCCTCCCAAACTGCTGGGATTACAGGCATGATCCACTGCACCTAGCCGAACACAGATTTTTATTGCACTTATGCAAATAACTGTATTACCGTAAGTTAAGAATACTCACAAATAGTTTCCAAATTCTACAATCAGGTAGAGAGAAACAAGTGTTCTCCAAATTTTGTTCATAGGAGTATATTAAATTGTTAAAAGCTGTCAACAGCTCAAAAGAAAAGTTTTCTTGACTCTGAAGAACAAAACACAGCATCAGCAACATTTTAAGCAAAAAGTCAAAAAGATTACTTCAGTCTTACATTAGTTCAGTCCATGCAGTTAATTCCTGTTCTGCTTGATATTCATGAATATTTTAGCTTTCCGTGAGTCCTGAAAGTTTTTCCTCTATTCTAATGTCATAATCTCAAAAATTATCAGAAACCTGAATTCAAGAGCACCTGTTAGAGTTTTATAGCTGATTTTAAAACCACCTTCTAAAGAGGACCAAAACAAGACAACAATTGTCTGTAAAGGACAAAAAGTTTCAGAGCAGACATAGCCAAAGACACAATTGACAAGGACATTTGTTACCTCTGTGGCACACAATAATTTAACATAACACTTATAATTATTACTGATAATGGACACTAAGTCATATCAGAATTATAGGAGTTTCCCATGATTTTGGAACACACACACCTATAACATATTTATACAAATACATTCCAAAGAAAACCAAATACCATTTTATATTTGACAATGGTTTCTTCCCCACCAGATCTCCTTTTTTCTTCCTCTTTTTGTGGTGGAAATTTAAGCACTTCAGAGGCCTTGTTCCCCATAATTTGGAACTCTCCTTCAGATTTGATCAAGTCAGACAGAGTTGATCAAACCCAATGGGGAAAAAACCACGACAACAAAAAACAAAAGCAAACAAACAATAACAACAACAAAAACAGTTATGCAAAACAAAGTATCACACGACTTATATTGTTACTGAGCACTCTAATGGTAAGGAGAAATTAAGACCAGCTGGTTGTTTAATGTTAGCCAAAATAAAACACCAATTCAGTCACTTGCCCAGGGATAGGTCTCAGGCTGATGTCTGCACTCTACCATCCTAGAAGCAGAAAAAAACAAAAAAAAAAGCAAACTCATCTTCCCTGATGGGAGTGAGCTCAAACTGTATAAAGGAGTTACCTGCCTTCCATCATCATAGAAGCAGGAAATCTTGCCTTCCTTGTTGGAAGCAAGTAAAACTCCAAAAAGAGAGGAGTTGTACAGCAAAATAAACCTTAGACCTCAGCCTAATTTTGTGAGATCACGGATTCTCTGGAGCAGGTGCTCCCAGACCTCAGCAAATTGTCCTATTGGTTTGAATCATAAAGTTAGCTCATGCTGGTACCAAGCACCGATAGGAGATTTGTCAAAAGTCAGGGGCATCTCTACTCAGAATCCCTTCACGGTTACCAAAATGTGAACACTGAATGTCTGAGACAGGTCTAGTTAATTTATAAAGTTTATTTTGCCAAGGTTGAGAATGCACGCCCATGACACAGCCTCAGGAGGCCCTGATGACATGTGCCCAAGGTAGTCAGAGCATACTTTGATTTTATACATTTTCAGGAGACATGAGACATCAATCAGCATATGTAAGATGAACACTGGTTCAGTCTGGAAAGGCAGGACAACTCAAAGCAAAGGTGGGAAGACTCAAAGCAAGGAGGGGGCTTCTAGGTCATAGGTAGAGAAGAGACAAATTGTTACATTCTTTTGGGTTTCTGATCGGCCTCTCCAAAGAACACAATCAGATACGCATTTATCTCAGTGAGCAGAGGGGTGACTTTGAATAGAATGAGAAGCAGGTTGGCTCTAAGCAGTTCCCAGCTTGACTTCTCCATTTAGCTTAGTGATTTGGGGGCTCCAAGTTTTATTTTCCTTTCACACAATCAATATTACTCTTTCCAGATCCCTAACTTTCCAGCTAGTTTAGTAGGAAATTTTTACAGATTCTCACTTTAGCCATCTAATCTTCCAGATGAGAATATAGTTATGTGGATAAAAGTCCACAGGTTCTTTCTGGAAATGCTAAGAATAATATAAATAGTTTTAAGGAACATGGGCTTTTGAGCCTATCTTGAACTTGGGGTCAAGTCTTAGTTGTACCAGTAATCACCTAGGAAATAATGGGAAAATAATTGTTCCCTATGTGCACTGTGGAGAAAATAAAGGCCCAATATTAATAGAGAAGTTTTGATGATTCCATGAGTTAACACATAAGAGATCTTTAAAAAAAAGTTTTGGCATGTAGTAAGCCCTCCTTAAAACTCAGATATTATTATAGTTTATACCTTTATTCAATAATTTCTACATGACAACATTTTTCTAAACTTGTGAACAAAGCACACATGAAAAAAGTTGATGAGAACAAGCCTACAATTAAAACACTTCCCTTCCTGACTCCATGTTCTGAAAACAATGCCTTCTCAGTATGTGCAGCTGTTTTGACTTAGGCTATTCCTAGGTCAAAAACCTGTATTTCTGCCAGGTTCCAGACAGTGGAAAGCCCACTCAACAGCAACTCTTTCCCCCAGAATTTAGACCATTTAAAGAACAGGCCCTAGAGCGTTTTGAAAATATTTTGGTATTTTTACCCCGTAATTAATTCTTTAGCCAAAGCTGTAGGTAAAGTTTCCTGGGTTCAGCTGCAGCTCATCATAGATGAATAAAGATTAAACAACCACTTTTGGTTGTTTAAATTCCAGAATATTTTCAATGCTTTCCTATAGATTATGACAAGAAACATTTCTGGCTCTTAAATGCCATTTAGTTAGGCTAATGCAGGTTGGCAATATTCAACTCAGCAAGCAATTACATTAGTGTGTGGCCCCTGTTGGATCCTTGAAGGGAGACTTTGGCCAGTTTACCCACATCAATGAATCTAGTCATATGGAATTTGTTTTATTGGTGCAATTATCTTAATATCCAATCTCATAAATAATACCCAGATTTTTAAAAACTTCTTCTTTGAAATAACTTTTGACTATGTTATGGGCTGAATTGTGTACAGCAAAATTTGTATGTTGAAGCCCTATCTCTCAGTACTTCAAAATGTGACTTTGTTTGGAGATAGGGCCTTCAATGAGGTGATTAAGTTAAAATGAGGCCACTGGAGTGGGCTCTAATGCAATCTAACTGGTGTCCTTGTAGGAAATTTGAATACACAGACACCATGGATGCACAGAGAGACCAGGTAAGCACACATAAAAAGGCAGGCATTGCCAAGCCAAGGAGAGAAGCCACAGGAGAAACCAAGTCTGCCATGTTGATCTTGGAATTCCAGCCTGTAGAGCTGTGAAAAATAACTTTCTGTTGTTTAAGTCACTTGGTTTGTGGTATTTTGTTATAGCAACCCTAGCAAACTGATACATATTTACTAACAGAGACTTCCCATTTATCATTCACCAGCTTCATCTAAGGTTAATATCCTATATAACTGTAGTACAATTATCAAAACCACAGCACTTAGATTGTAAACAAGAAGTTCCTCTATTTTTCCCTCCCTATGTCCCTTCTCTGTCTCTCTTTTTCTTAAACACTCTGATTCTAAATATTTTCTCAGGGTACAATGAAGCCAGGATTTAGTTACAGGGTAAGAAACAATGAAAGAGAACCATTTTAACTTTCTCTTAAAAGCAAAACTTAATCATCAGACTTGGAAAATGCAGCTGAACTTTTTCAGAGTATTGCAGTGACTCACTGGAATACTTAAATATTTTCATTTCAACTGTTAGGGTTCAATGTATTCTTGATCAATAACATAACTTTCACATAAGAAGCTTAAGAGGTTGTGAATCCTACTTTTAGAACTCAGCAACTTGACATTAATCACTGAATTTGCCTTTAGTATTTATAAACTCACAGATCTGAACATACAAGGAGTATGTAATACTTTCACAACTGAGTGTCATTCTTTGCCTTAAGGCAAGACTTTTGACCTTGTTTCTTGTCATTCTCTTGCTTTGAATTATCTATTCTTATCCGAAACAAATATCTTACACTGTGATTTTTTTCTTACAATTTATCTCCCATTAAATTTTGTTATGGCAACATCTACCTGGTATCCTAGAGCTACCTACATGATTTCAGTTGTTGACAGACCATAATTAGCTGTTTCTGAATTGTGTGCCATGGGATGCTAATTTACTTCCATAAAAATGAGAAAAGTCGTAATGTCTTTCATTTTATCTCTATTCAAAAACTAATTCCAAACATTGCAGTGTCTCAGAGGATCTGTTTCCTGCAGCCAACTCTTTGACACAAATCTCATTATCAGTTAAATTCTTTCTTTCCAAGAAAATAATACATTTTGGCTTACATAAGAAAAAAAAAGAAATTTATTGGAAGGATGGCAAGTCACTCATAGATTAAAGATTTTACAAACATGCCTTGGAAAGGACAGGAATAGGGACCCTCTAAAATTCTTCAACATTTTCCATTATTTTATCAGTTTGTTAAAGATGCAAATTCCCAGGACAGAATCTCATTGTCTACACTTTACAAAAGATAGTGTTCACCCCCTACCTGAGGTAGGATGAGCTACTGGCAAAAGGAAGCACATTGATGACTACCGCTACACAGGGAATGGAGAGGCAGTAGTTCCCAAGAAAAAGAATGGAAGAAAGATGGGAAAGTAAAACAAAACAACAGTTGTCCAGTACAGGACTCAAAAGGAACTATAGAAGGGAGTGAATCACATGTATGAGGCACAGAAATGTTAAGGTTTCCAGATTTTTATGGTAAAATTCTAGCAGTGCCTGATTTGGCCTTTCCTACATTCCTACCAAATTATACATTAAAAAATTCCCAAATTAAAACAGAAACAAGCATTAGTCAATGAACTTTCATATTACAGATGGAATTTATTTTCATTAAGAAAAGTTATAATAAAGCCCTTAGGCAGAATAGCAGAACTGTATATAGAAAAACACTATATAAAATGTCCACCAATCTCCACAAATAGCGTGAGGATAATAGGAGAATTTCCACACAGGCATGGTCTGTAATATTTAATGAGACCAAAGCTGTGTCATTCTCACTAATTCCCCGTAGCCACTACATTAGAATATATTTTCTGCTCAATACCTCATCACGTATTTTTGACTCAGCTGGAGTGCAGTGGCATGATCTCGGCTCACTGCAGCCTCAACTTCTCAGGCTCCAGTGATTCTCCCACCTCAGCTTCTCAAGTAACTGGGCTACAGGCATGTACCATCATGCCCAGCACTTTTGTTTTTTAACTTTGTTGTAGAGATGGAATCTCACTATGCTGTCCAGGCTGGCCTTAAACTCCTGGGCTCAAATAATTCTCCTGCCTTGGCCTCCCAAAGTGTTGGGATTATAGGCATGAGCCACTGTGCCCAGCCACAATGTAAAAAATTAAGAGTATCAAACACAAAGAGAAACTTCGATACATTTTAGTAAAGTAACAGTACAACACTGACCACTGGACAAGAAACTAACTGGCAACTGTGCTAGATAAATAAGAGTATGGAATAATATGAAGGGCTTTACAAAGTTCATGGAAAAATGGAATTAAAAGTTGAAAATTAAAAATATCACCGTGATTTCCCAACATAAGCTCCACTGAGATCAAGAAACTTTTGTAAGTAATGATCCCAGCCATTTAGCCCACGCCTAAAGAATTGAGGGGTCCTCAGAATTCAACCATATAATGCATTTTTTTTTTTTACATTACTAACTAAAGAAAAATGAGTGATCTTTACTGTTTTTTTTTTTTTTAAGATTAGGAAACTAAAGGAAATCAGAAAGAGTCAAATCAGAACTGTAAGGTGAACGCTTAATGTTTCCCATTGAAACTCTAGCAAAATTGCTCTTGTTTGATGAGAGGAATGAGCAGGAGCTTTGTTGTGGTGGCAAGAGACTCTGTTGGAGCTTTCATGGGTATTTTTCTGCTAAAGCTTTTGCTAATTCTGCTAAAGCTTTTGCTAATTCTGCTAAAGTTTTTGCTAACTTTTTCAAAACACTCCCATAATAAGCAGATGTTATTATTCTTTGGCACTTCAGCTGTTACCATAACTTCTGCTCTTGACCTGTCTGCTTCTGCTTTGACTGGACCACTTTTACATCTTGGTAGCCATTGCTTTGATTGTGCTTTGTCTTCAAGGTTGTACTGGTAAAGTCATGTTTCATCTCCTATTATAGGTCTTCAGAGACATGCTTCAGGATCTTCTTCAGAGACATGCTTCAGGATCTTGATCCCACTTTTTAAAAATTTCCATTGAAAGCTCTGCTCTTGTCTGCACAAGACAGAGCTTGTTCTCTGTCTTGATATGAGCACAACAGTTTTAGCACCCATTGAGGGGAAAATGTGTTCAACTTTAATTTTTTAGTCAGAATTGTGTAAGTTGAACTAATTGAGATATCTATGGTGTTGACTATTTTTCTCCGGTTAATTGTCAGTTCTCTTCAATCAGCGCAAGAGTACAAACAACATTAATTTTTTTCTCACAAATTGATGTGGATGGTCTGCTATTGTGGGCTTCATTTCAACATCATCTTGTTCTTCTTAAAATGAGTTATTCATCTGTAAATTGTTGATTTATTTGGGTCATTGTCCCCATAAACTTTTTGTAAAGCATCAATTATTTTACCATTCTTTCACCCAAGCTTCACCACAATTGAAGTTCCTGCTTCAATTTCAGCTGAATTCATGTTGCTACAATGGGGGCTCTTTTCAAACTGATGTCTTATCTTTCTTAATGCTTCAAACTAGATCCTGTTCAGACATGTTATAACAAGTTAGTGTAAGCTTATTTTGGTGCCAGAAATATTTTGAAATCCATGCATAGTTTTTTCACAATACACATTTTTCTGTGAACTTTTTGAGCCCCCTCATATGTTCAGGGCAAATTTAAAGATAACTTTAGATCCAAAAAAGCAAAAGAAGAGTAATGTTTTCACTCATAAAAGGCTTCAACGACTTTATCACACAATGACCCTCTCTGAAAGTGTTGTTGGAGGAGGTATACCAGAAAGATGTAAATAAAAATAGGAGGATGCTCTAAAGTGGGTAATAAAATATCATAATTATGTCAACTATTATCTAAATAAACAAATCCAAATTGTACAGTGATAACAATCCAGATATGAAGTTTTAGATAAAAATATAATGTTAGGCAACAGGGGCAGGTCGGTGAAAAACAAGAGGAAAAAGATAACTTGCCAGAGTATCTAGTTTGAGGCAAAATATAGATATTGGTAAATTTAACAAAATGATGGGTAAAAATAACCCAAAATATTGATTATAATTAATTAAGGATAACTACCTAAAGGAAAATAAAGTAGATTAAATAAAATGGACTTTGAATTTTCAAAAGAGCTGAAAAAAATATTGAGCCATTTAATGAGAGAGAGAAAAGGAGGAAAAAGAAAGCATGTTAATGAAAATTACACAGCATAATGGCAGAGCGGAGTTATGCAAAAGGAGTATAGTAAGACTTCAGATTTACCTTACTAGACAATATATGGAAAATAATAATTTCAGGCATCAGACCGTATGTAATGCAGGACTATAATCCCTAAGAAAAGACAAAGCAACAATGTGAGCCTATGGTTGTACCAACTTACTACCTGAAAGGCAATTTTTAAGGCACAGCAGAGTGAGATGTACCCAAACAAAGTCTGGAAATATCACTCAATTGAGGAAACAGATTTTGGAGTTTGGCAAGGCCAAGTTGGCCAGAACTTGTAGGGTGAAGTACTGGAGACTAGGGAGCTGGAGAGAAAGAAAAATAGTGGGGGGAGAGAGAGAGAGAGAGAGAGAGAGCTGAAAATCTGAAGATGGACCGCTGGGGTATTTAGGTAAATATGGATATCTGCAATGGGAGAAAAGATTACCCAAGACTCGAAAAAGAACCCCCAGAGGGGAGTAGTACAAAGGAGTAGGTCTAACAATTCCACTAGCTCACACAGGGCTAGGAATAATTGTAACTCATGAGGGCATCATATAGAAAATGTAGAAGAGTATTACCTGGCTGGGCGCAGTGGCTCACGTCTGTAATCCCAGCACTTTGGGAGGCCGAGGCAGGCGGATCACGAGGTCAGGAGATCGAGACCATCCTGGCCAACATGGTGACATGGTGAAACCCTGTCTCTACTAAAATCCAAAAAAAAAAAAAAAAAATTAGCCTGGCGTGTTAGCTTGCGCCTGTAGTCCCAGCTACTCAGGAGGCTAAGGCAGGGGAATCGCTTGAACCCGGGAGGAGGAGGTTGCAGTGAGCCGAGATCGCGCTACTGCACTCCAGCCTAGCGACAGACCCGGACTCCGTCTAAAAAACAAAGTATTGCCTTAGTAAGTGGGATTATTTTAACCTTAGATTAAAGCTGCTCTGAACCTGTCCTACCAAAGCTTAAGAGCAAAGCTTTAAATAATTCAACAAATTCAAAAAGATCTAGCTATTTTCCAAAAATTTATTGGAACAAAAACCAATGCTCTTTAAAGGGATACAACAAAACAGAAAGAATAAGAAAATTCACAATATCTGGCATCTAATAAAACATTATCAGGCGCACAAAGAAACAGGAATTGATAGCTATTAATTAGGATAAAAATCAATGATAGAACTAAGAATGAGGTACAGTGGGAATAGCAGACAAAGCTGTTAAAGCAGATATTATAAAGATATTCTATATATTTGAGAAAGTAGAAAATATTACTATAATAAAGAGAGAAAATTAAGGTATAAAATGTGCAAATAAAAATTTTAGAGGTGAGAAAATGTAATTTGTGAAATGAAAAATACGGTGGATGAAGTTAAGAGAAAAGACATTACAGAACAAATGATCAGTGATTAATGACGTTGTAAAAATAGCAATAAAAATTAACCAAAATGAAGAAGGAAGAAAAAGATTGAAATACAAAAAAAAATACCAGTAATCAGTGGTACAATATAAAATGAGATAACTTGTGTGTAACTAGAATTTCAGAAAAAAAAGAGAAATATGAGACAACAGAAATAACACCTGAAGGAATATTCACAATTTTTTTTTTTCAAATTGGATGAAAACTGCATATCCATGGAGTTAGAAAGCTCAATAAACCTCTCACTTAGAGGAAACTTAAAGAAAACCAAATCAAGGTAAATTGTAATCAAACTGCTGAAATCTAGCAATAAAGAGAAACTCTGAAAAGCAGACATAGAAAAAGATACATTAAAAATAGAAGAAAAACAACAAGAATGAAAACAGACTTCTCATCAAATGCTGTGTAAGTCAAAATACAATGCAAAAACATCTGCATAAGTGGAAAAATTTAAAAAAAAACAAGAAATGCTTTATTAAGTGAAAATACTTTTTTTCAATTTTGAAGGTAGCGTGAAGACTCTTTTAGGCAAACATATGTTGAAAGAACTTATCACCAGCAGCAGTTGTTACAAGAAATCTTAAAGTTTTTTAAGGAGAATACCAGATAAAAATTTGGATCTACACAAGGAAATGAACAGTGTAACAAATAGTTAAAATGTGGAAATATATATATTTAAGCTTTTTGCTTTTATTATTATTGATTGATACATAATAATTATACATATTGATGGAATACAGTGTGATATTTTGATACATGTATACAATGTGTAATAATCAATAATCAATAATACATGTATACAATGTGTAATAATTTGTGTTGGGAACATTCAAAATTTGCACTTCTAGCTATTTAAAAATATACAATAAATTGTTGTCAATTATAGTCATCCTATAGTGCTACAGAATGCTACAACTTATTTCTCCTATCTAGCTATACTTTTGTATCTGTTAACCATGCTATGGCTATCTCCCCTCCTCCCTACCCTTCCCCACCTCTAGTATTCACTATTCTACTTTCTACTTCTATGAAATCAACTTTTTTATCTTTCATATACGGGTCAGAACATGCAGTATTTATCTTTCTATGTCTGGCTGTTTCACTTAACATAAAGTCCTTCAAGCTCATCCATGTTACAGCACATGATATAATTTTGTTTCTTTTTATGGCTCAATAGTGTTCTAATATGTATATACAACACATTTTCTTTAAACAGTCAAATATATTTTAAGACATATATATACTCTTCATTTCTTTGTGTAGATCTAAATTTTTGTTGGTATTCTCCTTAAATAACTTTATTTAAGATTTCTTATAATAATAGTTTGCTGGTGATAAATCTCTCAACATGTTTGCCTGAAGAAGTCTTTATTACACCTTCATATTTGAAAAACATTTAAAAATATATTTGACTATTTAAAGCAAAAATTATAAATATCATAAAATACTGTTAGGTTTTTAGATGTTGTAGAAGTAAAATGTTTACTAAAGTTCACAAAAAAGATAGAAGATTAAAAGTATACTTTTATAAGATTTTATACTATACATATGCTGGAATTATACTATATGAATTTAGACTGTTATAGTTTAAAGATTTATAGGTGAACCTTAGAAAAACTGTTAAAAATTAAACAATGGTGTTTACTTACTAAACCAATAGTGTAGGTAAGCAGAATAATAAAAGAATGTAGAAAAAAATGAAAAAGAAAAGAGGAGTAGATAGATAGAGGAAAAATAACAGCATGTAAGATTTGAACCCAAAAATGTCAATAATTTTATTCAGTTATATTAACTGTAATAGTCTAAACATTTTAATTAAAAGTGAGAAACTGTCACATGGGATTAAAAACAAAAATCTAACCAAATGTTGTCTATAAGAAACACACTTTAATCTGTATCTTTTTTTTTTTTTTTTTTTGAGACGAAGTCTCGCTCTGTTGCCAGGCTGGAGTGCAGTGGCGCAATCTCAGCTCACTGTAACCTCCGCCTCCCAGGTTCAAGCGATTCTCCTGCCTCAGCCTTCCAGTAGTAGTCCCAGCTGGGACTACAGGCGTGTGTGCCACCAAGCCCAGCTTTTTTTTTTTTGTATTTTTAGTAGAGATAGGGTTTCACCATGTTGGCCAGGATGCTCTTGATCTCTTGACCTCATGATCCACCTGCCTCGGCCTCCCAAAGTATTGGGATTACAGGCGTGAGCCACGGCGCCCGGCAGAAACACACTTTAAATGCGAAGACATATATAGATTGAAAGTAAAATAATGAGGGTGGCCAAGATGGCTGACTAGAAGTAGCTAGTGTAGACCACTGTTTTGGAGAGAAATGAAAGGGGCAAGTAAATATAGCACCTTCAACTGAAACATCCAGGTACCTGCATTGAGACTCATTGAGGAAACAACTTGACCCATGGAGAATGGAGAAAAGCAAGGCAGAATGACCTGGGAGTGACACAGATCTAGGGGAACCTCCCCAACAATATAGGAACTGATAGACAAAATAGCCAGTATAAAAAAGAACCTAACTAATCTGATAGAGCTGAAAAACACACTTAAAGAATTCCACAATGCAATCACAAGCATTAATAGCAGAATAGACCAAGCTGAGAAAAGAATTTCAAAACTTGAAGACTGATCTCTGAAATAAGACAGTCAGACAAAAATAAAGAAAAAATAATAAGAAAAAATAAACAAAACCTCCAAAAAATATGTGATTATATAAAGAGCCCAAATCTATTAATCAGTATATCCTGGAAAGGGACAGGGAGAAAGCAAACAACTTGGAAAACATATTTCAGGATATTGTCCATAAAGATTCCCCAACCTTCCCAGAGAGGCCAACAGTCAAATTCAGGAAATACAAAGAACCCCTGCAAGATTCTGTCTAAGAAGATCATCCTCAAAACACATAATTATCAGATTTTCTAAGGGAGAAATGAAAGAAAGAATGTTAAATGCAGCTAGAGAGAAAGGGCAGGTCATCTACAAAGAGAACCCCATCAGGCGAACAGCGGACCTCTCAGCTGAAACCCTACAAGCCAGAAGAGACTGGAGCCTATATTCAACATTCTTTTAAAAAAAATCTTCAACCAAGAATTTCATATTCAGCCAAACTAAGCTTCCTAAGCAAAGGAGAAATAAAATCCTTTTCAGAGAAGCAAATGCTGAGGGAGTTTGTTACCACCAGACCTGCCTTAAAAGAAATCTTGAAAGGAGCACTAAATTTGGAAAAGAAAGATTATTACCAGCCAATACAAAAACACACTTCAGTACACAAACCAGTGAGACTATAAAGCAACACACAAACAAGCTGGCATAATTACCAGCTAACAACACAATGACAGTATCAAATTCTCACATATCAATACTGTCCCAGAATATAAGAAAGCTAAATACCCTATTTAAAAGACACAGAGTGAACTGCTGGATTAAAAAAAAAAAAAAAAAAACAGGACCAAATGGTATGCTCTCTTCAAAAGACCTATCTCACATGCAGATAATACCCATAGACTCAAAATAAAGGGATGAAGGGAAATACACCAAGCAAATGGGAAACAGAAAAAAGCAGGGGTTGCAATCTTAATTTCAGACAAAACAGACTTAAAAACAACAAAGATCCAAAAAGACAAAGGAAGGACATTACATAATGGCAAATGGTTCAATTCAGAAGAACACCTAACTATACTAAATATATATGCACCCAACACACATGAGCATCCAGATTCATAAAGCAAATTCTTAGAAACCTATGAAAAAATGTAGACTCCCACACAATAATTGTGGGAGACTTCACCACACCACTGACAATATTAGACAGATCATTGAGGCAGAAAATTAACAAAGCTATTCAGAACCTGGTCTTCAACCAAGACCAGGTTGGACCAAACAGATCTGAAAGACTGTTACAGAACTTTCCAACCAAAAGCAACACACAATCTCATCGTCACATGACACATACTCTAAAATAGGCCACATAATCAGACATAAAACAATCCTCAGCTAATGCAAAATAATTGAAATCATACCAGATATACTCTCGAACCACAGTGCAATAAAAATAGAAGCCAAGACTCAAACAAACACTCAAAACCATGTAATAACATGAAAATTAAATAACATGTTTCTGAATGGCCTTTGAGTGAATAAAGCAAAAATCAAGAAGTTATTTGAAACTAATGAGAACAAAGACACAATAAGCTGGAATCTCTGGGACACAGCTAAGGCAGTTTTAAGAGGAAAATATACAGAACTAAAGAAGAGCTAGTACCATTTCTATTGAAACTATTCCAAAAAATTGAGGAGGAGGGAGTTCTCCCCAACTCATTTTATAAAGCCAGCATCATCCTGATACAAAAACCTGGCAGAGACACAACAAAAAAAGAAAACTTCAGGCCACTATCCTTGAAGAACACCATTGCAAAAATCCTCAGCAAAATACTTGCAAACTGAATCTAGCAGTACATCAAAAAGCCAATCCACCACAATCAAGTAGCCTTCATCCGTGTGATGCAAGGTTGGTTGAACACATACAAATCAATAATTGTGATTCATCACATAAACAGAACTATAGACAAAAACCACATGATTATCTCATAGATGCAGAAAAGGCATTCAATTAAATTTAACATCCCTTCCTGTTTAAAACTTTCAGTAAACTAGGTTTTGAAGGAATATAATTCAAAATAATAAGAGCTATCTATGACAAACTCACAACCAATATCACACTGAATGGGGAAAAGCTGGAAGCATTCCCCTTGAAAACCAGCACAAAACAAGCAAAACAAGCAAAACTAGGATGCCCTCTCTCACCCCTCCTATTCAATATAGTATTGGAAGTCTTGGCCAGAGCAATTTGGCAAGAGAAATAAATAAAAGCCATTCAAATAGGAAAAAAGGAAGTCAAATTATCACTGTTTGCAGATGACATGATTCTATGTCTAGAAAACCCCATAGTTGCAGCCGCAAAGCTCCCAGAGCTGATAAACAACTTCAGTGGTTTCAGTATACAAAATGAACGTAGAAAAATTGCTACCATTTCTATACATCAGCAACAGCCAAGCTGAGAGCCAAATGTGAAATGCAATCTTATTCACAAATGCCACAAAAAGAATAAAATACCTAGGAATACAGTTAACCAGAGAGATGAAAAATCTCTACAATGAAAATTATGAAACACTGCTCAAAGAAATCAGAGATGACACAAACAAATGGAAAAACATTCCACGTTCATGAATAGGAAGAATCAGTATTAAAATGGCCATACTGCCCAAAGCAATTTATAGATTCAATGCTATTCCTATCAAACTACCAATGACATTCTTCAGAGAACTAGAAAAGAACTATTTTAAAATTCATGTGGAATAAAAAAAGAACTTGAATAGCCAACACAATCCTAAGCAAATAGAACAAAGCTGGAGGCATCACGTTTTCTGACTTCAAACTATACTACTGAGCTACAGTAACCAAAACAGCATGGTACTGGTACAAAAACAGACACATAGACCAATGGAACAGAATAGAGGGCCCACGAATAAGGCTGCACACCTACAACTGTGTGATCTTTGACAAAGCTGCCAAAAAAAAAAAGCAATGGGGAAAAGACTTCCTATTGAATAAATGGTGCTGTGATAATGAGCTAGCCATATGCAGAAGATTAAAACTGGATCCCTTCCTTATATCATGTACAAAAATCAACTCAAAATAGATTAAAGACTTAAATGTAATACTATAAAATACTATAAAAACCCTGGAAAACAACCTAGGCAATACCACTCTGAACATACAAATGGGTAAATATTTCAAGATGGTGACACCAAAAGCAATCACAACAAAAGCAAAAATTGACAAATGGGATCTAATGCAACTTAAGAGCTTCTGCACAGCAAAAGAAACTATCAACAGAGTAAACGGACAACCTACATAATGGAGAAAATATTTGCAAACTTTGCATTTGACAGTGGTCTAATATCCAGTATCTATAAGTAACTTAAGTACATTTATTAGAAAAAAACAAATAACCCCATTCAAAAGTGAGCAAAGGACATGAACGGACATTTTTCAAAAGAAGACATGCATTCAGCCAACAATAATATGAAAAAAAAATCTCAATATTGTTGATTAGAGAAATCCAAATCAAAACCACAATCAGATACCATCTCACAACAGTCAGAATGTCTTTTATTAAGAAGTCAAAAAAATAACAGATGCTGGTAAGATTGGTGGGAGTGTAAATCAGTTCAACCATTGCGGAAAGCAGAGTAGAAATTTCTCAGAGAGCTAAAAACAGAATTACCCTTTGACCCTGCAATCCTATTACTGAGTATGTACCCAAAGGAATATAAATTATTCTTCCATAAAGACACAGGCACACAAATGTTTATTACAGCACTATTCACAACAGCAAAGACATGGAATCAACCTATATGCCCACCAATGACAGACTGGATAAAGAAAATGTGGTGCATATACACCATGGAATACTAAGCAGCCATAAGAAAGAAAAATATCATATCTTTTGTGGGAACATGGATGGAGCTGGAGGCCTTTATTCTTAGCAAACTAATGCAGGAAAAGAAAACCAAATGTTCTCACTTGTAAGTGGGGGCTGAATGATGAAAGAGGGGAACAACAGGCAGTGGGGCCTACTTGAGGGTGGAACAGGGGAAGAGGGAGAAGATCAGAAAAAATAACTATTGAGTACTAGGCCTAGGACCTGGGTGATGAAATAATCTGTACAACAAACCCCCATGACATGAGTTTACCTATCTATCAAAGCTATAAATGTACCAGTGAACCTAAAAGTTAAAAATAAAAAAATAAAAAATAGTAAAAAATCTAGACCGTGAAAACCCAAATTGAAAGAAATATAGAGTATCCTATTAATATTAACCAAAAGATTTCAGAGAAAGGCACAATCCCAGAGTTAAAGAGAAAAATTTTATAATAATAAAGGGGTTTATTCATGAAGAGAATATAAAAATTCTTAAATGTTCATGCACCTAATAACATTTAAAGATAAAGAAAGCAAAAAATGATAGTACTAAAAGAAGAAATATAGAAATTCATAAATAGTGTTGAGAATGTTAATCCTCCTCTCTCACTACTTAATACAAAAAGTAGATAGGCATTTAGTAAGGATATGGAAGAATTTAACATCACTATCAGAAAAGTTTATCTAATTAACCTGTATAGAACAATGCCCCCAACAACAATAGCCTACACATGCTTTTCAAATAAATATGTGATATTCATCCAGATAGAACATATATAGGTCATATATAGGTCTGGGCCATAAAACACATCTTGTTCAGTTTAAGAGGGCTGAAATAATGAAAAGTGTGTTTTATGACCAAAACTGATTTAAACTAGAAATTGATATAAAAAAGATATCTGGAAAATTGCCAAGTATTTTGAAATTAAACTACAAACTTCAAAATAACTCATGGATGAAAGAAAATCACAAAGAAAATTAGAAAAATATTAGAAAAAAATTAACTAAATGAAAATCAAAGCATAGCAAATTAAGGTGTGTAAGATGCAGTTAAGTTTTTTAGGAAGGAAATAATATTACTAAACAATTATATTAGAAAAAAAGAAATATCTCAAGTCAATCATCTGAGTTTCTAACTTAAGAATCTAGAAAAAGATTGAAAGAGGGAAAAGATTAAAGGAGAGGCTATTATTTCAGATCCTACAGCTATTAAATTGTTTATAAAATGCACAAGAAAAATTCTAGCCCCAGATGTCTTAAGTGGTGACTTCTAACAAACATTTAAAGAAGAAATACCAATTCTACACGAACTTTTGCAGAAAACGAAAGATACAAAAACATATTTCAATATATTTTATGATCTCAGACATACTCTGTATGAAACTTGACAAAGACATCACAAGTAAACTACAGATCAATATTCTTTGGGAATGGAGACAAGAAATTGTTTGACAGAATATATATTAAATCCATTATCCAGAAAATGATAAATAGATCATGTCCAAATATGGTTTATCCCCTAAATGCATGATAGATTTGACATAGAAAACTGGTCAATACACTTCATCATATTAACCGATTTAAGAAGAAAGAAACACATAATATTCTTAATAAATGCAGAAAATGCAATGGACAAAATTTGAAAAAATTTGATGAAAATTATCACTCAACTAGGAACAAAAGGGAAAATTGATCACCTGAAGAAAAAGTTGGGGGATCTACAAAGAAACCTGGGGCTATTATCATAAGTGACGGTGAAAGACTAAATGTTCTTTCTCCAAGACCGAGAATAGAGTAAGAATGTTTAATGTAATAACTGTGATTCAGAATTTTACTAGAGGTTCCACCCTGTGTGATAATGCAAGAAATAACAAGAAATACAAGATGATATGTGGACAAAACTGTAAGGAAGTTCATTTGACCACGTAACACAGACAAAAACTCCACTTTGTTTTTTCTCTACTAGTTCTAAAACTAATATTTTCATATTCTTCTGATAATACCTTTGTTCTAATCTCAGGCAAAAACTTTCAACACCACAAATACTTAATATATTTTACAAGAATAAGAATGTGTGTGTCGATAAGCTGTTTGGATCAAGTCCTGGCTGAAAAAAAAAAAAAAAAAAAACAGAATTAGGATTTGAAGGAACAAAATGTGAAACTGTTGATTGCCAGTGATGAACTGAGGAGTATGAATAACTCCAATATGCACATGAAACTCATAGAAATAACACTCTACATCTGAAAAAAAGTTAAATGCCAATGTGAATGAACTAATTAAAAAGGAAGACTCTAAAAGAACAATTACAAGATTCTTCAGAATATGCACAGTTGAATCTATTGTCCGTGGAAGGGAAGAGACACGTTCTCAAGTGTAAATGGATGGCATAGAAAGATAGTTGAAGATGTTCCAAATTTGTAGGTTTGGTGGGAAGAAGTTGAGAAAATTCCCAATTGATGGCTTCTTATTTCTCAATATTAAAAGTGAGATAATGTGTTGAGAGGGAAGAGACAGACATAGCATTAAAAATTTAAAGAGCCTGGAAAAAATTGGAATCAAGCTGCCTTAAAAAGTGAAAGCGTGCATTAACCAGAGAAGTGTAGGATACACACATACAGTCACATTTACACATATATCCTCATGTATTATTTATATATAGACAGATTTACTCAAAAAAAGGAAACAAAGAATACAAAGTGTTAAAAGAGGTTAAATCTGAGCAAGGAGATAACAGGTAATTTAATTTTTAAGACTGTGTATTTTCTAAAATAAAATATATTACTTTTAATATCAGATTAAGGAAAGGTTTTGTGATGACATGGGACAGCACAAATTTAGGGTTAGAATTAACAATATGGCTAAGCCTCAGAACAGGAATAATCTGTTGAGGGAGTTACATGGAATGAGCGTCTCCCCAACTTCTTATCCAAAGATCTTGAAAAAATTCTTAGAGCAGAATATGTAGATTACACTACCAAGCAGAGTATGATATCAATAAAATTTCTTTCCTTTTTTTTTTTTTTTTTTTTTTGAGACCAAGTCTCCCTCTGTCACCCAGGCTGGAGTGCAGTGGCGCGATCTTGGCTCACTGCAAGCTCCGCTTCCCAGGTTCACGCCATTCTCCTACCTCAGCCTCCCAAGTAACTGGAACTACAGGTGCCCGCCACCATGCCTGGCTAATTTTTTGTATTTTCAGTGGAGATGGGGTTTCACCATGTTAGCCAGGATGGTCTCGATCTCCTGACCTCGTGATCCGCCCACCTCGGCCTCCCACAGTGCTGAGATTACAGGCGTGAGCCACCGCGCCCGGCCAATATCAATAAAATTTCTAAAGATAGATTATGTGTACCTTAGCCTAAATTTAACAATAGTTTACATTGTTTTTGTAAGAATTTTCACTCCTTTTGAGATGAGCTATTTCATTCAGTGTTCAACTCATAAAATTTATGTCAGGATGCTTCCCATTCTTAAGAAATGGTTTTGGAGCCCAGAAGAAAGGATGGATTTTTCATAAGTGATGTTGCAAGGCAATGGCAGAACTGGAATCAAAACTCACCTCTTCCAGATGTTGAATTTTGTACTCAGCTGAATGTCGTGCACATGACCTTCTTTGTGCTTCTAACATCCTTCAGTCTGCATCTGTTTTATATACTGCTCCACTGAGAAAGATCCCTAAACAGATGCAATATGTAAAGTATGTGAAAAAAGAAAGAGTTGAAGATATACTATTATAGTCAATCAAGCTAAAATTAGTTTTCTTCTGTTTCCAAAATTCTGATTGATTCAGAATGCTCCAAGCTCATTGATTGGGTCAGACATTAGCCAGGTGAGAGATATCCATTTCTGTGTTTTTAAATACACTTTACAAGACTTAGGTTCAAATAAAGTTTAAACTGTGTCAAGGCAGTGAAGACTTTCCAAACTCAGACAGGAACTAGCTTTCCAATCAGGTTCAGTGAAGATGTTATATTTCAATGTTAAAGATGACATAAATTAAAGTAATTTTTAGTCCCATTGTTTTCAGTGACTGACTCGTGTGGCTAAATGAACTCCTCCAATAGTAATCTATCAAAGAGGACGTATTTCCAGTGTTAGCTTCTTTTATTTCCTTCAACTTAATAACATGTAAAGGATCAAATGGTCTTTTCATGCCTCTGGGAAAAGAGACATGATCTGGAAATTCCTGAGAGTTACAGGATTTCACACCCTATTGAATTGCCATTAGGGTAACTGCATAATTTTTTTGTCTAAATAGGACATAAGAAGAGCTATGTCTTAAATTCCAGGACAAATCTTTCACAATCCAAATGCTTTCACAAATCCAAACTCTCCTCTTTTTCTAGAGGTATGAAACTTTCAAAGTAATTTGTAAGAATTTGTTCCTTTCTCCTACAATATATTTTGATAGATAAGATTCTAATTTTGTAAACATCCCCTTTTCCCCAACAATAATAGTTGGGCTCTTTCCCCTCTTCATTTTCTTCTCTCTTTACTTTTGAAAGCAACGTATCTAACCCTCCCCCTTTTCTATATTCCATATAGTTTTTCTGCACTGGCAAAATCCTACTGAATTTTCGGAGAAAGACTGAGAAACCACCATAGACCAGAAAAGACTGAGGAGATCAGACAGCTAAATGCAATGTGGTACTTGAATTGAATTCTGGAACGGGACAAGGACATTAATGAAAAACTGTTGAAAGTTGAAGTCTGGAATTTAGTTAATTGTAATGTATCCATGTCAGTTTTTAAAATGTACCATGATAATACAAGGCATTAACACTGGAGAAAACTAGAAACATTAGTTTACAAGGGTTGCCGTGAAAAACTACCATGCACTGGATGGTTTAAACAACAGAAATTTACTTTCTTACAATTCTGGAGGCTTTAAATCCAAGAAAAAGGTGTTTGCACATTTGGTTTCTTCTGAGGCCTCATTCCTTGGCTTGCACATGGCTGACTTCTTACTGTGTCCTCACAGGGTTGTCTCTGTGTCTGTGTAACTGTGACCTAGTTTTCTTTTTATAAGGACACCAGTCATATTGGATTAAGGCCCACCTTTATAACTTCATTATTCCTTAACTACCTCTTTAAAGGCCTTATCTCCAAATACAGTCACATTCTGAGGTACTAACAGTTAAGATTTCAACATATAAATTTGAGGAGACATAAATAAGCCCATAACACAGGATGAAGAGTATAATATGACTCCAATTTTTTGCAACTTTTCTATAAATTTTTAAATTATTGTAAGATACACTTTTTTAATTTAAAAAAATTCTACTAGTTTTTATGAAATGACATTTTTTTCTTATTGGTAAGAATGAAACCATACTCAAATTTAAAACAAAGAGCACTACAACCATCTTTATATCTGAATTTCTTTACCTTAATTCTCCTTCAACCACCTTCAAAGTGGCTGTTACACTATTTATTTATGTGATGTATTAAAAATGCAACTGTGTCCCATATGCTTCTGGACACATAGAAAGAGTATCACTACCTGTAAATAACCAATGAAGGACTTTGTAAGATAGTCAACTTAGATTACCTGAAACCAAACTAACCCTTTCACAACTGTTACATTTTTGTAATCTTGGACAAGCCATAATTGATCTTTATTTCCATTGACTTCTATTTCTAAGCTCAATAACTATTATTTCTACTCTAAAATGATTAAAATAACCAGTAAGCAGATGTAGAAAATGGGCAGTATTAATAATAGTATTAATGATCAGTACTAATAATATAAATATTACTTATTTAATCACCATTTCTTAATTCAGCTTACTAGATATAGAAGTTTCTAAAGGTCTCTTCACTGTGTTTGGTTATGCTTTCTTTAAGAAGAAAAGATTAAATAAAATTATATGAGACAAGGCTTGGGACAATTTCCATTTTATCTCTTTGCTTGTAGCAGGATAACTATAAAAGACTGTGCAATAATGTCTTCAACGCACTTCACTACACATCTTCTCTTCGTAGGTCCCTGAAGAGGAATCAAGTGACCCTTAGAATTCCCAAGTCTCTGAGAGCATAGGAGTAATAGGAGAAATCCCCCTATTAATCTTCTTTCTAGAATAAGAATCATACTCCAACAAACCTCTAGTAAAAGAGGTCAAGAATTTCCCATTATGATTCACTTAGTTTTCCTTAATAGTATAACCCAAATACCCCTCCAAAACCCAAGTTTCTTCCAGGACTTAACAAGCCAAAGGAGGAAAAGAAGCTAAGAAAGGCCATTAATGTTGAGACATGTCATTTGCAATGGGACCTCAAATTGCTATTGGAAGCTGAGAGCTGCAGGAATTTTCTTAAAAGTTTTGGAGCCATTCCCAGCTGACTTTTTGGTTTTATTTTTTACTTTTTAACAAGACTGCTATTTTTTTTTAAATTTCTAAATGCCTTTGTTGCTGTCACTCTCCAAGGTCAAGTTAAAATCGCTCCACTCAGGTATCAAGTCCCATTAGACCTGAGAATGTTTTTTTATTGCCCTTTCTCATGGACAATGTGATACTCCAGAGTCTCTGTGCACCTTATTCTGTACATCTTCTTATATGTGCTGATTAGTATCATATTTACATTCTTGAATTTGAATCTTAGCTTCATCCATTGCTGGCTGTATGTGCTTGCACAATTTTCTTAACATTTATGAGTCTATTTCAATGTCTACCGAATAGGGATAATTATACCTACTATATAAAATGTTAACGAAAAGTACTTTACGTAAGTGATACCAATACCTGGAACATAGGAAATACTCACTAAATGGAAGCTATTTTATTATATCATGATGCAGTTGCTACAGTTTGAATTATAATAAGCACATCTTTTCCTAAGCAGGCACGTCTATGGCAAGGGAAGAGTTCCAGGCTTGGAGAAAAGTATTAATGGTTTATATATTATCAATATTCCTAGTGTAGCTCCAATATGCAGTGCACATAGACACATAGACTACACCACATTGGCTCCTTATTTTATGTTTTTTGGAACTGTTTTCTTCTTTTCAAAGAAATCTCCAGATAGTCTCATTCTTAGTTAAGCAAAGATTTAGTGATTAAATCAGTGGATTAAAAGAATAAAAAGCTGCTTCTCACTCTTGGGAACCTCCAACGTTTTCATCCATTCATTGAGTTCCACTGGCAATAACAATGCTCTCTCACCCTATCACTCACAGCTACCCTGGGGACAGGAAAGAATTTCATAAAACTCTTGTCTTTAGGGGGAAAGTCTGATGTGTGTGACCCGCACTCTCTTTCCTACCTGCATGTGAATAAAGGCCTTTAGTCCAGTTATGCCTGGATGCAGTGCAGCAATCTGTCTAAGTCTTGGTTTAGAATTGCAAAATTATCTAAATCATCTTCTCCATTATCTGCTTAATAAGGGTGACATTTTGACTTTTGTTTATCTCATTCCTTTTTTTTTGGTCTTATTTGTCAATTGTTTCATAACAAGAGTAGAATATAAGAGTTCTAGTTAGTAAGTAGCCAAATCAAATACCCCCAAATGTTATGACCTATGAAACTCATTGCCTTATCATTTAATCACATTTTTTAATTGAGATCTATAGAGCATTGTTTATAAGATCATTGGGACATTTGGATACCCAATATGATAAGTATATAAATGTATATAAAATATAAATACGTTGATACAAGGTGAAGATGACAGCTGAGCTATGATCTCATTCAATAAAATGATAAACTTTCCATCTGTGTGGCTATCTTAGAGATTATAGCAAGTTTTCTTCCATTTATGCTTTTCTTTATGGTCAAAATAAAGCTAAAAGATAATGCTATCAAAAATAAGTCCATCAAACACTATGCAATTTTATTAATCATCAGAGAAGTGCAAGTTACAATCACAGTGCAAATTTCACTTTTGCTAAGGTAAAAGTAACAGGAATCAGATCTACCCTTCTGCCTGAAACAATCAAAAAACTGGACGTGGGAGTGGGGGTGTGGCGGAAGGGAGAAACTACAAAGGGCATGAGAAAACATTTGTGGGATAATGAGTATATTTATTATTTTACCTTGATTGTGGTAATGGTTTCAAGGATGCATACAGTACCCACGCCAAAATTTAACAAATGGTGTGTTTTATGTGCAGATTATTTTAAGTCAATTGTATCTTAATAAAAGTGTTACACACACACACACAATGTAATACCACTACACACACAGAACAGTTCAATGAAAAAGGCAGTGATATACAATGTTGCTTCAAATGTGAAAGAAACGAAACTCCCATATACCACCAGTAGCAGTGTAATTTGATATAATTACATTAGATAACTGATCGGCTAAACATATATATATAGTTTATGACCCAGTAATTCCACTCAGGTATATATGTAATAGAAATTCAGATAAATGTTTATCCAAATACATGTTCAATGGTGTTTATAGCAACACTAGTTATAATAGCCCCTGACTGGAAATAAATAAAGTCACATATTTCCATGATGGAATACTATACAACCATGGGATTGAGTAATATATTATTATGCACTAAATACACAAGTCCCTAATGCACATATTGTTAAGCAAAAGAAGACAGACTCAAAATGTCACACTGTGTACAGATCCATAAATATAAAAGTATTAAACAGAGTAAAAATAAACTACACTTTTGCAAGTCAGGATAATAATTACCCTTGTAGGTAGTATGGTGACTAGATCTGACCACATTGAAAGCTTCTAAGTTGATCTATTTATCAGTCTGGATGATGGTTACATGGACGTGTTGTTCACTTTGTGAAAATTCATGAAGTTTTTTTATTTGTGCACTTTTCTATGTGTATATTATACTTCAAAATGTTAAAAATAAAGAGAAAACTTTTAAGTAAGAAAAATAAAACTACCCAAACCAGAAGTTGCAAAAGTTTCTAATTTATAATTTCATCAAAGAATAGCAAATGTTTGAAATGGCCTGTTAAGTTTCAAATCTGTTATTTTGTTATCAGGGTAAGAATGGGAGTGAATATATGTGACTACACTCTGAAAGAGACTTTATTCAACCCATATGCACAGATTAGTCGTGGAAAGGAGCGGGTGTACAGTATTTTCAGATGTTAATTTGTAATGGGGAAGCCCCATGTTTATAGCTGTTTTGGTAATAAAAGAGAAAAAGTTTAAGAACCAATGGATATCAGAGTATTTTTACCTAACATGTACCTGACATGTTAGGTCAAGTAGCAATTTGCCATTGAAAATTCTATATTGAATTGACTTCTGACACTACTATTTTATTTTAAGATCATACATAAGAGAAGGATTGTTAATAAATAGAGTCATTTATTATTCTACACCCTGAAGTGAACACGAGATGGATTTCCAAAATTCTGATGCCACTTCTACATCTTATTAGGTTCCCACAATGCCTCTGATGGTATCATCATTTTATTTTGTTGTGTATTAAATATATATCCTTAATAGCAAGTCTTCTACACCAGCTAGTATTCAAGCAAAAAAAAAAAAACTTTAAAAAGTCGTTTACTGAAATATTTAAAATGTATAAAAGAATAAAGAATTATGGGATGAATCTCTACGTACCAGTTCCTCAGTTTCAACAATTATTACCTCATGGCCACTTTTGGTTCATCTATGATTCCACCCACTTCCCAAATACTCTGTTACATTGAAGCAAATTTCAAAGTGTGCATCACTGATCTACAAATATCCCACTGTATATCTCTAAAAAATAAACATTTTTGCTTTTCATGTTATAATAATTAACATTTCAAAATATAGGTATATTTGTATGAGATAACATATACAGATATTAAGTATATACAGTGAATTTTTACAACTGCATATACCTAAGCAAATTAATACAGGAACAGAAAACCAAATACCACATATTCTCACTTATAAGTGAGAAAGAAATGATGGGCTAAGCCCCAGTTTGGGGGTCTCACCTGCTCTGCATTATTTCTTCTTTTTAATCCTATTTTAGCTTTATTTTTTTCACACAAATTGGAGAAATGGATAGGCAGGTAGCTCTGTTATGCCAGGCAAATTATTACTTTGTTTAGAAGATTTTCTAGATTCCAGTATCTCCCACCTGCTCCTACTGTTGCCAGTGGCTTGGCTACCTTCTCAAACTCAAAGTTTTAGGTTTCCTGCCTGCCTTCTCCATCATCTCTCTGCAACCAGGTCCAATTTTTGTTCCAGAAGCTACTCCAGCTCACTGCTCAGCTGTGCAGGACTCTATTCTCTGGAAATTATTTTCTCAAGACTTTCTTGCATCCATAATTATTCAAAGGTTACAAAAATATGTATGATGTTTATACCACCCATATTTTACTTGGTGTTATGACTGAAGGTTTTCTATACCTTCTCACATACTACATTGGAAGCAGAAATCCTTTGAGGATCTAGTTTAATGCTGTAGGGAAAAAGTTAACTTTGTTGCTTCCCTAGGAGATGGTATAAAGATCTGACATGATTATCATCTTACAGAGAGTTCCTCAAGCTCAGCAAGAGCCTTTGATATTTTGGGCTAGATAATTTTTTCTCCTGGTGATGGTATGGGAATGGTGGAGGGGTCTTATATATTGTAGAATGTATAGAAGCATCTCTGGCCTCCACCCACCAGAGGTCAGGAGCAAGTTCTCTACATCATTTTGACAAACAAAAAATGTCTCCAGACATTGTCATGAACAATCTTGGCATATAACTGCCCAGTTCCTTTCTAAGGAAACTCTATTTTATTTTCCTTATACATGACTTGGCAAAAGGTATATGGTACATGACTTCATTAGTCAAAATGAAGAGAAAATAGTTTTAGCTCATTTGGAAGGCTGGTTTTAATTTTAAAGGTTATGCCTTTTTTTGGTAAAAGACATAAATTTCAAAATTTTTTCAAAGACAGCTCAGCTTTAAAGCAGTCATTCAAATGATTTCTTAATAGCAGGCTACAAGACAGAGCTAGAAAACATTGTGGTATCTCTACCCAAACAAATACCTAAGGGCCCTGAGAGCCCTCGCAGCAAGTCTGCACAGCTTGGCAAAGGAGTCAGGCTGAGGTCATACCATGCAGCATAGGTATGTAATCCTGTAGTCACTAGGATGGTTTCAATGACCGGAATGAAGAGAAGAGCCTTGGCCAAAGGTGTCCCAAATGCCCTTCTTATCCCTGGCATAGAATTTGTTGTTTAAATGCCAAAACTCATGGAGGATGGATTTCTTTATAACTTTAGTTTGAAATCCATCTGTCACCTTTCACTATCTCCAATTTTTTATTATTAGAACAGATTTACATCGTAGCATTATCTGTTTTCATTCAAACACTGGGCTAAGCAATCTGGTCCGAAAACAAGGTCACCCCTGACTATTGCTAGAGGCCACTTTCATTTCTGGCAGAATAAAAAAAATAATAAAGTATAGATTCTGCAACTTTAATATGAAAAGGCTCTAGTTAAATACTGCAATACTTGAGAACAGTTACAGTTTTTGTTGCTTTTTGAAAATAAAATTCATAATAAGGAGAACAAATAGCATTCTTTAGCAAATTCCACTTAGGTCTTATGATATTGAGATGTTTTGTTCATCCTTAGCTTTTATTTTTCTCCTAATTTAGTGTTTGTGTGTGTGTGTGTGTGTGTGCGCGTGTGTGTGTGTGTGTGTGTGTGTGACTGCTACAAGTACTTGGGGCTTCTTATCCATTGAGTCAGTCAAGCCCTAGTTACTGCAAAAAAGAAAACTTAATAGCCAATCGCTATCAGTGGTTGATTCATGTCAATGAATGTTTCAGATGTTAAATCCTGAAGAGATACTTCAAGAGTAATTTCAACCATGAATTTGGTTTCAGTTGGTATAAAAATACTTTTAAACTCTCAGGTATAAAGCAACATTTAGAAATGAATGTGCTTTAATATGATTTTTTGTCCTTGGAGCAGAGGGAGGAACATTTTTATGCTGACACCCAGTGTATACATATGCTAGCTGAAAATCACAAAAAGAAAAACTGAGAGTTGCCAAAGAAAGTGAAAATTTTGGGAGGATACGATTCAGTAGTAATAATACAGTAATGTTATCAGCTGTAGATAATTATGCTAATAGTCCTTTCTGTTTTACATCACACAATTCCAGAATTTAGAAGTCTGTGGAGCTTCTTTAGACTCACATAACCACGTTTCTTCAATACCAGCATATTCTACCCTCTCTTCTGCTACTATAAACTCCCCAGGATCCACCTAAAGACAAATCTCCAACTGTGTACCAGATTCTCTCTCTTCTGCTTATGCAAAAACTTCATGCCAACAATACTCTGCTCTATGTAGAGCAGTGGTCCTCAACTTTGTGACACCAGGGACCAGTTTCATGGAAGAAAAAATTTTTCCACAGACCAGCAGGTGGAGGGGGATGGTTTCAGGTGGAACTCTTTCACCTCAGATCATCAGGCATTAGTTACATTCTCGTAAGAAGCACACAACATAGATCCCTCACATGCAATGTTCACAGAGGGTTTGCATTCCTATGAGAATCTAGTGCCACCATTGACCTGACAGGACGTGGAGCTCAGGTGGTAATGCTCACTTGCCCGCTGCTCACCTCCTGCTGTGCAATCTGGTTCCTAACAGGCCACAGATCAGTATTGGTCCACAGCCAGGGGTCTGGGGACCCCTGCTGCAGAGCAGCAATCTTCTGAGTGATTCTCACCACATATAAAACTTGCTATTATTTATCTCACATTAAAATAAATAAAATAACTTCAAAATCTTTTCTGACCCCAATCTCAGGCAGGTACTAGTCTATCCTTCCTATGCTCCTTTGCAGCTAAAATCCATGAAAATATTATTTTATAATCATTCTTTCCAATTTCCTTCCATTCTCTCCTAAATCTACACCAATCAGAATTTCATCCCCATCACTGTACCGAAACTGTTGTAAAGGTCACTAATGGCTTCTAACATTCAATGCTCAGTGCTCATCTTACTTGACCTATTAGCAACATTTCACATAGAAGATCATGTTTTCCTTCATATATGTTCTTCATTTGCCTCCAGGACAGCACGTTCTCTGTTTTCTTCCAATGCTATTGGTCATTCAGCCTCAGTGTCTGAGGTAGGTGGCATTAGCCTCACATACTCACTTCCCTCACGTACACTTCTTTACCAAAAAGCCTTTACAATGCCCTCTCCCTATGGGTATAGCATATTTCCCTATTTTATGAGTCTGGGTTAAATGGTATTGCTGGCTTTGCCTAGTGAAACATTAGCAAACGTTTTGTTAAGTAGATGCTTAAAAAAGCCATGGCCATCAAAAGACATGCCTGGGTTTGCCTACTGGTTTCAGAACAACACCTATATGCCAAACAAATACATATCTACGTTCCCTAAGAGCCCTCCCAGCAAGTCTGCACACCCAGGGAAAGGAGGCATACCATGCAGCATACGTATATAAGCCTGTACTTACTAGGCTGCTTTCAATGACCAGAATGAAAAAAAGGGCCTTAACCAAAGGTGTCCCAAATAGCCTTACGTGAGAAGCAGAGCTGCTGTATATAAGCTGGCTTTGCTCAGCCTTTACTAAAACAAAGCTTCCAACCAGCCTGTGGACACATGAGAGCCCAGCCAAGATCAGCTGAGCTCAGCCTACAGCAGTTAACTCTCAGGCAACCTACAGACTTATAAGCAATGTAATAGCTATACACACCACACACTTTTAAATTTAATCTGAATTATTAACATCATATAGCACTTTCTTAAGTCTAGACCATCAACAAAACAGTAAATCAAGACTTTGTAGCATTTGCCGATATCTGATATCTGTGGTGTAAATACTACTACCTTGACCATTTTCAAATACTCTCACCATTTTTAGTTTCAAGCTACCAAGACATCATAATACAGTGCTGGGAAGAAATGTGCAGTAGCATACCATTCTATGGTATCTTCTACATACAGATACAATAAATATAAATGACCTCAAGGGCATAGATAGTCATAAAATATAATAAACTAATTGGAAAAAGATGAGTTTGAATATTTATTACTTTTGTTTTCAATATCATTTAATTTCATATTTACATAGTTTATTTTCAAATTATGGTTTTGTTGAACAACTGAATTGCAAATTTTCTGAAAATTAAAAATTGACCCTCCTGAGCCAGGGAGGCTCGCGAAAGCACACCAACATAGGTACGTACATGCCAGACTGTCCTTAGGGCTTACTCCCTCCACCTTGAAAGGGAAGAGCAGAAGTCTAGGAATGTTTCTTGCCTCTCTTGACCTCGCTTCTAAAAGCTTTCACTTTCAGTGTTCTTGAAAGTAGCAAGACAAAACTATTTAAAATATTTTGGAGTTCAGTAAACTAATTGGGATTATTTAGGGTGTGTGTGTGTGTGTGTGTGTGTGTGTGTGTGTGTGTGTGTGTTTGCATTTTGGTTTAGTTTTTATTTCAAGGCTGATGTTAATTGCTCTCGGTTTTTAAAAAGCTTGTCTGTATCAGATCATTTGAGAATCAAAATGGGTCAGAAAGTTCATTTTATCCTTCCTCTAGTCTCCAAGCAATACTTCATTAAAGAAATAATAGAGAGTTAGGTCACTAATTTGACTTTACAACTCAACATTTTCCCAGAGTGTCTTCGTGTATTTTTTTCAAATCAATGTTTTCCCCACCCCTTTTCAATTTTCTAAAAAACAGCATTAAAAAGTTCAAATAGAAGTTTCTGCTGCATGGCTTCCCACCAGAGTGCCTCTCAGATGTGATAATAGTAGCATAATAAAAGGCTCTTTTCCTGTTCCATTATTTCAGGGTTCAGGTCTCCATTTTTCCTTCCATAACATCAATGGAAATGACATAATAGAAGTATCTGTTATATCAGAAGTTTTCATAGGCATGATATTGACCCTGATGCTCTTTCACAGAACACACGCTAAATGGAACCATTATGGTTATTCTCAAAATGGATTGTCAATGTAATTGCCATTGTAGAAAAGTGTTATGAACATTTACTGCTTCTTTGCTTTGACAGCAGATCCTTTTCAAACATGAATATCTTGGCAATTAAAATCACAAGCATAATCATAGCAACAAAGGCCCTGTCTTCAACTCTCATTTCTTAAAAAAATGATCCTAGTTCCCCCCCATTTAAATGGAATAAAATGGTTTCACATTTTAGATTCAGATTTGATGTGAATTGAATAATACAATTAATCAGGATCTTTAGTCACATAATTATCTTTCATCCAAGTAAATCATTTTATGCATCAGTTTACATTCATTGAATTAAATAATTCCAAATAAACAGTTGTCATACAGAACAGTTCTATGGCACTTTAAGAGCAAATAAATCAGATTTGTATATGCTAATTGGGAAAAAACATACTCACACAGATATATACCACACAGTCCACCATTCAACAAACTTAAGAGAAATTGCAGGTAGTACTTTTATTTCCCTTACCACCTTGGTAATATATTGTGCCAAAAGAACAGCCGACATATTTAGGCCAAATTTTAATCAAGTTAAAATTGTGTGAATGCCAGGAATTTTCAGGCTGATATGAGAGAAAATAGGTGAATCATAAAACCTGCCCAGATAGAATCTGAAAAGAGCCCAAGAGTTGACTTGAAAAGAGAGGGACTGCAGGGTCATTTGTATTCTGAGCTCAAGCATTAGAGGGATTGGTGGCCATTTAGCATTTATTTGACAAAAATTGTACATTCTCACCAACTTGGAGACCATTGCAAGAGATAAGCCAAGGAAAAAAAACATTATTGAAGGGGTGGGGCAAAGTGGAGTATAAAAAGCATGACATATACACTGTCAAGACATTCTCCACAATTAATTTATAGAAAAAGCCAGTCACGACAGCTTTCAGAGAACTGAGGGTATGGACATCTATCTGATCAAATCTATTGAAGCAAGAATGTTCTTAAAATGACTCCATCCAAAGGAAAATAATATACACGTTACAAACATTCTTCTCAAATCCAGGGCTAGAAATCAATAAAGTCACTCAAATTGGAAGGGTAGGCTTTCCTAGGCATCAGATGGAAGCTCAACTTCTTCCTTGATCTCACTGTTTCATAGACCAAATAATACCAATTCGCACCAAAGACTAGACACACCCTCGATTCATTTTTTTCTTAAAATGTTTTAACAACATTTAATGTAATATAGAGGCAAGAAGTTACAGGGAGTCCAAGACAAGCATATTTTCAAGCTATGGAACTGCTTTCAAAGAATATTTAATTGTGCAATTTTCGACTAACAAGCCAAAGTAAGATTAGCAAAAGAAGCCTAAATAATCAGTCCTCATGTACACAAAATTTTCTTTCCATATTATAAAAGAATATTTTCTGCTTAGACATTGTAGAGGAAAGATTTGTATAATGTGGTTTTGCAAATTTACAGACTGTTGTCTAATTCCAAGTTTCGATGTTTCCAGCAAATTATAAAATTGGATAAAGTTTTAAAATTTCCCTTTATAATAATATGAAATACAAGAAGCTTCTCTGAATTCGGTCCCTAAGTAAAGTCTGAACCAAAAACTTCATTCTTGCTGCTTATTAAATGTTCTTTAACCATAGCATGTTTCCATGCTCCTGTGGAAATAAATAGTGAGTAAATAACAAATTTACTTTTGTCCCTTACCTCTCCCATCCCCAAGATACTACCTGTCCAGGGGTCTGAGTAAACGTCTTATGTAACACTTAGCCTTATGAATCAATTGCTGCTAATCTATCTTCACCTCCTCTCTTCCCATGTGAAGGGGGTACTTTGCCAGATGATGGCAGCACTGTCACAGAGGAGTACTTTCCAAATCGTTTTGAAGTGAGACAAAATAAATTAGAATCTGTGTATTATAAGGAAGAGTTTGGGTTTGAATTTCGGGTCTGACACTTGCTAGTTTTGCAAGCTTCTGTTTATGCATTGTATACACTGTGCTTTTATTTTCTCATCTGTAAAATAGACATGATAATGAGCTAACTCACAGAATTGTTATGATGGTAAAATAATACATTAAGAAACAATTATGACACTAGTACCTAGCAATTATTCAACAGGTGTTATCTATTATGCATCTGTAATTAAATACTAAGTAAAGCTATTTTGAATTTTAGCTAAATTTTGGATCACCCAACAACCCTCAATATGTGTGAAAGGCAAAAACAAGCAAATAAACGAAAACGTGATTTACAAGTACAGCTCATTACAAAGAAAAGAGTTGAAAAAAAATGTATTCTAATGCTTTATTTCCGAAACTTTCCTAGGGCCTATGCCAGACCTACTGAATCAGAGTCTTCAGGATGAATAGGTAACATATGTAAAGCATATAAATTGTTATCTGTTACATCAAAAAGAATTTGTCTGTTATATACATTGTTATATAATTTGTACCTATACTTGCTATAACAGATAAATTGTTTTTGATATAAAAATTTATATAGCAGATATATAAAGATTCTTCTTGTTATCATATATATCATGATTCTTCTTGTTATATGAAGATTCTTCTTGTTATACGAAAATAATTTATTTGTTATATAAATTGTTACATCAATAAAAATTTATCAGTTATATTAAGTACAGGTAGGGCTCATTTGACTTCTTGAGTTTAGGTCCACATTTTGGTCCTTAGGCAATGGTTTTACTATTGCTTGCAATGGGAAAGACCTGAGGATAGGTTTAAAACAAAACAAAAAAAACTGCAGTTGCCCAGCCCTCACCATAAGGACTCTGATTTGATAATTTGAAAGGAAAGGTAGGAATTGTTATTAAAAACAAACAAACAACCTCCAAAGTGATTTTGATATGTAGACAGACTTGAAAATCAGTGACTTGGTACCAACAGCTTGTTTTATAATAACGCTTGAGGTGGTAGCTTTCATAGACTCAAAAGATGTTGGAGAAAGAAAATTTAGATTGTCTAGAGGCATAGCTTCAACATTTTTAGTGGTAGAGTTTTTCCTCCAGAATAATTCTTAAGCAGATGTACAATAGATCTAAATAGTTAAACATATAGTGACTCTGGTGAGTATCATTGCGGATGGGTCCCCAAACACCTCCTTCCATGAAACATCCAAGATTCCCAGTAATATAATTTGGAAATAATTTTAGAGTTGAGAAAACTAAGGCTCAAGAAGTCAAAGTCACTTTTTCAAGTTCACAGCTGATTGTCTCCTGAACCATGATTAGAACCTTTCCTGTACACAGTCCTGCTTACTTTTAAAATCTGAGAGTGGTCTATATTACACCTAGAGAGTTAAAAAATAAAAGTAAGCTGATCAATTATTTGTGACAGTGAAGCAAAAAAATGAAGATACATTATATTTAACAAATGTTTCTCTTTTTTCTTCCCATTATTTTTCTTTTCTGTATCTTTGTCTTCTCTCTTAGAAAAACAACTAATTTTCCCTTTCCTTGCTTTACATAACATAGCTTTAACAACATACTTAATTCAGAGAGTAAAGATTAAACAATGAGCAACGATGTGAAGATTCTCTAGGGAGAAGTAAAGTTTAGATGTCTTCTTCCTTCTCTCCTAGCATATTAAATGTAAATATACACAGTTCCAGTAAAATTTCACTCTAAAGCCAAAGGCTCTGTAGAAGGTGCTGTCACATTAGAGCAGTGATCAGGTAAGTGCTGTAAAGGATCACAACACTGAGATGTGCAAAGGAGCAACGCACAAGAGAGAAGAGTAGCTTAATATTAGGAGATAGAGAGGGTTTATGATGGAAAGTCTTGACTAGTGGAATGATTATGTTTCAAGAGTCATTTTTAAAACATCTTTTGCTCATTGTAAAGGTAAATAACTTTAAAAGAACAGGAAATATAAAATATCAAAAATCAGCAATCCCAGAAACTCAAGCTATATATCCCCAGATGAGAAAATATGCTCAAGCAGAACATACACGTTGGGAAAGCAATAAGTCTAGAAGCAGGGAACAGAAATGAGAACACGTAGTATATTGAGTCATATAAGATAACGACCAAAAATGAGATTTAAGGGGGCTGTAGAAAAATCCTTAAAGCTATGAGTCCAGTATATGGCCATCGTCAAAATCGGAAGTGAGAACAAAAGCAAATATTGGGACAGGACATGTCAACTCGAAGAAGGAAAACACAAAAACAAATCAAACCTGGCATTATCCTTTAGGGTATTTTATTTTACTTTTGCTACACTGGCCTTGCCTGAAGTGCTCGCAGTGTTTAAAGATGGGAAGTGCTGAAAGAGACGTGATGGACTGTGAAAAAGTGACTCTAGGGCTCTGTTAAGGATACATGTATTTGAGAAGACACTTCTGAAATGTCTGACCTCATTTGATTATGGATATATACATATGGAGAGAGAAAGAGAGACAGAGATGATAGATAGATAGATGGATGACAGATGAAAGATATAGATAGATATAGATAGATGAAAGATGACATAGATAGATAGATAGATAGATAGATAGATAGATAGATAGATAGATAGGCTAGAGCTAAATCTAAGCTTTGAGGCAAATGCAGTGGGGCATGAAGAGAACAATCATCATTGGAGTCAGACATGCTTTTTGAATGTAAAGCTTTTTTTTTTTTTTTTCTTTTTTTGGGACAGAGTCTAACTCTGTTGCCCAGGCTGGAGTGCAGTCATGTGATCTTGGCTCACTGCAACCTCTGCCTCCTGGGTTCAAGCGATTCTCATGCCTCAGCCTCCCAAATAGCTGGGACTACAGGCAGGCACCACCACGCTCCGCTAATTTTTTTTTTTTTTTTTTTTTTTTTTGAGATGGAGTTTCACTCTTGTTGCCCAGGCTGAAGTGCAATGGTGTGATCTTGGCTCACTGCAACCTCCGCCTCCTGGGTTCAAGCAATTCTCCTGCCTCAGCCTCCCGAGTAGCTGGGATTAGAGGCATATGCCACTATGCCCGGGTAATTTTGTATTTTTAGTAGAGACGGGTTTCACCATGATGGTCAGGCTGGTCTTGAACTCCCGACCTCAGATGAACCGCCCGTCTCAGCCTCCCAAAGTGCTAGGATTACAAGCGTGAGCCACTGAGCCCGGCTTTTTTTTTTTTTTTTTTTTTTTTTTGTATTTTCAGTAGAGATGGGGTTTCACCATGTTGGCCAGGCTGGTCTTGAACTTCTGACCTCAGGTGACCCACCCACCTTGGCCTCCCAAAGTGCTGGGATTACAGGTGTGAGCCACTGCGCCGGCCTGTAAAGCTTTCTTTTCAAAAATTAGATCAAATCATAATGAATGCCTGCTTGAAATCATTCTATGATTCAATGAGAAGTCATTTTCCACAAGAGTAAGTCAAGAACCTGGTTCTTGGATACAAGGCTGACACTAATCTGGATACCTCATTATATTCTATGCAGAAGAGTTAATGTTTTTATATAATTTTTGAATGTGAATATAGCAGAAATTTTTAAAAAGTAAATTTAAAAAAAAACCTTACAACAATTATTTTAAAACTTACAATGAATAAGAAGAAAAGTATTTATCATAAGGCCTGATATAATTTGGATATTTGTCCTTTCCTAACATATGTTGAAATGTGACCCCAGTGTTGGAGGTGGAGCCTAGTTGGAGGTGTTTGGTCATGGGGTGGATTTCTCATGAATGGCTTGATACCCTCTCTGTGGTAATCAGGTCACAGGAGATCTGGTTTTTTTTAAAGAGCCTGGGATCTCCCCCTTCCCTCTCTTGCTCCCTCTATCACCAGTCTGCCTACTCCCCCTCAGGCTTCTGTCATGAGTAAAAGCTCCCTGAAGTCTCTCACCAGAAGCCAAGCAGATGCCGGTGCCTGCTTGCACAGCCTTGCAGAACCATGAGCCAATTAAACCTCTTTTCTTTTCTTTATAAATTACCCAGTCTCAGGTTTTCCCTTATAGCAACGCAAAATGGACTAATACAAGGCCACTAAGCACCTTCCTATAGAACTTCTTTCTTATAAAGATATATATCTATATAAATAAACTCATGAATTCCCTTTCTGGTTTATAAAACATAAGATTAATATACATGTAATTATATATTATAGCTATTAATATCTAGTATTGTGAAAAAATGACTTACTAATATATACATACATATAATATATAATACATTATATATGCATAATACATATATAATGCATACATATGTAACAATGCCTGGAATAATATAATAATATATTTGAATGAATTATATAAATACATATAATGTATGTAATATTTGTATAACACGTATACAGATATTTTATATAATACTTATATAATCCATAAATTAATAAATGATTTGAATTCTCACTTAACTGCAAACCAATGCTATGCTTCTTCTCTATTATGACTTAGCTGAGACACTACCTCTAATGATCCTCATTACACTACACCCATCACTTTCACCCTTATTTGTCAAGTAATTTTATAAAATTCAACATGAGATACTTCACAAATAAGTATACCATGCAGCAGTTTTATTATGCCATAACTTACTATGCTTTGTTGTATACACACACACACACACATAATGAATCAAATTTTGGATTCTTCCAAAAATATAGGCATTCCTATTATTGTGCCTTCAGAATACTTCTTGGATAACTCTATTACTAACTTGCTTTGTTCCATTAAAGATTTGTTTATGAAACCAGGCAGCAGGCTAAATATGCCCCATGGGTGCTTATTTGCCAATCACAGTTCTAAATTTTGTGAGGTTTTTGTTTTCTGGGGACTTTTTACTTTTACTGTTGCTCATGTTGGCTTTTCCCTGTGAGTGTGTGTTATTTTTTTACAGTGAATTGATGCTTTGGCAGAAATTAACCCATGGGAATAACCTAAACAATCAGGAGCTTTGTTGTAGAGAATATTTGCATTTGCTTCCACTGGGCACTAGGGAAGCCACCAGCCAAGAACCACATCAATTTAATGTCTGTGCTCTGAATTTCCCAAACTGTTTAGTTAGTATAGATGAAGAGTTGAGACCAGCTTGGGAAGGAATCCTTGTTACAAATTGTGAAAGGAAAATAAATCTCAGGACCTCGAAATCACTAAGTCAAAGGGAAATGTTAAGCTGGGGACTGCATTAGGCAAACCCACCTCCCATTTTATTTCTAAATAGGAAGATACAAAGATTAAAAAGCTACGTGCCTCACTCACAATTTGCCCACAAGCAAATTCCTTGTGCAGACAGAACTCAAAGTCATCCCCCTGCTCATGGGACAAAAATGCATATCTGATTGCTTCCTCTGCCTTGTTGTTTTAGTAAAAGGTTAATTAGAGACTCAAAACAATAGAGCCATTTGTCTCTTACCTACCTATGACCTGGAAGCACCCTTCCTCGTTTTGAGTTATCCCGCCTTTTCAGACAGAACCAATGTACATCTACACATATTGATTGACGTCTCATGTCTCCGTAATATGTATAAAACCAAGCTGTGCCCTGAACACCATGGGCACAGGTCGTCAGGTACTCCTGAGGCTGTGTCACAGGCACATCCTTAACCCTGGCAAAATACACTTTCTAAATTTATTGAGGCCTGTCTCATATATTTTGGGTTGACAAAATTCTATAGAAAAATGTTTCTTTTTATTTATCTATTTATTTATTTCAATAGGTTTTGGGAGAAAGATGATGTTTGGCTAATGAATAAGTTCTTTAGTGGTGATTTCTGAAGTTCTGGTGCACCCATCACATAAGCAGTGTAGACTGTACCCAATGTGTAGTCTTTTTTCTCTCATGCCCCTCCCAGCCTTTCCCCTAAGTCCCCAAAGTCCACTGTATCACTAATGGTAGCCAATTCATAAAAGTTGTTGCAAGTTTCATTATTTTTTTCCTTTTTATGACTGAGTAGTATTCCATGGTGTGTGTGCGTGTGTGTGTGTGTGTGTGTGTGTGTGTGTGTATATACACATATATATATGTGTGATATATATATCTCACATTTTCTTTATTCACTCATTAATTGATGGGCATTTGGGCTGGTTCCATACTTTTGCAATTGCAAATTGTGCTATAATAAATATGTGTGTGCAATTACTTTTTTTGTATAATTACTTCTTTTCTGCTGGGTGGATACCCAGGAGTGGGATTGCTAGATCAAACGGTAGATCTACTTTCAGTTCTTTAAGGAATCTCCATGCTGTTTTCCATAATGGTTGTACTAGTTTACGTTCCCACTAACAGTGTAAAAGTGTTCCCTTTTCCCTGCATCAATCAACATCTATTATTTTTTGATTTTTTAATTATGGCCATTCTTGCAGGAGTGAGGTGGTATCCCATTGTGGTTTTTATGTACATTTCTGTAATCATTAGTGTTTTCTCATGTTTGTTGGCCATTTGTATATCTTCTTTTGAGAATTGTCTATTCATGTCCCTAGCCCACTTTTTGAATGAGATTGTTTGTTTTTTTCTTGCTGATTTGTTTGAGTTCCTCATGGATTCTGGATATTAGTCCTTTGTCAAATGTATAGATTGTGAAGATTTTCTCTGACTCTGTGGGTTGTCTGTTTACTCTACTGCTTATTTCTTTTGTTGTGCAGAAGTGTTTTAGTTTATTTAAGTACCATCTATTTACCTGTGTTTTTGTTGCATTTACTTTTGGGTTCTTGGTCATGAAGTATTTGCCTAAGCCAATGTCTAGAAGGGGTTTTTCAATGTTATCTTCTAGAACTTTTATGGTTTCAGGTCTTAGATTTAAGTCCTTGACCCATCTTGAATTGATTTTTGTATAAGGTGAGAGATGAGGATCCAGTTCCATTCTTCTACATGTGGCTTGCCAATTATCCCAGCACCATTTAGTGAATAGAGTGTCCTTTCCCCACTTTAAGTTTTCGTTTGCTTTGTTGAAGATCAGTTGGCAGTAAGTATTTGGCTTTATTTCTGCATTCTCTATTCTATTCCATTGGTCTATATGCCTGTTTTTATACCAGTACCATGCTGTTTTGGTGACTATGGTCTTACAGAATAGTTTGACATTGGGTAATGTGATGCCTCCAGATTTTTTTTTTTTTTTTTTTTTTTTTTTTTTTTTTTTTTTTGCTTAGTCTTGTTTTGGTTATGTGGGCTCTTTTCTGGATTCATGAGTTTTAGGAATGTTTTATCTAGTTCTGTGAGGAATAATGACGGGAATTGCATTGCATTTGTAGATTGCATTTGGCAGTATGGTCATTTTCAGAATATTGATTCTGCCCATCCATGAGCCTAGGATGTATTTCCATTTGTTTGTGTTGTCTATGATTTCTGTCAGCAGTTTTTTGTAGTTTTCCTTGTAGAAGTATTTCACCTCCTTGGGTTAGGTGTATTCTTAAGATTTTTTGTTATTATTGTTGTTGTTGTTTTTGTTTGTTTGTTTCAGCTATATTGAAAGGGGCTGACTTATTGATTTGATTCTCGGCTTGGTCACTGTTGGTGTATTGCAGGGCTACTAATTTGTGTGCATTAATTTGATATCCTGAAACTTGGCTGAATTCATTTACCAGTTCTGGGAGCTTTTTGGAAGAGTTTTTAGGGTTTTCTAGGTATACAATGAAGTCATCAGCAAATAGGAACAGTTTGACTTCTTCTTCACTAATTGGGATGCCCCTTTTTTTTTTATCTTGTCTCATTGCTCTGGCTAGGACTTCCAGTTGAATAGAAGTGGTGAAAGTGGGTATCCTTGTCTTGTTTCAGTTCACAGGGAGAATGCTTTCAACCTTTCCCCATTTAGTATAATGTTGGCTGTGGGTTTGTCATAGATGGTTTTTATTACTGTAGGGAGACCCCCTGAAACTATTGCTATGGAATAAAAGATGAAATGCTCCTGATTACTGTAAATAAAAAATTGCATGCAGGATTGTGTAAAGACAATGCCAGGTTGGACTGCCAGAATGAGCCAACAGCACATGATGTGCTTCCCCCGGAAGAGAGCCTATGAATGGACATGCAGTCAGGGAGGTTTCACATCACCAAGGTTCCTATACCAGAAAAGCAAATGTTCATAGCTCTGGGAATGGAATGTGACACTTGTGGAGAGCCTATAAATGGATGCATGAGGGGCGCCTGTCCATATGGATAAGATAGGGCTATAAACGCCCTCATCTTGTCACGGCTCTTCTAGGCCTCTTTAGGGTTAAGGCACACTCCCTTCTGAGAATTTCTGGTCTAACCGGTTGTCTAGCTTCACATCCTGTTTCTATGGATTGCTTGTAACCAGCTTTTGCTGCAACTGTTACTGCTGATTAATATCTTGCTAATCATAGATTATGGAAAGACTGTGTTTCTGTTTTAAGGCTCTGTTAGAAATTACTGATGCACACACTATATTGTAAATTCTTCTCCCTGTATACTATACTTCTGCATACAGATGTTATGTTAAAGAATTACTTCATCCCCATGTGACCATCTCACCTCATAATCAAATGACCCTAAATCCCCCACTAACCTACCCCCACCCTCACTAAACTTAATAATAAATGCTGGTATATCCAGTGCATTGTTGGCACCGCGGGACCAGAAGGCGGTGAACCCCCTGGACCCAGCTTTCGCTGTCTTGTATGTGTCTATTATTTCTCGACCGGCCGACCTGCCTGGGAACAAAGAGAAAGCCCGGTTGCATTGCAGGCTGCTGGCCAGATCTTGCAATAATTACCTTAAGTTATATCTCTTCTATGCCAATTTTGCTGAGGATTTAAATCATAAAGGGATGCTGAATTTTGTCAAATGCTTTTTCTGCATCTATTGGCATGATCACGTGATTTTTGTTTTTAATTTTGTTTATGTGATGTATCACATTTTTTGACTTGGGGATGTGAAATCATCCCTGCATCCCTGGTATGAAACCCAGTTGATCATGGTGGATTATCTTTTTGATATGCTGTTAGATTTGGTTAGCCAGTATTTTGTTGAGGATTTTTGCATGTATGTTCATCAGGGATATTGGTCTATAGTTGTTGTTGCTATGTCCTTTTCTGGTTTTGGTATTATGGTGATACTGGCTTCATAGAATAGTTTAGGGAGGACTCTCTCTTTCTCTGTCTTGTGGAATAGTGTCAATAAGATTGGTACCAATTTCTTGAATGTCTGATGGAATTCAGCTGTGAATCCATCTGGTCCTGCACTTTTATTTGTTGGTACCTTTTTTTTTTTTTTTCTCTGACGGAGTCTTGCTGTGTCTCCCAGGCTGGAGTGCAGTGGCCTGATCTTGGCTCACTGCAACTTCCACCTCCCAGGTTCAAGCAATTCTCCCTGCCTCAGCCTCCCAAGTAGCTAGGATTACAGGCACCTACCACCACACCCGGCTAATTTTTGTATTTTTTAGTAGAGACAGGGTTTCACCATATTGGCCAGGTTGGTCTTGAACTCCTGACCTCAGATGATCTGCCCACCTTGGCCTCCCAAAGTGCTGGGATTACAGGGGTGAGCCACCGCACCCAGCCTGTTGGTAACTTTTTAATTACCATTTCAATTTCACTGCTTGCTGTTGGTCTGTTCAGAGTTTCTATTTCTTTCTGGTTTAATCTAGGAGGGTTGCATATTTCTAGGAATTTATCCATTTCTTCCAGGTTTTCTAGTTTATGCGCATAGAGGTGTTCATAGTAGCTTTGAATGATCTTTTGTATTTCCGTGGTATTTGTTGTAACATCTCCCATTTCTTTTCTAATTGAGCTTATTTGGATCTTCTCTCTGTCTTTTCTTGGTTAATCTCACTAATGGTCTATCAATTTTACTTATCTTTTCAAAGAACCACCTTTTGGTTTCATTTATCTTTTGTATTATTGCTTTTTGTTTCAATTTCAGTTGGTTTGTTCTTATTTCTCTAGTTCCTTGAGGTGTGACCTTAGATTGTCTACTTGTGCTCTTTCAGACTTTTTATTGTAGGCATTTAATGCTATGAATTTTACTCTTAGCACAGCCTTTGCCATAGCCAGAGGTTTTGATAGATCAAGTCACTATTATCATTCATTTCAAAGAATTTTTTAATTTCCATCTTGATTTCATTGTTGACCCAACGATCATTCAGAAGCAGGTTAATTTACATGTTTTTGCATGATTTTGAGGGTTCCTTTTGGAGTTGATTTCCAATTTTATTCCACTGTGTTCTGAGAGAGTACCTGCTATAATTTCAATTTTCTTAAATTTGTTGACCCTTATTTTGTGGACTATCATATGATCTGTCTTGGAGAACGAATGCTACATGTGCTGATCAATAGCATGTATATTCTGCAGTTGTTGGGTAGAATGTTCTGTAAATATCTCTTAAGTCCATTTGTTCTTGGGTATAGTTAAGTCCACTGTGTCTTTGTTGGTTTTTTGTCTTGATGACCTGTCTTGTGCTTTCAGTAGAGAATTGAAGTCCCCCACTATTATTGTGTTGCTGTCTATCTAATTTCTTAGGTCTAGTAGTAATTGTTTTATAAATTTGTAATCTCCAGTATTAGGTGCATATATATTTAGGATTGTGACATTTTCCTGTTGGACTAGTTAATTTATCATCATATAATGTCCCTCTTTGACTTTTTTAACTGCTGTTACTTTAAAGTTTGTTTTGTCTAATATAAGAATAGCTACTCCTGCTCACTTTGGGTGTCCATTTGCATGGAATATCTTTTCCCATCCATTTACCTTAAGTTCATGTGAATTCTTATGTGTCAGTTGAGTCCCTTGAGGACAGCAGATACTTGGTTGGTTAACTCATCCATTCTGCCACTCTATATTATTTTAGTGGTGCATTTAGGCCATTTACATTCAACATTAGTGTTGAGATGCGAGGTACTATTCTATTCATCATGCTATTTGTTGCCTGAATACCTTGTTTTGTTTTCATTGTGTTGTTGTTTTATAGGTCCTGTAAGAATTATGCTTTAAGGAGATTCTATTTTGGTGTATTTTGAGGATTTGTTTCCAGATTTAGAACTCCTTTTAGCAGCCTTGTAGTGCTGGCTTGGTAGTGACAAATTCTCTAAACATTTGTTTTTCTGAAAAAGACTGTATCTTTTCTTCACTTATAAAGCTTAGTTTTGCTGGATACAAAATTCTTAGTGATAATTGTTTTGTTTAAGGAGGCTAAAGATAGAATTCTATCCAATCCCTTCTAGTGTGTAGAGTTTCTGCTGAGAAATCTGCTGTTAATCTGATAGATTTCCTTCATGGTTACCTGATGCTTTTGTCTCACAGCTCTTAAAACTATTTTCTTCATCTTGACTTTAGATAACCTAATGACTATATGCCCAGGTGATGATCATTTTGCAATGAATTTCCCAGGTGTTCTTTGAGTTTTTTTAAATTGGATGTCTAGATTATTAGCAAGGTTGGGGAAATTTTCCTTGATTATCCCTTCAAATGTTTTCTAAACTTTTAGATTTCTCTTCTTCCTTGAGAACACCAATTATTCTTAGGTTTGGTCATTTAACACAATCCCAAACTTCTTGGAGGCTTTATTCATTTTTAATATTCATTTTTATTTGTCTTTGTAGGATTGGGTTTATTCTCAAGCCTTGTCTTTGAGCTCTGACATTCTTTCTTCTGTTTGTTCATTTCTATTGCTGAGACTTTCCTGTGTATTTTGCAATTTTCTAAGTGTGTCCTTCATTCCCAGAAATTGCGATTGTTTTTTATTTATGCTCTCTATTTCAATGGAGATTTCTCCATTCATATCCTGTATCATGTTTTGATTTATTTAAGTTGGACTTTACCTTTCTCTGATGCCTCCTTGATTGGCTTAATAAGTCAACTTTCTGAATTCTTTTTCTGGCATTTCAGAGATTTTGTGTTGATTTGGATCCATTTTTGGTGAGACAGTATTTGGCAGACTGTTAAAGAACCTTATTTTATCATACTACCGAATCATTTTTCTGGTTCCTTCTCATTTGGATAGACTATATCAGAGGGAAGATCTGGGACTCAAGGGCTGCTGTTCAGATTCTCTTTTCCCACAGGGTGCTTCCTTGATGTGGTGGTCTCCTCTTTCCCCCAGGGATGGGGCTTCCTGACAGTCAAACTGCAGTGATTATAATTTCTTTTCTGGATCTACTCAGCCTGCAAACTACCAGTCTTTGGGGTGGTACTGGAGAGTGTCTGCAAAGAGTCCTATGATGTGATCTGTTTTCAGGTCTCTCGGGCACGGGTATCAACACCCTATCGATCCAGTGGAGGTAGCAGGGGAGTAAAGTGGATTCTGTGAGGGTCCTTGGTTGTTTTGTGTTAAATGTGCTCATTTTTTGTTGGTTGGCCTCCAGCCAGAAGGCGGCACTTTCAAAGCACATAAGCTGCAGTAATATAGGGAGGACCAAGCAGTGGACAGGGCCATGGAGCTCCCAAGAGATTATAACCTTTGTCTTTGGCTACCAGGGAGGGTAGAGAAAGACCACTAGGTCAGGGCAGGGATAGGCTTGTCTGAGCTCAGCCACTCCTTGGGCAAGGCTTGCTGCATCTGCTGTGAGGGATAGGGGTATAGTGCCCAGGCCAAAGGAATTATTTTCCCGAGGAAATTATGGCTGCCTCTGCCGTGTTGCACAGGTCACCAGGAAAGTGGGGGAAAGCCAGCAGGTACGGGCCTCACCTAGCTCCCATGCAGTCTGCAACCTGAAAGGCCGATCACACTCCCACTGTTCCCCTACAACAGCACTGACTTTATATCCAGCCTGTTGGTGAGCAGGGCTGAGAACTTGCCCTAGGCTACAAGCCCCCCAGCTGAGAAAGCAAGCCAACTCACAGTTTCTCAGCCGTCCCATGGAGCCTGGGACAAAAGGTCTGTGGATTCTCTCACTTTTCCTGCTAATTTCCTGAGTTAGTTCTTGGAGCAAAAGCTCACAATGTGAGTCTTCACATGCTGCTCCATCCATCCAAGTGGGAGCTGCTAGTTATTCTGCCTCAGGAGAATATTTTTGTTAGTCCTTTTTCATTTGGAACTGTGACAGAAATTGATAGATTTCCTGTGTACTTTGTTTGCTGGCGGACAATTTTTTTTTTTCTAAACCATATGTCATAGAAGCTCTTGGCTTTTAACATACCAGTAAAATGTGTGAATCTCAGATTCCAGTTTTCCATTCAGCATTTTCCTAAGGCCTAGTCTTCTAATTCCCTTGTGATTAAGAATTTCCACAATTTTAAGTTTGTAAAATTCCAGGATAGACCTGGCATCCACACTTGCTTCCTGGCTTTCATTGATTGCTCTCTTTTATATATGCTTCAAGAATACTTATTATTTCTTGAAAACTGAGAAATATTTAAGATATGTTTGTAGCAATTTATCTATAATCAACCGCATTTTGCATTATCTTGTCCATTTCATGGCTTCTTTTCAGCTTTATGTTATACTTGAAACCGGTTCTCTAATTTGAGCCACTCTGAGGCTGTAATGCTCCTATCTACTAGCTTCTCTTTGGATTCTGTTCTGCAGGCAGATTCTGGTTTTATCTGCTCGGGTGAGTAAGTCATTGCCCATCTCTCTATTTCCACCTTTATAGTCTTTGAGATTTTTCTTCTCTCATTCATTCTCTCATTTTCCTTATCATTGTGGATTTCGAACTAAAAGTCAATCATTATAACAAGTGAAATTTGGGGGTAGTTTGCAGTTAAGAATGAGTATTTAATCTTTCACACTTACTTGGAAGTCTTGGTTATAAATGTTTCATTTAATCAAACCTACCTCTGATAATAACTACCATTCACTGAGCTCATACTACTGTTAAGATGCTTTACATAAATGATTAAATGACAATTGTACTAGTGTTATTTGTGGTAGTCATTGATATTCATCACACATTTTCAAGTCCTCTTCTCCTTTAGGGCACAAGGTATGATTGCATCCTCCCACTCCATTTGAGGTTTGGCATGGCAATGCAACCTGTTTGGCTAACAAAATGTAACTGACAATGACATATGTCATTTCTGGGTGGAAGTTGCAAGATCTAATGCACAATATGCAGAACATTTCCCCTTTCCATGTTTCCATGGAAGCACCGATCATGATGAAATCTTTGTAAACCTGCATCCTCAAGTGACTACAGCATGCAGACTCCCATCAACCCAGGTGGAACAAGTGTTATAAGCAAGAAATAAACATTTTTTTTTTGTAAAGCCACTGATATTTTGATGTAGTTGTTACAACAACATAATACACCTTATTCTGAATAATGTAATGTTCATTGATAGATGAGAAAAAATAAATTATTTCCAATATAAAATGGCTATTGATTGATGGGACTGCTATTCAAACCCAAGATTATTTTATCAAAACCCCATGTCATTTGTGCTATGCCATGCTGCCTTACATGCTGTGGAGTTTCTCACATTTGTTAATGTCTTAAGTCAATCGATACATATGAAGCCAATGACAGTGGCATCTTCCTGAAATCTAGAGGTCTGTCTTACAAATGAGCAATGGTAATACATGATGTTTTATTTTTGAAGCAGTTAGATGGAGAATATATACTAATTGCTGTCATCTGTTTTACCTTTGAATTACAATGACAGAGCAGAATTTCTCTGGTAGAGATTCTTCCTCAGATATCATGATATCTAACCAAAGAAAAATGTTTCAGAAACAACACCAGCCTGACACTGATCAATTCAGAGAAGCTTTCTGACCATTAATTAGACTTTTAAAAATTGTAGCCCCACCTTATCATACAAGCAAAATAATTTATATGACTTGTTAAAATATTATCTTTTTAACTTGTTCTTTGATGCTGCTACTCAGGAACACATCTCTGCTCACCATCATGACCCATGCATCTTCATTACCAACAGCACCATGGCAGGTACTGGTCCTGTCCTTGGGTATAGAGTGCCCAAGGTATAAAGGCATACTTTATTCCTTGGGTATAAAGTACTCAAGGTATAAAGGTTCTGTCCTTGGGTATAAAGTACCCAAGGTATAAAGTCGGCTCCTGTTTGCCTTTTTTTTTTTTTTTTTTGGTCAGATTTTAACCCTGCATTTAGACTGAGGAGTAGCTCTCATTTGAATGCTGGGCCATCTCACAGCAAGCAACACTTCTTTTCACTCCAATCCAAACTGTCTACAAGACCGTCTGTTTCTATAACAGGGTCCAAGTCTGCTTTATGGACATATTTAAAAAATATATTGATCCTTGTGTGATAGACCTATCTTACGTCTACACATCTACTGGGCTCTCTACAAATTTCCAATTTTGCAACCTTTCTCATAAAGCCTTTTTTATACACATGTGTATATACTCACAATACTTGGATTTTCACTAAGACAAAAAGCACAGAATAGATAATTTCCTCTGAGTTTTCACAAAATGTAATAAAAATGCAAAGCTGAGCTCCTGATATTTCCCCCTAAGGGCCTCTCCTCAACTTCGTTCAAGCTCTAAGCAGCTTTATTTTTACACAATGTTTTAAATCACAGAAACTTTAACTCATATACTTGTTTCCAAGATAATACCTGGCAGAGGCAAGTCTCCATCTGAATTTTATTCCTTGTTCTTCTGGATTCCAGCTCTAGTCAGAATGTGTAACTTCTGCTTTCAGTAGGTCCCCTTCCTCCTACCCTTGCAGTACCTCCACTGTGTTACAATGTGCACATCTGGTGGGAAGATCATGTCAGTCATCTCTTTCGCATTATTCTCTTTAATTTGAGTCCCGGGTGGCTCAAATTAAATCCATGTGAGTATATCCAGCCAGAGACACTGCAGACCTCATCTGTAGGGCTGTTTTCAAGCTTGTGGTCTCTCAGCACTGGCCCAAAACAGCCTTTCTTCTTCTTGTCAGCATAGATGCAAATTTCAGGGAGTTACCTTTCTCTGGAAAGATTTTCTACAGTTTCCCATGTTGAATGAATTAAATCAATTTTTTTATGGTCTCAGATTAGTAAACCTATTTAGCACGTTACTGAAATGCTTCTCTCCCACACACTTTTGTTATCCTGGAACAAGACAGACACCAGTGGATTTCTCTTGGCTTAAAAGGCAGGACCAGCTACATCATTTGTGAAACCCAAAGCAAGATAAAAATGTCAGACACTTGTTAAAAAATATATTAAGAAGTTCATGATGTAAACAAGAGGACATTACATTAGGAGCGGGGCCTCCATTCTAAGTGAGGGACATGTGTGACTGTACAGATTTCATATCCATGAAGCCAGCTTTTCTGAGGGAAAGACTACTTTGATAAGGCACCCTTCTCAAGAGTAGTGTTTCTGGGGAGCCAATCATAATTCCAAAACAGTCCCAAACACCGTAATCCTGAATGATTTTAAACATCAAAATCTTTAAAGTCAAAAATTCCCCAAATCACAATTGTGAAACATCAAAATCCTGAAAATATAATCCTGGAAAAATAATTTTAAAAAAGTTAAAAGACATTTCTTTGCAAGTGTCAAAGGAGACTTATCTGAGAAACAGATAAAAACATGGCAGAATACTTCATAGGCCACTTTGCACAATAAAATAGAAAAAAAAAAGCTTAGATATTTTTGCAAACATAAACACTCGGGTATACTAACAACAGTCATATGGGTATAATAGTTATGAGCAAATGAACCATATTTATAAAAGAATAGGTCCAAAAAGAAACTATAAACACGTTACCATGTTTGGTAATTGTGTGCACCTAGCTTTACAATTGTGGTCATCTGAAATACCATGATGAACAACACAAATCAAAAATTATGTTGGGTCACCACTGCATATGCAGTCACTTAAAGAGCCAAGATCTCAAGAAATTTTATCTTTCACAAATATAAACATAACAAAGAACATCTTTGTACATGTTGAGAAAATTTAACGTTATGTATATACACAATTCTTATACACAAGGGCAACATTGTGATAATGCACTTTCATGGACTTAAATTTGCAAAAAGTGCATAAAACAAATTAGAATTCTCTAAAAGTCTTTACACAATTTATACTTCCAGTATTGGAAACGAGGTGAAGATGAAATACACAGCATCATTAATTGTAAAAGAAAAAAAATTCTGACAATTTAAAATAGTGAAAAAAAACTAAAAAAAAAAAAATCTAAAAACGAAATTTAAAATTTAATAAATGAAAATTGTATTATTAGGACAGATTATGGGCAATTGGCACAGAGGCAGTTTGTAAGAGCTGGCCAACTTTCATAATCTTTAGCTATAGTCTGAAGTCCTGCATCACAATGAATAGCTAGCTGGGGTTTTTTTTGTTTGTTTTTTTTCTTTCTTTCTTTCAGGACATGACTCTCCTTGGAGAATATGATCACTTCCTACATGGCACTGCTTTTTTTGAAATCGTTCTATAAATGGATATCCACCAAAATGAGCATTCCCTATTCAATTTTCCCATCTTTTGCCACGCTTCCATGTTGTTTTAAGTACTCAGAAATCCATTCCACATACACTCTTATATAGACCACAAACTTGGTGAAAACTTTTAAAGTAGTCAGTAACTTCCTTGGCTTCCTCAGGCAAATGCAGCTTTAATTAATAAAGAGCTCCTGCAATGTCATCAGCTGGAAAGAATGCCAATGTAGGCAAATGACACATTTTTAACTTGAAGTTTTTACTGTTGCAATATCACATGGCCAATCCATGACTCTGAATTTTCCAAGAAATGCAAATAAAAACAATAATAATGTAATATTTCGGCCTAACATAATGCAACTAATATGATGTAACTATTCTGAATACACTTCAAAACACACAAATCTGTTCCCCAAAATTTGGCTTTCAGGAACATTTGGGATTATGGCATTTTGGATTGTGTCTTTCAGGATTATACTCCAAACATACGTTTCAGGTGTTATCTTCTCAGGGATGTCCTGAAGCCCTAATATGAAAATTTTGACTCATAATCTTCCTTAAAGCTTCAGATAGGCAAATCTAATGGAGCTTTCATTGCAAATAGGATACTTGATGGCCCACCATTACTATCCTAGAATCCCCAAAGCCATATAGAAATTTGGACCCAGTCTGGAACTGAACACCAGCCACACAAATGTTCCCCACAACAAAACAAGACTTAAGTTCAATACTACATTGAATTTTAAAGCAAAGATTGAGTCTGCTGAACCTTGCTGCTTTAGTACAAAAATGTTGTCCCAAATCAAGTTCTCTCTGAATACCTTCTAATGCCTACTGGCACCATTTTGTGGGATCACAACTCCTGAGGGGAAGTGGGACAAGTTCATCTATTACAAATTTCAAAGGTTCTTTCAAATAAAGCCAAAGATGCTTGAGGGGCTACTTCCTTATAGTGCAGTTCATGACCATGTGTCTTGGAACATGATTGAGAAAACTATTTTGCAATAGTAACACGGCTAATTCCCTAACTAGCATTTTCATATAAGTATAAAATTCTTAAGTCTAAATTTGCTATTTAGGTAGGTAGAAAAAGTGACAGAGAATAAGCATGATCCCTTTTAGGAAAGTTACTGTTAATAGAACAAAATAAATGGTGTAAAACTGAATGCCAACATAAGCTGTCCAGTTCTCTACTTCTTCAGTCTCATTATTTCATATTAAAAATAATCTCTCATTGCAAAAATGCCATACCACTTATTTCCATTTAAGTGATTCTGTGTTGATGTGTTGCTGCATTTCTAAGCAATATTGTTTTCCAGGTAAATCTCAACCGTTAGCATTCTACAGATAGGAGACACCAAGAAAATCACCTTCCACAGGCAGTCCTGAAAACACCTATTAAGGTGTTTTTAGCAAATATGAGATTGTGCAAATAAGATATGTCAAATAGCATCCCTGGCACCAATGGAAGTAGAATTCCTTCATTTTCTCACATCTTCACAAGTGAAAACCATCTGATGACAAAGCAACTTGCACACCCTTCCTTGTGGTTGACTTCTTTTTCTTGATTTTAAACTCCTAAACACAAAAGAAAGAAATCTAACACTTCCTTGATCCTTAGACTGCCTGTCCCCTAATTATGGGCCTCTTCTTTGTTTCTCTATCACCTCTATTCTCAACAGGAATAATAAGCAGAGATAAACAGATAATAGATAAATAACTAAACATAGAATAGTGTAACTTCGAAATGCATTTTTAAATGGGTGAGGGAGGCATTAGAAAAAAATCTGCTAAATTGCCAATATCAGAATTTTACAACTAGTACTAAATTTTTAGCGATGCTCTTCATATCATTTGTTTTTATCTACCTTAATAAATACTTTCATAAGCTGAGTTAGGGCCACTATATCAGGGCTAGATTTGTGTGTTTCCTTTGGCATACGTAGATACATTATGTACTTTTTAAATTTTAAACTTTTAGTATCAATATTTTAAAATATTTATCTCTGAGCACCTCTGAGATACAAAGATGAAACCGGCAGCATTCTTACCTTGAAGGAGTTTAAGTCTAGTGAGAAGACAGACAAAAAAATTAATGATTAGTATAAAAAATGTTAAGTATTATGATTAAGCTAGGAATTAAAAATACCTTTTCATTGGTGCTAGTCCAAAATTTTAAATGACCACAGAACCAGTGTTCATCCCACCCCATTAGTGATAGCCTCTTTTTAAAATCCATGCATAAGAAAGTCAGCCAGTCCCTACACTCTGTTACTTCCGAAAGTCAGATAATCCCTAAGTATCAAACTTCTTATAACCTTAGAGAAGACTGAATCTGCTTTTTCAGTGTGTCGTAGGCATAGTTATCAAGTGACTTTAATAATTGTACTTATCAAGTAATAATTCAGCTTCTTGGTGTGTTTGCTTAATGTAAGGGGAAGGGTGTCTTGTCTCTCAACAAAGATGTGTAAAGCTGTGGGAATTTTCTGGAAAATAGATCATGATGAAGGGACTACTAACTCCACATGATGCTGGATAAGAGGATGGCTAGGGAGAAGGGGAAGCAAGTGGTCAAATGATTCTTTAAAGGAAAAACTTTGAACTGAGGTTTGAAGATAGAAATCTGCAAATTCATTAAGTTGTAGATGAGTTTCTCAGGCAGAAGGAACTGATGAGCAAACTAAAGGAAACTTTTGACTTTCTAGTACATTTGAGGAACTACACCTAATGCTTAATGGTTCAAAAAGACTGCAGGTGGATATATAATTGAAGATAAGACAGGTAATATGTGCAGGTGCAAAACTCTGCATGGTACATTGGTATAATGGGAACTCAATAAAAGATTTAACCTGAGGAGTAGAAAATTAGTTTGACATTTTAGAAAAAAAATTATCTCAGAATGTTAAGGATGGATTCGAAGTGCAGAGACTCTTACAGAGGACTTGTTACACCTGTAATGAATTTTGGATATCCTCCAGGAAAACTTCTTTATTTTGAAGACAATAAAAATAAAGCCTAGTGGCTTATTTTTAAGTGACTCATTCAAAGTCACAGAACTAAGACTGGAACTCTAAACAGCTACTCCAATTTCTTTGTAAAACTCAAAACAAGCTACAGAGTCACATTCCTTTTTCCTATGACTAAATGCCTCTGCAAGAAAGAATTTCAATGTATAGTATAGGAAGAGCTCAACTCTGCACCTAGGGACACCTTGTTATTTCTGTTTCTTAACTGTCCCGTCACGAAAAGGAAATGTAAATAAGAGCTCCCATGTCAATAATTTCCTGGATCATCTATGTATCTTCTTAGCCAAAGACAATTCTAAGGTTCTATCTCGATGGTCAATAATTTGTGATGTTTGTTGGTTTGGTACAGATACAGTGCTGGACTAAAATAACAAATGCCTGGATGATGAGTGATGTGCCAGTAGTAAGATACTTGGCTAAGTGTCATATGACTGAATGGGACTGAACATTCAGCATATATCTAAAATGCATTTCTCTACATTTGAAGGAAACATACAGAGTATTTAAACTAATTTATTCATTTCAAAGTTTAAAGTCAAAAAAGATAAAGACGTTAGCCCAAGTTCATACTGTCAAAAAGCAGAAGGAAAAACAAAATTCCAGTATAACAACCTGCAATTCAGGCCAGTTATTCCAAGCTGCTCAAAAGTTTCAACACAAAAACAAATGGAAAGATAATTGGCTTTAGTTCAGTCCTGATGATTGTTTTCTTTTGTTAATTCTGGTGTTGAAATATATCTCACTTTTAAAAAATGAAAGAATACTTCACAAACAATGAAACACATATTTGTCTACCTCTGTAAGTTTTGACAGTTGCATAGACCTATATATTCACACTTAAAATAGGATATTTTTACAACCCAACATATTTCTTCTTGCTTCTCTCCAGTCAGTTCCACCATTCAGACAACCACTTTCTGACTTCTATGATTATAAATTAGTTTTGCCTGTGGTTGAGCTTTAAATGAATAGATAATAGTATGCTTTTGTGTGTCTGGCTTCTTTTGTTTAATATTTTTTAAATACATCCATGTTGTTGCACACATCAGTAGTTAAATTCTCTTTTATTGCAAGGTAGTATCCATTTATATGACTACTTCACCATTTGTTTATACATTCAACTATTAATAGACATTTGAATTATACTTCCAGTTTTTTAAATTATTGTGAGTAAAGCCGCTCTGAACATCTTGTACAGGTCTTTCTGAGGACATGTCCTCAATATTCTTGGATAAAAACTTAGAAAGGAAATTGCTTGATTGTAAGGACAGATGAATATTTAACGATACAAGAAACAGCCAAAACAGTTTTCAAAACGGCTGTATGATTTTATATTCGCGCCAATAATGTATAATAGTTTTAGTCACACCACATGCTTGCCAGTATTGATATTGTCAGCTTTTAAAATTTTAGCCACTTTAAAATGTGTATAGTGGCATCTCATTGTGAGTTTACTTTTGTATTTCACTAGCGACATATCATGTGCTTATTGGCCATTTTAATATCTTTTGTTAAATGTCTCTAAAAGCCTTTTTCCTATTTTCATATTATTTTTCTCCTTTAGATTTGTAGGTAGAAGTTCTTTATATATTCTGGATATAATTAGATTTTCAGAAGTATTTATTGTGAAAATTCTACCCCAGATTGTGGCATACCTTTTTGGCTTTGTAATAATGGTATAAAGCAAAGAGATGTTTTTAAGTTTGATGAAGACAAATTTATTTTTTTTGAGTTAGTGCTTTCTGTGTGTTCTCTAAGAAATATCTGCCTGCCCCAAGACTGTGAATGTATTCCTCAATACTTTCTTTTAGAGGTTTTTTATTTTTAGTTTTTATGCTTTAACTATATGAGCAACTGACAAATATTTTCCAAATAGTTTCCAAGGAGGTCAGGCTATTTCATTTGTCCACCCACAAAGTATGTAATCAACCTAAATTAGCTTTTGTTGGTACTACAAAAAAAGTGGAGGTTCATTTTTTTCCCCTTATGGATATACAGCTGATCTAGCACAAGTTTTTGAGAATCCTTTTCTTTCCATATTTAATTGCCTAGGATTTTTATCAAATAACTATTTACCATATATATGTGGGTCTATTTGGGGACTCTCTATTCTGTTTAGCGACATATTTGTCAATTTGATTCCATGATCTTACTGTGTTGATTACTGTAGCTTTATACAATGTTTTCAAATTAGGTATTGTCAGTCCTTTTATCTTCATTTTCCTTTGTTAATGATATTGTTAGTTTTCTAGATTCTTTGCTTTTTCAAATAAATTTAGAACCAGCTTGTCAATTGCTATGAAAAAGTCTTGAGATTCTGATTGGATTTGTATAAAATATATTCACCAATCTGAAGAGAATTTACATCCTAACTATATTGAGTGAATAAATCTATTCCCCCAATGCATTTCCCTTTACATAGGACTCTAATATGTCTCACTAATGTGTTTACTTTTCAGTTTACATGTACATATATTTCATTAAATTTACACTTAATTATTTAATGCTTTTGATGTAATTATAAATGAAACAGCTTTTTGAATTCTACTTTCTAATTGTATGCTGCCTTTATATGTAAAGGCAATTAATTATTATATATCGATCTTGTATTATGCAACCATGTTAAAGTCACTTACTATTTCTAGTATTTGTGATGTATATACCTCATGATGTTCAAAATACAGTTACATCATCTACAAATAAAAAACAATTCACATTTTTCCTTCCAGTGCATATGGATTTTATTTCTTTTTCATATATTATTGCACTAGCTGAACCTTCCAGTACAATGTCCAATAAAAGTGGTGAGAATTGACATTCTTGACTTGTTTCCAATCTTGGGGGGAAGCATTCAATATTTCACCATTAAGGAAAATGTTATCAGTAGATTTTAGTAGATTTTTTCCCAAACAAAAAGGCCCCTTCTGTTCATAGTTACATGCTATTTTTTTCATCATGAATGAGTGCTGAATTACGTTAACTTCTTTTTCTTCAAATTTTAAAATTACAATTTATATATTTTTATTACTTAAAGGACAAAAATCACTTTGCTTGTTTTGTTTTGTTTTGTTTTTGAGATAGGATTCTTGTGAGTTCAAGTGATCCTCAACCCTCCCATCTCATCCATCGCAAGTAGATGGGATTACAGGTGCATGCCACTGTGCCTGATGTGTGTGTGTGTGTGTAAATCATTAAACCAAATTTGCTTTCCTGCAATAAATCCCACTTAGTCATAAGAAACACTATCCTGTAATTTTTTTTCTTATAATGTTTTGTCATGTTTTCTTATGAGGGTTATTCTGAATCCATAAGGTGGAATTTGTTAGTTCCCTTTCTAGTTTCTGAAAAAGCTTTTATAAAAACTGTACTATTTCTTAAAATTTTGATACAGCTTATAACCAACTGGGTCTGATGTTTCCTTTGTGAGAGGAATTTTGATTATCAACTCATTTTTTAAAAAACATATATAGCTATGCAGATTTCCTATTTATTCAATTTTGATAGCTGCATGTTTCTAGAAACTATCCACTTCATTCAAGTTGATAAACTTATCTGCAGAAAAAGTTTCATAATATTACTTTTTATGTTTTTAAAATTTCTATATGACCTATTGTAACAGTCCCTCTCACATTTGTGATTTATTTTCTTTTCTATGTATTTATTTTTGGCTGAGTCTTCTTAATAGTTTATTCAATTTTGTTAAACTTTTCAAAATGCCACACTTTCTGTTTTTCCACATTCTTTCCAATACCGGGTATGGTCTATCTTGTTAATTTTAACTATAATATTGGGTTTAACGACTAATTATATTGAACTTGTTTATGGGCTCATTTGCAATCTATGTATCTTCTTTGGTGTGATGTTCAAACCTCGTCTTTTAAAATTGTGTTATTGTTAGTTTTAAATGTTCTTTAAATATTCTAGATACAAGAAATCTCACTTTTTTCTCAGAACAAAGGTTTAAAAATCACTTAAACGGTATCTGTGTGGGCCATTTTTCCAGAAAAAGAATAGGGCAAATAGAAACAAAGCAGAACTGAGAGGTGAAAAGTTTTTAACAGCTATGCGTAAACACCCTGATCTAGCTATTCTTGAGACTACTGGATTATTCAGTTAGGTGAAGCAATGTGTTCTCTTTTGCTTAAATTAATATGTCTGGTTTCTATTTTGCAACCAAAAATATTTCACTTACCACTTTATGTACTTCTCTGTGCACAGGGTGGAAGAGTTCTGCAGCAGCCTAGATAACCTTCCAATCCACGGGTTCCACAGGAAGTAACAAGAGTCTCTAAATCAATTACAAAATCCAAGGAAAGAGAATCTCATTTATTGGATCAGGTGACTATGAGCAGATAGGTCGTTCATATGACTCACTCCTCAAGCATCATGAGTTGCGGAATAAGACGTTAAGAAGAGCATATGGGAAGTTTCCATAATATGAGTGAAGCGATAAGGAGAAAAAAAAATAGTTATCTCTTTACGCTAGACATTCACTAATATGATTTTACAAAAAAGTAACCTCAGTTGCATAACACAAACAAAATAGGAAGAGGAGGGCAACGAAGAATAGAAACTTGAGTAAATAAATTGAATACAGATTGAAATTTAGAAGACTCTGTCTTAAGAAAGAATCGTGAAAATGAAGGCATGATTGAACAAATTCATGTAAGCATCTTGACTTTAAAGGTAAATTTACCTAGAATGTTTGAACTTAATCCTTGGTTTAGCATTTTAGTACAGTGTGTCTTTGCCCTTAGGGATCCTTCATTAGCTTTGGGTACTTAAAATCAGTTGTTAGTTAGCTGGTGAGAAGCACCTTCCCTGCAGGCACTGGCATTTCAAAAACCTTCCCTTTCTTCCTGAAAGCAGCTTATACCTGCCGTTTCTTATCTGCACACAACAGGGAGACTGTTTAGAGCCAGGGGAGACAGCCAGTGAGCATTGCTAAGCTTGAAGATTCAAACCACATTTCTGTGTCCCGGCCTATTGCATCCCTATTTTTAGGTTCTCCGCTAAAATTTTATCTTCTTACTTTTTATCTCAAAGCTCAACCTGAGCTCTTCAGCCTAGAAAGTCTAATGCTGCTTTAACTCACACTTTTCTGACTGTTTCATCTTCTGGATGTCAGCATCTGGCCCATACCCGGTCCATATCCAGCTTGATTCTCAGGATTCCTGTGCCAATGTATTTGTTTATTCTAAACTTAGGGAGATGCTAGCATTTAATCTTATGCCTAAACTCTGATCCCAGCTACATCTTCAGATTCATGGCTTCATATGCCCCTGTTATGGCAAAGGAACATGGGGCACAATCTCTTACTGCCTTAAAATTGTGCTGTTTGTCTCACCTTTTATTAGTTTTCAAATATGGATTCCAAATTTTTCAGAATATAAGTGATCCACAATATAGTGCTGACCAATCAGAGAAGCCCATTGTTCTTCTGTCTCACCAAAGATGCATTAATCAAGTGACTATATTTACTAGAGGATTAGTATGCCTCAGTCATAAACAAACATTGTTGAGGACGTATTATTTGTCAATAACTGTGAAAATCTGGAGATCCTTAAAGGAAATAATAAATATACCAATAGCTGACATTTATTGAGCACTTACTACATACCAGACATTTGGGGAGTACTTTAATTGTACTGCTTATATTATATTTTCAATAACCCTATGTCATATTTATCATTGTTATTATTGTTCCCACGTTATACTTAAAGACACTGAGGCACAAAAGGGTTAGTAAGTGATTTGTCTTAGATTATTAATCTATGAAGTGACCAAGTCAAGATTTTTACTCTAATTTTATTGCCAGAGCTTATTCTTCTGTTCAGGTGGGGAAGAGAGCCAGGTAGAAATAATATACAATAATAAGAGCAAAAATGCTCTTGCATGAATAAATTACCAAGGGAATACCAGAAAGTACAACGTATTCCTTGAGTGGGAAAAGGATAAAGATTAGAGTTAACTTCACAGGGGAAAAGATATGATTGAGGTAGGTATTGAAGTGTAAGGAGAATGTGAACAAGGCGAGGAAGGCAACATCATTCCAGGCAGAGGGAACAGACTGAACAAGATTAGAGATGGCCTTGTGAAGGTATCATAAAGCAGCAATAAGCTTTCTCATTCTCCACTAAGAATCTATATTGAATCTTTGGACTTGTGCACAGGGCTCTCCAGTGAAAATCTCTCACGTCAGCCAGAGGAGAAAAAGAAAATTTATGTAGAAGAAATATTTTACGTCTTCTCTTTTCCACAGGTTTGTTACAGGGATCTGAGGAAGGGTCTGGCACAAGGGAGGAAGTCAGCAAAGACAAACTTGGGGCTACCTTATACCTGGGGTCCTAGTACCAGAATCAATTGACTACCTCAAGTCTAAATTCTTTTCTATCAAGCAAAATGATATTAGATGACTAATTTTATTTTATTAACTTTTAAATAATCCTTTGCCAATAAGAGGAGACTCTACATGCCACATGCTGCAAGCCTTAGAATTGCTCTAATGCCTCCTGCTGCCTCTGTGAAAACTAAGATTCTCAAATCTTTTCCCCATCACCTGTCTTTCAATTTTCATGACCTTTTGGCTGTTTCAGGGTCTTCCTCCAACATCCTCTAACTTTTCAGACTATTCTTTTGCAAAGCCACACAGAGAAAGGCCATGCCATTCATTTCTGGGAAATGGCCTATCCTGGTTCCATTTCTCTAAATGGCCTATTTTAGTAAATTACTATCTGAGTTCTCTAAGATGATGGCTGTGATCTCTTCTACCTGGCAAATTGTGTCAGCCATTTTGTACCATTGGACCAGTGCTGGGTCTTGGCCCTGTCAGACTCTGAGCCACCTATGTCATAGTTCTGGCTGATCTGTGAGACTGGTGATTCTTTTGTCTCTCACTGGAACCGCAGCACACAGTAGCTACTGTTCACCTGTGGTTTTGACTCACAAAATTATTCCTTTCCTTATTCTGAAACTGTTCATTGCACTAAGTTCTTTGCTGTGGAATATTTTACATCTCACCATTTATCTTTCATTAAGGTCTGGTTCAATGTTTTGCTACTTCTGGGTTTGAAAGGGTAATTCACTTGATTACTATTTTGTACTAATAGAGTAGGAAAATCAAAGTGCAGGCATGGCACCTAAGGGTAAACTGTGCTTTGTACACATGGTGGTTTCTTATGCACGGCAGTTAGCAAGTCCTCAAAGGAAAATTCAGAACCCAAATAGTTCAAAACAAATAAAATCAATGAATTACAAAGGAAATATATTACTGATGTCCAACTTACAGCAAGTAGTTCATATAAAACTATTAATTAAGACACAGATTCAGAACATGTAACATAGTGCATGTATTTCATATCTTCCTATTCTTAATCATCTTGTTGTTCGTTAGTCATGTTTTCAAAACTGTACTAGTCCATTCTCACACTCCTAAGACTGAGTAATTTATGAAGAAAGGAGGCTTAATTAACTTACATGTCTGCATGGATGGCTGGAGAGGCCTCAGGAAACTTACAGTCATGGTAGAAGGTGAAAGGGAAGCAAGACATGTCTTATCATGGCGACAAGAGAGAGAAAGAGAAAGAGACAGAGGAATTGCCACACACTTTTAAACCATCAGATCTTAACAGATCTCATGAGACTCTATCATGAGGCAGCACTAGGGGGATGATGCCAAACCGTTAGATACCACCTCCATGATCCAATCACCTCCAACCAGGCTCTACCTTCGACATGCAAGGATTACAATTTGACTTGAGATTTCAGTGGGGACAGAGAGTCAAACTATATTAAAAACCATATTTTAAACATTATTAGCCAGCTCTCTGTATACACATATTCCACATCTGAGGATTCAACCAACCATGAATAGAAAAAAAATGAATAAAAAATACAACAATAAAATAATACAAATAAAAAATACAGAATAACAACTATCTATATAGCATTTACTTTGTATTAGGCATTATAAGTAATCTAGAAATGATTTAAAGTATATGAGAAGATGTGCTTAGGTTATATACAAATACTGTACTGTGCCATTTCATGTAAGGGACCTGAGCATCTTCGGATTTTGGCATCCATGGAAGTCCTGGAACTAACCCCTACAGATACCGAGAAACAACAATATCTAAATTTTCTTTTCAGTGGTATGTCCTCTACATATATTTGATCTTATCAATACTCACAAAACTTTTATGAAAAGGCAATATTCCAGGCTCTGAGACCCTTTTGCCATGTATCCCTTATATAAGACAAGAAGAATTTCATGCCACAGATTTATCTTTAGGCTCCCAGAGATCTTTTATTGAAGTCCTTAACAGTGATTTTTGGCTTAATCTGAATATTTCAGTTGTTCTCTTTTCTCTTCACACTGACCAGTTTACTAGAAGATAAGAAGCTACTATTAATAGCGCTCTAAAGTTTTTACATCATTATAAAGTGCTTTATAGTCCCATCTTCATTCTCAAAATGAAACTGATGAAGAAGCTGAAGCTAATGAAGCAGTGACAACACAGCTAATAAACGACGGAGCTAGAACCATGTGTTCTAACTTTTTGACCTCTACTCTGTGTTCTTTCCCATTGGGAAGAAAGGGAAGAATACATATTAAAATTCAAGAAGCAAAAGTTGAATTAAGAGTAAGAGAAAAGCTCATTGAAGTTCAATGTAAGACTATTAGAACTCCTATATCTACTTCCTATGTCTTTAAAATATATTTCACCTGGATTCTTAAGTTTTCCTTAGATATTTTATTTATTTGCATTAAGAAACATGACTTTAATATATATTGATACATAATTTAAAGATTTTGGGGAAAAGTAACAAAAAATTACACAATTAAAACATAATTAAAAATAAAATGGTCACATGGACACAAATTTTGGCTTCATTGAGACAAAAAGAAAATATTACTCCAAATCCAAAGATTTGGGCAATTATTTCAAAAAAAAAGTCCATCTTAGTATTAATTTTTACTGGCCTTTTTTATTTTATTTTTCCCCATTTCTCCACCAGTTCTCCTTCTCCTTCCCTATCCAGTTGATTTGTCTTGATGATAAAAGGAAGCAAAAGTGAAAGTTATATTACATCAGTTTCCTGGAAAGATTTTTTTAATGTAAGTATTTGGTGACAACCTCAGCTTGTGTTGCTAAGATTTTATATTTTTTATATAAAAAGGACTCTAGGACCCAAGACTAAGAAAACTGTGACTGTTTTCAAAGATGACAAATGAAACTCATATTCAAACATCAGTTCCACTCATAACCTTAAAATCAAAAGCAAATCACTTTTGTTTTGTAAATAATTATAGATTCACAGGAGTTTGCAAAGAAATGCACAGGGGAATCTCACGCACTCCTCCCTCAGGCCCTTTCCTGTGACAACATCCCATAGAACCACAGTACAATATTGTTTCCTCCCACCAAATCCGTGGATGGAATCTCCCCAAAAGAGGTAAGCAGGGGAGTTCCCACAAGGAAGTGTCCCAAGCCACCCCAAGATGTGGCCAGTTGGGATTCCAAAGAAGCACTTTGTTTGATAATGAACTCATGGTAATGAATCCAAAGCATCTACTAGGTCTCATGACAGGCAGCAAGAGAAAAGGGGTATTCTGCCTGGTTATGACAGCAAGTAGTGCACTTCAGGGTATACAGTTTATATGAGGTTTTAAGGGATTTGGCTGAGGGCTGGGGACAGTTTCTTTTAATGTTTTGGGGAACAACCTAGATATCTTTATCAGCACCCAAGAATGTTCAAGGCTCCAGTTCGGGTTCAAGCTGACTGGAAAAAACCTGCACCTGTCTGGGTCACAAAATGCTCAAGTCACTCTTGTGATTTTCGGTCAGGATACAGAAAGCAAGCAGGCTGGGGATGGGGAGGAGATTGAGGGGACCCTACAAACACAAATACAAAAAAATTGACATTGACACAATCCAAAGAACAGATTCAGATTTAACTGATCATATATGCATTTGTGTATACAGCTTGACTACACCATTTTGTCACATATGTAGTTTTGCATAACCACCACTATGATTGAATGCTCGACTATACCATCACCATAAGACTTTCCTGTGTTACCCTTTATAGCCATACCATCCTTTTTTTCTTTTCTTCTTCTTTCTTTCTTTCTTTCTCTTTCCTCTTTCTCTCTTTTTTTTTTTTTTTTTTTTGAGGTGGAGTTTCACTCTTCTTGCCCAAGCTGGAGTGCAGTGGCGCTATTTTGGCTCACTGCAACCTCTGCCTCCTTGGTTCAAGCGATTCTACTGCCTCAGCTTCCCAAGCAGCTGGGATTACAGGCATCCACCACCATGCCTGGCTAATTTTTTGTATTTTTTTAGTAGAGACGGGGTTTCGCCATGTTGGCCAAGCTGATTTTGAACTCCTAATCTCAGGTGATCTACCACCTCGGCCTTCCAAAGTGCTGGGATTACAGGCGTGAGCCACCACACCCAGCCCATACCATTCTTTCTTATCCCTAACCCCCAGCAACCACAAATTTGTTCTCCATATTTATTATTGTGTTATTCCACAAATGTTATATAAATGGAATCATGCAGCCATGTATCCTTTTGAGACTGACTTTTTTCACCCAACATAGATTTTCTTGAGGTTGGTCAAAGTTGTTAAGTATATAAATGGTTCATTTCTTTTTCATTGCTGAGTAATATTCCACGATATGGATGCATCACAGTGTGTTTAACCATTTAACCTATGATGGACATCTAGATAGTTTCCAGTTTTTGCTTATTATAAATTTATAAATAAAGCTACTGGGAATATTCATACAAGTTCTTACATGAATATAATAAGCTTTCATTTCTTTTTCTCTTTTCTTTTTCTTTTTTTTTTTTTGTTTTGAGGCAGAGTCTCTCCCTCTGTCACCCAAGGTGGCATGCAGTGGTGTAATCTCAGCTCACTGCAACCGCCACCTCCTATGTTCAAGTGATTCTCATGCCTCAGCCTCCCAAGTAGCTGGGATTACAGGTGCACACTATCATGCCTGGCTAATTTTTGTATTTTTAGTAGAAACAGGATTTTGCCATGTTAGCCAGGCTGGTCTCAAACTCCTGATCTCAAGTGATCCACCTGCCTTGGCCTCCCAAAGTGCTGGGATTACAGGCATGAGCCACCACACCAACATGGCCTATTAAGTCTCCATTTCTTCATGGTAAAACCCAAGTGCACAACTACTAGGTTGTATGGTGAGTATATTTTTAGATTTTAGAGGAACTATTTTCCAGAGTGGTATACCATTCGACATTCAAACCAGCAATATATGAGCGATCCAGGTTTTTTCACAGCCTTGCCTGTATTAGGTGGTGTCACTTTTTCATTTTAGCTGTTCCAATAGGTGTACTGTAATATCTCATTATGGTTTTCATTTTTATTTCACTATTGGCTAATGACGCTGAAGATATTTTAATGTGTTTATTTGCCTTTGTTATCTTCTTCTGTATCAGCGAAATATCTGTGCACATTTGCCTTGGCCCATTTTCTAATTGGATCAGCTATTTTTGTTTTTGTGGGTTTTTTTCTGTTGAGTTTTGAGAGTTCTTACATACTCTAAGTACAAGACCTTTGTCAGATATGTGATTTGAAAATATTATCTCTCAGTCTATAGTTATATTTTTAGTAATTTTAGTAAGGTCTTTCACAGCACAAATTTAAAAAATTTTGGTGAGTTCCAATTTAGCATTTTTTTTTCTCTTCTGGGTCATGTTATTAGTTTCAAATCTGAAAACTCTTTATCTAGTCCTAGGCCCCCAGACGTTTTTCCTATGTTCTTAGTGAACTTAAGTTTCACACTGAAGTCCATGATTCATTTTGAGTTAATTTTGATGTAAGCATAAGAGCTGAGGTCTAGGTGAAGATTCATTTTTTTTTTTGCTGATGACTATCAAATTGCTACAGGACCATTGAATGACTTTTATTCCTTTGAAAAAATTAGGCAGGCATATTCCTGTGGGTCTATTTCTGTGTTCACTATTTTTGTTTCACTGATCTATTTGTCTACACATCCTCCAATGCCGCACTCTTATGATTACTTCAGCTATAAGCCTTAACATTGAGAACAATGTTTATTCCTCCTACATTTTTCTTATTTTTCAAGTTGTTTTCGCTATTCTAGGAAATTTACTTTTTCATATAAATGTTAAAATAAGCTTGTCTGTGTTTACAAAAACTTGCAAGATTTTGATAGGAATTGTATGAAACTTATAGCTCAATTTAGGGAGAACAGACAACTTTAATATATTGAATATTCCAATTTTAAAACATGGCATGTCTCTAAAAGATTTTAAGTCCTCTTTGATTTCTTTCATCAGAATTTTATAATTTTATTATATTGAATCTATACATGTTGTTTTAAATGTATATCTAAGTATTTCAATTTTTGGAGCAATTGTATGTGGTATACTTGCATATTTTAAAATTCTGGTTTCCACCTGTTTGTCATCAGTATATATAATTGTAATTTTTGTGTTGATGTAACTTGCAACCTTACTGAACATATCAGTCTAAGAGGTATGTTTAAAGATTTCTTGGGGTTTTCTATGTGGACAATCGTTTCATTCACAAACAGAGTTTTATTTGTTTATTTTTAATCTGTGTGCCTTTATTTTCCTTGCATTATTTAATTACCTATCATTTCCAGTATTATACTGAATAAGAGAATTGAAGGCACACATCTTTGTTTCGTTCCTTATCTTACAGGGACATTCAGTCTTCAGCCATTAATTATGATGTTAGCTGTAGGTTTTTGGAGATACTCTTCATAAGGTTGAGGAAATCCCCCTCTATTTCTGATAGTTTTATCAAGAACAGGTCTTTGAGTTTTGTCGAATGACATTTCTTTGTCAGTTAATATGATCATATAATTCTTCTTCCATAGTCTGTTGTTAGAGTGGACTGACTACATTGAGTTATTTTTTAATATCAGTGCTTGAACACCTGACATAAATCTCATTTAGTCATATTGTATTTTTTATTCATTTTTTGCCATAAATTTGCTGAAATCTTGTCGCAGATTTTGACATTTTAGTTCTTGAGAGATGTCAAGATAATACTTGTCTTTATTTTTTGGAAGTGATTATACAAAACTTTTTTTTTTTTTTTGACAGAATCTTACTCTATTGCCCAGGCTGGAGTGCAGTGGCATGATCTTGGTTCACCGCTACCTCCACCTCCTGGGCTTAAGCGATCCTCCCTCCTCAGCCTCCCAAGAAGCTGGGACTACAGGCGTGTGCCACCATGCTCAGATAATTTTTGTATTTTTAATACAGACGGGGTTTCACCATGTTGGCCAAGCTGGTCTCAAACTCCTGACCTCAAGTAATCCACCCACCTCAACCTACCAAAGTGCTGGGATTACAGGCGTGAGCCACCATGACTGGCCACAAAATTGGTTTCAATTCATTTTTGAAATGGGTACAGTTCTCCATTGAAGCCAGATGGGCTAGAATAATTTTCAGAAACTCTTCTGTTACTAATTCAATTTCTTTAATATTTACAGGATCATTCAAGTTGTCTCTTTTATCTAGGCTGAGTTTTGGAAGCTTATGTTTTTAAGGAATTGGTCCATTTTTTCTAAGCTGTCAAATTGATGAGTCTATAGCTGTTTGTACTATTCCCTTATCATTCTTTTAGTGACTATTAGATCTGTAGTGATGTCTCTAGATTATCCTCGATGTTGATGAATTATCCGTCTTGCTAGATGCGTCTCAATTATTTTATTATTTTCTCATTGCAAAACCAATGTTTTGTTAAATTATTTTTCTTTATTGTTTTCCTATATTTAATTTCACTGATTTATGTTTTTATCTGTGTTGTTTCCTTCCTTCTGGTTGCTTTGGTTTTAGTTTGCTCTTCTTTTTCAGTTTCTAAAATTAGGAATTTCTATTATAAATTTGACGTATTTTCCTAATGTAATCACTTGGGATTATAAATTTCCCTCTCAGCACACTTTTGTACAGATTTGATATGTTGTGCTTTTATTTTTGTTCAGTTATATGTATTTAAAATTTTTTTCTGAGACTTTAACCATGTGTTGCTTAATTTCTAAGTGTTTTAGAAATCTTTCGTCTTTCTCTTATTAACCTCTAGTTTAATTTCATTATGGTCAGAAAATGTATACTGTATGATTTCCATTGTTTTAAAATGTGTTAAGATTTGTTCTATGGTCCAGGATATAGTCTATCTTGGTAAACGTCTCATAGGTGCTTGAAAAGAGCGTGTATTCTATTGTTGTTGAATGGCGTGTTATATAACTGTCAGTTTGATCCTATTGAGTTGATAGTGTTGTCCAGCTCTTCTGTATTCTTTCTGGAAGTCTATCCAATAGTTTTATCAATTGCTGCAAGTGGGATGTTGGAGTTTTAGTGTAACTGAAAATTTGTCTGTTTCTCTTTTTAGCTCTATCAGTTTTTGCTTCATGTTTTTTTGAAACTCTTTTGTGTGTACACATTTAGGATTGCTATATGATCTTGGTGAATTTGTTCTCCTGTTATGATATAATGTCTCCCTTTATCAGTAGAAATTTTTCTTGTTCTGAAGTCTATTTTACCTGAAATTAATACAACCAATTCTGCCTTCATCTAATATTTTCATCACGTTTCATTTTCCATCCTTGTACTTTCTGCCTACCTACGTCATTATATTTGAATAGCAAAAAGCTAGGTCATACTTCCTCACTCTACTCATCTCTTTTATTGATGCCTTTATTTATTTTTTAATTAACTTATTTATCTTTAAATTGACACACTGTAATTGTACATATTTATAGGGTCCAATCTGATGTTTTAATACATAAGCGATGTGTTGTATAATGATTAAATCAGAACATTCAGCAAGTTTATTACTTCATACATTTAGCATTTATTTGTGGTAAGCACATTCAGAAGCCTATCTTCTAGCTCTTTTGTAATATACAAAGCCTTACTGTTAACCATCCTCACTCTACTGTGCAATAGAACATTTAGAGTAATGATTGATGTGTCAGGGCCTAAGCCTGCCATTTTATTATGTGTTTTCTATTTATTACCTTTCGTTCTCATTTTTAATTTCTTTTTTCTTGCCTTTCTGTGGGTTACTCATAGATATTTAGGGTTCCCTTTTTTTATTTATAGTCTTTGTTATTATGTTACTTTATACGTTTTTCTTAGTCATTAGTCTAGGCATTACCATTTACATATGTAGCTTATCACAGTGTAATGGTATCGACTTTTTACTATTTCCAGTGAGAAATAAACACCTCACTTGCATTGAGGCCCCTTTACTTTCCCTGCTTTTTAAGCACAATTTTCTTAAGTATTTCTTCAACATATGTTGAGCACCAAATTAGATAGTTATATCTTTGTATCCACCAATTACAGAAAATTATGAGGTGAAGTATAGTCTATCATGTTTAATTTTATTTCTGTTCTGTTTTTTTTCCAAAGGTACCAGCCTTTGGCCAGGTGTGGTGCCTCATGCCTGTAAGCTCAGCACTTTGGGAGGCCAAGGTGGGTGGATGGCTTGAGATCAGGAGTTTGAGACCAGCCTCGGCACCATGGCGAAACCCCATCTCTACTAAAAATACAAAAATTAGCTGGCTGTGGTGGTGTGCACCTTTAGTCTCAGCTACCTGGGAGGTGGAGTCCGGGAGTTTGAGGATGCAGTGAGCCATGACCATGCCTCTGTGCTCCTGCCTAGGAGACAGAATGAGACCCTGTCTCAAAAAAACAAAGCAAAGGCTTAGTGACACTGTTAGAGTCTGGGCTGTGATAGCAATTGCGCCTGGAAGGCATTAGGGTCTGGTTTGTGTTAGAAAATTTTATTCAAGGTGACTGCAGCAGTCATATTTATTCTCACTTTTGGGTTGGCTTCATAAGGACTAGATAAGCTCTTATTTTTCTTCCAATAAAGTTTTCAATATTGTTTTTATTAACATAAAAGTAATATGGACTTATTTTAGCAAAATTCAAAAAAAAAAATCACAGGTAAAAACCAAGCTACTACCAACACCTTAATACATAGACTTCATTTTGTTTTGAGGGGAAGAGGTGTAGGGGGGTAGCTATTGCTGCCATTTACTGAATACTTACTGTGTGTTAAGCCTTCTACGTATTTAGGCCAGATGGCCACCTCAGCTCTTTTGGGCTCTTAAAGTCTTTAATGAGTTGAACTGAACCCTTATTCTAGGTCTTAGGACAGTATGTTGGCCCTCGTCTTAATTTTTATGAATTTTAGATAATTTGGTCTTCGCAAGCTGTCCCAATTTTCATTGTGTTAATCCAATTCCACAGCTTAAAAAGGATCCACTTCCTCTTAGCCTTTCAATTTCCTCTTAGCCGTTTCTGTTTCGGCCCCAGACTATTGACACCTTTGTCTTCTGGCCTTTCTCCAACCAATGACTTTATCTTCTATCCACTTATTCTTATTGTGGGCTTCCCCATACTGCTTCCAAAGTTCTTTACAGAGACACAGTTTTCTCCTCTTAAGCCTAAGATTTAAAGATGGTCTTTTGTCCATTAAATTTGACCTCTGGGTTTCATCCTTTACCGTAAGTGTACTGATAGTTCTTCTAAAGAAAGGTAGTTAACCAAATAATTTCAGAGAAAATTTTTTCACACTTTTATGTAAGTACAATGTTGTTTAATTCCCATAACAGCATATGATAAGGTATGATTTAGCCCTAATTTGTAAGTCAGCCGACTGTAGCATAAAAAGGATAAGCCAGTTACAATGATGTTTTATAATTTCTTCTAATTGTCTATATCCTCACCAATAAATAAGATTCCTAAAGGTAGAAATTTTGCACTATTCCTATTTTTATCTGAAGTGTCTCATGCAGTGGCTGGAATATAGTATGTAGGCATTAAATAGTTTTCAAATAAACAAAATTACAAGAATGAATAAGTGATCTTACGGCAGCTCTCACCTTAGTTGATTTAGCAACAACTTTGGCACAGTGGATGGCTGCCTCCTCCAGAAGGCACCTCCTCCATTTGACTTCTAGAACATTTGCTTCATTGTTCATTCCTCAGTATCCTTTGCTGGTTCTTCCTACTACCTCAAACTCAAAATTTTGGAAGCTCCAGGGCTATATCTTTGGTCATTTTTTTTTTCAATCTACACTACATATTTTGGTGATTTCATCCAGTCTCATATTTCTGTACATTCACAATATGGTAAAGACTAATTTTTGTGATTTATCTTGAACTTCTCAATTGCTATCACAGCCCAATGTGTACAAACTTAACTCCTCATCTCTCATAAACCTGTTAATCCTTTTAGCCTGCTTAATCCAAAAACCTCCTAGTCACCCTTGATTCCACTCTCACACATCCTGCATCAAACCCCTTTGGAAAATCTACTGGTTCTAATTTTTAAACAAATTTATAAATAAAAATAAAAATAAATTTTAAAATAAATAAGTCCAGAAATCAGTCGTTCATCACCAACTCCACAGCTACTGCCCTAGTGTGGGCCATCATTCTTCTCTCTTAGATGACTGCTGCAGTTTCCAACTGTTCTTCCTGCTTCTGTTTTTGCCATCGTACAGGCTATTCTTACTTAATATATCAGCCAGAGTGTTCCTGTTACTTCTTTGCTCAAGACGCTCTACAATGCCTGATTCACACAAATAACAACAATAGAAGAAAAGTCTCTAAATGGACTGGGGACATGTGAACACGTACTGTATATCTTACAAAAGTAAGGTCTTTATTTTTAGTTATAATAATGGTCTTGTGGTTATGTTTAAAACAATGAAGGTCCTATCTTTTGAAGATATTACTAAATTATTTACAAGTGAAATGATATAATGTCTTGAATCTGTTTTAACATAATCAGGAATCAGGGGGCTGGGCAGGAATATGGATGAAATAAAACAAATTAGATGGGCCTTATATTTTTATTGATATATAATGATTGTACATATTTTTGGGATACATGTGATATTTTGATTCATGCACACAACGTGTAGTGAGCAATCAGGGCAATTTGAACATCCATCACCTCAAACTTTTATCATTTCTTTTTGTTGGGAACATTCCAAATCTTTCTGGTAGTTTTTTTTTTAAGTATACAATAAATTATTGTTAAGTATAGCATCGTACTGTGCTAGGAAACACTAGAACTTATTTCTTCTATGTAACTTTATTTCTGTATCAATTAATCAATCTACAAGACTGCCCTCATAATTATTTTAGTTGGATCATTGGGTTTAATTATATTAGTGTCTCCACTTTTATGGTTTTGACAATTTATGTAACAAAAAAAGAAAGATAATCCTCTAATAACTCTCCTTTTCACTCAGAGTAAAAGCTAAAATTCCCACCTGATTGGCCCCCATTTCTTCTCTCCAGCCTCATTTCCTACTGCTCTATGCATACGTCACTCCACCTTAGCCTCTCTATTGTCCCTCAGATATATCAGGCACACCCCTACCTTAGACACTGTGCTCTAGATCTTTTATCTGTTTATATCTTCCTGTCTAACTTTCACAAATCTTTTGAGTCTTTGCTCAAATATCAGCATCTTAATGAGATGTATTTTAACTGCCAGATTTAATAATGATGCAATTGGTCCCTCATTTGCACCAAACTCCCAATCCTCCTTATACTTTTCCTTTTTTTCTTTTCTCCATAGTACTTATAACTTTTTAATATTTTTGAAATTTATTGTTTATTATTTATTAAATATCTCCCTCCACTGAAATGTAAACTCCCCAAAGCAGTCTTTCAGTCTCCATATGTTTTTGTTCTTGTGCATAGAACACGGTAGGAATTCAGCAAACATCTGTTAAATAAATGAATCAACAAGCTGTCACAGGCAGAGTACAGATTCAAACCAACATTTTAAAGCCAGTGTCTTTAACGGCTGTGCTTTTATAACAAGTTGATAAGTCATAAATTATCACTTGTTAAAATGTCTCAAGTTACTAATACAGTAAACATCTACAAAATTATTTGTCGTCAATGGACTACTAAAAGATATGGAACATTACACTTTTATATTTAAATATAAAACCAATTTTAAAGTTAGGTTTAAACTGATATATATGGGTGCGGAGCCTTTTCCATCAGCTCTGCAGTTAGAATATCCCCCAAAGGCAGCATGGATGGCCAAACCAAGCCTCCTCTCTCAGTCAGAAGAGATTATTGGTATTCCTGGCAACAGACTTACAATGAAAGTCAGGCCCTCAATCTAATGTTCTTGGCTTTCAGCAGAAGTCCATTGATTTTGCTTCTTCAAACTCCTTTCTAGGGTTTGAAATATGATAGATAATTACTGCTTTCCATCTGGGCATGAAAGACACAGTCCATTAAAAGGCATTTGACAATCAAGTAGGTAGAGTCTGAGGCCTTACCTTTTACATCAGTTCCTGAAATTTTTGTCTGAACTTCAAACTCAACTTGTTAAAAATGAAACTCATTATCTCTTCACTATGCAAACCACCGACTTATCCTTCTTTGCCTTCGTCATTATGGAGAATGTCATCACCAGTCTGACAACCAACAACTGCCTCAAAGACTCAAGTCACTTTTGGCTTATCTTTTCTAAACATTCACTCAGCTGCCACATCAAATAGAGCCAACTCCAACAAGTCTCCTTGCAAGCATTTGCTTCCTGTCATTTTTTTTTCTACCTTCACCCATGTTAATCTTTGCCTGTTATTTAGACATTGGCAATCCCTTCCAGTTTGGACCCCCAGTATTGCATCTGTCCTACACACTCAGCCAAATGATTCCTACTGAAGTTGAGATTTAACTATGTTGCTCTCTTGTTCATATGTATGCATATATGCATTTAAATTAACATTTTATTCCATTATGAGACCTGGAGTCCATTCATAGGCTTCTTGACAGTGAGCAAAGTGCTAATAAGGACTCTTGTTATAACGTTTCTTTTATGTTCATTAAATTGAGAAGAACCACATCTTGAAATTCAAGATTTTATATAACATACCCTACTAGACATAACCAGCTGAACAAGTCAGCTACAATTACATAACAAAGCACTCCACAGCACAACAATTGGTAAAAATAAGCACTTATTTTTCTTACATAACGGTTTGCTAATCAGCTGGAATAGCTTTGCTTGAGGCTGGGCTTTGGATTCAGTGTGTGCACTGGGTCCAAGTCTGTCCGTCTTTAGACCAGAAGCTGCCCTTGGGGATTTATCTTTGATGCCTCTTTTATAGCAATAGGCAAGCCCACCTACACAAGCACATTTAAAGCCACAGCTTGGGTTACATCTGATCATGTTCCATTTGCCACAGCAAATCCCATGGTTGAACCACAAATCCAAGGTCTGGGCAGGGAAGTACACTCTGACACAAAAGGGAGGAGGAGATATTTATACGGCACAGTCTGTCTTCCATATCCATGGTATCTGCAGCCAGCAGATTCAATCAACTGCAAATTTCAATATAAAGGACTTGAGCATACACAGATGTTGGTGTCCAGGGGGTCCTAGAACCAATCTCCACAGATACCTGGGGATGCCTGCACTCCAATTTATCATGGCAGCCTTATTTCCTTATTTAACACTCCCTTTAGTGTTCAATGACTACTGGTAATAAAATGATTTAATTCTAATGGTGATTATGAATCAATAATTATTGTAAGTACTTATAATAATAATTTCTTTTTTGAGGTAATTTTAGTAAGCCCAATCTCTCTCTCCCACTGCAAAATCTCATTGCTGTGGTCCCTATTTGTATCACAACAGCCTTGAATAAAGTTTGCCTTATTGTGCTTTATCAAGTATCATTGAATAATTTTTTCTTTAACAGTATCTGGGTAGCACTATTATGTTATTTGCATGTATTAAATCATTCAGTATAAGTTACTTTTCTTCAGACATGTCCCTTGACTTCTCTTATGTTTTGTTCATTCTTTTCCATTTGCTTAGTATGTTTTGTTTCATTTGCTTAGTATATATTTCTTCCACTTTTTTTCCTTTGAAAACTTACCAATATTTTATGGTCTGTCAGAATTGCCACCCTCTCCCTGAAGTTTATCTCGATTTAACTAATGTGATCTACTCACATTGAACCTCCAGAGCACTTTAAGAAAAATTCATTCATGGCTTTTTAATCCTGCTTCATCTTAAACAATTTACCTTCCTTTTCCCACTCTAAGAATAAAGCTCATTGAGGACAGTACACCTGTCCTGTTCTTCTGTGGCTTTCTTATTAGACCTTAGTAATGATACATGCTAGGTACTGTCTATTGCTGTCTACTGAGGTCAGTTAAAGGCAAGATGCTGTGAGAAGTCCCAAGCCCCTTTCCACAGCAGCCGTATTGATTTCTGTGTGACTTTGAAAAAGTCACATAACCTCTCAGTGCCTCATTTGTTCCAGCTGTAAAAATCAGGAAAACTGTGCTTATCATTGGCTGTCTAATGATTTAGAAGCATTGTTAAGGACTAATGAGATAGAATAAAACTCTCTGAGTCTTCTAAGTAAAGGTGTGATAAAGGAACAAATTAGCTATTATTATCTATTAGTAGCAACTTGCATAAAATTCTCCCCAACCCTGAAAATAAATTACATAATTTTGGAAGAACAATTAACTCTTTTGGTCCATTAGGCAATGAATTAGTACATTAAATTTAATAATAAGACCTTACATATTCCATTTGCAAAGTGCTTTCACAAATACATTACCTAATTTCACCTTCAAAAAAATCTTATGGACTGAGGAGAGCTAGTATTGTCATCTGAAATCTACATATGATAAATTTGAGGCACAGGAAGATTAAGAGGCTTTTGCAAACTTGAACAACTTGTAAATGAAAAAATACAGTACTTGAACCCATTGTTTTGACTGTAAGGCCAGATTCAATTCCACTTCATCACACAAGAGTAAATATAATTGTTATTTAAAATATAATTATTAGTGCACTATGTAAAAAAGGTCCTGAATCAATAATCCCAGAAACACAAATAAAAATAATCATCAACAAATGTTGATTTTTTTCAAAGGTCAAATTTGAAAAGGTAGCATGGATGAATTCATACAATGTTGGTGGTAAGTTAAAATAGTATAATCCATTTTAAAATATATTAATTTATTCAACAAATATGTATTATCTTGCTATGAGGTGCCAGGCATACTGAGAATAATGTGGTTCCTGCCTCTTACAGCTTACATCTGAATGGATGGAAAGAGATTGTAAACATGCAACAAATAAATATGTGTTTTCAGGTAATGAAAAACGATGTTGGAATAGAGAATTATAAATGTAAGTATTACATTAGAGAAGCATCCTGAGGTTATATTAGAGCTGACATCTGAACAATGAGAAGCTGTTTACCAGGGGAAGATCCAACTGGATAGCACTGGAAGCTGAAGGGATACAAAGGCCCATGTACAAGAAATCACATGGATTGCTAAAGGGTCAGTGTGAGAGTTCAGTGTGGGAAAATTAAAGTCCACAGTTATTTCTTAAGAAAAGAAATGTAATTCTATTAATCTGAACATACACTAACAAAGAATAACAAATCCCCAAGACACTTTTGTATCTTCCTTACTCATACAATGTATAGTAAAATTTAGAAAATAAGGAAAATTAGTCATTCCCAATATCAATAAAATTATTATAAAATTATTATTAAAGATACCAAATGAACTATTCATGTTTTCAATCATATATTTGGAAAAATAATCAGAATATGGTTCAAAATATCCCAACAAGAAACATTAATATCAAGAATTGCAACATGTTTGACAGGAAAGAAAAATTTCTGTTTTCTATTTCAATGGCTATGACAATATTGCAAATTAAAAAAAAGTCAGTCTCACTGTAAAAACAGAAAAGAAGAATACATGTATATTTTTCTAATCTAAAAAAATTAAAACATTTTAAACTGTAATTTTATTTTCTCTACTTTCTTACTTTAATTATACAACTAGACTTAAATTTATGCACAAAGAAAATCTCGACAATTTTTACTCAATATTATCTCTAGATTGACTAATAGACTCGTCACAAATTCTATCAAAATTTTATTAGGCTTTTTTGAGAAGCTAGTTCTAATTTTATATGAGAATACAAAGGCCTGAGAATAGCCTGAACAATCTTGAAAAAGAACAAAGTTGAAGGATCTATACTTCTTGATTTCAAGACAAACTATATAGCCATAGTAATGAAGATAGTGTGCTATTGACATAAAGACAGACTAATAGATCAAGGAACAAAAATAAGTGTACAGAAATAGACCCACGCATGTAGAACAAAATTATCTTCAACCAAGGTGTGAAGTTAATTCAATGAAGAAAGAGAAGTCTTCATTTACTTTCTTCTTTTCCTATTTTTTCCAAACAAATATTACTGTAACAACTAAATATTTAATTTGGAAAAAATGAATATTAATCTCGATCACATTTCTTATACAAAAATTAATTTGAGATGAATCACAGATCTAAATTTTAGAACTATAATCATAATGAACAAAACAAAAACTATTCTTGGAAAACTTAAGATAAAAAAACATTTTGACAGGACACATAAAGCACTAATTATAAATGATAAAAATTGATTAGTTGGCCTTCATCAAAATGAAATATACTATCTAAAAAATCACTGTTAATGAAATGGTATATAAGCTACAGAATGAAAGAAAAATATTAGCAAAACATATGTCTGACAAAGGAATGATATCAGGACATATAACAAATTTCTGCAAATCAATAAGAAGAAGACAACTCAATAAATAATATTTTAAATAGTTAGACATTTCACAAAAGAAACTATACAATAAACATCCAAAAATGTAATCAAAGTTCTCAGTTATAAAGAAAATAAAAATTAAAACTATAACAGAAACACTACCATATCCATACTGGAGTAGATAGAAAAGACCAACACCAAATGTCAGTGAGAATATAAAGTTTTTATATTTTGCTGGTTGCTTCTTTGATGAACTATTTCAAATTTCTATGTAAAATTATTAACCAAGAAAAGAAAAATCATATTTTCACTAAAAAGTACATAACAAAGTTCATAGAAGTCTTTTTTTGTAATAGGCATAAATGGGAAACAACCCTAATATCCGTTAACAGAAGAATAAATAAATTATGAAATACTTCTATAATGGAATATTATCCAACATTTTGTGTATGTGTAGTTTACAAGAAAGTGAATAATTAATTAACTAGTTAATTAACTGAACAACTAAGTAATTAGTTAACTAATTAAAGATTAACAAGTTTTCATGTCAATATATCTAAAGAAGATGAATGGAGGCACACAAAATGGATGGAAATTTACTCTTTTGAGTAACTGTCGTTTTATCCCATGTACAGTATAGAGTTTGTTGAAGTAATTCAATTTTACTGCAATGGAAACATTCTGAGGGTAGGTTTAGAGTCCATGTATAGTGAACTACGCATACACAAAATGACTTGGATAAATTACAAAAATATCATGTTAAGCAAAATAAACCAGACACACATACAAACAAAATATATACTGTATGATTCCATTGTGAAAAATCAAGAACAGACAAAATTAATGTATGGTGATACAAATAAAAAATAAAGGTTAAGGAGGATGACCAGAAAGAAACTTTAGTGAGATATTATTCTATATTTTATTTTTGGTGGTGGTAATATGAATGTATTTAACTATGAAATCACAAACAATCTATGTATGTTCTATACATTTTTTAGTATGATAATTGCATCTCAGTAAAGTAAATTAATATTGATTAGAATAGATGATACTTCCTTTCAATATCCCAATAAAGACACACTATATCTTTTGGTTTTTCAGTGGGATCCATTGAGGGTGGAGAGGAGACAACTCAGGTGGATCAATGAGTCTGACAGAGTGGAGCCAAATCAGATAAGTATTTGCTTATAAAAATTATATCAGAAAGGGTTTGAGATTGGTTATAAAGGTTGAAGATTGACTGTGATTCAAAAGTTAAAAGGCTTTCCTTTTTCCATACAAAGTTGTCCATAAACAGTTAATTCAGTTTATATAGCACTCCTCAGAATTGAAAATAATCGTTTTTTTTTTTATGTTGGTGGAGAAGCTGGAATTCCTGAATCAATTGCCACTGCTTTTGCTGGCTTAAGACATGTTTAAGGGACTTCCAAGGATTACGGTGATCATACAGAATTTTCACACTATACATGGACTCTAAACCTACCCTCAGAATGTTTCCATTGCAGTAAACTTGAATTACTTCAACAAACTCTATACTGTACATGGGCTAAAACGACAGTTGCTCAAAAGAGTAAATTTCCATCCATTTTGTGTGCCTCCATTCGTCTTTAGATATATTGACATGAAAACTTGTTAATCTTTAATTAGTTAACTAGTTAATCAATTATTCAGTTGGTTGAAATGACAACGTTAATATTTGACTTCCCAGTCTGGGAGTAGCCCTAGACAAGATTTCTCCAGTATGTTAACTAGCTAGAAATGAGGTCTTGAGGAAAACTGTGTAGATGTGGGTATCTATTGATATGGCTTCCTAGGTTTGAAATCACCATTTGGCCATACTTCCACTCCCAAGGTATCTATTTTGTCTTCACATTTTCTTTAATCTCCCATTGGATAGGGATTTACCCCTCCACACTTGATTCAGTAGTCTACATACACATATTCTCTGAATGTTTTTTTCTCTTATTTAACAGAAAAAAATGACAAGTTTTATGTAGAACAGATCTTCTCAAACTTCTCCAACTTTAACACATGGTAAATACCTGGGATCTCATCAAATTCAGTAGTTCAAGGGTGATTCTGACTTTCTAATGAGTTTCCAGATGGTGTGCAGGCTGATGTTTCATGGACCACATTTTGAGTAGAAAGGTGGTAGATTTGCACTATCACAGTCTCTCACTTGCAAATCACCATGCATCTCTGCTTATCCTTTACCTGCTTCCCTCTGACCCCTGAAGAGCCATCACAGTTTGTTGTAACATTTTACATGCTGCTCTCTCCAAGCTGACTGTGTTTTCTGTATGTTGATATCTCCAATGGCCAGAGCATATCAGGAGCTCAAAAACTATTTATGTTAATCCAAAAATAAAATAATAAATAAAATAATTTTGTAGAATTCTGCCAATACCTAGGACAATTATAAACACACTCACACACACACACAGGCACACATGCAGATACCACTTTGGGACAGACAAATTCAGAAATTTTAGAAAGTTAAATAGAAGCCAGCAGTTATCAGAAAGGACCACCTCCTGTATTACAAAATCACCACTTGTGCTTGTATTTTATTCCTTAAACTTGATAAAGAAGCTTTATCACAGAATAGAAGAGCCTAGCAATGGTTATAATAGACAACTGTGGTAAAAGTTGGGGGGTGGGAGGGATAAGCACCTTAGTCCCAAAGCCAGCAAACTTTCCTTCTACTTTCTTTGAGTCGATGCTGGCAGAGTATTTTATTCATTTTTATTACAGTGGATACTTCCACTGTCTATGAAAATAGCTGAATCTGGGAATTTGTTATCTTTCTAGCTTTGATATGTTACATTTAAAAAAATCATTTCTTTGCCTCAGAGGAGAATAAAAAAAGAGCAGCTTCTACACATTTACTTTTCACACCGCAAAGATGTTCTTTCTTTCTTGCAGAATGGTTAGGAGATGCAAAATTACTTCCACTAGTTCCCAAACCAAAGAATCATCACTGGATTGTTGTATGTTTTTAAACTTTGTAATTCCACATTTTGTATTTTTGAAAAGAGTTTTTGTGTCTGCATTTTTAGAAATGCTGAATAGTCTAATATGAAAATATAGCACACATTGCTATAAAAGAATCATTTTTTGATCACATAAATTTGGAATTTTTGAATTGTCCACATGAATATTTTTGGAAGTTATTTGAATAGTCTCATAATATAGCTCTTTATAAAATTATGTGAAGTGAGATTTGGACAAGGACATAAAGACAGTCTTATATAGTTTGGCTATGTCCCCACCCAAATCTCATCTTGAATTGTACTTCCCATTATCCCCACATGTCGTGGGAGGGTCCTGGTGAGGGGTGATTGGATCATGGGGGCAGTTTCCCCCATGCTGTTCTCATAATGGTGAGTGAGTTCTCAAGAGATCTGATGGTTTTAAAAGCATCTGGCATTTCCCCTGCTAGCATTTCTCCTTCCTGCTGCCTTGTGAAGAAGGTGCTTGCTTCCCCTTTGCCTTCCATCATGATTGTGAATTTCCTGAGGCCTCCCAGGCATGCTGAACTGTGAGTCAATTACGCCTCTTTTCTTTAAAAATTACCCAGTCTCAGGTATGTCTTTATTAGCAGCATGAGAATGGAGTAATACATAGTTTTAATCAAAGCTATCATTTTACTTAAAGATGAGGAACTGATGTCTAAAAGTTTAAGCAACCTGTAGAAAATCCCTGAACATAGCTACTATAAGATCATTGAAATTGTGTATAACAAAATTAACTGAATTAATCTATTTCTGGCTACTCATATGATCTTTTTTCATTGCCTCTGTGACACACTCCTCATGTGCTGTCTGAACACAGAAATTCTCCATGCCTTTTATTTCTTAATTGATATGACCAAGAAGATATGCATATCCAAACCTTGCTTAAATGCTTTTTTTAAAAAAATTTTGATGTAATGCTAACAAAAAGGTTGAATTCATCCTATTTGAAGACAGATTCCAGGTGTTACTCATTTTGCATCTGAGTGTAAATGATCATTTTATACCATATTATGACCAATTTATCTTTCCCCAAATGTTTGGAACCATATGTGCACAAAATAAATCATTACCATAACCTAGATTCAAGCACATACAATATACTCAGGCTGTGAACATCTTTCCTCTTCCCCGTGTTCATTCTTGGTACTTTCCTTGAGAAGAATCCTTGGACTTGCTTTTAAGGTTTTGGGCCCCAACACTGTTTTTTGAGGTCCTACACTGGGAGATTTTGGAGATTGTATTACGCTTTTTAAATTAAGGCAGATCATGAGGAAAAAAATAATGTGGTGCCTCAAGTTCATTTCAAAAGGATATATATAACCTATGTTTGTAGAGATCTCAAAGACTTTACTCTCCAAAAATACTGCGTGGTAGAGTGGCTTCTTGTATTCTTTCATGCTCCCCATGGAGGTTACCAAAGTGATACTGAGGAATATTTTAAATTTATTAAGAAAACAGAATGGCACATGTCAGGCACTACATGAACTATTAGCTTGAGGTAGCTCAAAGTTTTAACATTAGATCATGCTACATTTCTTTCAATTATGCCATATATTTAAGAAATCTACTTCTCAGTAGTTGCTGTGTTGGAAAGCCAGCACTGCATGAAACTCAATATGGAAGAGTAAATGTGGAAGAGGAAATTGATCAATCTGATTACAAGATTCAAAAAATTATATGGCACTCAACTTATAAGTAGCTGCAGTTATTTGAGAATGGAATAAAAATGTTTTTAAATTTATAAGAATTACTTTAATATACAGCTACTAAGTTGTTGGAATATAAATACCTATTAGTTGTTTTTGCCTATTTCATAAATTGAACCATTAGCTTTTTTTTTTTTACAGTTGGGGTGTCATGAAAAGAAAAAAATAAATTACTGAGCCACTAACTGTACAAAAACAAAAGAATAGTATTAACTGATTTTTGTTGTGTGAAAACCAACACCAAATATCACCAACTTACATAGAAATAAACATAAATTTTGTTTAAATACAGACCCTTAGATTGGCTGAGATTTGGGTAATTTCCACAAGCTTAGCAGGGCTTGGCTCTGCTCTACTGTGTTTCATTCTTGATCTCAGGCTGAAGGGGGAACCACGATCTGAGAAATGGTCTTTACATGAATCAAGGAGCACATAAGGCAAACCAAATCACACAAATATATTGTACATACTTTGCTCAAATCATGTCTTGACCAAATCACCTGTCCAAGGTCAGCACTGATGGGATGAGAAAGTACACCTGGTTTAGAAGCAGAAGCAATGCAAAGACATGCCAAAGGAGTGGATAACTGGGAGAAATGATGCAATATACCACTGTTATAATGTTCATTTTTCATGGCTCCATATTTTGCTATCCATTAGACACAGCTCTATCCCGTCTTGAGATGTTTTTGACCATCTCAGACTTTATGGCACCAAGCTGGCTGCCTTGGTTTTTGAAATGTCCAAGTTGCCTGACTTTTTACATCAAATGAGGGGAGGGAAAAGAATCATCAATTTTTATTAAAGGCCATAAAAGCCATGGAAAAGAAAGATATGGGGGTGTCTTTGTCTCTAAGTAATGCTGAATAATTTTGAAATAAATGCTACTTAAACAGAAGGAAGAAAGAGAAGGGTAAAAACTATTCATATGTTTGAACATTATGTTGTTCAGTCTTCAAGCAACATCTAATTGTTGGTCATAAATGAAGGATAAATTCTAACTTTTCCTGTTTGTCTACATAATTTACATCATTCTTTTATTATTAAGCACCTGTGCTAATACAAGTTAACTTCATGTTAACATTTGTATAAAGCCCATTTATCTTCCTACTTGAATACTCTTATTTTTCCAACCTGAAATGTCCTCCAGTTTGCTGGGTGAACTTATCAACCTTCTAAAATGCACTTTAATGTTCTCCACTAGGAAACATTTTCTTATATACTAACACACATACATACACATACACACACACAGAGACACACTCATGTATGCTCACAACCTCCATCCTCCTCTTCAGTTACCCTCTATTCTAGGCAAGCAGAGGGGGCTCATACTCCTATGTCCAAACATAGTCTCATTTCTATCCTTTTCATCTCATTGTTTTATTTATCTCACTATATTGCAACTTACTTGCATCTATATCCCCACAGATGGTTTATTTCTTGAAGGGTTGTGTTGTAATCATCTTTATATCACAAAAATCTAAAATGAAGCATAACACCTCTTTATTAAGTTAAAACTTCTCTGAGCTTTGCCACTGACTTCACAGTGTTGTTTTGAAGGTTAAATAAGACAATGGACTTGAAAATGCCTATTTGACAGGATGAATATGAATATGCAGACTTTATATAGCTTAGGAGGTTTTGGCACCCACATGTTTTCATTCTCTAGTTTGATACTTGGAATCACGCATTGCATAGAAAGGAAAAGAAGTGCTACAATCTCCCCTTTTTGCAGGTAAAGAAACTGAGGCTCATCAAAGTTGGAGCAAGAACTAGGCTTCCCTGAGATACTTAGATGCTGGGATTTGACTTAAATTGCTGACTGAGTGCCCAGGTAATCTCCTTGACACATCACATGAAAGTATCCATGAGAAGTAAAATATCACAATGAATAAAGGCTGGTTTTTAATTACTTTGGAAATAAGGATTTCCTGGAATAGCATTATATACTTTTTGAAAACCAGCTTTACTAAAGCTAATGCTACTTACCTTCTGTGTAATTTCCAGTGCTGTTTACAAAATCAGAGAGAAAAGAGCTTTTAACTAAGGTTTTGGTTTTTCAGACAATAGGGAGAGAAGGAAACAGAAATTGTTCTCTGTACCTCCTGCTGGCCACTCCACTTCCCCAAGTCCTCAACTCCTTAAATCCCTCTAAGAAAAAAGCTAAACATCTTGGTAGACTATTGCCATGGAAATCTGCTGAATTTCCTTTCATGGACACTCTCCAACACTGTTTTTGTTCATTAGAGCTGATCTACACCAAGGTTCTTCCCAGCAATCTATACATTTTGACTAAACAGATAAAAGTGAATAATAGTGGGAAAATGATTGCTTTTATCTCTAACCCAAAAAACAATCCTTTAGTATTAAAGTCCAAAGAATCTGCACAGATGGCTTTGTCACCCAAAGTGAAAACGATCCCTTATTGCCAAATGGCATAGGCCGCTTCTGAGTTAATGATGCATTTTGGTTTTTAATACTCTAGTGACTGAGAGAACTGTAACAAATCTCCATGACTTGAATTTCAGGGCATGGACCTGTTAATCAATGACTTGGAAAAGTCACCTTCAAGGTTGTCAAGTGCTACACTATTCTTTATTTCTCCTGTACAGAAAGTCAGCTCTTTTCTTGCTCAAGATTATGCTGCCTGTGTATTTTAAAGTCTATCAAAAGCTGAAGAACATCCTGGCATCATTTTTGTGAGGATTATTAGTCAAATCCCATTAGATTCCAGTACAGAATACCCAACTTTTAAAATTGAACATGCAGAAAAATGAGTATATTGTAAATATTGTAGGACATTTCTGGTCAATTACATTTTTCTGGTCTGGTTGCTATCATGTTTTGGTTTGAAAATTCCAAATACAGCAGAAAGTATTTGAGTCAATGAGCATTTGAGAAATGTCCAGAATTCCAATTATACAAATTTTCTCTTGTCATTTGTAGTCCTTGTGGGAGGAGTATGTGCTATGAGACAGAAGCAGTCCTAGATGTCATTGGTAGCTCGTGGACCTTCTTTTTTCTCTTCTTCTTAATTTGCACTAGTATTTGCAGTGGACAATGCACACTCTGAGCTGATGTACAAGTGTTTCAAGTCTGTTTGAAGCATAAAGTAGTTGGTGTATTAGTCAGGGTTCTCTAGAGGCACAGAACTAATAGGATGTATTTATATAGAGAGGGGAATTTATTAAGTATTAACTTACACAATCACAATGTCCCACAATAGGCTGTCTGCAAGCTTGAGGAGAAAAGAGAGCCAGTTCGAGTTTCAAAACTGAAGAACGTGGAGTCTGATGTTTGAGGTCAGGAAGTATCCAGCACAGGAGAAAGATGTAGGCTGGAAGGCTAGGCCAGTCTCACTTTTTCATGTTTTTCTGCCTGCTTTATATTTGCTAGCAGTTGATTAGATGGTGCCCAGCAGATTAAGGGTGGGGTCTGCCTTCCCCAGCCCACTGACTCAAATGCTAATCTCCTTTGGCAACACCCTCACAGACCCACCCAGGATCAATACTTTGCATCCTTCGATCCAATCAAGTTGACACTCAGTAACAACCATCACAAGTCCACCCCTTGTCAACTTGAACCCATACATATCTCCTGAGATCATGCATAATCTTCAAATAAAGACAATAATAAGGTCATAATTACGCCTAACATAATATGACTATCCTTTGTACAACAGGAAATGCACCAATCCCCAACCCAAATACTATTACATAAACTTAACAATACTTAAATGCTGATATGAAGTCAATAAATTTTATGTCAAATGATAAAGGAAAAGGAAATAAAATGAAGATATTTTCTTAGTACAAATGTATACATGCACAAGCATGTTTTTAACAAAAAAGGAGGAAATACTAATGACAGGTACAGTTCCCATTTCTGCAGCTGGTCACGTGGTCATAGCTGGTATTGTCTTTTTCTCCATTCTTGCCCATAAAGCCCACCAGAAGCAATTTACCTTCATCTGGCAAGGCCAGCAATATACCTTTAGTGTCCTACTTCATGGGTATATCAACTCTCTGACTTTGTGTCATTCGAAGAGAACTTGATTGCTTTTTGCTTCTGCAAATATCACACTGGTCCATTACATTAATGACATTATGCTGATTGGAGAGTGAGAAGTAGCAAAGACACACGACTTATTGGTGAGACATTTGCATGCCAGAGGATTGGAAATAAATCTTACTAAAGTTAAGGGACCTTCTACCTCAGTAAAATTTCTAGGGGTCCAGTGGTGTGGGACCTGTCATAAGGTGAAGGATACGTTGCTGCATTTGGCCCCTCCTACAACCAATAAAGAAGCACAATGGCTAGCGGGCCTATTTGGATTCTGGAGGCAATGCATTCCTCATTTAGGTATGTTATTCTGGCCCATTTATCAAATGACCTGAAAGGCTGCCAGTTTTGAGTGGGATCCAGAACAGGAGAAGGCTCTGTAACAGGTCCAGGCTGCTGTGTGAGCTGCTCTGCCACTTGGGCCATATGACCCAGTAGATCCAATGGTGCTTGAGGTGTCAGTGGCAGATAGGGATGCAGTTTGGAGCCTTTGGAAGGCCCCCATAGGTGAATCACAGCAGAGGCCTCTAGGATTTTGGACCAAGGCCCTGCTGTCTTGTGCAGATAACTACTCTCCTTTTGTGAGACAGCACTTGGCCTATTATTGGGCTTTGGTGGAAACTGAACGTTTGACTAGAGGTCATCAAGTCACCATGCGACCTGAACTGCCTATCATGAACTGGATGCTTTCTGACCCATCTAGCCATAAAATGGGTCATGGACAGCAGCATTCCATCATCAAATGAAAGTGGTAGATACGTGTTTGGACTCAAACAGGTCCCGAAGGCACAAGTAAGTTACATGAGGAAGTGGCTCAAATGCCCCTGGTCTCCACTCCTGCAATCCTGCCTCCTATCCTCCAGCCTGCACTGATGGCCTCATGGGGAGTTCCCTATGATCAGCTGACAGAGTAAGAGAAGACTGGGGCATGTTTCACAGATGCTTCTGCATCATATGCAGATACCACACGAAAGTGGACAGCTGCAGCACTACAAGCCTTTTCCTAGGACTTCACTGAAGGATAGTCATGAAGGGAAATCTTCCCAGTGGGCAGAACTTCGAGAAGGGCACCTGGCTGTGCACTTTGCATTGAAGGAGAAATGGCCAGATGTGTGATTATATACTGATTCATGGGCTCCAGCCAATGGTTTGGCTGGATGGTCAGGGACTTGGAAGAAGTATGATTGGACAATTGGTGACAAAGAAATTTGGGGAAGAGGTATGTGGATGGGCCTCTCTGAGTGGTCAAAAACTGTGAAGATATTTGTATACCATGTGAGTACTCACCAATGGGTGACCTGAGTAGATGAGGATTTTAATAATCAAATGGATAGAATGACTCGTTTAGTGGACACCATTCAGCCTCTTTCCCCAGCTACCCTTGTCATAGCCCAATGGGTCCATGAACAAAGTGGCCATAGTGGTAGGGATGGAGGTTATGCATGGGCTCAGCAACATGCACTTCCACACACCAAGGATGGCCTGGCTACGGCCACTGCTGAGTGCCCAGTTTGCCAGCAGCAGAGATCAACACTGAGCCCTCAATATGGCACCATTCCTCAGGGTGATCAGCCAGCTACCTGGTGACAGGTTGATTATATTGGACCTCTTCCATCATGGAAAGGGTAAAGGTTTGTTCTCACGGGAATAGACACTTACTTTTGATATGGGTTTGCCCATCCTGCACACAATGCTTCTGCCAAGACTACCACCCCTGGACTCACTGAATGCCTTATCCACCGTCATGGTACTACACACATCATTTCTTCTGACAAAGGCACTCACTTTATGGCTAAAGAAGTGCAGCAGAATCAATATCGTGAAAATGGCCACACTGCCCAAGATAATTTACAGATTCAATACCATCCCCATCAAGCTACCAATGACTTTCTTCCCAGAATTGGAATAAACTACTATAAAGTTCATATGGAACCAAAAAAGAGCCCACATTGCCAAGTCAATCCTAAGCCAAAAGAACAAAGCTGGAGGCATCATGCTACCTGACTTCAAACTATACTACAAGGCTACAGTAACCAAAACAGCATGGTACTGGTACCAAAACAGAGACATAGACCAATGGAACAGAACAGAGCCCTCAGAAATAATGCCGCATATCTACAACCATCTGATCTTTGACAAACCTGACAAAAACAAGAAATGGGGAAATGATTCCCTATTTAATAAATGGTGCTGGGAAAACTGGCTAGCCATATGTAGAAAGCTGAAACTGGATCCCTTCCTTACACCTTATACAAAAATTAATTCAAGATGAATTAAAGACTTAAATGTTAGACCCAAAACCATAAAAACCCTAGAAGAAAACCTAGGCAATACCATTCAGGACATAGGCATGGGCAAGGACTTCATGACTAAAACACCAAAAGCAATGGCAACAAAAGCCAAAATTGACAAATGGGATCTAATTAAAATAAAGAGCTTCTGCACAGCAAAAGAAACTACCATCAGAGTGAACAGGCAACCTACAGAATGGGAGAAAATTTTTGCAATCTACTCATCTGACAAAGGGCTAATATCCAGAATCTACAATGAACTCAAACAAATTTACAAGAAAAAAACAAACAACCCCATCAAAAAGTAGGTGAAGGATATGAACAGACACTTCTCAAAAGAAGACATTTATGCAAACAAAAGACACATGAAAAAATGCTCATCATCACTGGCCATCAGAGAAATGCAAATCAAAACCACAATGAGATACCATCTCATACCAGTTAGAGTGGCAATCATTAAAAAGTCAGGAAACAACAGGTGCTGGAGAGGATGTGGAGAAATAGGAACAGTTTTACACTGTTAGTGGGACTGTAAACTAGTTCAACCATTGTGGAAGTCAGTGTGGTGATTCCTCAGGGATCTAGAACTAGAAATACCATTTGACCCAGCCATCCCATTACTGGGTATATACCCAAAGGATTATAAATCACGCTGCTATAAAGACACATGCACACGTATGTTTATTGCGGCATTATTCACAATAGCAAAGACCTGGAACCAACCCAAATGTCCAACAATGATAGACTGGATTAAGAAAATGTGGCACATATACACCATGGATTACTATGCAGCCATAAAAAATGATGAGTTCATGTCCTTTGTAGGGACATGGATGAAGCTGGAAACCATCACTCTCAGCAAACTATCGCAAGGACAAAAAAAAAAACACCACATGTTCTCATTCACAGGTGGGAATTGAACAATGAGAACACATGGACACAGGAAGTGGAACATCACACACCTGGGCCTGTTGTGGGGTTGGGGGGAGGGGGGAGGGATAGCATTTGGAGATATACCTAATGTTAAATGATGAGTTACTGGGTGCAGCACACCAACATGGCACATGTATACATATGTAACAAACCTGCACGTTGCGCACATGTACCCTAAAACTTAAAGTATAATAAAAAGTAAATAAATAAATAAATAAACATGTACAAAGGCAGATTAAAGCCAAAAAAAAAAAAAAAAAAAAAAAAGAAGAAGTGCAGCAGTGGGCTCATGCTCATGGAATTCACTGTTCTTACCACGTTCCCCATCATCCCAAAGCAGCTGGATTGATGGAACGGTGGAGTGGCCTTTTGAAATCACAATCACAATGCCAACTAAGTGACAATACTTTCCAGGGCTGGGGCAAAGTTCTCCAGAAGGCCATGTATTCTCTGTATCAGCGTTCAATATATGGTACTGTTTCTCCCATAGCCAGGATTCAAAGGTTTGGGAATCAAGGGGTGGAAGTGGAAGTGGCACCACTCACCATTATTCCTAGTGATCCATTAGCAAAATTTGTGCTTCCTGTTCCCACGACATTACATTCTGCTGGCCTAGAGGTCTTAGTTCCAGAGGTTGGAATGCTGCCACCAAGAGACACGTCAATTATTCCATTAAACTGGAAGTTAAGATCGCCACCTGGACTTTGGGCTCCTACCTTTAAGTCAACATGCTAAGAAGGGAGTTAAAGTGTTGGCTGGGGTGATTGACCTGGACTATCAAGATAAAATCAGTCTACTACTCCATAACAGAAGTAATGAAGAGTGTGCATGGAATACAGGAGATCCATTAGGGCATCATGGTAATAACCATGCCCTGTGATTAAGGTCAATGGGAAACTACAACAGCCCAATCCACGCAGGGCTACAAATGGTCCAGATCCCTCAAGAATGAAGGTTTGGGTTACTCCACCAGGAAAAAAATCATGACCTGCTGAGGTGTTTGCTGAAGGCAAAGGGAATACAGAATGGGTAGTAGAAGAAGGTAGTCATCAATAGCAGCTACAACCACGTGACCAGCTGCAGAAACAGGAACTGTACCTGCCATTAGTATTTCCTCCTAGACTTTAGTCTAGTTATAGGTCTAAAGGCAAACAGGGGTGTTGGGAATCCTCCTGAGGAGAATCAACATCATTTTGCCTGGCAACTGCCTCAGAGGAGGCCATCACTGTTGCTTCAGGCAGCGCAGGGTTTATCTCCTCAGACAAAGGTGGAAAGGCTGATGGCAGCATGGGTTGGAGAGGGGATGTTGCCACTCTTGGGGTTGGGGAAGCTGTTCCTTCTGGAAAAAAGGTTCATCAGAGTTTATAAACTTAATGTCCCCAGCTTCATCAGGGTCCTCCCACACACCCCTATTTCAAGTCGCAGGGTGTCATTCTTTTCCAATCAATGCCCTCACTTTAACAGTAGACACCTGGCGAGGCTGTGCATGCACCTTTCATTGCAGGTCAGCCACTCACATGATAAGAGTTTTTGTCTGTTTTTCCACAATTTCAGCTCTTTCTCTACAGGAGATAAGACTAACTCAGGGAAATCTTAGCAGATTTGAGGGTCATCATCTACTTCTGAAGCCAGGAGACAGAATCCCTAAGTTCATCATTTTCTTTCATCACTTTGTCCACTGAACTTAGGAACAACCAACCAGCTTCATTGCATTCCTCGGTTCTCCACATACGGTCAAAGGTATTATGTATAGAGTCACTAAACTCCTTCCCTCTCATGAGCAGTGAATCAGGAGTGTCAAATGCATTTGTTTTGCATAACTCTCTAAACAGTTCATGCCAAGCACTATTAGTGTTCTCCATACTATTAGAAACAGAGTCCTTAGCAGTTTTAGGTCTAATCATATTAAGCAGCCAACTCCAGAAACCCCAAAACCAATGAAAGAAATCCATCTGTAATACTCTGTTTCTCTAGAACCACTCCTGGTACCAAAATCTGTATTAGTCAGGGTTCTCTAGAGGTAGAGAATAATAGGATGTATATATATATATATATATATATATATATATATATATAGAGAGAGAGAGAGAGAGAGAGAGAGAGAGAGAGAGAGTTTATTCACTTACATGATCACAAGGTCCCACAATAGGCTGTCTACAAGCTTGAGGAGCAAGGAGAGCCAGTCTAAGTCTCAAAACTGAAGAAATTGGAGTCCAGTGTTCCAGGGCAGGAAGCATCCAGCATGGGAGAAAGATGTAAGCTGGGAGGCTAGGTCAGTCTTGCTTTTTCATCTTTCTCTACCTGCTTTATATTCACTGGCAGCTCATTAGATGGTGCCCAGCAGATTAAGGGTGTTTCTGCCTTCCTCAGTCCACTGACTCAAATGTTAATCTCCTTTGGCAGCACCCTCACAGATACACCCAGGATCAATACTTTGCATCCTCCAGTCCAATCAAGTTGATACTCACTATTAACCATCACAGTTGGGTAGTGATAGAAACCCAGAAGAGACATAGAAAAAGGCTCATGTGTTCTGATTACCATCACTTTCCTATTTAAAATTCTCTAATATACCCTTCACTGGCAGTGGGTAGGGAGGGGATTCCTTGTTTCTTTTCCGTAAGATCTACCCTTCTCTTTCCTCCTTTTTGCTGGGGGTACTTCAACCCATATCCCAAAATTCAGCTCAAATATCAACTTTCTTTTAAGGTTTTTTTTTTCAATCCACGTGGTTATTCTTTTCCTCTATGATCGTATAGTTCCTGACCACAACTCTACTGTAGCATCTATCACCTAATATTGCATTTATTTATGATTTTTTCTTTATTTCACCAAACTTGGTTTCTTCAGGATAAGAAATGTCTAATTTATAGTTGGCTCCATTTTTTAATATACTACATGGAACAGAGCAGGCATGCAAATATTTATGGTATAAATGAGTAAGTGTATTTTGGCAGGAAAGAGTGATTAGTTATGATGGACAGATTCTGACTATGTTTGAACCACTTTTGAATTATTTTCCTCACCTCTACAAAGACAGAAGAATTATTTTTAGTATCTCCAATGTCTTTTAAAAAAATTGTAGGGAACTTCCAGCCTAACTGATTTACTAGCCAAAGCAGATTGAACCTATACAGGTCACAGCTTCTGAGGGATTTTTAATAGCTGGTTAAATGCAAAAGGAGCACACAGGCCCCAAGGCTGTTTGCAGACAGATATATTTCATAAAGTCAAACCTCTTCTAAGGGGATGGCAAAGCTTAAATTATAAAACTCAAAGTATTTGTCTGCTTTTTAGTAGTGCTATTATAGCAGACAGACCTCGGGGGTATATGAATTTATTCCAAAGGTTAGCTTAGTTGCTTACTCAGATTTAACTGATTGTAACTGCAGTATGTTTTATCATGACTACCATCCGGTAGTGAGATCTCTGAGGCCCGGCAGCAGGGCCTCCTCATCACATTACCTCTCTGCATACCCACTTGGCTAGATGGAACAGGGAATCCTAGGAGTCTGATGAAAAAGTAATGACATGGCCTGCAGGCACAAGATATAAACAAGCAATTCAAAAGAAAAAATTGGACCAACAAGACCAAGGAGAAATGTTCAACATAAATATTCACACTTGAAACTGAAAACAATAACAACAGCAATAATATGAATAATATGCCATTTTCTTCCATCAAAAATGTCATTATTTAAGGAATATAGTGTCTAAACTGAATCCTGGCATACACTGTGTATCTTATGAGAATAAATTTGAAGACATATGGCAAGAAACTTACATGTTTGCATAACCTTTGATTCCATAAGTTCACTTCCCAGAATCCAGCCTAAGGAAATAATCAGAGATGAGCACACAGACTTATTCATGAGGGTGTTTGTTTAATGTCATTGTAACAATAAAAATACAAATATGCTACATGCTCAACATGAAGAATTGCATACTTAATGATAGCTCACATAAATAGTTTTATAAGATTAACGACAGGAAACTATAAAGACAACACCTAAGCCAAAATCAAAGCCTATGAGTATTATATGCAGTAGGTTTTTACATGTTTACATCTCACAAATATACTTGTGGCTAAAAAGCCTTGGGATGGGATTTAACATTTTCCTGCTTTTCCAAAAAAAAAAAAATTTAATTCACCAGAAATTTATTGATACATGGATATTTAACTAAAGATTCATTAAAATGTGTGTGTGTTGTGAGTGGGGTAATGGGTACACACAGAAAACATGATTGTCCTCTGAAATTCTCCATTGTTCACCCTGATGTCTACCTTCTGCTCATCAAAGAACCTTTTCTCTACCTTGTTCCCTTGCACCATTACAGGCACTGAGTCTGTCCTGGCTCTTGTCCTACAAGTCCTACAATCTGTGCGGTATGATAGCTCTCACTCAGCCACTTGTGGCTGCTATGCACTTGAAATTAGGCCATCGAATAAAACAAATATGCTGCATGTTCAACATGAACTATCTCCATAAATCATAGCTCACATAAATACTTATATAAAATTAACTGCAAGAAACTGTAAAGGCAAAACAAAACCAAAATTTGGAGTTTAGAATAAAATTGGGACTGAGGAGTGAACTGGCTTCATTTTATCAGATTTTGGATATTTAGTACAAATAAAATAATATAAAATATCCTATGATTTTTATTGCAATTATAATATTGTTGATATATTGGTTTAAATAAAATATATTATTAAAATTAATGTTATCTGTTTCTTTTTACTTTTTACTATGGTTACTAGAAAATTTAAAAGTTGATATGTGGCTTGCATTATTTTTCACATGGACAGTAATAGGCTAGATTTTCCCTGTGAGTGTCTCAATTTCTCACCTCTTTTCTTATGCAAAGAAATTTAACATCATCAGGCTCACACCAGACACCACTCTCCCACCACTTTATATTGTTTTTAGGAATGCAAGAGATAGCATCAAAAGATTCTCCATTCCAAAAAAAAAATACAAAATATACAGCACTCAGTATACGTAACTAGTTCTTTTAAGTGTCATACAGATATTAACTCGATAATCTTCATGATAACCTTTGTTTTAAGTCCCTATTATCATGCCCATTTTATAGATCAGGAAGTGTTGGTAGAATAGTTTAAAAACTTGCCCATTTGTTAGGACCCACTATCTCAGAAATTGACGAGATAATTTTACATAAGAACAAATTTTCTATGGGACTTAATGTTTGCCTTTCATATTTATGAAAAACTGATAAAAAATACATCAAAATATTAAAAACATTAGTGTTATGCTTGAAATTAGAGATAATTTCTATTTCATTCTTTAAATTATTATGTATTTTAAACTTTCTCAATAGGACCATACATATTACTTTAAAATTATACATAAATCAAAAATGACTTTGAAGGGCTGGTGATGCATTCATCATAAAGGGTTTCTGAAGCTGGCACCAACATGAAACAATTGCTTGCAACCTTGTCAGGTTGCTGATACCCTGTTATATTTCTCTCATTTACAGGAGGAAAATTAGGAAGTTGAGGAATAAGAGCTCTTCTAATTATACTGACTCTTCCTCCAAAACTGTACAATCACAGCAATGTAGAAAACAATATCAACATCCAGTAACATAAATGTCAGAACCCTAATAGGCCTTAGCTTATTTAAAATAAATTCTTTTTAGTTTTGCTAGGCTTTTACATTTAAATACTTTCCTTAAGAAATACAGATTCTGATATATTGAATTTTGCTTCATTTTTCATCATTTTTCCACAATAATGACACTTAGAATTACTTTAATTCAACAAGTATTTACCATGTGCCAACTATGTGCCAGGTCTATGCTAGCTGCTGAGGTTGTACATGAGAGTAAGACATAGTCCTTGTGGGTTTTTTTTTTTTTTTCTCATTTTCTTCCATTGATGGGTCTATTCTTTTATCCTCTTGCTAGTTTCTCCCTACAGAACATCCTTCCTCCTCAAAGTGGTCCCTATCTTTTGTCTTCATTTGTTCAGTTGAACCAGCCAAAGAGGAATCATGGGACTTAAGGTTCTTTTAATGTTTTATGGTTTTTAGTAAGCTTAGAATAAAAATAAATAAATTGGAACTGAGGAGTGACATGGCTTCATATTACCCAAGGAAAATGGTGATGCATGCCTGCTAGAGTGGTGCTTCTCAAGCTGTGGTGAAGAAGAACTAGTTCTATCTCTCTATCATTCTGTCTATCCTTCTATCTATCTTTTCAATCTGTCATGGACTTTTATAAAACACAATAAAATAAAAGTGAATTACTAGATGAAATAAAGAATAAGGTTGCTCCCTCTCCCTCTCCCCACGGTCTCCCTCTCCCTCTCTTTCCACAGTCTCCCTCTCATGCCGAGCCGAAGCTGGACTGTACTGCTGCCATCTCGGCTCACTGCAACCTCCCTGCCTGATTCTCCTGCCTCAGCCTGCTGAGTGCCTGCGATTGCAGGCAAGCGCGGCCACGCCTGACTGGTTTTCATATTTTTTTGGTGGAGACGGGGTTTCGCTGTGTTGGCTGGGCTGGTCTCCAGCTCCTAACCGCGAGTGATCCGCCAGCCTCGGCCTCCCGAGGTGCCGGGATTGCAGACGGAGTCTCCTTCATCAGTGCTCAATGGTGCCCAGGCTGGAGTGCAGTGGCCTGATCTCGCTCGCTACAACCTCCACCTCCCAGCTGCCTGCCTTGGCCTCCCAAAGTGCCAAGATTGCAGCCTCTGCCCGGCTGCCACCCCATCTGGGAAGTGAGGAGCGTCTCTGCCCGGCCGCCCATCGTCTGGGATGTGAGGAGCCCCTCTGCCTGGCTGCCCAGTCTGGAAAGTGAGGAGCGTCTCTGCCCGGCCGCCATCCCATCTAGGAAGTGAGGAGCGCCTCTTCCCGGCCGCCATCACATCTAGGAAGTGAGGAGCGTCTCTGTCCGGCCACCCATCATCTGAGATGTGGGGAGAGCCTCTGCCCCACCGCCCCGTCTGGGATGTGAGGAGTGCCTCTGCCCAGCCGCGACCCCGTCTGGGAGGTGAGGAGCGTCTCTGCCCGGCCACCCCGTCTGAGAAGTGAGTAGACCCTCCACCTGGCAGCCGCCCCGTCTGAGAAGTGAGGAGCCCCTCCGCCCGGCAGCCACCCCGTCTGGGAAGTGAGGAGTGTCTCCGCCCAGCAGCCACCCCGTCCGGGAGGGAGGTGGGGGTCAGCCCCCGCCTGGCCAGCCGCCCCGTCCGGGAGGGAGGTGGGGGATCAGCCCCCCGCCCGGCCAGCCACCCCGTCCGGGAGGGAGGTGGGGGGTCAGCCCCCCGCCCGGCCAGCCACCCCGTCCGGGAGGGAGGTGGGGGGGTCAGCCCCCCGCCCGGCCAGCTGCCCCATCTGGGAGGTGGGGGGGCGCCTCTGCCCGGCCGCCCCTACTGGGAAGAGAGGAGCCCCTCTGCCCAGCCACCACCCCGTCTGGGAGGTGTTCCCAACAGCTCATTGAGAACGGGCCATGATGACAATGGCGGTTTTGTGGAATAGAAAAGGGGGAAAGGTGGGGAAAAGATTGAGAAATCGGATGGTTGCTGTGTCTGTGTAGAAAGAAGTAGACGTGGGAGACTTTTCATTTTGTTCTGTGCTAAGAAAAATTCTTCTGCCTTGGGATCCTGTTGATCTATGACCTTACCCCCAACCCTGTGCTCTCTGAAACATGTGCTGTGTCCACTCAGGGTTAAATGGATTAAGGGCGGTGCAAGATGTGCTTTGTTAAACAGATGCTTGAAGGCAGCATGCTCGTTAAGAGTCATCACCACTCCCTAATCTCAAGTACCCAGGGACACAAACACTGCAGAAGGCCGCAGAGTCCTCTGCCTAGGAAAACCAGAGACCTTTGTTCACTTGTTTATCTGCTGACCTTCCCTCCACTATTGTCCTATGACCCTGCCAAATCCCCCTCTGCCAGAAACACCCAAGAATGATCAACTAAAAAAAAAAAAAGAATAAGGTCATAAAACTGCAAACCTATTTTTATTTCATTCTTAGACTCAACATTAACAAATTGCTACAAAAGTTTCTAAAGGATTACTCCCAAAGTCTGTGCTTACCATGCTACAGACCATTAGCAAACAGATCACAAATTGGCCCTGCTCTACAGGCCAGTTTGAGCAGTGCTGTGCTATATCCCTGCATGTCTCTCTGCCTTTAAGACAGTGTATGTAGTGTGTTCTCTTTTCCAGAGCCTTTTTGCCAAATAGTGTAATATTCATTTTGAAAAGACAAGTTGCCCCATTCACAGTAAGACTCAGAATTCACTCATATTGTTAGTTTTGTTTTTCAAATAAGAAAATTTGATTCCAAAGACTGTAAAGTGCCCACCAACCCTGACATTTATCGTTTACCTATTTTACAGCATCCTCAGCCACAGGATTTCAAGGCTGGAAAGTTACTAATGTAGCCAACAAATTGTGGGTAATACACATCACATCTCTTTGGCTTCCACATGCAATTCCCTCTGAGAAAATTATTATTCACTAGGCTCTAAGGGTTTGGTGACAGAAGGTGAGTTTTTAAATAACTGATATGTTGGTATAAGTTTAGAGTATTTCATAATTGGCATTGGTATGTTTTGTAAACCTGTAAAATATTAATAATTTTTGGTCTAAGACAAAAGCATCATCAGGGTAAAGGGGAAATGAAGTTTTATTGTTGTTGTTGTTGGGAGTGGTGGTGGCAGTGTTGGTGGTGCTTTAGAGTAATCCTGAGGATAAGTGAGGGAAATTGAATCTGAGCATCTAAATTCTATTTTGTGTTTCCCTTAGCTTTATATTAAGTTGCTCTACTTTTGTATTTCTTTTCTTTTTCTCTGTCCAACAACCTCCCCACCACAACCCAGAACAAAATATGGAAAGATATAGCACATTTCTATACCTAACTATAGCACATTCTATACTAACTTTATTATATTAGCTATTAGATAAATTTAAGAGATTCTGTTTAAAATACTGCTGCTCTGTGAGAGGGCCATCTACAAACTATGTAATGGTGGCTGTGATTTCTTGATTCTTTCCTTCCAACTTCACTTCACATAAGGCTCCCCACATTATGCGACTCTTGATTTACTCCCACTGTCACAGCTGTTGTGTGAAGTGTGTTTTTAATGAAAGTTTAGATTAAGGGTGAATGATACAGAAAACAACTTACATTAATCATCATTTTTTATATCATTGGTTACTCTTCCCAAAGGGAATGCACAGGGCTTGCCCCAACTTTGGCCCTGTCTTATTGCCTTCCTCTAAGGCTTCTTTTTTCCCCTGAAGACCTAACTCCTCAATAACACAGAGGCCAACTCAAATATCCAAATTGCTATTACTCTTGTGGAATAATAAAGTTCTTTCTCAACCATCCTGCTATGCCCAGAAGGCCCCATGTTTCCTAGCCAGAAGTGTATGTCATAGGTCATCATGATGTATCCAGGTGTTTTTCATATATGCCTCCCACCCCTATGATGTGGAAGCACATCATCCATTTTGTTATTTTATGTAGTTGGCTTGCTTTCCCTATGATATGGTTTGGCTGTTTCCCCACCCAAATCTCATCTTGAATTGCAACTTCCACAGTTCCCACATGTTGTGGCAGGAACCCAGTGGTAGGTAATTGAATCATGGGGGCAGGTCTTTCCCATGCTGTTCTTATGATAATGAATAAGTCTTGTGAGATCTGACAGTTTTAAAAATTGGAGTTTCCCTGCACAAGCTCTCTCTCTCGTTTTGCCTGCCATCATCCATGTAAGATGTGACTTGCTCCTCCTTGACTTCCACCATGATTGTGAGGCCTCCCCAGCCCTGTGAAAGTGAAAGTCCATTAAATCTCTTTCTTTTGTAAACTGCCCAGTCTCAGGTATGTCTTTATTAGCAGTGTGAAAACAAACTAATACAGTAAATTGGTACCAGTAGAGTGGGGCACTGCTGGAAAGATACCTGAAAATGTGGAAGAGAACTTGGAACTGGGTAACAGGCAGGGTTGGAACAGTTTGGAGGGCTTAGAAAAAGAAAGAAAAATGTGGGAAAGTTTGGAACTCCCTAGAGACTTGTTGAATGGCTTTGACCAGAATGCTGTTAATGATATGGACAATGAAATCCAGGCTGAGGCATCTCTCAAATGGAGATGAGGAATTTGTTGGGAACTGGAGCAAAGGTGACTCTTGTTATATTTCAGCAAAGAGACTGGTGGCATTTTGCCTCTGCCCTAGAGATTTGTGGAACTTTGAATTTGAGAGAGATAATTTAGGATATCTCTGGAAGACATTTCTAAGCAACAAAGCATTGAAGAGGTGACTTAGGTGCTGTTAAAGGCATTCAGTTTTAAAAGGGAAACAGAGCATAAAAGTTTGGACAATTTGCAGCCTGACAATGTGATAGAAAAGAAAACCCCATTTTCTTTGGGGAAATTCAAGCTGGCTGCAGAAATTTGCATAAGTAATGAGGAGCCAAATGTTAATCACCAAGACAATGGGGAAAATGTCTCCAGGGCATCTCAGAGACCTTTGGGGCAAACACTCCCATCACAGGCAGAGAGGTTTAGGAGACAAAAATGGATTTGTGGGCTGGGCCAAGGTTCTCTCTGCTCTGTGCAGCCTAGGAACTTGGTGCCTGTGTCCCAGCCACTCCAGCTGTGGCTGAAAGAGGCTAATGTAGAGCTTGGGCTGTGGCTTCAGAGGGTTCAAGCCCCAAGCCTTGACAGCCTCCAAGTGGTATTGAACCTGCTAGTGCAAGAAGTCAAGAATTGGGGTTTTGGAACCTCTGCCTATATTTCAGAGGATGTATGGAAGTGCCTGGATGTCCAGGAAGAAATTTGCTGCAGGGTTGGGGCTCTCATGGAGGACCTCCACTAGGGCAATGCAGAAGGAAAATGTGGGTTGGATCCTCACACAGAGTCCCTAATGGGACACTGCCTAATAGAGCTGTGAGAAGAGGGCCACCATCCTCCAGACCCCAGAATGGTAGATCCACCAACAGCTTGCACTGTGCAGCTGGAAAAGCCGCAGACACACAATGCCAGCCAGTGAAAGCAGCCAGGAGGGGGGCTATACCCTGCAAAGTCACAGGGGTGGAGCTGCTCAAGGCCATAGTAGCCCACCTCTTGCATCACTGTGACCTGGATGTGAGACATGGAATCAAAGGAGATCATTTTGGAACTTTAAGATTTGACTGCCTCGCTAGATTTTGGACTTGCATGGGGCCTGTAGCCCCTTTGTTTTGGCCAATTTCTCCTATTTGGAATGGCTGTATTTACCCAATGCCTGTACCCACATTGTATCTAGGAAGTAACTAACTTGCTTTAACTTTACAGTCTTATAGGTGGAAGGGACTTGCCTTATTTCAGATGAGACTTTGAACTGTGAACTTTTGAGTTAATCCTGAAATGAGTTAAGACTTTGGGTGACTGTTGGGAAGGTATGATTGGTTTTGAAATGTAAAGACATGAGATTTGGAGGGGCTGGGGTGGAATGATATAGTTTGGCTGTGTCCCCACCCAAATTTCATCTTGAATTGTAACTCCCACTATTTCCACATGTCATGGGAGGAACCCAGTGTGAGGTAATTGAATCATGGGGGTGGGTATTTCCCATGCTGTTCTCATGATAATGAATAAATCTCATGAAATCTGATGGTTTCAAAAATGGGAGTTTCCCTGCACAAGTTCTCTCTCTCTTCTTCCCTGCCAGCATCCATCCACATAAGATGTGACTTGCTCCTCTTTGCCTTCCACCATGATTGTGAGGCCTCTGCAGCCATGTGGAACTGTAAGTCCATTAAACCTTTTTCTTTTGTAAATTCCCCAGTCTCAGGTATGTCTTTATTAGCAGCATGAAAATGAACTAATACACCCTGTTTGCTATTTAAATATCTGTCAATGGAAAATTATGTCCTGACAAGTTTTTCATCGCCTAACACTACCCCAAATGCTTTGAATTGTGCTAGACTTCAGGATAAATAACAGAGAATTTCGACAAAGACAATGGGTTATACCCACAGATGGGGATGCTGAAGCATGGACAGACAAAGAAGTAAATCCTAATGCAGTACAATATGTACAATAATGCAGGTATATACAAAAACACAACTAATACAAAGAAAGAAGTGATTATATATGTACCTAGGTATGGGATTCAATGAAGGCTTTACAGAAGAAGTGATGATTGTATAGGGCTTAAAAAGTCAAATCTTTCTTTAGGCAAATAGAATAAGAAAAATGTTGGCATTCCACATGAAAAAATTGCATGTGCTAAGGTACAGGGAAAGAAATCAGCGTATGTTCAGAGAGCTGTGGGAAATTGCCTTATCTGGATGTTAAAAATCTAGAGAAGCACCCAGGTAGATGAATCAGAACATGAATGATCATTAAGCCACGAGCAGCAGTCACTGTTGGCTGCGTACCCAATAGTCATTTACTTCCAACATACCTTCAATGTCTAGCTGAGAAGTTGAGTAATGGAGAAACGAAGCCAGTCTGGGAAATTCCATTTTCCTTTGCCAAATATTGATCTGTGGGTTTTGCATATGACCCAATTTTGGCCAACAGAACCTCAGAGGAAGTTTCAGACATTTTGCAACCCAAAAGACAAGGTCATGAAGATAACAGAGATATTAACTTAAAGCTTTGAAGGCATTGATCCAGCCTGAATCTATCTACTTCCATGTTGTCCTTAAGAGATATTAAAAAGACTGCATTACTTAAGTAACTTTAATAAAGTTATTTGATATTTGCAGCCACAAGCATCCTTGCTGACCATCACTTTAAAGCGCTAATTAGATGGTAGGAACAAGCTATAGTGTACTAGAGAAAAGTCATTGGGAATAATCAGGAATGGCTTTATAGAGGAGGTGTGGCTCGAGCCAAGGTAATTAAAACTAATGCCTTTGTATACTTTATAGTTTACAAAAGAATAAAATATTACATTATCTGGGAGGCAAAAGGAGCACAGATAGGAGACAGAGAGTGATCATGAATGAATAAATAAATTAGCAATTTGGAGGATCCATGTAGAGGTATGCTGGAAAGGGGGAATTTTACTTTTTCAAGCAAACTAAAGAAGTAAAGCTCATAACTGGGAGGAGGCAGAAGTAAAACTCAGTTATGTTTAACTCCATAACCTATGTTGTTGTTTTTTTAACTATACCATGCAGCCTCACAAGGTGGACTGAAGGTAATTTAGGACAAAGATATGAAGACCCATCATAAACTTATGATGATGATTTAAGTTTAGGCTGATGACTTGATTCACTGTCCTAAACTAAAAATAACCCACCACTTTCTTCTTGTTTTCTCCTGGGAAGCCATTCTTTTACCAATGTTCTGTCCTTGTAGCCAAATGCATCTTACTCATGTTCTGTCTCTGCTTAAAACCCTTCAAAGTCTTTTCATTATTTTCAGATTAAAGACAAAATAATTCAAAATGGTTTACGAAGTCTTACAACTGCAACCTTCACCTCCAACTTTTCTGCCTGCCACCCCAGCCTCCTTATAAATGTTGCCAATAGTTTTTTTTACCTCTGTTTTTATCTACCTTCAATGTTCTTTTCTCCTTTCATTTTCTTTGTTAATCTTCAGTCTTTCTAAAAACGTTCTTTACATAAGAATGAAGAATACCTTCCCCAGTAAAGCTGTGCCTGAACTCAACAAATATTCCAAAGTCTGTTATGTATTTGCATACTAGAGCTGCATAAGAAACAATAATGGAACCTCAGTGGCACATTCTACTGACCAGAGAGGAGCTTGGCTGGACACATTTATGTATCTGTGGTCAGCTGTGAGTTACCTAAGCAGTTTTGCTGATCTTCTCTGAGTTCTCTCGTGTGTCAGAGCCTTTGTTGGGACAACTGGGCTGACTCCACCTTGTTCTACATATCTCTTTTATCCAGTAGAGGTGTCCTAGGCATGTTCTCATGATGAGGGCAGAGGAACAGAAAGAGGAAACTCACAGGCCTCTTGAGGTCTAGGTTCAGAACTGTTGTGATGTCACTTCTGTCACTTTCTGTTGGCCAAAGAAAGTCACAAGGTCTGCACAGATTCAGAGTGTATAAATAAATTTACCTCTTATTAGGAAGAGCTGCAAAGATACATCCCAAAGTGCATGGATATAGGAGCTGAGAGTGAATTGAGGCTGTCCTCCAAGTCAGTCCTCCATACTTCAATAGCATCATTCATCTATCTTTATAGTCCTTGTTGAAATTTTTGCTTTATACTTTATTTTACTTTTTGATTAATTCTGTTTGCCATTCTCCCATACTACGAAGTTCCAGAAAAGCAAACACACAGAAGTTGCCCCATGATTATTTTTTGAATGAATAAGTACATAAATGAATGAGTTATTTTCTCAGCTCATGATAAGAAGGTTACCCCCAGTCCTGCCAGGACTGAGACGTAGATACCTCAAACTGTTTTTTGACAACCATTAGAGCAACTGGCAGACTAAGATGTGGTAGACAAGGGACATCACACAGATTTTCCCCAACTTTGAGGAGACTGGAAGTTATCTAGTTTTCTCTAGGACTCTATCAAATATCAAAACAGATTAAACAAACAAATGCAAAAATGAACAGAAGCTTTTCCCAGGCCCAGTGACCCTTTCTTAGGATGTTCATTAATAAATGTACTGGTTGTACTCACTGAACTGACAAAACGATCAATAAATCAAATTTTATATTATTTGATTATCCTGATTATTCCCAATGACTTTTCTCTAGTACACTATAGCCACAAGTAATGTAACCATTTGAATCATGAATATGTCCATTTTAGCTTCTAAAATAATTTTAAAATCTGTTAAATTGCATTGCCATTTTGGTTTGATAAATAACAGTCAAGGGAAATAATTGTAATTTTTAAAGTCTTTGTTAAAAACTACATTTTTTCTACATTCCTCTAAAACATTTGGCTTTGTGATTAATGAATAGGTTTTCTTTCTGAAGCTGTGGAATCATAGTAGTTTTCTCATAGAATATAAAGAACTAGGATTTTTAAAAATAGCAATAGGTTTTAGCTATTTTTTAAAATAGTGACTTTGTACCATTGTAAGAACCTTTCTTGATTTTTATCACTCATCAATTATAGGTTGTGTAAAATATGAAAGATTCTATTGAACAACATTTATGGCCTCTAGCTCTAGCCGAGCTTTCTTTGTCATAGTTTTTCATTTCCCAGATCAGTCACTATTTTTTAAGCTCAAAAATCTACTCAAAGGAAATTGTTAAATAAAAGTAACACTGCAATTAACCTAGCTTTAAAAAGTGGAAAACGCCTGAGAGACATGCAAAGTTCTTTTCAGTGCTGTGCTAGAAAGATGCTTCAGACAGGTACTTTTTTATTTTTATTTTTTACAAAACCATGGCCTTTCTGGTTTAAGAATTTATATTCTATTTTAAAGCTTATCTTTTCAGTGCTTGACTATTCGTTGTGCTATATGACAATGTGCAATCATGTTCTAGATAGAAATGAAAGTCATTTTTAGAAAACAGAGCCAATTTACCTGCCCTTTGGCTGCTTAATAACATTAGGCAGGCACTTGCTTTGCATCACAGGCTTGTAAAAGTGATTGTGTTTAAAGCCTTTTGTGAAATCCAAAATGGAATGTCAATAGCCAAAAGAACAGCCTGTTCATACATTTTTAGGAAATGGAATTCATTTGTGGGATGAGCTTCAAAACTAAATTACAAAAATAAATAAATAAATAAAAGACTGCCATTAACATAAGCACAAAAGAGGAAGTTCAAATACAGAATAATCTTATATTGAAATAAGTGCTTTTGGAGTATAGTGTTGGAACTTATAAAGACTTAAACTATGGTGCATTAAGAGAAGAATTTCCAATTCTGTCACCTTGTGACACAAATGACCTGCCACAAATGTAGCTGGTAAGATATATTTTATGTGTCTGTGTGGGAATAGGGAATGGAAGTTGGAATCTAAGAACATGGGCTCTGTAGGGGTCAACAGAGAGCTTATGTTTGGCCCTCTGAAGATTTACTGACAAGTAAAGTTGTGAAAGGCAGATTAACTGGAGAAAAGGCATACAAACTTATGTAACATGTATATATGGCAGCCTTCAGAATGAAGACCCAGACGTATAGGAGACACTCTCCGTTCTTATGCTTAGGTTCAGTGAAGTATGGAAAGCCATTTAGAAATATGATTGGACAAAAAGTGTATCATCTAATACTAATGGACTGAATAGGAAAACCCAGCAAGGCTTATCTGTCTAGATTCTTCTTGGCCTCTCTTTGTGGCATTCCTTCCTTCTGAGTGTGGAGCAGCACCCTCTCTGGAATGAGGGTCGTATGAGCTGTAGTCAAACAAAGTAGGTCAAATATTTTCTTTATAGACAGTTTTTACACAAATAGGGCAGAGAAAAAGAGTAATATTTTAAGATTTTATGACTGGCTTTGGGGAAAAGGAAATCTGGTTCTATGACTCACCTTGGGGAAGATGGCTTCCAGTTTCTATGACTCTTAAATGTATGCAGCTTAAATTTAAGCAAATTATTTTACATCTAGAAATCTCAAACTACTCATATGCAATTGAATGATAATTATAGATTTTATTTCACAAGTTTGTTGAGACAATGAAGTAATCTGATGTTTGGCATAGTGATTGACACACAGTGAGAACTCATAAGTGTTTGTTAGGTAACTAGTTGTATAAACTTGAACAATAATAATAATACATCAGTGCCTTTTAAGTACTGAGCACTATGCTACAAACTCTAGGTAGAATTTTAGATATTTGTCAACCTTAGCAAGTGAATATTGTCTCTAGTCCAGAAATTAAAAACTATGATACATTGAGAGGTGTAAAGCAATTTTCCAAAGGATACAGAAAGCCATGATTCAAGCCCACCTATGTGCAATTCACAATAACCAGTTGCCTCAGTTTGCCATGTTGCACCAAAATCACTCAGCACTTCTTGTGCCTCATAATTTATTTCAACAGTTTTGCTGGGTAAGATGAAATAAACATATGTCAGTCTAAAGCTGCTAAAGAAATAGTCCCAGTCTTAAACATCTTATTGTCTCCTTTCCAGATTACACAAACCAAAAAAAAAAAAAAAAATCAGTATGATCAAAGTAGAAGTATTGATCTCACTACCCGTCATTTGTTACCATAGAAATAATTTAAATGACTAGCAGACATAGGTCCTAGCTTATGATAGCTTCTGTCAAGGTCTCACTCAACAAGCATCCCATCATTCTTGATAATACTGTAGTTGTCAATGCTCTAGTCCCCAGCTTTGAGAAAGTAGCCAAGAAATAAAACCTAGTAGGATTCTTATCCTGCAGTCTCTGTGATTCTTTGCATCTAACTCATCAATTTAAATGGGAGAAAAATGTATCCAAATTTTTAATAACCTATATTCAATATATAGCATGTCCTGTAATTATAAATATTGGCAAAAATAATAACATTGGAGTAAAAGAGTATCTTTGTCTTTGTCATCAATTAAAGTCACAAATGTTTCCTATTACTTTACAATCATTGTAGGTATCTCAAAATATTACATTGCTGACTTCAAAATTATATTTTCATACCCACTGCTAAATCTTATTTAATGTGCTAATAAAGAAGTATATATGTTAGTATATGACAAGCTGTTAAAATATTTTTATAACTGTATTTAAATAGAATTGATTTTCTTTTATAATACTATACATTTTATTATATGCACTTACTTTTATTTTTAAAAGGAAATTTCAGACCGCAAATGACAATGATAACATTGAAGGAAGAATGAGAGAGAGAGGGAAAGAAAGAGGAAGGAAGGAAGGAAGGAAGGGAATAAGGGAGGGAGGGAGGAAGGGAAGAACTCCTGAATCAAAGGTCAAAGCACTGACTCTGGGGTGACAATGACTCTGGGGTGACAATGTCTCTGGGGTGACAATGACTCTGGGGTGACAATGTCTCTGGGGTGACGATGACTCTGGGGTGACATTGACTCTGAGGTGACAATGACTCTGGAGTGACAATGACTCTGAGGTGACAATGACTCTGGGGTGACAATGGGGTGACAATGACTCTGGGGTGACAATGACTCTGGGGTGACAATGACTCTGAGCTGACAATGACTCGGGTGACAATGACTCTGGGGTGACAATGAATGACTCTGGGGTGACAATGACTCTGGGGTGACAATGACTGACTCTGGGGTGACAATGACTCTGGGGTGACAATGACTCTGGGGTGACAATGAACAACTCTGGGGTGACAATGACTCTGGGGTGACAATGACTGACTCTGGGGTGACAATGACTCCTCTGGGGTGACAGTGACTCTGGGGTGACAATGACTCTGGGGTGACAATGACTCTGAGGTGACAAAGACTCTGGGGTGACAATGACTCTGGGGTGACAATGACTCTGGGGTGACAATGACTGACTCTGGGGTGACAATGACTCTGGGGTGACAATGACTCTGGGGTGACAATGACTGAGGTGACAGTGACTCTGGGGTGACAGTGACTCTGGGGTGACAATGTCTCTGGGATGACAATGACTCTGGGGTGACAATGTCTCTGGGGTGACAATGACTCTGGGGTGACCATGTCTCTGGGGTGACAGTGACTCTGGGGTGACAGTGACTCTGGGGTGACAGTGTCTCTGGGGTGACAGTGACTCTGGGGTGACAGTGACTCTGGGGTGACAGTGTCTCTGGGGTGACAATGACTCTGGGGTGACAATGTCTCTGGGGTGACAATGTCTCTGGGGTGACAATGACTCTGGGGTGACAATGACTTGGGTGACAGTGACTCTGGGGTGACAGTGACTCTGGGGTGACAGTGACTCTGGGGTGACAATGACTCTGGGGTGACAGTGTCTCTGGGGTGACAATGACTCTGGCGTGACAATGTCTCTGGGGTGACAATGTCTGTGGGGTGACAATGTCTGTGGGGTGACAATGACTCTGGGGTGACAATGTCTCTGGGGTGACAATGACTCTGGGGTGACAATGACTGGGGTGACAGTGAGTCTGGGGTGACAATGACTCTGGGGTGACAATGACTGGGGTGACAGTGAGTTTGGGGTGACAGTGTCTCTGGGGTGACAATGTCTGGGGTGACAATGACTCTGGGGTGACAGTGAGTCTGGGGTGACAGTGTCTCTGGGGTGACAATGTCTCTGGGGTGACAATGACTCTGGGGTGACAATGACTCTGGGGTGACAGTGTCTCTGGGGTGACAATGACTCTGGGGTGACAATGTCTCTGGGGTGACAATGACTCTGGGGTGACAATGACTCTGGGGTGACAATGACTGAGGTGACAATGACTCTGGGGTGACAATGACTCTGGGGTGACAATGACTCTGAGGTGACAATGACTCTGGGGTGACAATGACTCTGGGGTGACAGTGACTCTGGGGTGACAGTGAGTCTGGGGTGACAGTCTGGGGTGACAGTGTCTCTGGGGTGACAGTGACTCTGGGGTGACAGTGTCTCTGGGGTGACAATGACTCTGGGGTGACAGTGTCTCTGGGGTGACAATGACTCTGGGGTGACAATGACTCTGGGGTGACAGTGACTCTGGGGTGACAATGAACTTCTTAGCACCAGACCCTGGTAGCTCCAAACAATGAAAAGTGAGTCCCTCAAAAAAGTCCCTAATAATTTATGTATTGCTTATATTTTATTGATTTATTGATATTTATTCACTTGTCATAATCATTAGCTATCTTGAAGAGTTGGAGCTGTCGGGTATGGGTTTGAATTGAGGCAGAAAATAATAGCATTACCTGTAGCCATTACAACATTAGATGTTAATTCCAGAATTTCAGAAACTAGAGGTGAGATTAAGAAAGAGTTCTTGAAGATAAAGCGGTCATATTATTTGTGTTTTACTAAAGAACATCATGCATGATGCTTTGGCTTCAAAACAAAGCCATTTTTCTTGAGAAAGCTCTGAACTTTGAATGGTCTTCGCATTGTTTTCTTTTTGTTCTTACCACAGCATAGAGCAGGGTCAAAGTGCCACTGTAGAATTTTAAATCATGACAAGAAAAACAGTATTGAACTGTAAATATTTACAACTCTCTCACTCTTTCATTTGTATAAAGAAAAAGGATCCTTTGTGGCACCAAACTTGGTGCTATTCTTTGTAATGCTGAAAAACTAAAGAAGAGTCATAGAGTTTGGGAGGGGGCAGTAGGGAAGGAGAAAAAGAGAAAAGGCCTCAGAACTGAAAATGTTGTCAGGAGAAGAGCATATGAGAAAGGGGAAAGAAACTGGAACTATGATTGGGCTATGCGGGGCTTGGGAAAGAGATGGATGAAAACAAGTTTTTGAGGAAGTTCTATTATCCGTAGACAAATGTAATCCCCTTTGATCATCTCCTCAAGAAAGTCTGAGGTCAGCACTGCATTTCTTTTCAAGGCATTTTCACAAGATCTAGGTAGGTCTAGGGCAGGAGCAGGAACTAGTTTTATTCAAGTTACTTAAAGATCTCTGCCAACCTTCTGTGTGAGTACATGTGTGTGAATTCCAAGCATCTGGAAAAGATTTTTGTGGACTCCATCTATCATCTCACCAAATGTTCTTTACATCTCAAATCTCAAATTTCTCTCTCAGGCCTCTTCTATTTGGCACCTTCAACCACTTTCTTAACAGCTCTATCTTGATGTCTTATTGATATGCAAACTGTAATTGTGCATAATATTGAACTGTCCTTTTCCTAAAGCTAGTTTCTCTTTCAAAATTACTGACTAACTGTACAGATTATCAGTTATACCACTATTTTTCTGGATCACTCAAGATGAGCATCTCAGGATCTTCTTTTGTTCTCTTCATGTCCTCACTTCCATTCTAATTCATTATTAAACAACCATTCATTATTAGTCATTGAGTACAGATGTGTTGAGTATTGATTGAGGTATTGAAATACAGTGGTGAACAGGATGTATAGGCTCCTAGTTCAAAGTTGACCAAAACATGGGATGGTTTTCTTTTAGAATATATCTCACCTACCTCTTTTCATCCTTAGTACCAAAATCATAATATAAATCATCATTTATCTATCCCTGAATGATTACTATTATTTACCACCTGAACTCTGGAGCCAGGCTTACTCCCTGTCATCAATCTTCTAAGCTTCCACAGTTTCATTACCAAGTTTTAGTCTTCCTATTCTTTGCTCAAAAGCACTGCATGATACCCTGTCATCTACAGTATAGAATCCAGTTATCTCATCTAGCATTCAGATACCTCAAAGTCCAGTCTTGACGTTACTGATTAACTTCATCTCTTCCATGTATACATTGACATACACTCTTCTATTCATCACACTCTTAATGTACCTTATATTATTTTTCTCACACACTTATTCCTCAGGCATAGATTTTTTTTTCTCCTCCACATTTACCTGAATGCAAAACTTACGTTATTGTATGAAAACCATTGTACAACCCATATTTGTAAAATACCTTACAACTCTTTTAACTCATTCACATTCTTTATCTCATTTACTATCTCTTTTGATACTCATAGGGCTATAGTAGGAAGGACTGATTTTAGTTTGGCCAGTTTACAGATGAGAAAACTGAGTCAAAATAACATTATGAGTGAGAGGAGAGGTTAAAAAACTTAACTAGAAATTTTGAGCCTTACTTTTTTTCAGCTTTTTCCAGTATGCCATGTATTTAACCAGCTAAAAGTTTCACTGAGAAGGCTGAAAATTCCAGCAACTTAACAAATAGCAAATGAATCTTCCTAATGGAAACTTGTAGCACTTTTCCCCTTGGGTAGATAACTTGCTCGATAAGGATTCTATGTGACACAAGTGCTCTGTTGTGGGATTCACTGATCTTCTGGAAAAGCATACAACCCTTTAGCCTTCATTTCATCTTCAGCTCCTTGCCTAAGTGAAAACTATTTTTGATTTAACACCCTCAGATTCCTTTTAATTCTTACATTGATGTGGACAATGTTAAACTAGACTTGCCGAACTCAGGTTATGTATTGGGAATCAAAGTGAGCCCTTAGGACTCCTCAGAACAGCTGGTGTCAACTGGAATATGATGAAATCCTCTAAGAACTGAATGGGCTATTAAAACATTGCAGCTAGGCTACAGCAGCAGGGAAAACAGAAAAATTTTCTTGAGAAGAAAAAGAAGAGAAATTGCTTTGGGTATACAACCAGAAAATGGTGCTTGCCTTATGTAACTCTTCTGGATGAAATGTGTCTTTATATAGTCAGTGAAAAAATTGCTTTAGCTCAGCTTTTTAAAAGCCAATTTTGCAATTCTTATACTAACATGTATATTTTTACATTTTATGTATATAATGGGAATGGCTACTTTTTTGGTCAAATGTGCAGAGAGAATGAATATTTCCTAATTGCAATTTTGTAGAAAACTCATTTGTTTTGAATATATATCTTTCTGGTCTGACTAAATGAGAATCATCATTTATTTTTCACATGTTAACATTAGACAATTTTGTATTTTTTACCGTAAAATATCTCAATAGCATAGGGCATGGGAGGGCGGAGAAAAATAAATGACATTTACTGAATTCCTGCTATGTGCCCAGATCTTTACCCATATCTTGTTTCATTTGGCAGCAAACTTAAAAGAAGGTCTTTCAGTCCATTTTAGAAATGATAAATCACAGGTTCAGAGAGAGATTAGGTAAAATATCCAAGAGCTTTCAACTAGGAAGTGATGGAAGTAAAGTTCAAACTGGCTGTGATTCACTGAAAACCAGTGCCTCATCCATTTAGCACTGCATTTGGCAAATACAATGTGATCAGCAAATTGTAATCAAACAGAAATTTCTGTGAAAATAATTTTTTTCTTTTCTGCAAAGAAATAATAGAAGGGAAAGTAATCTGGAAGGAAGTACGTAGCTTTGTAAGAAAGCTGTTCCAAGTTTGGAAAGTTGCATTTTCTGAAAGATGCAAAACTTATATTCTTTCTGCTTTCATTAGGAAACACTTCACAGTGAAAGAAACAAAATTACACTTACTAAACTTCAAAGATTATGTTTACTTTTTCAATCAACAGAGACATTGAAAGTAAATTGGAAATAGGACATAGAAATGAGTGGAAGCTTTGCATTGTCTTTCAAAGGAAAAGAGATTGCCCTCCTTGGAATGGAGAAGAATGATATCAGTAAAAACTCACACCATTCTCCTCAGCCTGTTTTAATGCTGGCATCTAGCAGTCAATCATTATGCCAGAAAAACTAGCACTGTGGACAAACTGGCTTGTTCCTTTGAAAGAAACCTGTGGCAGCTTAGCTAGTTGTGACTTGGCAGCTTTAGTTTCTTCTTGTGCACTTCTAACCTTAACAGCATCAATTGAAGATGTATTTATTGTTTATGTCAAAACAGCCGCTTGTTATATTTTATATTTTACCATGAAACACGGAGAAAAGGTCTATAGTAGCATTATACCTGATTGAAATATTTTGTTTAAGCTGGCATTAAGTGAAAATTGTTCGCTATTTAAGACAGTGATTAAAATGATAGACTCTGGAGTCAGACTCATGAGGGTCAAATCCCAGCTCTGTCATTTGTTAATTGTGTGAGTTAGAGAAAATTACAAAACCTTTTTATGGCTCACCTTCCTCATTTATAAAATGGGACTAGTAATAATATTATCAATGTGGCTCACATCGAATTATTAGAAGAATTGTATATTGTACTGCTTTTAAAGCATTTAACAGTGCTTGTCAAATAATAAGCACCAATGAATATTAACTTGTTGCCATAGTTTGGATGTTTGTCCTGCAAACTTCATGTTGAAATTTGATCCCCAATGTAGCAGGTGAGACCTAATGGGAAATGTTTCGGTCATGGAGGTGGATCTGTCATGAGTGACTTGGTGCAGTCCTCGTGGTAATGACGGAGTTCTCATTCTATTCGTTCCCATGACAGCTGGTTGTTAAAATGAGCCTGGCACCTCCTCCCTCTCTCTTTTGCTTTCTCTCTTATCATGTGATCTCTACACAGACCAGATTCCCTTCACCTTCCGCCATGAGTGGAAGCAGCCTGAACCCCTCACCAGAGGCAGATGCTGATGCCATGCTTCTTGTAGAATCTGCAGAACCCTGAGCCAAATAAATCTTTTTTCTTTATAAATTACCCAGCCTGTGATATTCTTCTATAGGAACACAAATAGACTAAGACTCATTACTATTATCATTTGCAACCAATTATCCATTAAAATACTCAGGAGGAACTTACGAAAAGAGAAATACAGGAACCTACTTTGAAAGTCAATTATTGTCTCTGTGGGAAGGCCAGACTGTTGTCCTTTCTGTGTCCTATCTCAGTAACTCTGTTGTGTGTATGTTACTCAACTTAATTCATCTCCGCTAAAATTGTTTCACGAGAGTTTGGAAGGATATTCACCAATTTCATTTCAGATGAAATTAAATTGAGTAGCACAAGTGATGACATACTGTAAGTGAACTAAGGACTCTGCATATTAATATAGCCTCCAACCTCTGCATCAGAGAAAGGGCAATAAACTTACTCAAGGGCAACTAATCTCCAGATGAGAATTAATTTTCAAATATTTTTAAAATGAGGGGAAAGTGCCACAACAACCTTATTCCAAAGAGATACAAATTACAAAGTAGTTAGTCAGAAAATTCAGAAAAAATAACTGCACTGGTCAGCTCAGGCTGCAATAACAAAATACCATCTACTGGATAACTTAAACAACAGAAATATATTTTCTCATAGTTTCTTGGTCTGGCAAATCCAAGGGTCAGTTTCTGTTGAGGGCTCTTCTGGATTGCAGATAGTCGACTTCTTGTGTCCCCATATGGCAGAGAAAGAGAGCTCTGATGTCTCTTCCTCTTTTTATAAGGGTCTTTTTATGTGGATTAGGACCCCACTCTTGTGACCTCATTTCATCAAAATTATCTCCTAACGGCCCTATCTCCAAATACTAAGTCAAATTGTGGGTTAAGCCTTCAATATATGAATTTGTGGACTGGACACAATTCAGTCCATTGCAAGGACATAAATCTGAAAAAGTTATGATTATGAAAATAAGAAAAAAGAGTTACTTGTTTAGAAATCAGAAATGTATGCACCTGAAAGGAGTAGAAGATGTAGGCTTTATAAAACTGGAGCAGGTGGCCGGAAGCAGCAGACTAGCAGAGATGAACAAAGGGTATCAGGAAATGGAAAATGAAGTGGCAATCTGAAATCTTAAACCCAGAGACTTCTAATTACCTTACTAAATTACTCAGGTAGAACAGTTATTCGTGAAGCCTTCAATCTAACAAAGAGGTTACTATGATTAATGCATTTTCCTTAACATCTAGTGTTTGGTTTAACTGCTGATTTTCTTACACAAAGAAATAATTTCAGAAATAGTTTTCAAAATGCAATATTTGGTGTGAGGAGGGATGTGGAGAGAAATAGAGATAAGGAGAGAAGAATAGACAAGTAGATAAATGAAAAAGCATAAAGAAGGGAGTTAATAAAGTATGGCAAGTCAGGGACAAGTCAAGATGGCACAAAGGAAGTGGTATGAAGAAACTGGTTCATGAAAGCATAGAGATGCAGTAAATAATAGAAAAAAGGGAACACCAAAAGGCTATCTCATGAACAGCACATGTAGCATTATTAAATATTAAAAGAAGATCTAAATAAGGACAGAGTCAGAAGAACAATGAAAATGCCAAAACCATAAACAGGTTCAGATAATTGTTTCATGGTATTTTAATAAAATCTTGCTGTGTTTTATTCTGTAAGTTATTTTAAGGATGGCCTCTGTCTTGCATTGCCTTTATTCCCACTACGTCTTGTGAACAAATTGTTTCCACAAACATCTGTGGATGGTTGAATTAAATAAATATTGTGCCCTTACTACCTACCAGATAGAATTGTCCCTGGGTATCCACGAAGGATTGGTTTCAGGACCCCCTGCAGAAAACAAAATTTGCAGATGCTCAAGTCCCTGATATAAAGTGGTATAGTATTCGCATACAGCCTATGCACATCCTCCAATACGCTTTATCTCTAGATTACTTATAATGCCTAATACAATAAAAGTGCTATGTCAATAATTGTTGTATTGTTTAAGGAATAATAAAAAGAAGAAAACGAGTCTGTACATGTTCTGTTCGGACACAATCATCCTTTTGTTTCCAAATATTTTCAATCTATGTTTGGGTGAATCCATGGATGCAGAACCCACAGATACAGAGGCCCTGTTGTACAGTACTACTTGCTGAGAATATAAAGATAAATGTGCTTTGCCTTCTGATCTCAAAGAATTATCAGCCTAGTTGAAAAGAAATAAATTATAGACATCCAATAATTGATCTTAAAGTAAAAGTAAAAATCATCCAAAAGTATGGAGAGTATTGGAGAATGAAAGTTTTGTAGTAAAAAAATGATTCTTTAAGTAAAAATTAAAATTTTAATATCCATTTAAATTTGTTAACCTGAGAGATCCTTCTCCATACTGGTGTCAATCTTAAACTTATGACTTGAAGAGCTAAGATCTTCAGATTTCAGGATCAACTGATTTTTTTTTCCTCTAAGTATTGCGTTACTTAAATTCCTTCCTCATATTTATGAACTTTATGAATCACATAATTCAACAATAAAGACTAGGAAGAAGAATTGATATTTCCAAAGTCCCAAAGCTGGTGTGGAACACGGCCAGATTAACAACTATACCAGCACTATGGGTTCTCCAATCTGGAAGTTTGGAGAGAAAAGCACTGTAGCTCATTCTTTATCATTTGTTTTATTGGACTATTATGTTATTTCTTCTGTTTTAAGATGAAACTCAGAGGAAGCTCAATTACAGAATCCCATAACATTATTTGTATATACAATTCCAGCCCTGCCCTACATTTAATTTTATCTCTGAAAGGACTAATCTAAGCTCTACAAGTCTGTTTTAGGGCTGGAATAAGACCTGAAAGCAAAAGACAGAAAGTGAGATTATCCAGTTTAAGCAATAATAAAGCTACTTTTTAAAGAACTGTTTTCTACCAAGTTTTATTATATAAGTTCTGCCCAAAAGTGTGCAGAAAAAAAAAAAGGAACTAGCTGACAGTGTCCTATGACAGCACAGTTTATATCTCTTCTTCAGAATTTTAACTGAAGCTTTTCAACAGTCCTGGCTAAATCACCAGATGGGTTTGAAAGAATGTCATTACCAAGTCCTTATGTGAGTTGGCAAATAGAAGCAAACAAAAGCTTTGTGCTTTATTCGGACCAACCCATGCTGAGGAGTCCAAAGTCTGAATTTTTTTTGAAATATTTTTGTCTACGAAATATTTCTTGATTGAACGTTGTAACTCTCTTCCCCACCCTTGTCTCTCTTTAAGGAAGAAACACAAGATATTTAAGCTTAGACCTCATAAGAATAAGACTTTTCAAATGAGCACAAATTTCTAAAGGCGCTTCGTAAAACAGAGGCCGAATCAAAGAGAATGGCAAATAACAGTATTTTGATGACGACTGAAACCTCTGGGTATTTAAACTACGCATAAATAGACTGTGTGTTTGTATGTATATATATAGATACATATTTTTTCCTTTTGTATACTCTTTTCTCTCATATGATACTTGTGACATAAAACAGATGGTGGTTCTGTCCTCAGAAAAAAGAGAAATCAATGTGACTAGATACCAGTGCTTTTGGAAGGTTTTGTCTTTTGGATTGAAGCAGTTTCCCACCTGAAACTGAGTTTCACAGAAAGCAAGGCACAACCATTTCCAAGAAGAATTCTTTTAAGCTGTATCTGTATAGGGCGGCCACCTGGGTTGTAGAAAGGTCCATCTGTTCATGTTAGCAGTCTCTGTAAGAGGCAGGGATGGCTACTGCTAAATTGAATGTTCCACATACCTCCATGATCACTGAGAAGGGAAGCACCAAATGGCTCACCCATGCTGTGGCCCATTCATGTGAGAACATTGCTGCCACAGTGAAGAGCAAACATGGCAGATGTCCTCAACAGGGAAGAACAAGCAGCATATTTGCGAACTGTGCTCCTGGTCATACTTGACTTGTGAAGGATTGGGGTAAACAAGTGCACAGAATGTTGACTGAGTTAGGGGTGGGGAAGCAGAGAAACACACTAGTCTGAAACAATATTAACACATTAATTATATTTTACTATGTATTCAGTAATTTAGTTATAACATTTGTTGTATGGCCTTATTGCCTCAGTTTATATAGAAATTCTAAATTCTGTCTTGGTTAAGAGATGAGAGTTCTTTTCTTTTCATGTCTTCATTTTTCAAAACAAAACAAAACAAAACATTTCATTCTGCCACCCTCAGTTAAAGGGAATTCACAGGCATCTAAGACAGGTGCATGGTAGTGTTGTCTGCGGGAAATGGAGGAAGCATCCCATATTGGAGGATAGCTCAGGAGCCCTGCGTTCCTTCCATGTTTTTCCCTTAGCCTTCTGACAAAAGATTATTTTCACCCTTCCCTCATGAAGGAGTCAGATCACTCAGAGACATTCATCTTGTCTTCTCCTTCTCTCAGGCTCATTGTTATGTAGCCTTTGAGATAGAAAAACTTACTTTGCAACCTTACATTCATTTCTTTTTATTTAGACCTTAGGGCAAATGTTTTCTTGAGTATTTGTTTCTGCCTTTGGTTATGCTTAAAAGGAAAAATGCCCTACAGACTACCACTGGCAGAGCAGAAAGGCAGGGAAATACATAAAACATCCACAAATTTTTCCATCAAGAAATAATCCTAAATTTTCAAATACATGATGACATTTTCCTCAGAATAATCCTCTAGGTAGATACCACTAGCCTTTCTGTACAGATGAGAAAACTGGGACTCAGAGAGGTGCTAATTTATCTACTTTTGTTCAGCTGAAAACTGAGAAAGGTGCCCTCTCTTACACGCAAAGTTTGACAAAGATTCTCTCCTTGACCAAACTCCAGCCAGACTTCTTTGAGCCCTCTTCTCAACTAAGCCTCAACTTTGGCCTACAAAGACTCGAGTAAACCCTAACACAGTTTCTAACAGCTCAAGACCACCTCCCTAATACGATCCTAGTAACCACCCTTAAATTGCCTGCTAAGAAAACTCAAGGCTGCCAAAAAATTTTTACTGTTTGTTCTAGCCAACACTTGAGGATGCCGACTGGGGCCTCTGTGTTCCATTCTTTGTGAAAAGATGAATCCTGTCCTTGATTATTGCCAGCTGGTAGATATTGCTTTTCTAATGGCATCTACACTGATCGATCCTGTGTCATTTTTCACTTCCCTAACTCTGCTAAGCCCCTACTCGACCCACTTTCTACTCCTTAATTTTCCTTTCAAGATATGCATTTACCTCTATACAAGTCAAAGTTGAGTTCAGTTCATGCTGGACTCATTTCCCTACTGCAATAGTTATTACTGATTAAAATCTGTTCTTACTAGTGTTCAGCTTCATTTATCTTTGACAAGCTGTAAGTTGACATGAGTGCACATTAAAATTATAAAATCTTTCCACTTTTTGTTGCCTGTTAGAGTTCTAATAGGGTTATAATCCCTCAAAGTAAGATACTATCATTGTTTGTAAGCTTCCTGAAAGCAAAGATCAAATTCCTTCTACTCACTATTGTGATCACCACACTTAACACACTGCCTGGCACATAAATGTTCAGTAAATATCTGTTTATTGGGAAGGGTAAGACACACAGATAGAACCATAATTCATATGCTCTCCAATATTTCTTTTCTTATGCAGACAAAAGCCAATGTTCTCCTTAGCCTTAAGTTATAGGGTCAGATGGATTAACTTACACATATGTGGAGATTTCAGTGTTTCCTGAGTTGTATCGTATATTGGCTACTTGCAGTGTTACTTCTGTATGCAATACCCTGATAAATAATGGGAGTATGTAAAGGAAAATATTTCATTTATTTAGCTATTTGTGTGCGAGCAGGACCTACTTAACTTTGCAGAGTGAGCAAAGAAAAAGAGTCCACAGTCTCTCCTTTACTCTTCTCTCTGTCATCAAGAGGTATATTTCTTCCCTTTGTGTATTTTATATACTTTCATAAAAATATTTTTACAAAAAATTTTACTCATGCAGAGGCCGTGGAAAGCTCTATAAAAATGTTGCCCCCTATTATTGAAAAGGGAGGCAGTTCTTGCCAGAACAAATTTTTCAAATGAGCCTAAGAAAGGTTTGATTTAGAAAAAAGAAAATGGCAATCACAGTTTATCCAGAAAGGAAAGAAAAATGCTGTGCTTCAATTCAAAGCATCTTAGAATACAGTACGCTGACTCTTTTGTGGAAGGGAAAATACAGAAAACTCAAAACCCAGTTACCTTTCTAGCACCTTCGCATTAGTTTTATTGTCTTTATTTGATCTGCCAGGTTTATAGCACTTTCACGTGTGCATTTCTCATTGCTTTTCAGAAAGTGTTGTCATGCCTGTAGAGTTCCAGGGGCAGAAATGCAACATGTTGCCAAGAAAAAATGGTGATGTTTACCGACAACATTCCAGATAGATGTTAGTTTATAAACATTACAAAGTATGAATTTTATAGACATGGTCATATATCAGTCTTACATGTATATTTCTGACATACATGCATTTTAAGTTAGATAGAAAATTCATGTACACATTGTGTAACTTAAGGATAGTGTGTGTTTGTGTGTGTGTGTGTATGTGTATATATATGTGTGTGTATATATATATGTGTGTATATATATATATACACACACACATATATGTATATATATAATGCTATTCATTCCATCTCACTGGCTCAGCCCAATAGAGAAAAGATAAAAGGGTTTATGTTTATCTTTATAAATTGATTTTTCTATTTTCCAAGCTTGATGTGGGCCAGAGGTAAAGAGGTTAGTACTCTGCAAAAATGGAAATAACCTTTTCTCTTTCTTTGTGATAATGAAAGCATACAGTACACATATCAGCTAGTTTCAAAAAATGCTGAGTCCTTGCTTATTTTCTGCTTCAGTAATCTTTATTGAACAGCAGTCCTGTTCTACATGAATAATATTTGTTTTCTTTGGAGGGGGGTCTGTACAATTCTTTTTCTAAAATTCATTGTATACCAGTCTCATCTAGACTTCCCTACAGCTGTTTATGGGAGTAAGCTGGCTCAAGGGATTAGAGGCTGCAAAGGAACATTAAACATAATGCTAATATTTAGAGTTTTTCTGTGTTGTAAAATAAATATTCTAGGGCCGATTTCTTCAAAGAGTCTCTTCCTAGATGACAGAATTCTTATCTAGTACAAGCTTGTGAAATGATTGCCTCAAATTCATCAATAATATATTAAGACAAAGTCTAAGAGAAAAATCCTGAAAGTGCTGAGTGTTGTATCATAAGTAGGCTTATTGGGTGGATCTGCTAAAACAGCAAGGACATGTGTGCCCATCCCATTTCTGTCTATAAACTGCTATCAGGCTAAATATGTGCTAACAAAAATGACCAACCAGTATTAGTTGCCAAACATAGGAAATAGCATATTTTTCCCAGCAAGTCCCACTGAATTCCCCGTGTCTGAGTCTTTAATGGTGCTATGAAAGGAAAAACGGCAAAGTTACATATAATCATTCAGTTTATCATTTTTTTTTGCACTTTTGCAAGCTACCTTGGATCATTTCCAAAGCTGTGCAAGGACAGTAGTGAATCAAAGGAGAAAATTTAAAAGTCAAAGGAGAAGATCTAAATCCAAAAGACACTAGCTAACAAAAATCTTTCTGTGTCTTTGGCAAAGATTCCAGAAGCACAGTTGAATCTAATTTTTTTGAGATGGAACTCTGGTATGGGGGAACACAATTTCTCTGAAGGCAAAGATTCTACCAGAAACAAACTATGGCTGAAAAAAAAAGAGAGAGGGAGAGAGAGAACAAGAAAGAAAGACCATCTCCTGCCGAAATCTCTGTGCCTAAAAACAAAAGATCTTAACCACCACCTGTGGCAGACTGCCACGGTTACTTGAGATCTTCACTGCAAGAGTTACTATTTGAGACCATCACTGTGACAGTTACTACTGTTACTACTTGAGATGACATTACGACAGTTATTATTGTTACTACTTGAGACTGTGACTAGGTCACTACGAGACTGAACAAAGGGACGAACATAGAAATGAAAACTTAAGACAAAAGAAACTGTTTTAAAGGGAGGGGGAACCGGGCAAGAAGAAGAGAGCTCCCTGCTTCTAGTGATCAAAAGCAGCCCCTGAGCTTCCACAGCCCTTTCTGTTTATTGGGTAGCAAGAGCAGGGAGGAGGAGGTAATGATTGGTCAGCTGCTTAATTGATAACAGGTTCATATTATTACTAAAAGGCTTCAGATGTACCTAATTGCAAGAAACACTGCGCTTGGGGGTGTGACTGCCCTCAGCATTCCTTCTGGGTGGCAGATGCAGTTTGTCAGTTTGCCAGCATTCTGCATTTATGACAAACAGTTTGCTGTTTATTCATATAGCCTCCAGTGGTACACCAAGTTGATCACAACCCTCGCTCTTTCGGCCTCCAACAACCACCCACAATACCAGCTTGATCTCACAGTGAAGTTCTTCAAGTATCCTGATAATAGAAATTAAAATGGAATAACTACGCTAAGAAGATGCAGTTTAAATTATTTTTCAGTATTTTATTCCAAAAATTGGGAATGCCATGCTGTTATATAATTGTTGTCTTTTCCTGAGGAAAAATATTCTAGAATTTGAACAATACTCACTATTCTGAAGATTACCAGTGAATGCAAGCAAAAGTGGCAAAAGGGATACGGAATCATAGAATACTGTATTCACAGAATCATTTTGCCTAGAAAACTAAACACTGTTGCCCTGTGAGAAGTTTTTTCCATCCCATAAGAAATTAGGTGACTCCCCAGATGGTATATTTTAGAAGTACCAGGAAGTCTCTTTTTCCCAAAACTTTTTCTTTATTGCTGTAATTTCTTAAATAGAAACAACAGCATTCATTTAAAAGGAACTAAAGAGTCAATAAGGAAACGAATACCTTCTGACATCTTCAACTATGTGCTAGAATTAGAACCGGAATTATTTAATAAATTATCTCATCTAATTCACAATGAGTAACAAATAGGTCATTTAGTCATGTCTCTATCACACTTGCATCTCATTCACTTATTCTAAAAATACTCATTGAGCACCTATTCTGGCCTAAGCAACATATAAATTCCCGATAACATAGAGGTGGAAAAAATAATCATAGGCAAAGCTTTCAGAAGGTAAAATGGTTATTAATTCAGCCAGTAATGCTAGCTGATTCTAGAATTTGGGCAGAATGCTATGAAGAGAAAGACAAGTAGGTAAAGCGAAGAAAATTTAGCAAGACATCAGTGACAAGTGATAATATAATGAGATGGAGTCTTTGAGGGATACATTAAAAAGATCATGTTATTTCCAGTTGGATTGGCAGTCTCATTCACTCCATAGTCTTACCATAATGCTCACTTTTTATAAGATGATAAACAGCTTTATTGATAACAAACTAAAAATCAGAATTAACAAAATGCATTGGAGACAGAATTTTTAATTCCTACTGTAGATGAAAACCATGATGTCAAAAGAAGTTTAAAAAGCATTTTACTTAAAAATCATACAACTGTGTTTCACAACTGAGATTTTAATCCAGCTCTGAATACAAAGTATCCTATATATGCTGCTTTCTTTAAAAACAGTAAGAAGCAAGTATGTCAGAATAAAGAAGATGGTGAGTCAAGAGCTACAGAGATATAAAACACTGATATTCTGGCTTTCAGAATTCTGGGCTTTATAGGAAAGGGAAAATGAATAAAAACTGTTGACTACATACAATAATTTTGCTCAATGTCCAAATTTGCCTTTCATTATACTAGAAACCATGATTTCATATTCTTGCTGTACATAAATGATACATGGTATGGTGTTTGGGGTCTAGGCAGAGTGTTGGGGTATTTATATTTATTAGAAATATTTTGTTAAATTTGAGAAAAGGTTTTCAATTACAATTAATTACATTTTTAAACATTTGACACCTCGGCAACAAATCTAAACCTCAAGACCAGTGGTCATTTATTCTGATATTATAATATTTCTACAGAAAATCATATTTATTAAAAGAATCTTAGAGTTGAAAGAGACTTTAAGAATCACCTAGTTTAGCTTCTCGGAGAGCAATGTTCAATAGATTCTGTGAGACTCCATGAGAAGGACTAAACCTTCTGATTTAATCCTAAGTTATTGATTAGGCCTAGAATGTACACAGCTGGGACTACATAACAACATCAAAATTTAGTGGCTTAAAACAACATCTCATTATATTCTGAGGTTCTCTGGGTTGACTGGCCTCAATGTAGCATTTCTTGCTTGGGATATTTCATGTGGTGTTTGTCAAATGATGCTGGTACTGGAATTACCTGAAAACTGACCTAGTTGATGTTGGCTGCTGTTTGGATGTTTAGTTAGGCACTTAAGTATGAAAAGTACACATGCTCTCTATATGTGACTTGGGCTTCTTCTGCAAGCATGGTGTTTGAATTTCAAGAGCAAGAATCCTTTTTTTTTTTTTTTTTTAGTGGAGATGGGGTTTTGTCATGTTGACCAGGCTGGTCTCAGACTCCTGACTTCAGGTGATCTGCCCACCTCGGCCTCCCAAAGTGCTGATTACAGATGTGAGCCACTGCACCTGGCCTGAGCTAGAATCCATGAGCAAGTCTTCCAAGAGCTTGCCAACAAAGCAGAAGTTTTAAAGCATCTCATGACTTGACCTGGGAAGTCCCAGACATCATTTTCACCAAGATCTATTATTCAAGCAAGTCACTAAGCCTACTCTCCATCTATGGGAAGGGGATACACCTTTTAATATGCCCTTTTATGTGAAAGGCAACATGTGCACATAAGAAGGAAAGGGACTGATGATGGCTATCTTTGGATAACATTTGCCAAAATGTCTTTCCTTTGTATGTTGTTATATCAGGTGAGGTCTTACTTTGCCCCATTGTATTGCTTTTTTCCCTCCTACCTTCTAATCTTTTTTTGTGGGCATAGAGGAAAATACTTTTGGATGGGAAATAATAGATCAAAGATGATTTTGTTTCAACTGTGTCAATTCTGGGCCAAATGAATACCTTGAAACTAAACAAAATAAGCCTAATCCTTCTCATTGAATTTCATATAGTCTACTGAATTCTGCCTTCTAAAGAGATAAACTAAATGGTTTTTAAAATCTTTTCCAATTCTAAGATGTTGTAAGATCAGATAATTTTTTGTAGAAATATCTGCCTCGTTAACTAACATTATATAATTTTATAAACTCTGCTACTAGAAAATATTCCATTATTAGAGGTCTTCTTTTCTTTCTTGGCAAATAATTTGCTCAAGGTTTAATGAACTTACCTTGTAGGAAATCGTGTTTTGAAGGAAGAAGAAGAAAATCTCTATTATTGTTATGCTGGAATCACCATCCAGTACATAATGCACCTAAGTTTTTGCTACCCTCAATAGTTCCTAAAATGTAGTAACTACTCAGTAAATTTCTGTTGAATCTTGAATGGTTGAAAAAAATGCATGTGTGTATGACATAGTTGGCACAGTCTGAAATAGCACACAGATGTGTTCTTGAAATCCTAGGAAAGACAATTCTATTTTATTGAGTTTTGCAATCATGGATGCAAACACAGAATAATAATATATGTGACGTTCCCATGCTATAGTATAACTAGATTCATAATTTCTGATCTTTGTTGCACAGATCTGTATGTCATGGTCACTAATAACTCAGGCCCCAAGGGACATTTCCTAATTGTGCTCCAGAGGTTCAACAAAATGCTGGATGCTTTGAGTCAGGTAATGAGATTATAAACTTAGTAGATAGTGAAAAGATCAGGTTCCTAATATAAATCCTCCAAAGACCTTTCTAAGATATAATTTTCATTTCGATTCTGTTTCTTGGCAAAAAAATCTTCCAACTCCCTCTGAGACTGCAGGCCAATGCATGCATAGTCTGCCTCTGTCTCTATAAGAAAGCAGACACAAAGGCAATGCAGTTTGAGTTGGTCAGGTGCCCCAGCATCTGTGCTTCCAAAGTGACTGTTAATGTTTTAGGTAATGGGCACCCTGGTGGTTCTGGCTCATATCCATGTGGCCTGAAAGGCCATGTACTCTGACACTTTCTGAAATAGTGTCACTAAAATCCTGACACTCCTTTTCCTAATCACTGATTAAGAAACTGTGATTGATTCAAATATGAAATTATGATTTCACAAGTCTTTCTATTAGCCTGGGAACAGATGTACTGCTATATTGCCAGAATTCGAGTGCTTTGGCTTTGCTCCAAACTGTGCCTTGCACATATACCAGTTTTGTTAGAGAAAAGCTTTGTGTACAAAGAATAATTAGACAAATTCTTTAGGTTATAAATCTTTTCGTCCTTCTCTACTTAAAAAAAAAAACCCTTGCAACAAATAATATTTTTAAAATATTTATGTGCTTTTTACTCTTTATATTTCCTTATACATATTTTTTTCTTTATTGCCCCAAGGCATGGTTCTACTTCAAGGCCAGGGGTTAGGGAAGTGCCAGGAGGGTACTACAGCAATTACAGCATGACTACAGTTAAGATTCTTTTTTTCCAACTACTATTAAATTTTAAAGTCTCCAGAAAGTCAACCGTGCAAACTAGAGTTTGTCTATAAAAATAGTTTGCATTCATGTTCTTATCATCTTTCTTTTATTTAAAATATAAAGTGGTAACCCTTGTCAACATGACCGTACAGCTTTACAGAGTGGAATTCTTTTCCAAACAGGAAGAAAACTGAGGATAAGCTATTTCCAGTCCTGACAGATTGTGGAGAAAAAAAAGAGAAAGTTAAGAAAAAGAGGAGATGAAAGACATGTTTAAACATTGCTTTTCCAAGTTCAAGCCCTCAAGCAGGAAAATGTGTAAGATGGGTGAAAAGGAATCCTCTTGGTAGACAGAACTCTATTTTGCTTTGCATTTGAACTCAAGGAAGAGACTGCTGGGAAGGGTATCCCTATAACCTCACAAAGTAATTCCAAATAATCAAACAAAGACCGAGTAATAGCATAATCAGATGGACAGGAAACCTAGTTAGCACTCAAGCGTTACCATTAACCATGAGGTCCAAAGTGAGAAACAAGTTCATGCATGCCTCTTAAGAGTCAGGGAGTGTGGTAGGCAGCTTCTAAGGTGGCCCAAATGATCTTTACCTCCTGGTATTCCCAGGCTTGTGAAATCTCCTTTTGATTAACTTGCTTTTAACCAACAGAATGAGATAACCTGGAGGAGATGTCACTTCTGTTATTGGTTTCCAATATTATGACTTCTGTCTTGCTAACAGATTCACTATTGCTTTCTCAGCTGGCATGCTTTAATGAAGCCAACTGCCATGTTGGAGAGGTCTACATGGCAGAAAGCTAAGGGAAGCTGTGTTAGTCTTCTCAGGCTGCCATAACAGAATACCACAGACTGGGTAGATTAAATAACAGAAATTTATTTTCTTACAGGTCTGGAAACCAGAAGTCCAAGATCAAGGTGTCTGTAGAGTTGGTTTCTGGTGAAGCCTCTCTCCTTGGGTTGCAGATGGGCATATGGCCTTTGCCCTTATATAGCCTCTCATTGGTGTGCACATGGAGAGAAATATATCTCTGGCCTTCCCCTCCTTTTAAGAACTCCAGTCCTATTTGATTAGATTTCTACCTTTATTATCTCATTTAACCTTAATTACTTCCTTAAAGGCCCTATTTCAAATACAGTTACCTTGAGGGTTAGGCCTTCAACATATAAATGTAAGGGGACACAATTCAGTTCATAACAGTAGCTTCTCACCAACAGCTAATGAGGATCTGAGGCCCTCAGTCCATTAGCTAACTAGGAACTTAATGCTGCCAACAAGCAATAAGTAAGCTTGGAAACAGATTCTTTCCCAGTTGAGTCTTCAGATGAGACTGCAGACCCTGAGCCAATGCCTTGATTTTGGGATTCTGAAAAATTATAAAGCCAAGGACACAAATAAGCCAGGCCAAGATTCTTGGAGGACAGAATCTGTGAAATGGTAAATATGTGTTATTTTAAGGCATGCAGTTTTGTGGTAAGTTGTTAGACAATAATAAAAAACTAATACAGAGCAGTAGATTTGCTTAGAGCCAGGAGGTCATCCATGGAGTCCAGGAATCAGGTAAGCACCTTGTGTAGTAATGAAAAGAGTGATTTTGCTGAAGCAAACCTTCTGTCTCTTTTCAGTATGTTAGAGAAGCAGAGAAGTTTTAGTGTGGTTAAGAACATGGGTCCTAAAATCAGACAAATCTGAGTTCTAATTCCTCTGGCACTTCATAGCAGTGCATCTGTGGACAAGCTACTTTATAGCAAAAGTGAATGCAGCATAAGAAATTCAAAGCAAAGTAGTATAATATTTAAAATGATTATAATAACTATGCTGAGCAATACGTGAAATAAAGGTGAATTATTTGGCATATAAGATGTATTTAATTAACATTAGCTTTTATTGTTAGCCTGCAAGTAGGAAAAGGGAGTAAGGCTTGGTTTTACCACTTATTGAGTTCCTGATATGTGCTATATGTATAATATGCTATATATAAACTCCATATAATCTTGCATAGTCTATGTATGATTTTATATATATATATATATATATATATATATATATATGATCTTGCACCCTCTTTCAGAATTATCCTAGTTACTATTATCTTTATTTTTGCAACAGAAATCTCAGCTATTGTAAATGACAATGGCTAGAGTTATATAGATTCCATGGGAATTTGAATCTAGAGCCATGGGTTCTAAGAACCCTGACCCTTTTTGTTGCATCATGTCTCCAAAATTATGACAAAACCTTCACAAATATCTATGGTGATTACTTAGTATACTGCAAAGTTGAGTGCCATCCTCTCGCCAAGCAGAAAATTCAGTGACAACAAAATACTCATTGGTTCAAGCAGTTTTCAATTTGGATTGAATCCCTTTTTTTTTTTTTTATCATTTCTGTTAATGTCATGGCCACATCAGAAAGAGATTATCATTGGTTAATTCAAAATGGCTTTATTCAATTTATTTGATTCACTTCACAAAAGAGAGAAGTAGGTTTTATTTCCCATTGCTTATGAACAAAATAGGGTCATCACCCCTTGCATTGCATTGATTTGATTTTTGTTCACATCTTTCTAACATCCTTCATTAGTTGCAACTGGACTATTATAGCTTCCTGAAATTGATCAAGTTTACATTGGGAAAGATGCTTTTTGAGGGAGAAATCAGAAACATGAAAGGATTTTTCCAGCACTTTGGGAGGCCGAGGCAGGTGGATCACCTGAGGTCATGAGTTTGAGACTAGCCTGGCCAACATGGCGAAACCCTGTCTCTACTGAAAATACAAAAATTAGATGAGCCTTGTGGAATGCGCCTGTAATCCCAGCTACTTGGGGGCTGAGGCAGGAGAATAGCTTGAACCTGGGAAGCAGAGGTTGCAGTGAGCCAAGATGGTGCCACTGCACTCCAGCCTGGGTGACAGAATGAGACACCGTCTCAAAAAAAAAAAAAAAAAGGATTATTTTTCTTTCCTATTAATAAGACAGACGTGACTACTTAAATTGGCATGATAACCTTCTAGTTCCTTGCCCTCTTATGGAACAAATCACACTGCTGTGTGTATATATTTCTTGCGATTTCTCAATATGCTCTAAATGTTGCATCTAGAAAATACAACGGTCAGGTTTTATAAGAGCATCAGTGAACTATCAGGCCCATCCCACAAAGAATGACAAGAAGACAAAAAATGAGACCAGCGAGAAAAACAATAGATAAATAATGTCCGAGTCAAATGGGTTGAATACACAGAAGCTAGGAACAAACATAGGAAATTATAAACCATCCTAGTCAAGACATTTTCAGATCCTGTGTTTCCATGAACTGCAGAAAATTGCCTGTTAAAATGATACCGAGAGAGAGAAAGAGAGAGAGAGAGGGAGGGAGAGAGGGAGAGAGGAAAAAAATTTGAGTGTGCTTTATTTCTCCTAGTCATTTGTTATACACTCCAAAATCCAGTAAATATATCCAAGGACGTATTGACCATGAATTTAGCCTTTCTATTCCTTGGGGAAAGAAAAGGATATTTGACACAAAATGATCAGTTATGATGAACACAAAGCAAAGTGGCTTCAGCAATTCTCTGGTGCTCTGCTGGTTTCCTTCAATCTTTACAGGCTATTTTGCTGTTGTTATTTTTTTTCACCCTACATCTTTTCTCTTTTCTTGTTCTTTATTGAGTTTAATTACAGTTACTGTTCATGGGCTGTTGAGCTTAAAAATCATTTGCTGCCTTGTATATTTACCCTGCACTTGATTCATTCACAGCTGTTCATCAGTGTCATCCTATTCAGGTTGGGGAGTGAAATTGCTTATCTTTATGGAGCAAAAGAAGCATTTTCATTTACTCAAGGTCTATAAAGAAAGAATAATGAAATGATTATAATGGTAATTCTTTAGTTCAATTTATTTTAAGTTTTCTTTTATGTGCCAATACCGCGGTTTATTTTTGATGATCCTATTAACTATGGTCACTAATTCCTGGAGATAGCTGAATGAATAAAGCTGCCTACACCTGTTCTAGAAAAACTAGGTCAAAGTCTATTGGCCACAGATGAAAGCATATTGGCATCTCTACCTCAATACTGATATCTATGAACTGGCTTTACCTCGTAATCTTAATTTGAGTGACATAAAATAAATTTTCTCTGCATAAAAGTTTTGCAGGACTACCTGGCAGTTTTACATTTTAAGTCTCTTCTTTGAATGATTATCTTAAAGTAACTTTTTTAATATGCAAGATGTTTTCTGGGAGAAGCAACACATTAGCTATCATCAGCATACGGAATTTGTTTATAGATGACAGAGTTGCAAGTAAACTTCATTTCAGGAAGAAGCATTGGAACTCTCTTCCATGGGGCCAGCCCCTTCAGTGAAGTCCCCAGAGAACTCTTCACAAAGTGTGGTATGCCGACTTCCTCTTTTTACCATTAAGATCACCAACTAACCCACACCTAAAATATATAGTTTGAAGGTTGTTGAAAATCATACATAAAGTAAGTGAAAAAATATTTGAGCAATGCCATAAAATAGAAGGTCACCTACTGTAACTCTCCTTCATTAAAAGGCAAAGAGTCACCAGACTTAGAGGTTTTAAATGAATTGATTGCATAACCAAAGTTGCATGGCTTATTAAAAAGTTCAAGAAAGAGAATATCCATAGAAGCAAGCTACCACTGAATCTGGCATTTTCCCTGGAGGCATGTGCCAATCTAAGGTCACTTATATACTAGGAGTCAAAGTCAAATTTGGGGGTCCTGAATATAATGGAAGCTTAAATCAAATACACCCACATAAATACATAAAACCAGGACTCCCAAAAAGTGATAACCTCAGCATCTTCAGGGTGAGGCAGACTGTTTTGAAGAAAGAGAAAGAAGTGGGAATACTTGCTTACTTTAGCTTTTGGCCAAAAGAAAACTTTTCCTGAAAATTTCTAGCTACGTGCTGGTGAAAGGCCAGTATGCATACAACTTGGGTTACTCAGGCTATCCAAAGAAGGAAATAAATTTAAGTTGGAGCGATTCTCAGTGGTAGTGCCTCTAGGAACCTGGCAGAAATAAAGGATAACTTTCTCTGGAGGACCATACTTTGACCAGCCCTCAAAATAATTATACTGATAACATGAAGAAAAAAATCTTGCAATGAAAAATTAATACCCAAATAAATGAATTAGACCACACAAACTATAGACTCAAAGTTATCAGATATAAAACAGTAAATATGTTTATATTATATTATTTTAAAAAGAAACATTATAAAAAGGAATTTAAAGACATACAAGCAATCAAACACAAGTACTTTAATTTGAAAAAGAAACAAGCAGATTTCTTAAAAGAGAGTGTAAAAATTCAACGAATTGGATAAAGAGTAAATTAAACACAAATTAACAGGTTACTAGTGCACTGAAAGACAGAAATAAACATGTTAAAAGAATATTACAGAAAGCAAAATGATGGAAACAAGAGAAGCTGGGAGATAAGGAGGATAGAGTGGTTAAGTATGCCATATGTCTAAATATATAGAGACAGAAGAGATGGAAAATATTTGAGGAGATGAATGAAGAGAGATTTTTCTTAATGGATGAAAGTCACAAATATTCAGATTAAGAAACCACAGAGACTGTCAAACAGTATAAATTAAAAAAAAAATCCACAAGTATTTACACCATAAGAGAACTACAGAATCCTAAGGAAATAAAATACATTAAATGCAAGCAAAATGATAGAACAGTAAACAAATAACTGGCAATTTGGCCACAGACAACATACTAGATGTTTAAAAAAAACAGCAGAATAATATCCTCAATGTAAAATCTAGAGCTATATACCCTTCAATATATATTTTTTGAGAAAAAAGATAAAATGAAGACAGTTTAAAACAGAGATGAAAATCATCGAGTAAGCTTTTCACAAATAGATCCTTCCTTAAAGAAATGATAAAGGATGTACCTCAGAGAGAGAATCACCTCAAAGGTCCACCTTTTGTATGTGAAATGTGCATGTTAATATTTATTTTTTTAACTTTTATTTTAGGTTAAGGATACACGTGCAAGTTTGTTATATAGGTAAATTGTATGTCACAGGGGTTTGGTGTACAGATTATTTCATCACCCAGGTAATAAATACAGTACCTGATAAGTTGCAGATAAAAGGGAATGCTTATACACCACTAGTGGGAATGTAAATTAGTTCAGCCATTGTGGAAAGCAGTTTGCCAATTTCTCAGAGAACTCAAAGCAGAATTACCATTCAATCCAGCAATTCCATTATTGGGTATACATCCAAAAGTGTATAAATCATTCTACCAAAAGACACATGCACGCATATGTTTATCACAACACTATTCATAATAGCAGAGACACGGAAACATCCTAAATGTCCATTAAGGATAGACTGGATAAAGAAAATGTGGTACATATACACCGTGGAATACTATGCAGTCATAAAAAAAATGAGATCATATCCTTTGCAGGAACATAGATGGAGCTGGAGGTCATTATCCTTAGCAAACTAACACAGGAACAGAAAACCAAATACACATGTTCTCATTTGTAAGTGGGACCTAAACAATGAGTACATATGGACACAAAGAAGGGAACAACAGACACAGGGCCTACTTGAGGGCAGAGGAAGAGAAGAGGGTAATGATTTAAAAAAACTGCATGTTAAAATTTCTACTGTGACCACTAATGTATAAACTGTATAGAAAAGATATTAAATAATAATTATGACTACTGTTAAAACAAAACTCATTCAATCTTAAAATACAAGAGAATAAAAAGAATAAATGAAAAGCACAAACAATAGTTTAGATTTTTTTAAAATTTGTAATCAAAATAAAAACAAAATGATCTAATATCTCCAGTTAAAATACAAATATTTTCAGTCTGTGATTTTAAAAAATTATCTGTAGTTTAGAACCCAGAAGGGTTCTAAAACCCCTACGAACCGAGGTCGATATTAAAATAACAAAAGAAACATGCTGAGCTAATAACAAGAAAATGTCTTATTTTTGCTCAACTGCCATGAAAGAAAATAGAAATGAAAGCAAAAATTACTAGAGGTAAAGAAGACATACATTAATAAGAGGTTTAATTTTTTGGTAAAAAAAATTCTATATATGTATGAGCATAATAACGCAGTCAAAATATACGAAGAAATAACTGGCACAAATACAAGAAAAAGTTAATTTAAATTAAATAACAAAATGAACAAGGTTGACATTAATAATGTACACAACAGAAGGTTTAACCATTGATGCATCATTGATTAAAATAAGTCATATTTCATACATATACCTAACCACAAAGTAAATCTTAAATTAAAACAAAAGATATCACAAATGACTATATTCTCTGACTGCAAAGTAAAACATTCTGAATAAAGTTAACAAAGTTGATTCTTAAGGCCTGTGCATTTGTAAATTAAAAACAAAACTTTTAAATAATAGAATCTAATGTCAAAGAATAAATAGCTTTATAAATAAAAATATTTGGCACTAAAGCATAGTAAAAATACTAAATATTAAACTTGTAAGAGATTACAAAAACGAACTCAAGGTATAATAAAGAATCTAAATTAGTCCTGTAATCATAAAATAATTGAATCTTCAGTAGAAAACTATCCCAAATGAGACTTCCAGACTTACATGGTTTTAGAGATAAACTCAACGAAACATTTGAGGAACAGAAAATTTCTTTCTTCAAGGCAGAAAGAGAAAATAGAAATATTCTCCAACTCACTTTATAAGGTGAACATAACACACACCAAAACAAGAAAATAAAATTGTAAGAAAGGAAAATTAGAACAATCTCCTTCATGGGCCTAAAAACAAACATCCTCAATTCAATAATAAAGAATACATTAATACATACATATATTTAAATTGAATTATATGGCAATGAAAATAAATGAAACATAACTACTGTATGGGTGAATTTCAGAAACATAACAGTGAAGAAAAAAAGAACAAAGAAATACACTTAATGTTTTTATTCCTAAAAAGGCCAAAGATAAAATACTAAAGAATGTATGGCTTAAGATTCATGCTTAAATATTTAAAACTTAAAGTATAGCAAGAGAACAATAAATATTACATTCAGGTCAGCGGTTATATTTAAGGAGGGAAGAAGTGAATTATAATCTGGGAGAGGCCCACAATGTCTTGAAAGATGTTGCTAATATTCTATTTTTTAAGCAAAGTAGTTGATACATTGGATTTTGCTTTATTATGTACCTATATATTATTCATAATCTTATGTATTATATGTATCACAATAAAATATTTTTAATAGAGGGTATTATGCCAATAGCAACATTAAAAAATAATAAGAAACCTGACAACTTAAAGAGTTCATGTTCTTAGTTATTATGGCAGATTAGCTACTTCAATACTTTTTATGTCAAGTGAGGAAGTGGTGGGGAGTCAGTAGGATTTGGGAGGTAGAGTCATATTGCAAATAAACTCTAAATTTCAGTTGAAAGTGTGGATGAGTCGATATGGTAGGTGAAATTCTAGTACAGTAGTATGCATGGAATTTGGAAACTGAGATACTTTGGACTCTGCTTTTATTTACTCATTTAATAAATATTTACTGATAACTAATCTAGACACTGAAGAAAAAGCGGAAAGGCACATTCCCTGGTCTCAGTAACTTTAAAATCTATTAGAGGAGATATATCAATGAGCGGAAAATTATAATATAGCATACAGTGAATAATCACAGGGTTCACATAGAGGAAATATTAAGTCATCGAGATTAGAAGGATAACACAAGAGCTGAGAACAGAAGACCAGGAATTAATCAGGCAAAGAGTGGCGAGAAAGGAAAGGAGAAACAGGGTAGAGTGTTCTAGGCACAGGAAGGAGTATGCACAATGGAACAGATATCAAATGTTTGGAACATTTTAAGACATTCAGGGTGAGTGTATTTTAGGGAAAGAAAGAAGCAAAAGAATACACTATGGAATATAAAAAAGACAGAAAACGAAGGGATTGCAATCAATGTTAGTGAACTTAAAGGTGTTGGGGATCCACTGAAAGATTTTAAGCAGGGCAATGACATATTCTAAAATTGTATTTAAGGAAGATCACTGCAGTGTGAATACTTTGAGTTCGGTCAAGTTTGGAGCATAATAAATAGGAGGCTGTTCTACTTATTAGAATCTAGGTGAGATATAGTATTTTAGGGAGAAGGGGAGAAATGGAAGAATTCAAGACATATTTAGGAAGTGCAAAATCAAAAGAATGCAAAATAATTGGATGTTCAAGGTAACAGGAGGAAGGGCTTATACATGACTTTGAGATTTGGGTTCTGGGGAACTGTGTAGAGCATGGAGCCACTCAGCTCTGGAACTGAGACTACGCAAAATGGAGACAAGATGATGTGTTTTGTTTTAGACAAGTGGAGTTTGAGATGTCTGCGGACTGACCAAGCTAACCTAATTGTAAGCCAGTATTAAGGTCAGAAAATGAATTTGATCTAGAGATAATGATTTAGGAAATATCAATCTCCTTCAGATAACTGAAGATATATCATAGGATTTTGGGAGCTTACTTCCTAATCAGGAAAACTGTGTAGCTATAGAAGAGGGAGAGACTGAGATTCATAAAGAAATCCAATATTTTTAAAGTAGGCAAAAAAATATAGATGTTCCTATATAGGAAGTCAAGAGTTGGGGAAAAAATGAGAGGAAAAGTAGGAGCTTGTAGGTATAGAAGTCATAAGGTCGGGTGAGAATGATCAATAGGAATGCTATAAAGAAGTTTGGTTAAGATCAAGAATGGCAGCTGCTGACCAAAATTGTCAAGAGAGAGGTTTAATGACTGATAAAAACTACACGATCAAGGATAATGACAGAAGGAATGAAGAGAGAACATTTAAACAACAACAAAAGAATATATAGAATCTGGTAGACCAGTTTGTCACATAAGGTACAAAAACAAAACAGAGGAAAAAACTAGGAAAAATATTGCCTCACAGATTTGGAATCTGAGAGAATGAGAAGATGATGGAAAGGTACATGCTTATTACCTTCTTTTTAAAATTACTATTCCATGGGTCCTATAGGTTATGACCATTGAAAGATATCAGTAAATTTACTTCAATCTACTTTAGTGCTTCAGGTCTGAGACACAATCTAGGAACTGCTGTATCAACCTTTATATATATACATATATATATATGCATATATATATTTTTTTTAACTCTTTTTCCACAATCTGGGGGGTATTTTTTCACTTTCTCTGTCTTATCAAGACCTTCTCTCTCTACTATTGAGAAAAATCTAAGAAAACTTCAATTCACAATTAAAAATAAGTTAGATCTCACTTGTGAAATCATTGAGATAGAGTGATTTTATTGGCTTCCAGGAAAGAATCAACCTAGTTTAATTTCCATGTAACTCCAGCTAACAATTAGACCGCAGTCAAAGATGACTGAGAATAGAAATAACCTGTTGACTTCTATAACAAATGTATGTGCATACGTTGCTGAGCTAACTTGATTATGGCATAGTGATTTAGTGCAACATATTCTTTTCAAATGGCTCACAATCAGCATTCGTTATAGATAATTAAAAAGGACACATGGGTTTCCCATCGTACTTTTATCGTGTACAAATGATTTCTCCCAATTAAAGATTCATTGCATACTTTAAGTCATAATTCCTCGAGTTTATACATAATGTAGAAAACTCTTTACCATGGACCACTTGCCAGCAGCAATCTCTTTTATACGATATTAGCATAGGCAGTTCCTCCCTTGTGGTATGTTTCAGCATATCCTGTTAATTTACTAGTAGGTAATATTCTCATTTTAGCCATCTCCTGTGATAACATTAATTAGCATCCAGGAACAGGCCCTTGTAATCTATACTATTGGACTCAGGTTTTTGCTGTTTTATTAGTATTTTTGACCTTGCTTTCACAATAGAACTGCTCAATAAAAGGAAAGCAGCCTTATCTTCTCAGACCTACAGCCCTCATGATATCTATTCTGAGCACAGCCTGTGTACCAAAGAGATCAACAAACCATTCCATTTTTCCCTCCTTCTCTATTTGACTTCCGGGCATTCTTTAAAGTATATTGTTCTTCATTCCCAGCTGGCTGAATTTTACTGTTCACAAAATCTCTTTGAATTTACCTCGTGCTGGAAACCATGTGCTTGCCAAGTCTTGTAGGTCATTTTGCATTTCTCTAAAGGGAAAAAAGGAGAAGGAGATTCTCCTACCACTATATGCTTAGGAAAGGATTTGTCTCAAAAAATTGGCAAAGTCCTCAGGATAAAGGGAAAAATGTAAAGGCAAATAAAATGCATCAATAGATTCAGGCTAACATGGATATTGATAATGGAATCATGAAATATAGTTGAACAGTGTCGTAATACCCATCTTGTCCAAATGCTCCTAAATACGACAATCACTTCTCTAAAGCCAAACTTCATGATCATACAACTCCTTTTTAAATGTCTCAAAAGGTGTCTTGCCACTAATTGCCTCATTAGGATTTTCAACAGCTGCTCTTCTCCTTTGCCTGCTCAGATGGAGTCCCTGAGGTTGAACATATACATACTTAGTGTCCTGTCCTTCCCGGTCCAACTGTAACCAAGACAGCCAACATCCTCTGAGCATTACCCCAAATCAGCAAGTAACATCTGAGCTTAGTTGCACTATGAGCTTAGTATAGGATGGTCCTGGTATGAGCCCTCATCAACTGGATACTTTCTGAAGTTCAGGCTTCCACCAATCTCTGACACACCTTCTCAGAACCATGACTGAGCTTATCCTTGATTACTCAAAGAGAGCTTTCATCTTACATAAGGGCTGAAGCCCTTCCCTAAATTCAGGCTCACCCACACAGAATCCTCAAACTTCAGCTTTTGATAGCTACTTGACTCCGGAAGGCTAAAATGGAAGGCTAATTTTACAAGATTAATAAAATCTAGTTTATTTAGCTAACCTCTACTTCACATCAATTTTCTCCACTCTAATATGGAAGCAAAACAACTTACCTAGTTCCTTGTAAGTTGAGATGCCTCCAAGTGAACAAAATTTTGTTTTCTTCTAAGAACAGAAAACTAAATTGTGCTTTTGTTCTGAATAATTTCATACCTATTAATGCATCATAAAAGAATGTTAAATTTCTTGGCGGGTGCCTGTAGTCCCAACTACTCGGGAGGCTGAGGCAGGAGAATGGCGTGAACCTGGGAGGCAGAGCTTGCAGTGAGCCAAGATGGCGACACTGCACTCCAGCCTGGGCGACAGAGTGAGACTCCGTCTCAAAAAATAATAATAAACAATAAATTTAAAAAAAATGTTAAATTTCTTAAAAGCTACATCAAGCTGTTCAGTTTCAAATTTTAGAAATGTATCCATTCTGCTAATAGTAGGTATTCAGTAACTGGTAAGTCATCTGTAACTAGATAGATTTAGGTCCTTTTTATCTGTTCTTGGGCAAAGTAAAGTATTTGAAGAGTTCCAGGAAAAGCATCTCTGCTGCCAAATTCTTGCCATACATGATTTCTAAATCCTAATGTGGCTACCTATATTTCTTTGGTGAGGAAAATGCAGGGTTTTTCTTTTTTTTTTTTTTTTTTTGAGACGGAGTCACGCTCTGTTGCCCAGGCTGGAGTGCAGTGGCACCATCTCGGCTCACTGCAAGCTCCGCCTCCCAGGTTCACGCCATTCTCCTGCCTCAGCCTCCCGAGTAGCTGGGACTACAGGTGCCCGCCACCATGCCCGGTTAATTTTTTGTATTTTTAGTAGAGACGGGGTTTCACTGTGTTAGCCAGGATGGTCTCGATCTCCTGACCTCGTGATCCACCCGCCTCGGCCTCCCAAAGTGGTAGGATTACAGGCATGAGCCACCGCGCCCAGCAGAAAATGCTGGTTTATATGCCCTCCAAAAATGAAACATCACACTCTGAAGTGTTAGCTGGATTGTCACTTCACATTGGCCCTGAGGAAATTATCTGTGACTAGGACTCTTCAGGAATGCGTGTATTAAGTATGAGAGCTCTAAAAGGCCATCTGTTGCCTTTATAACACTCCAGGCTGGAATACCCCCTCACATGACAAAGCTAATAAAAGCTTTTGACAAACTTTTTATAGAGACACTCCATGAATGTGAATAATAGCATCTACCATGGGATGATTGTCCAATGTGCTACTTTACAAATGGAACTTATTCTCCATTGTGGCCAGGGAGGAAACAGGTTAAGGGAGGTTACATAGCAAGTCTTAGGTCACATAGCAAGCTAGCGCATAGTAGAGACAGTCTTCACACCCAGGTCTGTCTGGTTCTAAATCTTATGTTCTTTCCATAACAAGATATGATCTTCAATATTTTTATCTCCCTGTACCTCATGTCAATTCTAGATTTTGTCATTACCATCCTGTACATAAAGACCTGAAAAGTTACCTTCACCACCCAATGTTGGGAGTAATGGAACTTGTCTGGAAAGAGAAAGGGCAACATTTTTATATTTTTACGGTGTGATGGGAAATGAGGAGGTGCTAAAATGGTAGAGATCACAGGAATATCATAGTTGTTGCCATTTAAAAGAAGGAAGTGAGGTGAACAGAAATTAAAGTGAGTTTAGAATTCTACCACCAACAATTGCTTTCACGATTATGTAGCAATTCCTTTTGATTCCTTACAACTACCTTGTAAGTTAGGTGTTACTATTGTTGCCATTATTTTCATTTTATAGATGAGATGACAGATTTTCTAGCCCTAAATCTGAACTTTTTCTACAGTATCATGCAACTTTTAGCTAACCAACCATCACTGAGGTATATAATCCTAACTGCATAGCAATAAAAATCTACTTTGGATGAAGGGGAGCAAAAAGTAAGAGGCATGAGCTGTGATAACTTGGAGGTAAGAAATTAAAAAATCAGGGAGTTTGACTACAAAATTGCAACATACACTTGACCCATGACCCAATCCAAACCATTTTAGCTGAGACTTTGTGACAAACATTGTGGAGAAGTGGTTTGCACACATTTTTTGTTGTTGTTGTTTTTCCTCCCAGGAAATAGCCCCAGCACAGGCTCTTCATATATAACTAAATAGGGGGGATGAGGCCCAATACTGAAAGAATAAGGTCCGTTGTTAACTCTAAGGGCACAAGTGGAAGGCTGTGGTCAGGAAATAATCCTAGAGGTCAGAATTTACGTTTTCTATAAATAAATTGGGAAACAAAATACATACACGGTGAGATAACATTCAAGAGGCGGACCATGCTTGATGCGAGGGAAGAATTCTTATTGTGTAAGAACCATGTGGCTATAGGGCTGCCCTTCCTTCCTTCATAAGGAAGGAGAAAAAAGTAAATTGGGCTTTAGGAAATAAATAGTAGAGGGTGTTTCTAATATTAGTTAGTTCTAAGAAAAACCTAACAAATTAATTTATTTAGCTATGTCATACATTGGAAAGTGGAAACCCTGGGAAAATCATTTACATAAAGCTACTCAATCCCATGCCAACCCAGTTTACAGCAGTAAGAAATGAACTCTGTGGTCCTGACACAAGGACAGGTACCTATCACATCTACATCCTAAGTGAAATAGTGAAAAAACATTTGTTTTTCTATTTTCACATTGAGAAATACGTTATAATGTATTTTCCCGAGGTGTTCTGAAATGTATTTTCTTGTTTGTACATGGGAAAGTGTGAATGCACAGGTAATGAATCTCAGGACAAAAAAATCATGAAATTAGCATTTTTTAAAAAGTCACTGGGAATATAAGGAGAGAAAGATTTTTTTTAAAAAAAGATAATGTATCTAATATTCATCTAGCATTTGGACATACAGCCCTGATGTATTTTATGAGGTGTATACATTTATAAACGACTCCTACATAGCACCTATACAATTAAAACATTATCCAGTCCATCAATATGCTCCAAAAGAGCTCCCATTCTTTATCCACCCCCAGTAAGTTTTCTGAAAAGGAAAACTGGACAGGTTTTAAAAAACTCACTCAGTCTCCAAGTAATGAAAAACTATTCACACCATATATTTATGAGAAGTTAGATCCAAACACAGTGTACCTACACACCAGCTGCCAAGAGTGACTGACACATGTGGTAATTATAATACAATTTTGAAGAGAATATATTACCAATTTGACATCTGGAAACAGGAAATTTAAATACTTATGCAAGTCTCTAGTGAAGATATGTCTCAATTCACATTTGTGTCATGCCTTCTTTATGCCATTTTTAAAGTCACTTTCCATTTTTAAAGGCAGCTTTGCTAAACCTGCTGTCACTGCAGTTTGGTTTCCTGCAAGTTCATAAATGGTGCTAATTCAGCTGGTCTAGGGTGCAGCAGATCTCATTGTTTAGGGATGAAATAATAAACAAGGTATGCCATGAAAATAAAAAGAAATCAAGAAATGAAGAAAACAATATTTGATCATGTCATTATTCTCATTCCTGTTAAAGGAATGTTGATATAACTTCTGATAAATAAAAGTTATAAATCCAAAAACATCCTTGTTTTCATGCCAGAAATATTGATTAGGCATGGCTGTGGAAGATTATTTAGTAAGAAAATATCAATAGACTAGATAGTGTTTTAAATGAATAGGTGCTATACAGAGAAATATATAATTATAGAACTCTCATTCGGGGACATATATCTAAGAGGATATGACATTATTTTTACTTTATGTAAGCATTTTATTGTGGTTTTCATGGTAATTTCAAGGATAGAAGGAACTCAGATACTAGTGATGAGCCGTTTATTCTAATGAGCATTTTGATGAGGCTCCTAATTTTTAATAGGATTGTTCTAGCTTGCTTGATCTCTGCATTTTGTGATGCTCAGTTGACCACTGCCTACCGGGAGAAAGAAATGGAGGTGTCAAAATTCAAATATTTGTTAGAGACTTGGCTCAGAATTGCTTTGGACAAACTTTGTTACAAGGACACGTGTCAGTAAAGTCCCAAAGGAGATTCCCTAGGGATTCTTCTGTTTATCAAAGTTTTACTACAAAATAGCTTAGAGAGAAAAAAGGTTCCAAGATGGCCGAATAGGAACAACTCCAGTCTACAGCTCCCAGCATGAGCAACGCAGAAGACAGGTGATTTCTGCATTTCCAACTGAGGTACCCGGTTCATCTCACTGGGGCTTGTCGGACAGTGGGTGCAGGACAGTGGGTGCAGTGCACTGAGCAAGAGCAGAAGCAGGGTGAGGCATCGCCTCACCCAGGAAGCACAGGGGGTCAGGGAATTCCCTTTCCTAGTCAAGTGAAGCTGTGACAGATGGCACCTGGAAAATTGGGTCACTCCCACCATAATACTACACCTTTCCAATGGTCTTAGCAAATGGCACACCAGGAGATTATATCCCGTGCTTGGCTCGGAGGGTACCACACCCACGGAGCCTCGCTCATTGCTAACACAGCAGTCTGAGATCAAACTGCAAGGTGGCAGCGAGGCTGGGGGAGGGGCGCCTGCCATTGCTGAGGCTTGAGTAGGTAAACAAAGTGGCCAGGAAGCTTGAACTGGGTGGAGCCAACCGCAGCTCAAGGAGGCCTGCCTGCCTCTGTAGACTCTACCTCTGGGGGCAGGGCATAGTCAAACAAAAGGCAGCAGAAACCTCTGCAGACTTAAATGTCCCTATCTGACAGCTTTGAAGACAGCAGTGGTTCTACGGAGTTTGAGATCTGAGAACGGACAGACTGCCTCCTCAAGTGGGTCCCTGACCCCCAAGTAGCCTAACTGAGAGGCACCCCCCAGTAGGGGCAGACTGACACCTCACAGGGTCGGGTACCCCTCTAAGACACAACTTCCAGAGGAACCATCAGATAGCAACATTTGCTGTTCAGCAATATTCACAGTTCTGCAGCCTCCACTGCTGATACCCAGGCAAACGGGGTCTGGAGTGGACCTCCAGCAAACTCCGACAGACCTGCAGCTGAGGGTCCTGTCTGTTAGAAGGAAAACTAACAAAAAGAAAGGACATCCACACCAAAACCCCATCTGTATGTCACCATCATCAAAGACCAAAAGTAGATAAAACCACAAAGATGGGGAAAAAACAGAGCACAAAAGCTGAAAATTCTAAAAATCAGAGCACCTCTCCCACTCCAAAGGAACGCAGCTCCTCACCAGCAATGGAACAAAGCTGGATGGAGAATGACTTTGACAAGTTGAGAGAAGAAGGCTTCAGACAATCAAACTTCTCCGAGCTAAAGGAGGAAGTTTGAACCCATTGCAAAGAAGCTAAAAACCTTGAAAAAAGATTAGACAAATGGCTAACCAGAATAACCAGTATAGAGAAGTCCTTAAAGACCTGATGAAGCTGAAAACCATGGCATGAGAACTATGTGACGAATGCACAAGCTTCAGTAGCCGATTCGATCAACTGGAAGAAAAGGTATCAGTGATTGAAGATCAAATGAATGAAATGAAGCAAGAAGAGAAGTTTAGAGAAAAAAGAGTAAAAAGAAACAAGCAAAGCCTCCAAGAAATATGGGACTATGTGAAAAGATGAAATCTATGTCTGATTGGTGTACCTGAAAGTGATCGGGAGAATGGAACCAAGTTGGAAAACACTCTGCAGGATATTATCCGGGAGGACTTCCCCAACCTCAAGGCAGGCCAACACTCAAATTCAGGAAATACAGAGAACACCACAAAGATACTCCTTGAGAAGAGCAACTCCAAGACACATAATTGTCAGATTCAACAAAGTTGAAATGAAGGAAAAAATGTTAAGGGCAGCCAGAGAGAAAGGTCGGGTTACCCACAAAGGGAAGCCCATCAGACTAACAGCAGATCTCTTGGCAGAAACTCTACAAGCCAGAGGAGAGTGGGGGCCAATATTCAACATTCTTAAAGAAAAGAATTTTCAACCCAGAATTTCATGTCTAGCCAAACTAAGCTTCATAAGTGAAGGAGAAATAAAATACTTTACAGACAAGCAAATGCTGAGAGATTTTGTCACCACCAGGCCTGCCCTAAAAGAGCTCCTGAAGGAAGCACTAAACATAGAAAGGAACAACTGGTACCACCCACTGCAAAAACATGGCAAATTGTAAAGACCATCGAGGCTAGGAGGAAACTGCATGAACTAACGAGCAAAATAACCAGCTAACATCACAATGACAGGATCAAATTCACACATAACAATATTAACCTTAAATGTAAATGGACTAAATGCTCCAATTAAAAGACACAGACTGGCAAATTGGATAAAGACTCAAGACCCATCAGTGTGCTGTATTCAGGAGACCTATCTCACATGCAGAGACACACATAGGCTCAAAATAAAGGGATGGAGGAAGATCTACCAAGCAAGTAGAAAATAAAAAAAGGCAGGGATTGCAATCCTAGTCTCTGATAAAACAGACTTTAAACCCACAAAGATCAAAAGAGACAAAGAAGGCCATTACATAATGAAAAAGGGATCAATTCAACAAGAAGAGCTAACTATCCTAAATATATATGCACCCAATACAGGAGCACCCAGATTCATAAAGCAAGTCCTTAGAGACTTACAAAGAGACATTGACTCCCACACAATAATAACGGGAGACTTTACACCCCACTGTCAACATTAGACAGATCAACGAGACAGAAAGTTAACAAAGATATCCAGGAATTGAACTCAGCTCTGCACCAAGTGGACCTAATAGACATCTACAGAACTCTCCACCCCAAATCAACAGAATATACATTCTTCTCCGCACCATATCGCACTTATTCCAAAACTGACCACATAGTTGGAAGTAACGCACTCCTCAGCAAATGTAAAAGATCAGAAATTATAACAAACTGTCCCTCAGACCACAGTGCAATCAAACTAGGACTCAGGATTTAAAAACTCACTCAAAACTGCTCAACTACATGGAAACTGAACAACCTGCTCCTGAATGACTACTGGGTACATAACAAAATGAAGGCAGAAATAAAGATGTTCTTTGAAACCATTCAGAACAAAGACACAATGTACCAGAATCTCTGGGACACATTTAAAGCAGTGTGTAGAGGGAAATTTATAGCACTAAATGCCCACAAGAGAAAGCAGGAAATATCTAAAATTGGCACCCTAACATCACAATTAAAAGAACTAGAGAAGCAAGAGCAAACACATTCAGAAGCTAGCAGAAGGCAAGAAATAACTAAAATCAGAGCAGAACTGAAGGCAATAGAGACACAAAAAAACCCTCAAAAAATCAAAGAATCCAGGAGGTGATTTTTTGAAAAGATCAACAAAATTGATATACCACTAGCAAGACTCATAAAGAAGAAAAGAGAGAAGAATCAAATAGACGCAATAAAAAATGATAAAGGGGATATCACCACTGATCCCACAGAAATACAAACTACCATCAGAGAATACTATAAACACTTCTACGCAAATAAACCACAAAATCTAAAAAAAATGGAAAAATTCCTGTACACATATACGCTCCCAAGACTAAACCAGGAAGAAGTTGAATCTCTGAATAGACCGATAATAGGATCTGAAATTGAGGCAATAATTAATAGCTTACCAACCAAAAAAAGTCCAGGACCAGATGGATTCACAGCCAAATTCTACCAGAGGTACAAGGAGGAGCTGGTACCATTCCTTCTGAAACTATTCCAATCAATAGAAAAAGAGGGAATCCTCCTGAACTCATTTTATGAGGCCAGCATCATCCTGATACCAAAGCCTGCAGACACACAACAAAAAAAGAGAATTTTAGACCAATATCCCTGATGAACATCAATGCAAAAATCCTCAATAAAATACTGGCAAACCGAATCCAGCAGCACATCAAAAGCTTATCCACTACGATCAAGTGGGCTTCATCCCTGGGATGCAAGGCTGGTTCAACATACGCAAATCAATAAATGTAATCCAGCCTATAAACAGAACCAATGACAAAAACCACACAATTATCTCAATAGATGCAGAAAAGGCCTTTGACAAAATTCAACAGCCCTTCACGCTAAAAACTCTCGATAAATTAGGTATTGATGGGATGTATCTCAAAATAATAAGAGCTATTTATGACAGACCCACAGCCAATATCATACTGAATGGACAAAACTGGAAGCATTCCCTTTGAAAACTGGAACAAGACAGGGATGCCCTCTCTCACCACTCCTATTCAACATAGTATTGGAAGTTCTGGCCAGTGCAATCAGGCAGGAGAAAGAAATAAAGGGTATTCAATTAGGAAAAGAGGAAGTCAAATTGTCCCTGTTTGCAGATGACATGATTGTATATCTAGAAAACCTCATCGTCTCAGCCCAAAATCTCCTTAAGCTGATAAGCAACTTCAGCAAAGTCTCAGGATACAAAATCAATGTGCAAAAATCACAAGCATTCTTATACACCAATAACAGACAAACAGAGAGCCAAATCATGACTGAGCTCACATTCACAATTGCTTCAAAGAGAATAAAATACCTAAGAATCCAACTTACAAGGGATGTGAAGGACCTCTTCAAGGAGGACTACAAACCACTGTTCAATGAAATAAAAGAGGACACAAACAGATGGAAGAACATTCCATGCTCATGGGTAGGAAGAATCAATATCGTGAAAATGGCCATACTGCCCAAGGTAATTTATAGATTCAATGCCACCCCCATCAAGCTACCAATGACTTTCTTCACAGAACTGGAAAAAAATACTTTAAAGTTCATATGGAACCAAAAAAGAGCCCGCATTGCCAAGTCAATCCTAAGCCAAAAGAACAAAGCTGGAGGCATCATGCTACCTGACTTCAAACTATACTACAAGGCTACAGTAACCAAAACAGAGATATAGTCCAAGGGAACAGAACAGAGTCCTCAGAAATAATACCACACATCTATAACCATCTGATCTTGACAAACCTGACAAAAGCAAGAAATGGGGAAAGGATTCCCTATTTAATAAACGGTGCTGGGAAAACTGGCTAGCCATATGTAGAAAGCTGAAACTGGAACCCTTTCTTACACCTTATACAAAAATTAATTCAAGATAGATTAAAGACTTAAATGTTAGACCTAAAACCATAAAACACCTAGAAGAAAACCTAGGCAATACCATTCAGGACATAGGCATGGGCAAGGACTTCATGTCTAAAACACCAAAAGCAATGGCAACAAAAGCCAAAATTGACAAATGGGATCTAATTAAACTAAAGAGCTTCTGCACAGCAAAAGAAACTACCATCAGCGTGAACAGGCAACCTACACAATGGGAGAAAATTTTTGCAATCTACTCATCTGACAAAGGGCTAATATCCAGAATCTACAAAGAACTCAACCAAATTTACAAGAAAAAAACAAACAACCCTATCAAAAAGTAGGTGAGGGATATGAACAGACACTTCTCAAAAGAAGACATTTATGCACCCAAAAGACACATGAAAAAATGCTCATCATCACTGGCCATCAGAGAAATGCAAATCAAAACCACAATGAGATACCATCTCACACCAGTTAGAATGGTGATCATTAAAAAGTCAGGAAATAACAGATGCTGAAAAGGATGTGCAGAAATAGGAACACTTTTACACTTTTGGTGGGACTGTAAACTAGTTCAACCATTGTGGAAGACAGTGTGGCAATTCCTCAAGTATCTAGAACTAGAAATACCATTTGACCCAGCCATCCCTTTACTGGGTATATACCTAAAGGATTATAAATCATGCTGCTGTAAAGACACATGCATATGTATGTTTATTGCAGCACTATTCACAATAGCAAAGACTTGGAACCCACCCAAATATCCATCAATGATAGACTGGATTATGAAAACGTGGCACATATACCCCATGGAATACTATGCAGCCATAAAAAAGGATGAGTTCATGTCCTTTGTAGGGACATGGATGGAGCTGGAAACCATCATTCTCAACAAACTATCACAAGGACAAAAAACCAAACACCGCGTGTTTTCACTCATAGGTGGGAAATGAACAATGAGAACACATGGACACAGAAGGGGAACATCACACACCGGGGCCTGTTGTGGGGTTGGGGGAGGTGGGGAGGGATAGCATTAGGAGATATACCTAATGTAAATGACAAGTTAATGGGTGCAGCACAACAACATGGCACATGTATACATATGTAACAAACCTGCATGTTGTGCACGTGTACCCTAGAACTTAAAGTATAATAATAATAATAAGTAAACAAATAAAAAATAGCTTAGAGACACCAATATTTTAAAGTAACCTTTCAACTGTATCTTATTAAAAGCTAATGTAAAAGCTCCTTTTGTCAGGCAACTGAGGAGAGCAATAGTAGAAACTTATAAAATCATGGTTAGCTTCTAATTTTTAAGACGAAATCAACAGACAAAACTTCATTCACTAGAATGCTAAATGGGTGTACCACTGTGTCTCTTTGGGAAAAAAACACTTTGATATGCTGATTGGGGTTGAGATCCTAAAAAGCTTACTTAAATAGAAAGAGACAACCACCGAATTGCTACCTGCATCATGGAACATCAGAGTAAACAGAGGTTCTTTTATATTTTTCTATGTATATAGATGAACTGGGGTATATGAATCTGGAGCAGTAGCAAGGAGAGAACAGAATTTTCAATATGGTAGGGAGGGGAGGCCTCTAGAGCTCTCCAGGAGGATCTGAGTGTGGAAGAAATGGAAGCCTGGAAGGGAAGGGTAAAGAACCTCCTTTGAGGACACAAGCTAAAAGCCTTGGAATAATTAAAAAAAAATAGATGTTTGTTTGATGTGTGATTAAAAACCTGCCTCTCTGTGTGCTCCACAAATGCTTCAATCAACAAGCACATTCCTCTCGAACACTGTTATGCTATGCATATGGAAGCCTTAGGGAGATATCTTGAGGGATTTCATTTTGTGTCTAGTTTACCATGGAGCAAGAACAGAACCAGCACAAGCAGTGTCATGAACAAGGGTGAGGGGAGAGCTGTCATCTGGGTCTCATAAAGAGGCCCAACATGGGCATGCAGGAAAGCATGATGAGGCTGCAAGAGGATTATATGTGGTTTTTGTTTCTCACTTCTTCTGCTCTATTGTTTTTTATTAAGCTATTTTCCTAACCATTTGCAGCAATTAAATTAAGCACACATACTTTATAGCTCAAGAACTTTAAGCATTTTGTTTGTGTGATGATGTTATTTTTAAAGAAAACTCCTATTCCGTTCTTCATTCTGGAACAAAGTTTCCTAAATCTATTCACAGAAAATGAGTCCTGCGGAATGTGAATGGCTCTTAGATAAATAAAGTTTTTGTGCTCAAATACATTTGAAAAACCCTAGATTAAGTGGTTCCTTCACTGCAGGACTTTCCAGAACCTCTTCTCTTTTAATGTGCATTGTGAGCATCCCAAAAGCAGTCAGATTGTGTACAGTCCCAGAATCTTTTTCTCTCTATCATCTCTTGGAACTGATGTTGCGGGATCCTTTCTTAGGAAAAACTGCCAAAAGGAAAATAACCGTTCTACCTTTCCATATTTTAAAATGCTTCAGCAAAACTACAGCAAATGTTCATATATTTCAACACTAATAGCTAACACTTAGTTTTTCTGTTTACATATGAGGACTGTCTGACACAGATATGTCACGTACCAAATTAATAAGAGTAGCTTTGACTTAGAAGGAATGGATTTCAAGTCTGTTTGTGGGGTTTCAAAAATGTTCCCCCTGAATAAACAAGCCTACAAGCCTAAAGCAAGACCTAAATGCGACACAGCGTACTCATTACAGAAGCTTTCAGAGGAGTTGGCTCAAGAAACGTGGTTTCTTCTGGAGTTTACAGCTATCATCACCTCTTCTAATTTCACATTGCAATAGCCTGAAGACTGCCAGAATTCCTGCAAATTTCTTAGGTCAGAAGGCAGAGCCACATGTGTAAAAGACCCATCAAGCAGTGGGTACAAACTTTGAAATTGAGAAGGTCAAGTAGTCTAATGGAAATGATCCCATCAGTACAGCTCAGTAATCATTTAGAAGGATATGAGCATCTTTGGGTTCAGCCACTAGTCTTTTCATGGAGAGTAGCAAGAATGATTTATGATAGACCCTATCCCACCTACCCACCCACTCCCACCGACATAGGCCTGGTGAAAAGCATGAAGGTCCAAGAGGAGCTACTAAAACATGGCTTCTCTGTAAGCTTCGCAGAAGTGGTTGGTTCTGATCACTGCAGTTACGTGCGTAATTGTTTCTCAGAAACTCCTGACACTTATTTTTGGCTACTTCCCAAGGCCAATTTAAGTTTCCTCAAATTGGATTACTCAGAGGTCCGAAAACATGCTTCATGCTGTCCTGCTTCATATTTTATGATTTTTTTACCTTAGTTAAAAACAAATTCTTAAGCCTGCCTCTTCTACTAAACCCAAATGAAGTGTTTTCTTCTTTTCAGTGCCTTTGATGATTTATCGTGGAATGTCTTCTCTCCTTCTTGTGAAAGCCTTGTAATTCTCTTATAACATGTATTGCTTTGCCCTCTATAAAAATGTATTCTCATTCTCCAGTAAGAGTTGAGTTTTTAAGATAAGTTAGATGCTTTGAACTTTATCACGTTCCCCTCAATGCTAATAAATGAATACTGCTCGGTGTCAGAAGTCATAATTAAAAGTTTGGTTGAGAAGAAAGTTTAATAATGAGCCAAACAATCTGGGAAGTATAAATCTATGTAGTTTTTATTTTTGAGAGGTGGTACTCAAACAAGAATAGGAAAAGGATGTCATCTCTTGCCACATTTACTATACCTAGTACCCAAGGTTCAGCAAGGGCAATTAGGCAAAAAAACAAGAAATAAAAATCATCTAGGTTGGGAAGGAAAAAGAAAAACTATTTCTATTTGCAAATGACATTATTTTGCATGTAGAAATTCTTACGAAATACACACACACACACACACACACACACACACACACACACACATACTATTAGTTAATTTATTCCTGAGCACTTTTTTATGACATTATAAATTAAGTTGTTTTTCTAATTTCATTCTCAGGGCATTCATGTCTCGTGTATAAATATACAATTGACTTTGGTGTTGATCTTGCATCCTGTGAGTTTCCTGAATTTATTTATTAGCTGTAAAAGTGTGTGTGTGTGTGTGTGTGTGTGTGTGTGTGTGTGTGGATATGGCATTTCTTTTTGGAGTGATGAAAATATTCAAGAATTAGATAGTGGTGATGGTTGCACAATTTTATGAATCTAATTAAAAACCACTAAATGATGAATTTTTAAAGGATAAATTTTATAGTACACAAATTATATCTCAATTTTTTAAATGTGGTAATCATTCTTGTAAAAAAGAAAACCCTGGCATATAGGAAAATTGATCTAAAAAGTCAAGTAAATGCATTTATCTGCTTCCTTAGCTCCTGAATTCTATCTTTTGCTTAATTCATTTTTTAAGCAAAGTTCTACTTTGAGCCAGATAGTATATTCAATGATAGACATACAGAAGTATAAGGCCAGATACAGTTCTTGCACTCATGGAATTCACAACCCAACTCTAAAGAGAATTCAATCAGGTCTCCATGTCAGACTGGAGAAAGGACAAAAGGAAAAAATGATGTGGTTCACAGCAGGGCTTGAGCAGTTAAGACAGGGTTTTGAACTTACCCCACATACCTGGTTCTCAAACTTCTCAACTGATTCTCAAATGGCTCTCAACTTCGGAGACTGTGTCCACTGCTTCTCCTAGTCAATAATGAAGAGTTAAGGAGGAAAGCATGCTGATTGCCCGCAAGACAGCTGCCAAATTTATCATGTATTTCCTAACTCTGAAGTTATTTATGCCATTTTATAGCAAATTCTCATGTGTAATGTCTGAATCTCTTAAGCCAGTTGAAAAATTCAGAAACATGCAAATATTCACACTGAGAATCTTGGACATTGTTTCTGTGGTTTCTTGAAAAACAAAATCTAGCCTGCAAAAACACTTAGTTTAAAATTGTGTACTTATGTTACTGTGTGTAACTGCTCTGCATTACACCTTTTTTTTGTAGAAGATGAATGGCGATACATTTCTCAGCATCAACCATACAAATTACATAAGGCATAGTCAGTAAAATTCTTGCGTATGCACAGAAAATTAATGCAAGGGTAATAAAAAGAAAGAAGAGTGAGTGCTCCCAAATATCGAACTGAAGATTGCAAAGAAGGCTGCGGGGTCTTTTCTTCCAGGCAATTTTAACTTAGGAAGAGGGTTATGTCTGTAATTTGGCTTAGGGATGTCCTTGCCTAAAGACAAGAAAAAATTCAATAATTTCTAAAGGTTCCATACTCCCAAGAATTCAAGTATGGCTTTGTGTGGGAACCGTGGCTCCTTGTAGCTTTTAGCGACCTGGAGGAGATCAAAATTATTTCACATGAGTGCCTTTTTTATCTCCTCTTTTGCTGAATCATCTATTTTGTATATTGCTTTTTATAAATGAAATTTGCTGCAATTCCCACTTTCTTCTACTTTCCTAAGCTTTTCAAGGCTCCCCAAAATAAAAAACAAACTGGCATTTAACATTTTCATAAAAAATAGTTATATTTGGTGATATACTATTTTTTTTAAAAAATTCTCATTATCTATAATAACTTGAAAATAAATAGATCCATGTTAAATGATAATACTTCCAGCATGGCACATGTGTTGCAAAAAATTTCAATGCCTGTGCTCTGAAGCATAAGCATAAAATAAACCAGAAATTTGGCTCAGAGAAGACAGAACAGGAAACAAATGGATGCTAGTTCTAGAAAGGAGCACATGATTAAGGAGCTGAATAACATCCTAAATTGGAAAGGAAATCTGAATCCTGAGTTACAGATGCAAAATAGATTCAAATCTTTTAAAGGGCCTAGACCAAATGACAAGAGAAGTTCAATCAATGCTTATGAATAATGAGTCATTCTAGAAGGAAAAAGGGATTAGAATCCTTCCTGTGAGAGGGAGAGATCAAGAAAATGAAAACTCAGAAAAGAGGAGAGTGTCTGTGTATATTAAGATTTACTAAGTTATAAAATATGTATGTCTGAGAGGCTGTTGGGGTTGGGCAGCATGTATTTATCTATATGAGCGAATTCATGCCTGTATATAGGAGAGGAAATAATGTGGAGACTGTGAACAGGGAGGCACTAAAAATAACAATATGGATATTTACTACAAAATAAAGCTTAGCAAGTTTCACATTAATATATTTCAAGAAGGCATTACATTAACATTGAAAATCTACACTAGCCTATCTGTGTGTCAAATCCTAAATTGAGAAATTAGGTCAGTGTTAATAAAATAAAAATGCCATAATGTTCGCAATTTCATAATCTGAAAAATAAAGATGCTGTTTCTAACTTTTTTTGTTTTGTCTTGTTTTTGAGCCAGGATCTTACTCCATTGCCCAGGCTGGAGGCTGGAGAGCAGTGGAGCCACTGGGGCTCACTGCAGCCTCCACCTCCGGGAGCTCAGGTGATCCTCCCACCTCAGCCTCCCAAGTAGCTGGGATTTCAGGCATGTGCCACAGTGCCCAGCTAATTTTTGTATTTTTTTGTAGAGATGGTATGTTGCCATGTTGCCCAGGCTGGTCTCGAACTCTTGAACTCAAACCATCTACCTACCTCAGCCTCCCAAAATGCCAGATTACAAGCATGAACCACCATACTGGCTTAGGTTTCTAACTATTTAATATGATCATGACAATACTTTGAAATAATGGTTGATTGACTTTTATTTTCATTTTTAAGGGAACAAATTGTATCAAAATAATGTTTTGTCTGGCAGAGATATTTATCTGTAGCTGAATGAACAAATGAAATGCTACTGCATGCCAACCTTTTTGTTTGTATGATGGGGGTGACTGTGAGAAGAGAAGGTGATATTCTATATGTTGGGTATAATAATATTCATCTTCTTCTAGGTGATCAGATCTTCTGAAGACCTACCACTTATTTACTCACTCAATCAGTAAGTGGTGAATTTAAATGCTGAAACAGTACTACTCAACATACCTTCTGTGAGTCAACTGTTATGAGCAACACCTGGATCTCATTAGAAATGCAGAATACGAGGTCCCATCCAAGACTCAGTGAGTAAGAATTTCCAGAGTTGAGCCCAGGACTGTCTACCTGCTTTAACAAGCCCTCCAACAGAATCTCCATGTACTAGATTTCGAGATGTGCTAGGCTGAAGTATGTGCATCCTTCAGAAATCAAAATCTTCTGGATTCATTTTACATTTAATCGTCCTTCACTATTTCCCTTTAGTACTATCTCTACTAGAAAGGTAAGTTTTTTAATAATTTTCCCTTTGCCAGAGATTCCTACAAGCCCAAATTTCTCCCACAGCCTTAGAAACACCTTTGTTAATTCTTGGGTCTTCTCCATCTAATTTGTATAATTTTACGTCTGATACTCTCCATCCTTTCACACCAAATTAGTCCCTATGGTTCCAGCTTCCAATGGGTGACCCACATCTCTAAGATCTGATACCATTTGCTCATTTTGTCCTTGTTTTAGTTCTTTGCCATGAATGCTTATCACTAGTTGCCACACTGTCCACTGTTCGGCTTATCAATTCTTGCATCACCTGTATAACTCATTCCCTCCATTAAACTCTGCCATTTTAAAATACTTCATTATTTTTCTTTTACAGTTTGAACACTTACTGAGGAATGTGCTAAATAACTTTTTTCTTCTATCCTGTATCTTTCCTCTTTACTTTCCCTCTTATCTGTTCTAGCACTTTCAAAAATCTGGACTTTGGGTTAATTTTTTTCATACTCTGATTCTACCACTTTTTATCTATGTGACCTTGAACAAGTTACCATCCAGAACCAGTTTCCGCAACCGTAAAATAGGGATAAAATTATCTACATCTTAAAAAGCAATGTAAGAATATAGTGGTTAAGCTTAGTGGGGTGCATTTAGAGAAAACAGGCAGAACTCAAACCCTGCTTTCATCCATTTCTAGCCGTGTGATTTAAGCAAGTAATTTGATATGTGTCAGCCTCAGTTTCCTCCATAAAATGTGTATAATTATTGTAAAACTCCCATAGACTATTTTGAGGACTAAAGGAGATAACAGATATAAAACATTTAGTAGGATATCTGGTACCTGCCAAATACTCAATACTTACTACTACCATCACCATCACCATCATTATCATAATTATCATGGTAATTATATACTAGAGATCACAATGAAGGTGGTACCCTCTTTCATTTTCTCCTAAACTGTTTTCTCTCTCCCATCTACTTCTTTTTAACCATTTCTATTTCTATTCTTCTGAACTACTCAGAAAAATTGTAACAAAGTTGGCTTACATTTTTAAACTTATCTAATGAAGCTCTTTTCTACATAATTTTGAAATCAGGCAAAACAAAAGATAGTACAATATATCCATAATGCCACTATTCATAGTCCAAAATAGATGCCTATTATAGTAGAAGGAGAAATAACCTGTAATATATTCACATAGTAGAATATTATACAGCAATGAGAATGAATGCATACAACTACATGCAACAATATAAACAAATCTCAGAAATATAATGTTGAGCCAAAGCAACTAGATAAAAGAGAGGACATAGTGAATGATTCCATTCACACAAAGTTAAAAAACAGGCAAACCAATCTATGATGTGAGAAGTCAGAATAATGATTAACCTTGGTGACTGGAAGACAGTATACAGGATGACCTCTGGGGAGCTGGTCATCATCTGTTCCTTGACCCAACTGCTTATCACACAAGTGTACTCGCTTAGTGAGAACTCATATATCTGACCGCTCATATCTGTACACATTTATCTATATATGTTTTAACTCAACAGAGAAAAAAAGAGCAAGTGGACTAATTATTCTTTAATATTACCTCCAGAAAAAATGCAACAACTTTATATTTATGGCCATAAAATTATTTTCCCTTTCAATATAGGAACTCTTTCAATAGGAACAAAATATACTTCTCGTTGACTACAGGGCTACTGCTGAATTTCTATTTAATTCTGTGGCATGTGAATGAAATCAGTAACAATTGTCATTAATTGCCTCTCACAGTTCTTAGGAAAAATAATAATTGTGTAAAATGATTGGAGTATGGCAAAAAAACATTGAACTTCAAGATGGCAAAAAGCAGTTTCTTGTCCCAGTTCTTTTGTTGTCCTATTAAATGCTTCATGAGAACACTTGTGCTTGAGTTTATCTGTAACGTATTAATGATGATATCATATGACTACCTGTCTGGAGCTGTCAACAGAAACAAATGAGGTGGTCCACGTACGAACTTTTTGAAAGGTGAGTGTGCTGTATAATCCAAACATTAACATAAGGAACAAATGTTTGTAGGACCTTTCATACTGCACTCCCTTCTTACCTTTTTTTTTTTTTTTCTACAGGAACACACCTGCTAACATTGTCACTAGTTGTTTATCTTATTATCTAATTCAAATATCACTTGCTCTTTATGTTTTTATAAACCTCCCATCTCTCCTCCAAAGAGGAATTAATTTTTATATATGTTCTCAGTAGAATGGATAACTTGTTATAATTCATTTTAGGCCTTTTTTTGATGCTTCTTGCAGATAAACTCTGGCTTTTTCATACTAACAGATGCCTAACAAAGCACAGAATGGGGCTTAATATATGTTGTATTGAGATGATCTCAGATTTTCTTAAATAACTTTTAAACACTTAACTGATTTGCTACATTTTTGTTATTTGTACACACTCTGTGATATGTGATTTTTAAATTTATGTAAACATCATCTATACTTTCTTTACAGAAGGTATGAAATCGTGAATACATCACACCACCCAGAAATCCCCCATGGTGCGCTTTACAATGCAACAGAACCTCATAGTTCCCATTGTATACTCTTTCAATTATAATAGATGAAATACTTGAAAATGCTTGGTAGAAATACCATAGAAGTTATAATGACCTTTGCAACAAAAGGAGTAAATCTAGTGGCATTTTAGAGTTTTCTTATAATTGGATGTTTTCTTTTTTTTTTTTTTTTTTTCTATTTTGACCTTAGTTTCCCCAGTGTATGCCATTTTTAGGCTCCAATAGTTCAGAGAAACTGCAATTTCACTGAGACTTGACCTACAGAATCAGAGATTCAGGATTCTAGTCACTTTGCTGAGATGGATCCAAGGTATAGAAAGAAGTCAGATGTCAGCCCAAAGGTCAGGCTGCAACAAAAGTGCTTACCTTGAATGATTTAGCTATGATATGAGTTTACTCTGTAACATAAGTAGCATGGTTGGGCAGTGTTCAAGAACCTGGCTGTATAATGAAGAAAGGAGAAAAGACAGAATTTAGCCCAAATGTGATGAAAGCCAATTGACATGAAGACAATCATCACGTTCATCTTGGTCCAGTAAGAATTTGATATTCACTCTGATAGGAGATTTGCAATATGACTCCAGTTAAGGTGGCAATTTGAAACTCTCCTGCTTTGACTTCTGGAACTTGCTTCTGCCAAATCAGTGGTGACTTTCAGGTATAGGCCTATGGCTGGAAACTAAAATCAGAAGACTCCAACCTCCAGCTCTGAGAACCTACACTGATAGCTCCATCCAACTTCAACCACAAGTAGTGGGTCCAAATCACAACACTCCAATGATGGATTACACTGTCTCTGTCTTTTGCAGCACTTTGTTCAAAGATAAAAGATTCTCTGCAGTGGTGATGAGGGCTAGTTCACTCAGCCCTTAGATGCAGATTCTGAGAGATAGAGTACACATAACTTTTAGATAACAGGTGCTTTTAAAGAAAATTTGATTCTTTGAAATTAAGTTAAGGTTTGTTTTATATAATTTGCAGTCAATTTTCATAAATCTCATGTGTGTTTCAAAGAAATGAGTATTCTCTATTTGTTGCCTTTAGGAATCTATGTATCTTCATTATATCATGACTGTTAATTGTTTTTCACATGTTCTATACCCTTCCTAATGCTTTGTCTGCTTGATCTATCAATTACCAGAATAGGTATTGCAGTCTGCCCCTCTGAATTCATATCACATGCATATAAATTTTAAGTTACTAAACTTCCCTCCGTGAAATCAAGCTCTTATCATTGTGTAGTTACCTTCTTTATCTTGAATAATTATTCTAATTTAAGGTCGATTTTCCCTGATAATAATATAAGTAAACCAACTTTCTTTTGGTTAGCATTTGCCTGATTTATCTTAGTCCATCTTTTTACTTTCTATTTTCCTGTAACTTTCCTTATATTCCTTAGGTATTCTGACCACGTGTGTCTTTTGGCTAATGAATTTATTCCATTTATAATTTATTTATGTTTCTTTATATGCATTTATATGTATATATAATATATATGTATTTCTTCCATATAGTTATTTACTTTTTGTTACTTTTTATATTCTGCTTTTGTTCTTTCAACTGTTTTTGTTTTTGGTGGTTGTCTTAGAAAATTAATTTGCAAATTTATAAAGAAAACAAGATTGTAAGAAAGGCAGAGGAAATCAAATAATAAACATGAAGATGAAATTAATCAATAAAAATGAAATAAAACATTGTCAGTAATAATAGACATAAAGGAAATTAAACATTATCAGAGAATAATATTCTCAATTATGTTTTAAGAAAGCTAAAATAAATATCCATGAAGTATATAATTTCCTTGGGAAAATATCATTCCAAAATTATTCTAAAAGAAGGAATAGTCTGAAAAATATTAGTAATATAGGCAACAAACATTATTAAATAATTATCTCCATTCAACACAATTCCTTTCAAATTACCAACATCAGTTTTCACAGAATGAGAAAAAACAATACTAAAAATCATATGGAATTAAAAGATAAAGAGTCCAAACAACCAAACAATTCCTAAGCAAAAGAACAAAGCTTGAGGTATAACATTACCTTACTTCAAGCTATACTACAAGGCTATAGTAACCAAAACAACATGGTACTCGTATAAAAATAAATGCATAGATTAAGGGAACAGAATAGAGAGCTCCAAAATAAAACCACATACCTACAACCAAATAATCTTCAACAAAGTCAATAAAAATATATAACAAAGTAAGAAAACTATTCAATAAATGATGCTGGGAAAATTGCATATTCATATGCAGAAGAATAAAGCTGAGCCTCTATCTTTCAACATCTACGAAAAACAACTCAAAATGAATTAAAGATGTAAATGTAAGACTTGAAACTATAAAAATCCTAGGATAAATCTTAGGAAACACCATAATCAACATGGACCTTGGGAAAGAATGTATGAATAAGTCCTCAAAGGTAAGTGCAACAAAAACAAAAATAGACAAATGATACTTAATTAAACTAAAAAGCTTCTGCACAGCAAATGAAATAATCAATAAACAGACAATCTACAGAATGGGAGAAGATATTTGAAAACTATGCTTCTGACATAGGACCAATATTCAAAATATGCAAGGAACTCAACTCAACAAGAAAAAAAATCAAATAACATTATTAAAAAGGGGGCAAAGGACATGAACAGACATTTCTCATAAAAAAGACATACAGGTGGCCAGCAGACATATGAAAAATGCTCACTACTAATTGTCAGATAAATGCAAATTAAAATCACAATGAAATACCATCTCATACCAGCCAGAATGGCTATAATTAAAAAGACAGAAAACCACAAATGTTGGCAAGGATGTAAAGAAAAGGAAATTCTTATACACTTGGTGGGGATGTAAATTAGTACAGTTTCTATGGAAAACAGTATAGAGATAGATCTAAAAGTAGAACTACCATTCAACCCAGCAATCCCATTACTGGTTATATACCCAAAGGAAAATAAATTGTTATATGAAAAAGACACCTGCACTCATATGTTTATCACAGTAGTATTCACTATAGCAAAGTCATGAGAGAAACCTCAGTATTCATCAATGAATGATTGGACAGAGAGAATGTTGTACATATACACTATGGAATACTATTCAGCCATAAAAAATAATGAAATCATATATTTTGCAGCAACATGGATTAAGTTAGAGGCTATTATGCTAAGAAAAATAAATCAAAAACAGGAAGGTAAGTAGGATCTAAACAATAGGTACATATTAATATACAAAAGGAAATAACAGACACAAAAGAATTCAAAAGGAGGGAGGATAGAGAGATTAGGGTTGAAAAAGTAGCCACGTGGTACAATGTTTGCTATTCGGGTAACGTGCACAGTAGAAGCCCAAACCTCACCATTAGGCAACATATCCATGTAACGAATCTGCATATATATCCCTGAATCTCTAAAAACTAAAAAATAAAACAAAATAATGATTATCTTCAAATAAGCCTTTGGTATCAGACCACTTTATATTGAGGGTTTTTGTTATTTATTTACTGCATGTTAAAGGAAAAGCTAATTCAAATGTAATATAAAATATATCAGCACATATTAAAAGATAGAAAAATTTTCAATTCCTGCAATAGGATGGCATTATTTTGATACCAAATCCCAGCAATAATAAAAGAAATAACTCTACATCCATGTCCCTTATAAATATAGATGCAAAAATTTAATAAATAGAATTCAACTTTAAAAATAATTATCATGATCAAGCATGATTTATTCTAAGAAAGGAAGGCTGTCGTGATACTCAGAAATATCGTACTCAGAGAATAAAATACATAAGAGCAATAAACAATATAGGGAATACAACAAAATTATATTTTGAGAGGGTAAAAAGACATTTTGTAAAAGTTCACAGCAACGACAGATGGCAAATATATTGATCCATTCTGGAACTGCAAGCACAATGATTGATGATGAGAATGCAGGTTAGTTTTGGAAGACAAGGGTAGGGAGATAACAAGGGCTATCTCATAAGAACTCATTAACAAAATTTTTGTTTCAGTCCTTCATTCACTATTTAATTTTTAATTTATTTTTAAATTAGCAAATAAAATTGTATTATTTATCATGTGCAACATGATGTTTTAAAAATATGTGTTCATTGCGGAATAGCTAAATTGAGCTAATTCACATATGCGTTACCATTCATGCTTATCATTTTTTCGTGAGGAAAACACTTAAAATCTACACTCTTAGACATTTTCAAGAATACAATACATTTTTACTAACTATAGTCACTATGTTGCACAATAGATCTCCAGAAGTTTTTCCTCCCATTCTGACTAAAATTTTAAGTTCTTTGACCAACACCTCCCCCACCAAGACCCCTACTGGCCCCTGGTAGACACCATTCTACCCTCTTCTTCTGTGAGTTCCCATTTTTAAAATTCCACATTTAACTGAGATCCTGTGGTATTTATCTTTCTGTTACTGTCTTATTTCACTCAATGTAACATCCTTCATGTTCATCTATGTTGTTGCATGGAAAAAAATTTTCTTCTTTCTAAGACTGCATAGTATTTTATTGTATATATACACTATATTTTCCTTATCCATTTATTTACTGGTGGACACTTAATTCCATATTTTGGCTATTATGAATACTGTCGCAAGGAATATGGGGGAGCAGATACCTCTTTGATATATTAATTTCATTTAGATATAAACCCAAAAGTGAGATTGCTTCATCATATGGTATTTTTACTTTTAGTTTTTGGAGGAGATTCCATGTAGTTTCTAAAATGATTGTATGAATTTACATTCTCATCAGTAGGATACAATAATTCCCTTTTCTCCACATCCTTTCCAAAACTTGATATCTTTCCTCCTTTTAATAATAATAGCCTTTCTGAGAGGTATCAGATGATATCTTAATGTGGTTTTAATTTGTACTTTCTTAATGATTAGTGACATTGAGCATTTTTAAATTTACCTGTTGGTCATTTGCATATGTTCTTTTGAGAAATATCTATTTAGGTCCTTTGTCCATTTTAAAATTATTTTTCAATTGACAAATAATAATTGTACATATTCATGCAGTATGTAGTCGATGTTTTGATACATATAATGTATAGTGATCAGATCAGGATAATTATTAGCATATTTATCATCTCTAACATTTATTATTTCTTTGCATTGGAAACATTCAATATCTTCTTTGTAGCTCTTTGAAATTCTATAATATATTATTTTTAACTATAGTCATACTCTGGTGGTATAGAACACTAGAAATTATAGTCATACTACAGTGGTATAGAACATTATATATTATTTCTTCTATATAGTTTTAATTTTGTATTCTTTAATAAATTTCTCCCGATCCAGTCCTTCCCACTACCCTTTCCAGCCTCTAGTAGCCTCTATTCTACTTTTTACTTCTATGAGATCCAGTTATTTTTCTTAGCTTTTACATATAAGTGAGAACTTACGGTGTTTAACTTTCTTTTCCTCATTTATTTCACTTAATATAATGTCCTCCAGTTTCATTCATGTTGCTGTGAATGACAGAATTTCATTCTTTTAGGGCTGGGCGCAGTGGCTCATGCCTGTAATCCCAGCGCTTTGGAAGGCCAAGGTGGGTGGATTACTTGAGGTCAGGGGTTCAAGACCAGCCTGGCCAACATGGAAAAACTCCATCTCTACTAAAAGTACAAAAATTAGCCAGGCATGATAGCACATGCCTGTAATCCCAGCTACTACGGAGGCTGAGGCAAGAGAATTGCTTGAACCCAGGGGGCAGAGGTTGCAGTGAGCTGAGATTGCACCACTGCACTCCAGCTTGGGTGACAGAGTAAGACTCCATCTCAAAAAAAAAAAATTCATTCTTTTATATGACTGAAAAGTGTTCCATTGTGTATATACAGCACATTTTCTTTAGCCTTTCATCTGTTGTTGGACACCAAGTTTAATATGTCATGGCTATTGTGAATAGTTCTGCAATAAATATGAGAGTGCAGATAACTCTTCAATAGCAAAACCAGACAAAGAGACAACAAAAAAGGAAAACAACTGGCTAATATCCCTAATGAACACAGACACAAAAATCCTCGACAAAATACTAGCAAAGTCCAACAACATAAACACTGATCAAGTAGGATTTATCCCAGGGATAAAAGGACAGTTTAATACATGCAAATCAGTAAATGCCATATGTCACATCAATACAATGAAGGAAAAAACATATGACCATCTCAATAGATTCAGAACAAAACTTTTAATAAAATTTAATGTCTCTTTTTTAAAAACTGCTATTTGAGATTTAGAGGTACACATGCAGGTTTTTTACATAGGTAAACTCATGTCACGGAGGTTTGTTGTACAGATTATTTCATCACCAGAGTACTAAGCCTAGTACCCAAGTGTTATTTTTTCTGATCCTCTCCCTTCTGCCACCCTTCATCCACAAGTAGTCCCCAGTATCTATCATTCCCCACTTTATGTCTATGAGTTATCACTTAGCTCCCACTTATTCATGAGAACATGCAGTATTTGGTTTTCTGTTCCTGCATTAGTTTGCTAAGGACAATGGTGTCCAGCTCCATCCATGTTTCCACAAAAGAAATAATCACATTCTTTTTATGGCTGCATAGTATTCCATGGTGTATATGTACCACATTTTCTTAATCCAATCTGTCATTGATGGGCATTTAGATTGATTCCATATCTTTGAACAGTGCTGCAATGAACATTCACAAGCATGTGTCTTTATGCTTTGGGCTTTCTTCATCTAGACCAAATCTACTTCCAATAAGAGGGCTTTCTCTTTTGACCACTGTCTTCACTTACTGCAATGCATCCTTTCTTGATAAAACTTTTATAAATTAGGTATAAAAGAAAAGTATGTCAACATAATAAAGACCACTTATGAAAAACCCACAGTTAACATCTTACTGAAAAAGCACTGGAATGAGCCAAGGATGCCCACTGTCATCATTCTTATTCAACATATTACTGGAAGTCTAGCCAGAACAGTAAGGCAAAATAAAGAAATCAAATAATTCATATTGTTAAACTGATAATACTACCCAAACCAATCTATTCATTCCATTTAACTCCTATGAAAACACCTATGTCATTTTTCACAGAAATGGGAAGAAATCTAAAATTTGTGTGGAACCACAAAATACCCTGAATAGCCAAGGCAATGCTGAACAAAAATACCAAAGCTGGAGGTACCACATTTCTCAACATCAAACTATACTACAAGGCTACAATAACCAAAACAGCATGGTATCGTTACAAAAACAGACACATAGATTAAAGAACCCCGAAATAAAGCCACATACCTATAACCATCTGATGTTTGACAAAGTTAACAATAACAAGAAATAACAATAACAAGAAGAAAAGACTCCTATTCAATAAATGGTGCTGAGATAAATGGCTAGCCATATATGCAGAAGATTAAAACTGGACACATTCTTTCAACATATACAAAAATTAACTCAAACGCTGGATTAAAGGCTTAACTGTAAAACCTAAAACTATATAAAACCATAGAAAATATCATTCTGGACATCAGCCTTGGTAAAGATTTCATGACAAAGTCTCCACAAGCAATTGCAACAGAAACAAAAATTAACAAGTGGGACCTAAGTAAACTAAAAAGCTTCTGTGTAGCAAAAGAAACTATCAACAGAGTAGACAGACAACTTACAGAATTGAGAAAATATTTGCAAGCTATGCATCCTACAAAGATCTGATATCCAGAATCTATAAGGAACTTAAACAGTTTAACAAGCAAAAAACAAACAATTCCATTAAAAAATGGGTGAAGAACAAGATGCTTCTGAAAACAAAACATACTCATGGCCAGCAAGCATATAAAACAATGCTCAACATTGCTAATCATTAGAGAAATGCAAATGAAAACCACAATGAGATAACATCTCACACAAGTCAGAAAGGCTATTATAAAAAGTGAAAAAATAACAGATGCTGGTGACGTTGCAGAGAAAACAAAATATTTATACACTGCTAGTGGGAATGTAAACTATTTCAGCCACTGTGAAAATCAGTTTAGAGATTTCTCAAAGAACTGAGAACTACCATTTAACCCAGCAATCCCACTACTGGGTATATAACCAACAGAATATAAATCGTTCTACCAAAAAGACACAAGCACCTGTATGTTCATCACAACACTACTCACAATAGCAAATACATGCAATCAACCCAAATACTCATCCACATTGGGCTGGATAAAGAAAATATGGTATTTATACACCATAGAATACTATGCATCCATTAAAAAGAACAAAATCATGTCCTTTGCAGCAATATGGATGCAGCTGGAGACCATTATCCTAAGCAAATTAATTCAAGAACAGAAAACCAAACACTGTATGTTCTCACTTATAAGTGGGAGCTAAACATTGAGTACATGTTGATACAAAGAGGGGAACAATAGACACCACAGCCTACTTGAGGGTGGAGAGTGGAAGGAGGGTGAGGGTCGAAAAATTACCTATTGGGTATTATCCTCATTATCTGGGTGACTTAATTATTTGCACACCAAACTCCAGTGACACGCAATTTACCCTTGTAACAAATGTGCACTTGTACCCCCTGAACATAAAATAAAAGCTGAAAAAAAAAATTAAAAAAATAGAAACATGGGGAAAGAGTGAAATCAAGGAATTTTAAAAGTGGGTTGGGCATAAATTTATGAATATGCTAAAAGTCTAATGAGAGGAAAATGATTAAATAAGAAAAGATAATTATACAATACTTTGCATAAAAGAGTCACTCAAATATTTGATGAATAGGTGAATGAATAAATGAATTAACTGCTAGAGCAAGATCCATGGTTGTCTACTGTTTTGGATTATCCATTTTACCATAAAACTTTATTAACCTAGATCAAAAGTTAAAATATGCACTTTGATTCAGTTACAGATATAACTTCCAAACCAGAAAATATTTCTAACTGGTTCCTCTACACAATATTAAGTCTATAGGCCCTCGTCTCTCTGTCTTATACTTGACATTTTAATGTTTATCATCTCAATATTTATCATGTCAAATGTTTATCATTTGAAACGCCGTTTTATTCATTTTACTTTCTCAAAAGGGCATACACAGTCCTGTGCCTTATGCACAATAGGCACTCAATAAATATTTGTTCACTCACTTCCTTCAGAATCACTCCAGATTTTCTCATTTATCAGTTGAATATAGAGTGATTATTTCCTGAGTGAAAACCCAAAACCCAAAACTACTAAATTATCTAAATTGTTCAACAAATGAATTGTATTTTTATACTCAAGAAGCTATGTGCTATCTATTGCCAGCCACTCTTTTTACATGACTGATGAACAAATATGCCTTATGGTTGCACTATCTCATTGGTAGAATCATTATGTTTTCAATATATGATTGGAATATAGTCATGGACATTTTATGAAGTTCAAAAGTTAAGAAAAATATGGCCATAATGAGAAAGGAGTGGCAAAAAAGTCTTCCTTTATACATATTTTTAAAACATATTATAAATGCAGTCTTTGTTGACTAAATAGTAAAACATTTAGAATCTTTTCTCTATTCATTGAATCTTCTCATGCTTTGAATCCTTTCGTCTTACACACATGGGTAAGTATGAATGCAGAGTTGTTTCTTTTTTAAATGAAGCAGATTTTTTTATACCATATCTTCCCTTGAGCATGTTTACTTTCCCAAGGTTGATTTTCTCCTGTTGCTCACTCTCATAAAAGGTATAAAGAATGAGATCTTGTATAAGAGATTTAACTATGTTAAAGGAAGAGAAAGTTTTTCTCCTTACACAGTAAACTGCAACATCAGTTTCAAATATATTTATAAAAATGATTAGGGAAGCTCTGGTCTATATTAATTCTAGTTCATGAACAAGAGTAGTAATCAAATGAAGTTATTTTGGTTTTTGTTGTATACCAAATTTGCTATAAATTTGGCTCAAAGGCAAATTTAGCATTATATGTACATCCTCCTTAGCTAGTGCCATGCACATAAAAAGAGTAAATTTAAACCCTGAGGTAAAAAATATGTGAGATGTTTCTGTTTCTATTTTATCTTAATTCCTTTTTCAATGTAGAATATGATAGGATATTACAGATGTTACATATAACCAATAATAAAATTTAAATTGAATAAGACAAATTAATGCTACTATTTATTTATATGATCAAATAGAATTTTATACAATTATTCACTTTTTATTTGAGCTCAGAAGTAAGAAATCATGTCCTACATGTATATTGTAAGATATTCCATTCTGCTTCTAAGCCATATCGCCTCAGAAAACAGGAGTTTTGGCAGTCAGGGTTCTTGTAGCTGTAAGAACTTGGCCAAGTTATTTAGTCTTTCTAAGGCTCCATTCTCTTATTAGTCAAATGAAAAATTTGGGCAACAATTCCAACTTTTTCCTCTCTCAGGATCTAGGTGAATGTTGGTTGATGAATCTTTTGAGCCTCTAGATTTATAATTTTTCTCCAACTCCTTTTCTTCTCCTTACAATTTATTTGTTGAATAAGAAAGTTCTGGATTTTACTGATGGCATTCCTGTGATGTTAGCATGTCCCTTGTCCCTGCATTTCCTGAAAAGTGCTAGTTAGATGTAGACTTGATCAAACTTTAATTTTGTGGCAACAATATTTTGGTGATAATATTGTGATTTATAAGAGGCACATAATGTCTTTTTGCTTTTTTGTGTGTGATGTTAGCAACCATTGATAATCTTTGGCAAGAATCATAATTTCTACAGAGGTTTTTAAGTTTGTTCTGAATTAATAGTTTAAAAATATATGGTGTCATTGTTAAGAAACTGTTTATGCTCAATATAATGTAGCTTCCTCTTTTATTATATAAAAGCTACAAATTTCTATTTACTTCTCAAGATTTTTGGTCAATAGAAAATATCAACAGAAACGAAATAGACAGAAACACAAGATGTTGCATATGTGGTTTTAAAAGAAAAATAATTTCCAAGTTCATTAAAGATAAGAAAGGCAGATAAGAAAATAAAGCAGCAGGACACACTCAAATTACTTAATTTTGTTATGGCCAGGGGAAGCATGCTTATTTGATAGCTTTTCATTCCTGGAAACCAAATAAAAATACATAAGTAGAAAGAGGTCAGCATTCCTGTCTTAGCTTATTTGCTGCTGCTATAACAGGATATCTGAGACTGGATACTATACAAGGAAAAAATTATTTGGCTCACTGTTCTGGAGTCTGGAAAGTCCAAAAGCATGGCACTGGCATCTGGTGAGGGTCTTTGTGCTGCATTATCTCATAGCAAGAGGAAAAGACAAGAGAATGCATGTGAAAGAAAGAAGGGGCAAAAAAGCAAGGAAGAAAGGGAGGGAAACTCAATCCTTCTTCTCAGGAAACCACTCCACAATAATGAAATTAATCCATTCGTGAAGACAGAGCCTTCATGTGATTATCTAATCACCTTTTAAATTTCCACTTCTCAACACCACTGCATTAGGGATTACGTTTTCAACACATGGTTTTTGAGGGACTTATTCAAACTGTAGAAATTTCTAAATGCTTTCCTGAGAAATTCAGTGAATTAGCTTTTCCAAAAAAAAAAAAAAAAGGCTTGAAAACTGTTCTTTACTGTGCTGCAAATCTGAGTGAAATTTCCATCCTCAACCCTAACAGAAAGAAAGAAATACTTACCATACGCAGCAATTAAATTTGTGAGGAGAGGAGACAGCCTTCTAGTTAGGCAGCACCGGAAAACTTCTCCAGAGGAAAGAGCACATGGAAATGAAGTGATAGTCCACCATAATGTCAGCACCCAGGGCAAAAGAGAAGGCTTGTCATAAGATTTCTGCATTACAGTGAGGGAGAACTCTTGTGTCTTTGGAGAAAGGAGTGGTAGAGCTGGAGCCATAGCATAAATGTCTAAGTTTATGAAGTGGAATAAAGGATCTGCTGTCATGATCTAAAGCCATTTGTGCAGCAAGTAATTACATATGACTTTTCTCTTAGACTATGCCTATGTGATCTTTTGGCTTGTAGAGTAGCACATTAGACATAGTTCCAGAAGGAGCAGTTTCATCCAGAGAGTGAAAGTAAGTCTGCATCTAAAGTATAAAACACTAAAATAAGCAATTACAGATTGAGTAGGAAGAGAAAACATAGGTCTCAATAAGGGAATCATAGAAAATTCTAACAGGAAAATTCTGACATGAGATTTTCTGTTTCAAAACTTTACGTAGGTCGGCCGCGGTGGCTCAGCACTTTAGGAGGCTGAAGTGAGTAGGTCACTTGAAGTCAGGAGTTCGAGACCAGCATGGCCAACATGATGAAACCCCATCTCTACTAAAAATACAAAAATTATCCAAGTGTGGTGGCGGGTGCCTGTAATCCCAGCTACTCTGGAGGCTGAGGCAGGAGAGTCACTTGAACCAGGAAGGCGGAGGTTGCAGTGAGCCGAGATTGAGCCATTGCACTCCAGCCAGGGTGACAGAGCAAGTCTCCATCTCAAAAAAAAAAAAAAGTTTATGTAAAATATGTTTGTAACTCTGAATACATTTTTTAATAGAAAGCAAGGTTCATACAATGATGAAGTTACCAGGCAGCCTAAGAGATGATGATCTTAGGATTAGCTATTTCTTTTATTATTCATTCATTGATTCATCAAAAGTTTGATCTCCTACTATGTCTAAACACTGGAGATGCAGAAGCAATTATCAATTCCTAATTATCTACCACTGAAACAACTTGATACTGCACAGTATCAGGTATAATTATATTTTCCATCTGTATTTCAATGAAAATGTGCTATAATACAAATAGTCAAATATGTTATAGATAACCAATGGTTGAAATGTCATCCTTGGTAAAGCACTTTTTAATGGTTTCCTGCAAATAGAAGAGTTTCTCTAGTTTATTAGCAAGAAGAGAGGTTTGGAGACTGTAGTCAGTCTTGCTATTTGGTGGCAGTAGGGGTGAATGTGAGTGAGCTGATGAAAGAATAGGTAAAACAGTAAATTTCCAAGTTTCTGAATCTAAGGAAGAAGAGGTAATCTTTTCTTCTTGACCCTCAAGACTCTGAAATTGGATGACCATTATCTTTGACTAAAGCCATGTATGAAGCAATGGGCCAAAGAAGCTAACAAACCTTCATAATAGACACATTTGTGTTCCCTTTCCTCCTGACAACACAAGGTGCTATGGTCGGAATATGTCCTCCAAAGTTCATGTGTTGGAAGCTTAATCTCCAATGCAACAGTGTTGAGAGGTAGGGCCTAAAAAGAGGTGACTGTGTCATGAGCACTCTGCTGTCATGAATGGATTAATGTCATTATCTTAGGAGTAGGTTAGTTTTTATGGGAGTGGGTTTGTTATAAAAGTGAGTTTAACCCTCACTTGCTCTCTTTCCTGTCCACTTACACTCTCTCCCCATATGATGACTTCCACCATGGGAGTGACATCGTAAGAAGGCCCTCATTATATGCCAGAACCTTGATATTGGACTTCCCAGCCTTCAGAACTGTCAGAAATATTTTTTTTCTTTATAAGTTACTCAGTCCTTGGTATTTTGTCACAGAAACAAAACAAAGACACATGCTACATACACAATTACAACTTTTGGATGTGATTCATCTACTCAGGACACCATCACTCACTTTCAACAACCACATTGTACATAGTTATAAAATTTATTTTAAAACTTTACTATCATTTGCTCTTCATCTTTCTTCTCCTTGGACCAGTGATGAACATCAAATTGAATGTTTCTCTAGAGAGTGATTTTGTCACTATTTGATGCTAAGAGTTCTTCAATACTTTGAACATCCATTTCAATAAATCCAGACTCTTTAGCAGGATCTATGATTTTAAATTTTGATTCAATCCCTTTTATATTCACACTTCTCTCAATAGCTCTTATTATTTCCAAGTTTCCTATTAATCTATACAATTTTCTAGGTCTCTTAGACTCACCTACTCTCTTAAAGAGCCTTTCCGCCTGCTTGGACGATACTTATATAAACACAGGAGAATAATAGAGACTATATTAAAACCATTAGAAACACAGGAGAATAATAGAGACTATATTAAAACCATAATAAACACATGATAATATAGTACCCTACATTAAAACAATAATAAGACATGAAATCCTCGTGGAAAAACAGCTATATTAAGAATCCAATGGACTCTGCAACCTCTCATCTGGAACTCATGTGTAACTAAAATATTTTCAGTAGCATATACATACATATTTATTACAATAGATTATTTTGTGTGGTGAGTAAATTTCAAGTAAAATTTTTTGCAAGTTATAATATCAAATATTCAGAAACTGAGAGTTCTGATTATTAGGACTATGTGTCCTTAAAATCAGGCACACAATGAATTTACCCTGAACAGCTTAAAATCTGATCATTTTTAGTTTAGGCAGTAATAATACTTGCTCATATGTCACTACTAAAATCCATATCTCTCACAAAAATTAGGTTGCTTTCATCATGAAAAACTGTGATTTAAAATAGTAGGCAACTATATAGGTTTCACAGAAGCTAACCAGTGACCATACTACACTAAACAGATATAGCTCAATGACACTTGCACTGGGCCTACATTACATAAAACCACGTATTTGAAAAAAATTTAAAATTATCTTTTCTTTATTTTTATCAGATTGGATTAGTTCAAAAGACCATTCTTTGAGTTCTGAGATTCTGCTTCATCCAATCTATTGACAAAGCTTTCAGTTGTACTTTGAAATTTTTTAAGTAAATTTTTTAATTCCAGAAGCTCTGAATGATTTCTAAGATGTTTATCTCTTAATTTATTTCCTGGGTTGCTTTAGAAGTGTCTTTGTGTTGATTTTAGACCTCATCTTGGATCTCAATGACCTTCCTTGCAATTCATGTGTTGAATTCTTTATCTGTTATTTCTGAGTTTCCATTTTGGCTAAAGACCATGGCTGGAGAACTAGTATCATCCTTTAATGGTGTCACTACATTCAGACTTTTCATGGAGCTCAAACTCTGTGCTGGTTTCTTCTCATCTAGAGATGCTGGCACTTCTAATTTTTGTAATGATTTTAGTGTGAATATTATTTTTTTATTTTTCTTTCTTTCCCTTTAATGTTATTAATTTTTTTCTTTACCTTTTTGTTTCCTCCTCTCCCTAGGGAATGTGATTGTAGAAAATGCTGGGTAGGGTCTTTGGCTTTGCTTCTATAATTCTAGGCATTTCTTTCATCAGGTTTTGTATTGGGATATGCAGTTTGTGCTACAAGCCCATAGATGGTACTTATAGGTATGAGCTGACTACAGCCAACATGGTTATGTATATACCTGATCCTTGTTTAATCAAGCAATGGGCTGACTGGTGGAATGCATAGTGGTCTAAGCTCCCTGCTCATCTCTGGGGTAGAAAGGCAGGACCCACGAAAAGTAGGGCCAGACTGGGCAGGTCTGCCTGAAAGTCCTCTAATGGCAGGCACAAGAACCAGTGCCAAGGGAGAATCTACTGGGTGGCTGCCAGGTACCAAGAGGTAGGCCTAGGTATGGAGCTGGGCAACCTCCTTTGCTCCAAGTTCCCTGCATAGAGATCAGGGCATAGCCTAAGCTCCTATTCCAGGAGAGTTGTTGCTATAGGTGCCTGGAGATATGCCTGGTTGTGGAGCAGAGAGGCCCCCCTTGCATCAGAATCTCTGCACAAGATGAATGGGGCAACTTAGGCTGCTGCACCAGGAAAGCCCGTGCTCTAAATGACTGGAGATCTACCTAAGTGTGGAGCAGAGAGGGTCCCCCTGCACCAGGATCTCTGCCAGGAAGGATGAGGTGTCTCAGCCTGCTGAATTAGGGTGCTCCTAATGCCTGGAAACCTGCCTGGGCATGGAGTGGAGAGTCCTCCTGCACAAAGACCTATGTCTGGGAAGGGTGGGGCAGCTCAGGCTGCTGGCCCAGGCAAGTAGGTGCTCCAAATGCCTGAATTTCTGCTTGTGGTGAAGCAGTGAGGGCCCTGCTACACCATGTTCTCAGGGAAGTAGTGTAGGGCACACAGCAATGGCATATGCAGATCAGTTCCAAGTCAACAAGCTCGCCCTGGCACTAAGTCTCAGCACCCAAGAGAAACTTCAGCTATAGCAGCTCTCCTCAAATCCCAGGCCTACAAGAGGGGAGAACACAATTCTAGCACCTACTACTGAGGTGCTTTTCACAGTTCTGGCTAACCCACTTCAGAGTAATTGCTCCAATTTCTGCCCTTAGATGAAAATGCCTGCACAGTCACACTGCTGGGTCACCAAATGGCTGACTTTGCATGCATCTGTATTAAAAATGGCATCCGGCTCTCAGTCTTGGATCTGGGAAAATGTCTGCAGATATTCCCAGTGTCTTTCCCACACAGCATCTCCAAGCCTCTCCTTAACTCCAGGAGGTGGGAAGCAAAGTGCTCTCTCTTGGCCTGGGTTGCTTGGATCCCCAGTGGGAAGGTGAGTCACAGAGAGAGAACCTCTGTCTCTCTCACACACTGGGGCTGCACTCACTTTTATTAGCTGGACGCTGTCACAGGAAATGTTTGCCAGCACTCTCTTCTCTGGACCTGGGATTGTCTTCCATTATTCCGGTGGATTCTCACTTTCCTTCTTGAATGAAAGCTTGCAGAGTTGATCTTTATGCACTGTCGTTCTATTTACAAGGGGCCGAGCCTCACTGAAACCCTCTAATTCACCATCTTGGAGAAAAAAAATTTAATGCAACTATTGTAAATCTAATTATTCCAAAAGAAGTTCTTCTAACAGAAAAGACTACAATTATTTTTACATATAGTGAAAGAGAGGTCACTTTTATGCTAACCAAGTGTCAGACTATATAGGGTTTCATAAACATACTGTATAACCAGTAGTTGCCTTATCTTGAAACCTTAATCTCTTAGTAGATCTTTAGACACTTGTGCAAATTCCAACAGATTTTAGAACAGGCAACTATTTCTTCAATGAATCCCATAAAAACACCATAGAGGAAGTTGTTTCTAAGGTGATAAGATCAGTGTTAAATTTTAGAAGGAGTCCCATAATGTTTGCAGCCTGATTTTTTGCTTTTTCAGTCACTGAACCATCAATCTTCCAATCAACGAGCTTTTAAGGTGGGCCTACAAGCTGTCACTTGATAATTAAGAGGTATGTTAAAATAACAAAAGGTTCTTTTTCAGAGACACATTAGATAATAGAAGTTTTAGTCTCTTCTAGCATACAATAACTGGTTTAATAATGGAAAGATTATTGTTGTGGATGTTTGTAGTACACAATGTGTGCGAACAAGAACAGAAGCAGCACATTTTTACCTTTAAGCACAGTCAAAAGTAGACCCTGCTAGAGAAAACCCATGCAGACTGTGGAGTACAGGACATTTGTTCTCATCCCATTTTCATTTTTCAGATGTGATGAATTCTGTTGAGGCCTTCCTGCTGTGAAGCTCATGAAGTCCCATGGTGCTGATTGCAGTGAGCCAAGATTGTGCCACTGCACTCCAGCCTGGCAACAGAGCGAGACTCCATCTCAAAATAAATAAATAAATAAAAATTTTAAAAAGAGTCTCATGGTGCTTCATTGGTACAGGACCTTCTTCCAAGGCCCTGAAAGGGTCGCTAGCAAAAGCAAAGTGTTTTGATTTTGTTATGTTAATGTAAATTTTAAAATTTATAAATTGTTATGATTATTAGATTATTCTAAATGTTTACTTTCATGTTGAATTTTGTATTTCTAATTCCCTATATATTAAGTAGATATGACAAGAAAGTAAATAGATCATAGCTATTTTAAAATAATATAAATATAAATCAAGGAAAATAAAAGAGTTCTCAACTGGAGGAAGTTTTGTCTCCCTGGGAGATATTTGGCCATGTTTGAAGACCTTTTCGGTTGTCACAATAAGGGGGCAAGGCCACTGGCACCTAGTGAGTACAAGCCAGGGATGCTTCTACCCGAAAATGCATAGTCAGCCCCTTCTAACTAGTATTATCCAGCCCAAAATGTAAACCATGTTGAGGTTGAGAGACCTCCACAATTTCAAAATTAAGAAGTGGTAAGCCTGGATTCAGATCCAGTGTGTATAATTACAAAGCTTATGCTTTCTACTACATTACACTGACTGGCTATAATAAATATCAGTAGAACAAGTTAGTTTCAATTGTGTGGTGTACCAATGGTCATTGCATTTGCCTTCCTCGTATTCTGTAATAAAAGCCAATGGATGTGCATGTTGCCATGTTGGATATGCTCTGTGGACAAAGGGGAGGTGGGCAAGCAAGATAGTCCTAGTCCTTTTCCAGTGTTATCTTCTCAGTTAATGGCATAATCACACACTCGGTTATACAAGGCATACCCCAAGAAACATCCTTCAGTTTGCTTTTTTCCTCCATTCACCATATGTATTAACCTATTTTCACGCTGCTGATAAAGACATACCTGAGACTGGGAAGAAAAAGAGGTTAAATTGGTCTTACAGTTCCACATGGCTGGGGAGGCCTCAGAATCATAGTAAGAGGTGAAAGGCACTTCTTACATGGCAACAGCAAGAGAAAATGAGGAAGAAGCAAAACCAGAAACCCCTGATAAACTCATCAGGTATCTTGAGACTTATTCACTATCACCAGAATAGCACAGAAAAGACCAGCCCCCGTGATTCAATTACCTCCCCTTGGGTTGCTCCCACAACACTTGGGAATTTTGGGAGACACAATTTAAGTTGAGATTTGGGTGGGGACACAGCCAAACCATATCAGCATATTTTATCTCCATTATTTTATCTCTCTTGGAACATACTCCAGGTTATCTTCTACCACTGCTTTAGCATTTACATTGGTGTACTCCTTTTCTACATTGTACTCAGATGATCTTTTTAAAATTTGTATCTGAACACGTTACCTTTCTATGTCCTTATCCCTACATAAACTTCCCATCCTGTCACAATCCTGGCTTAAATCACACAATAACCTATCATTGGTTTCAAGGTAATTGCCCCAATCCCCCAATATGGCCTGTAAAGTCCTCTTAGTCTTTCCAGAATCACTTATCATCTTGCTGTCCCCTGCTTGGTGCTTCAGCCACTGGTGCTTTTAGTTCTTTGACATAGATATGTTACTTCCTACTGCAAGGCCTTGTGCTATGCTTAAAACACCCTACTTCTCATTCCTGCTATTTTTCATCTAAAGCACATCTGATTTTGAGTAGATCATATCCCTCTGTTCTAGGTTTTCATAGCACTATGAAGATCTCTTTTGTGAGTTTATCACAGCTATAGTTTTAAACTCATATGTGTGATTCAAAAAAAAATCACCTGCATTGTAAGCTACATGAGGGCTGGTACTGTGTTTTGCTTTGCTTGAAAAGCAAAGTATACTGACAATCTATCCCCAGCATCACTCGGAGAACTTGGCATTTAACTGGGTTCAATAAATATTTGTGGAGTGAATTATCGCAAGAATAAATAAATGGATGTTCGGATGAAAAAATGCATGATATTAAAGGGCTGAATAGACTCAGGGTTAATATAAGCCTTAATGCTTAGTGTAACATAAGCTCTGGATAAGATCCAATAGCAGCTAAATGAGAGCAAACAAAGTCCTAGACAACCAAAGACGGTTAGGCCAAGATAGATAAGAACTAGAACTATTGAACATGCTGAGCTTTTTCTGTTGAATAAAGCCTTTTAATCTGGACTTTTCCCTGAACCAGTCAATCATTTTGCCACAGAATCTTCATGAGTGAATATAAAAGGACCTGACTTCAATAAAGATTATGCCACTAATCTAATTCCACCTAGAAAAAAATACAGTATCCTCCAAAAGACTCACAAGTCTAATTCCAAGGTAACTTCTCATGGTCCAGCAGAGGAAATCAGACTCCTGGCATCAGAGCCTGCAACATGAGCGACTCAGGCATGCTCAATATAGTCATGTATCTCTTAATGACGGAGACACGTTCTAAGAAATGCATGGTTAGGCAATTTTGTTCTTGCATGAGTATCCTAGAATGCACTCACACAAAACTAGATGGTTTAGCCTATTACACAGCTAGGCTATATGATATAGCCTATTGCTCCTTGGCTATAAGTTTGCACAGCATGTTCATGTTACTGTATTGAATACTGTATGCAGTTGTAACACAGTAATAAATATTTGTGTATCTAAATGTAGAAAAGATACAGTAAAATACGGTATGAAAGATTAAAAACAGGATACCTATATAGGGCATTTACCATGAATGGAGCCTGCAGGACTGAAAGTAGCTCTGGGTGTTGGCGAGTGAGTGGTGAATGAATGTGAAGACCTAGGACATTATTGTACTCTTCTGCAGACATTAGAAACACTGTATACTTAAGCAACACTAAATTTATTAAAAATAATTTTCTTTCTTAAATAAATTAATCTTAGTTTATTGTAACACTTTTACTTTTTAAACTTTTAACATTTTTAAACTTTTTGATTATTTGTAATCATGGCTTAAAACAAAAACAATTGTATAGCTAAAGAAAAATATTTTCTCTCTTTATATCCTTATTCTATACATTTTCTTCTTTTTTTATTTTTATTTTTATTTTTTACTTTTTAAGCATTTTTGTTAAAAACTAAGGCATAAACACACACATTAGCCTAGACCTAGACGGGATCAGAATTTTCAATATCAGTGTCTTTCACCTCAACATCCTCTGTCACTGGAAGGTCTTCATGCGCTATAATATATGTGAAGCTGTCGTTTCCAATGATAACAGTGACTTCTTCTAGAATTTTTCCTGCAGTACCTCCCTGAGGCTGTTTTACAGTTAACCTTCTTTTGATCAGCAGAAGTACACTCTAAAATAATGATAAAAAGTATAGTACAGTAAACACATAAACCAGGGACATAGTCATTTATTATCATTATCAAGTATTATGTAATGTACATAATTGTATATGCTATGCTTTTACATGCCAGGCAACACAGGTTTGTTTACACAAGGATCACCACAAACATGTGAGTAATGCATTGCACTCATTATCATACCTATGAGGTCACTAGGCAATAGAAATTTTTCGGCTCCATTTTTTGGTAATTTTTATTTTAGGTTCAGGGGTCCACGTGAAGGTTTGTTACACAGATAAACACGTATCATGGGGATTTGTTGTACATATTATTACATCACCCAGGTATTAAGCCCAGTACCCAATAGTTATCTTTTCTGCTCCTCTCCCTCCTCTCACCCTCCTTGCTCATGTACACCCCAGTGTCTGCTGTTTCCTTCTTTTTAATCATCAAGTTCTTATCCTTCAGTGCCCGCTTATAAGTGAAAACATGCAGTATTTGGTTTCTGTTCCTGTATTAGTTTGCTAAGGATAATAACCTCCAACTCCATACTTGTTCCCACAAAAGACATTATCTCCTTCATTTTTATGGCTGCATAGTATTCCACGGTGTATAGGTACCAAATTTCTTTAACCAATCTGTTATTAATGGGCATTTAAATTGATTCCATGTCTTTGCTATTGTGAGTAATTCTGCAATAAACATATGCATGCGTGTATCTTTATAATAGAATGATTTATATTTCCTTGGGTATATACCCAGTAATGGGATTGCTGAGTCTAATGGTATTTCTGCCCCTAGGTTTTTAAGGAACCACTGTCTTGTCTTCCAGAACAGTTGAACTAATTTACACTCCTACCAACAGTTTAAAAGTATTTCTTTTTCTCCACAACCTCACCAGCATCTGTTGTTTTTTGACTTTCTAATAATAGTCATTCTGAATGGTCTGAGATGGTCTCGTGGTGGTTTTGATTTGCACTTCTCTAATGAATGGTGATGTTAAGCTTTTTTTCATATCCTTGTTGGCTGCATGTATGTCTTCTTTTGAGAAGTGTCTGTTCAGTCCCTCATCCACTTTTTAATGGGGTTGTTTTTCTCTTGTAAATTTAAGTTTCTTATAGATGATGGATATTAGACCTTTGTCAGATGCATGGTTTGCAAATATTTTCCCCCATTCTATAGGTTGTCTGTTTACTCTGTTGAAAGTTTCCTTTGCTATGCTGAAGCTCTTTAATTACATCCCATCTGTCCGTTTTTGCTTTTGTTATGATTGATTTGGTGTCTTTGTCATGAAAGACACCCATTCCTAGTGGTATTGCCTAGGTGGTCTTCCAGGGTTTTTATACTTTTGGGTTTTACAGTCAAGTCTTTAATCCATCTTGGGTTGATTTTTGTCTATGGTGTAAGGAAGGTGTCCAGCTTCAATCTTCTGCATATGGCTAGCTAGTTATCCCAACACCATTTATTGAATCGGGAGTCTTTTCCCCATTGCTGGTTTTTGTCAGCTTTGTAAGATCAGATGGTTGCAGATGTGTGGCTGACCTTATTTCTGGGCTCTCTATTCTGTTCTATTGGTCTATGTGCCTGTTTTTGTACCAGTACCATGCTGTTTTGGTCACTGCAGCCTTGTAGTATATTTTGAAGTTGAGTAACATGATTCTTCCAACTTTGTCCTTTTTGTCTTGGCTATTTGGACTCTTTTTCATTCCATATAAATTTTAAAATAATTTTTTCTAGTTCTGTGAAGAATGTTGTTGGTAGTTTGATAGGAATAATATTGAATCTGTAAATTGCTTTAAGCATTATAGCCATTTTAATCATGTTGATTCTTCCTATCCATAATCCATAAGCATGGGATGTTTTTCCACCTGTTTGTGGCTTCTCTGATGTCTTTCAACAGTGTTTTGTAATCTCATTATAGAGATCTTTCACTTCCCTGGTTAGCTGTATTCCTAGAGTTTTACTTATTTATTTTTTCCTTTTTTTGTGGCAATTGCAAATGAAATTGATTTGGCTCTCAGTTTCATTGTGGTTCATTTATAAGAGTGCTAGTAAATTTTGTACATTGATTTTGTATCCTGAAACTTTGCTGAAATTGTTTATCAGCTGAAGGAGCTTTTGGGCCAAGTCTATGGGGTTTTCTAGATATAGAATCATGTCCTCTGCAGAGACAGTTTGACTTTCTCTCTTCCTACTTGGATGTCATTTCTTTCTTTCTCTTGCCTGATTGCTCTGGCTAAGATTTCCAATACTATGTTGAATAGAAGTGGTGAGAGAGGGCATCCTTGTCTTGTGCCAGTTTTCAAAGAGAATGCTTCTAATTTTTGCCCAGTCAGTATAATGTTGGCTGTGGATTTGTCATAGATGGCTGTTATTATTTTTAATATGAAAGGATGTTGAATTTTATCAAAAGCCTCTTCTGTATCTCTTGAGATAATCATGTGGTTTTGTCTTTAGTTCTGTTTATGTGATGAATTACACTTATTGATTTTAGTATATTAAACTAACCTTGCATCCTAGAGATAGATGAAGGCTACTTGATAATGATGGATTAGTTTTTGGATGTGCTGCTGCATTTGATTTGTGTTTTGTTGAAGATTTTTGCATCAATAATCATCAAGGGTGTTGGCCTTAAGTTATGTTTTTTGTTTGTGTCTCTACCAGGTTTTGGTATCAAGAGGATGCTGGTCTCATGGAATGAGTTGGGGAGAAGTCCCTCCTCCTCATGTTTTTGGAGTAGTTTCTGCAGGAATGGCACCAGCTCTTCTTTGTACATCTGGTAGAATTTGGCTGTGAATCCCTCATGTCCTGGGCTTTCTTGGCTGGTAGGCTATTTATTACTGATTCAATTTTGGAACTCATCATTGGTCTGTTCAAGGAATCAACTTCTTCCTGGATCAGTCTTGGGAAGGTGTATGTGTCCAGGAATTTATCCATCTCTTCTAGGTTTTCTAGTTTGTGTGTGTAGAGGTGTTCACAGTAGTTTCTTATGGTTGTTTTGATTTCTGTGGGGTCAGTAGTAACATTGTCTTTGTCATTTCTAATTGTATTTATTTGGATCCTTTCTATTTTCTTCTTAATTAGTCTAGCTGGTGGTCTATTTTATTTTTTTCAAAAAGTCAACTTCTGGATTTGTTGATCTTTTAAATGGTTTCTTGTGTCTCAATTTCCTTACGTTCAGCTCTGATTTTTGTTATTTCTTGTCTTCTGCTATCTTTGGGGTTGATTTGTTCTTGCTTCTCTAATTCTTTCAGTTGTGAAGTTAGGATGTTAATTTGAGGTCTTTCTGATTTTTTGATGTGGGCATTTAGTTCTATGAATCTTCCTCTTAATACTGTCTTAGCTGTGTCCCAGAAATTCTTGTATGGTGTACATTTGTTCTGATTATTTTCAAAGAACTTCTTGATTTCTGCCTTAATTTCATTATTTTCTGAAAAGTCATTCAGCAGCATGTTGTTTAATTTCCATGTAATTTTATGGTTTTGAGCAATTTTCATTGTGTTGACTTCTATTTTTATTGAATTGTGGTCCAAGAATGTGGTTGTGGTGATGGGAATAATGTATACTCTGTTGTTTTGGGGTGGAGGCTTCTGTAAATGTCTGTCAGATCCATTTGGTCCAATGCTGAGTTTAGGTCCTGAATACCTCTGTTAATTTTCTGCCTTGATGACCTGTTTAATAATTTCAGTGGAGTGTTGAAGTCTCACACTATTATTGTGTGGGAGTCTGTGTCTCTTTGTAGGTCTCTAAGAACTTTCTATTTGAATCTGAGTGCTCCTGTGTTGGGTGCATATGTATTTAGGATAGTTAGGTCTTCTTATTGAATTGAACCCTTTACCATGATGTAATGCGCTTCCTGTCTTTTTTATCTTTGTTGTTTTGAAATCTGTTTTGTCTGAAATTATGATTGCAACTCCTGCTTATTTCTGTTTTCCGTTTGCTCGGAAGATTTTTCTCCAACACTTCATTTTGAGCCTATGACTGTCATTACATTTAAGATAAGTCTCCTAAAGACAGCATACCATTGAGTTTTGCTTCTTTATCCAGGATGCCACTCTGTGTCTTTTAAGTGGGGCCTCTTTAGCCTGTTTACATTCAAAGTTAGTTTTGATATGTGTGGATTCTATCTTGTCATTGCACTGTTCACTGGTTTTTATGTTGGCTTGTTTGTGTGGTTGCTTTACAGTGACACTGGTCTGTGTGTTTAAGTGTGTTTATGTATTAGCTGGTAGTGGTCTTTCCTTTTATATTTAGTGCTTCTTTCAAGATCTCTGGTAAGGCAGATCTGGTGGTAATGAAGTCTCTCGGCATTTGCTTATCTCAAAAGACTCTTATTTCTCCTCTTCGTAGGAAGCTTAATTTGACTGGATATAAACTTCTTGATTGAATTTTTTTTTTTTTCTTGAAGAATGTTGAATGTAGGCTCCCAATCTCTTCTGGCCTGTAGGGTTTCAGCTGAAAGGTCTGCTGTTAGGCTGATGGGGGTTCCCTTTTTAGGTGACCTGCCCTTTCTCTCTAACTGCCTTTAACATTTTTTCTTTCATTTTCAACCTTGGAAAATCTGAAAATTATGTGTCTTGGGGATGATCTTCTTGTATAGAACCTTGGAGGAGTTCTCTTTATGTCCTGAATTTGACTGTTGATCCCTCTAGCAAAGCTGGGGACGTTTTCATGGATGATATCCTGAAACATATTTTCCAAATTGTTTGTTTTCTCCCCCTCCCTTTCAGGGATATCAATGATTCATAGATTTGGCCTCTTTACATAATTCCATACTTCTTGGAGGTTTTGTTTATTCATTTTTATTCTTTCTTTATTTTTGTCTGACTTTCTTATTTCAGAGAACCAGTCTTCAAGTTCTGAGATTCTTCCTTAAGCTTGGTTTACTCTGTTGTTAATACTTGTGATTGCATGTGAAATTCTTGTATTGTGTTATTCGGCTCTGTCAGACCCACTAGCTTCTTTTTTATACTAGCTATTTTGTCCTTCAGCTCCTGTATGACTTTATTGTGACTCTTATTTTACTTGGATTGGTTTTCCCATTTTCCTGAATCTTTATGATCTTTGCTCCTATCTATAGAAATATTCCAAATTCTATTTTTGTCATTACAGCCAGTTAGTCCTGGTTAAGAACTCTTCTTGAAGAACTAGTGCAGTCATTTGGAGAACAGATGACACTGTGGCCATTTGAGTTACTGGAGTTCTTGCATTTTTCTTCCTCATCTCTGTGTGTGGATGTTCTTTTAACTTCAGTGTAGACCGAGAGCAGTCAATATACTTCTTTTTTGGATGTTTTCACCAGGCTGAGGCTTTCTGCAGGGTCTTTATTTCAAGCTGACTTCTTGCATCTGATTTCAGAGTGGGGTATGTTAGTGAGGTATTTTTGGTGTTGAAGCTTTGGGGTGTGATCCAGCAGCTGGCACTTAGAATTTTTGGTCAGTTGGTAGATTCTTGCTCAGTTGTGTGGATCCCCTAGGTTTCCTCATAGTTGGAGCCGTGTTTCCTCTCAGTTCTCTGAAAGTGTGGGTTCCTCTCCTCCTTGAGTCCCGGCTGTAGTTCACAACTTTACACTTCTGGGCTGCCTACTATGGCTCTGGGGCAATCTAAGTGTTTATGTTTCTTGTCCAGCTTAGAGGCAGCAGAAGAGATCTTAGTAGTGGTTGTGGCCGAGGGTCATTTGCTTGATTCCTGGGGACTCCACCCAGACAGATGCAGATCAGCAATCACTTGGTGCAGTCAGCCCAAGATGGAGGGTTTGTGCTGTGGTCCCAAGCCAGATGTTCCCTGTCTGATGACAAGCTGTGAGGGGTGTATGGGACCCACGGGAAATGGACTGGCCTCCTCTCCTTGGGTCAACTTCTACTTGTTGAAGGTGTGGATAAGGCACTTAGGGTCTTTGCTTCTTCGTTAGTCTGAGGGTGGCAAGCACAGTTCCACTGCAGAGGCAGTGGCAGAGAGGCTTTCAAGTTCCCCCTGGAGGCTCTGTCCAGAAAGTTGCTGAGTTGGTGCTGGCTCAATAGCTCTGGCAGTGGGTGGCTGGAGGCCCAGGCCTGGAATACCTGCCCAAAGAGGAGAGATGGGAATGGGCACTCAGGTAACATTCTGGCCACTTTTCTGCAGGGCTGCTGCAGTATCCTTGAGGCTGCTCCAGTTCCTAGTCATCTCAGATTTTCCAGAATCTGGACGTATCACCAGTGAAGGCTGTGAAACAGCAAAGATGGCAGCCTGTCCCTCCTGCTGGGAGCTTTGTCCCAGGAAGGTATAAACCTGCTGCTGGCCCAAAGGCATCTGTCGGGGTGGCTGGTGACCCCTTTCGCGAGTTCTTGCCCAGTGAGTAGGAATGAGATCAGACCCCTGCTTAAAGCAACTGTCTGGTAGAAGAGCTGTGCTGTGCTTGGGAATCCATTCCACCCTAGATTGGTTCTAACTTTCTAAAGCCTGAAGGCTAGAATGGCTAAAGTGCCCAAACAGCAAAAATAGTGGCCCGCCCCCCTCCCTGGGAGCTCCTTCTTAGGAGGGTGCAATACCACTACTCATAGCTGGCTGGAATTCCCACCCAGTTGTTATCTTGTGAGGTGCCATGGAAGTGGGGTCTGTGAGCTGTTGCTACTCAACCACCTGGTTTTAGCCTCATTCCTAGGGGTGTGTACAGGAGTCTAACCTCCTACTTTTCAGGAGCTGCAGCTACTTTTCCTGGAAAGCCGGAATATCTAAGGCTGTAGGGTCTCTACACATGCCTGAGCAGCCGCTCTGCTGAGACTCCACATAACTGTGTCTGTCAGACTGAAAACTTGGCTCTGGTGGAGTGATTTCACAAGGAGATCTCCTGCCCTGAGGGTTGCAAAAATCGGTTGGAGAAGCATGGTTTCCTAGGATCACTCATTCATTCACTACTTCCCCGGGCAAGGGACGATCCCCTGGCTGCATATTGTTCCTAGGTAGGCCATTATCCTCTCTTGTTTTCCTTCATTCTCTATGGACCAGGTTGTTTCCTTGATTAATCCCAATGCAAGTACCTCAATGTTTCAGTTGAAGGTGTTGTATTCACTTGACCTTTCTGTTCCTCTCCATGAGAGGCACACACACTAGCTGCTTCTAGTCGGCCATCTTAGCCACTCCATAGCTCCATTTTAATCTTATGGGAACTTCGTTATGTATGTAGTCTGTCATTGACTGAAACATCGATGTGCAGTACATGACTATATTGTAAGTTGTGAGCCTTGGACTCAAGCCACAGGGAGCCTGACAGTCTCTTTATTGTAAGAAAACAAAAAAAAATCAAGAAAAGCAACATAGCCATAAAGTTCTAATGATGCTTCACATGCTTTTACGGAATCTAAGTTCAAATGCAGGAACTGGCTCTCTCTAAATGGTATGTAGAATGCAATGCTACAGTCTAAATTTTAGATATCAAGACAATGTTTACTTGAATTTAAGACTTTTATATGTCTCTTTCTTATTCTAGTGGTTCATTCTCCACCTTTCAATGACCTTTCTCTAAAACTGCAAAATATAATCTCTTAAAAATGTTGCATTTAGAATAAAAAATAAGACTTTTATCTAGATGAATATGGTAATATAAAAAAGAGTATAATGTTTTAGCTTTAGAATTTGTCTTAATAACTCAATAATGTAAAATTCAACTTTTACTCTTTTATTTTTGTGGTGACTTTTAAATCCATTTATCATCATGTTGCCAATGATCAGCTATAAAACAACAAAAATGGGTTGTTTTTTCCCCAACTCATTCCAAAATGAATAATGAAAGGATTTGCCAGAACCAAAAGATGGGTGGTGCCTTGATCCTTCTTGCTTTCAATGTATCTTTATACAAATGAGACAGGTTGCTCAGCCCTTCTGAAGCTGTAAACCAGCCTTAAATGTGTAAGTGACATGACTCTAGACAAGCACAGATACCCTAAGAAAATGAAATGCTGAAATTAGAAATGTTCATTGCTTTGCATTGCAAACAGGCTCACTGTGCATTTTTCAAACAAAATAACATAAAGTGATGACCAACTTGACCTGCTTGGCGCTTTCTTTTAGGGCAAACAAAAGGCAAATTGACTTATTCTTCTAAAGTAATAACTGCAATGACAACATAATTGGTATCCAAGTGGCATATTTTACTTGAACTGTTGAAAGGCTCCACATTAAAGATCAAACCACTATGAAAAATTCCAACTTTAAAACTCAATTTTATCTAAGATGGCTAAGTATGAAACATTTCTGAAGTGCTGAGATATCCCAATACACTTGATACTTTCTCCAACTCTTCTTGAATAAACAAGAATCAGTTTATAAAAATTACAATTAGCCAGAAAGTGAAGCAAACAGGTAGATGTCACAGATCACTGACTTTTGTCTTCAACTACTATTTGAGGGGTCTGTGATGTGCATAGTGCTATAAAATACATAAAACAAATGAGACAAGATCTGTTCCCTTAATAATGAGTGTTGTTTGTGTGCCAGACATTGTGCTAACTGCCATATAAACATTATCTTATTTAATCCCCACAGCAACCCTGTGATATAGTAACAGTATTACCTGAATTTTACAGATGGTGGAATTAAGATTCAAAGAGGTCTTTTGATGAAAGCCACAGAACCAGTAAACGGTGAGGCAGCATGCACTTCCTACTATTAACTGTTGCATTTTATGAAATCCAACAGATAAGTTACCAGCTAATTAGAGTCAAAGCAGAATGAAATAACTGGTTTAATAAATGCTACTTTTAACTTTGAGTACATGAAAGACTGATAGGTGAGGCATTATGACATCCATTTGCTTCTTTGCATTCAGATCCCTTATAGTCAATCAGAGAGGTCTGACCCTGCAAACCACATTTCCCAGACTCCTTTTCTGCCTAGGTTGGGACAATGGGAAGTACTCACTGGTAGACGATGAGAGGAAGATGGAAAAATGAGATAAACCAGGATATTTCTCCCTTTCTCTTTTTTGAGCAGTATCTCATTCCTTGAGCAGTAGACCTGTGACTTCACAGTTCTTCCCAGTCCCATTAGGTTGGTCCATTTCTAGTTCTAGCTTCTGCCAAGTGGCTCTAAGCCATGGTTACATCACCCCTCCCTCTGTCCCTTCAGACTTGAGGTTGATGACAGCTTCTAGGAATTGCTATTGTCTGGTTTGCTTTTCCTTTTCCTACATGCACTTTTAGCTCTTCTAATGCCTTTTTACTAATTCCCCATACAGCATTCCTTCTAATTGAATTACTTGATTTTATTTTTCTGGCTAGATCCTGATTGATACAGATATTATGGAGTTTTAGCTAGACCTGGAAAGAATGGGTGGATTATAGGATTTTTAAAAATGAGGTTGAGTAGTCCTTGCAGCAGCTCTCAGCCTTGTCTTCCCTCTTTCACACTCATGACCATTCCAAGTAGGAAATGGGAACAATCTTTCTTGTCATTTAAAAAAAAAAAAAAAACACCTTGAGTTAGACATCCTTTTTAAAGAGACTACTAAGTGGAAGACATTCTGGCATGGGTCTTATTTTTTGCTGCCCAGGACTATTAAGTCAAGCAAAACAAAAATTTGTTTCAGCCTCTTGGAAAAACAGATGGTGAGTGATGTTAAAGGCATATATAGCATTGAAGTGTGGCTGGGCCTTCTGTACTTCCTGCTTTTTGGATTCTGGGCGCAGTGTATTGAAAGAAAATTAAACAACAGAAACCAGAAAGGAGGACATTCTATGCCTGCTGCAATTTGTGTGACCAAGATGCAGGTGGCCTGGCAAAATGGCTATAGATGCTCCATATTGCCAAGGAATAACAGAAGAAGAGAAATACTCCAAAGCTAAAGCATGTAGCATTATGCAAACAAAGCAGCGTACCTTACACATACAAACCAACAAAATGCTACAGGATAATGTATTACATCAAATTTTATCAAAGAGGCAGAAAATAAATACAATAAATATAAATAGTGAGATTGCTAAACAGTTATTGAAGAAAAAATAACAGCTAGAATTTGTGGAGTTCTCAATTGAGGTTATGAGGGAGAATTAATTCCTCATGTCCTAAGTCAGTGACTCTCAAAGTACAGTCTTCCAACAGTGACACCAAGCATCACTTAGAAATGCAAGTTCTCAGCCGTTACCCCAGAATTATGGAATCAGAATCAGAAGCTGTAATCATCATTCTCAGTTTGTAGATTAAAAAATTAAATCTGGGCCGGGCGTGGTGGCTCACGCCTGTAATCCCAGCACTTTGGGAGGCCGAGGTGGGCAGATCATGAGGTCAGGAGATCGAGACCATCCTGGCTAACACAGTGAAACCCCGTCTCTAGTAAAAATTTAAAAAAAAAAAATTAGCTGGGCATGGTGGCGGGCACCTATAGTCCCAGCTACTCGAGAGGCTGGGGCAGGAGAATGGTGTGAACCCGGGAGGTGGAGCTTGCAGTGAGCCGAGATCGTGCCACTGCACTCCAGCCTGGGTGACAGAGTGAGACTCTGTCTCAAAAAAAAAAAAAAAAAAAAAAATTAAATCTGATAGGCTAAGTATCATGATTCCGAGGTCAATTAAGTAATACAGTTAGAATTAAAATTGATTGTATGACATACTTTACTGTACCATACACAGGACCAACTATTCTACCTGAGTATCATGGCAAAATGGTGATTTTCCATGATGTTGGACATTAGGCAGAGTTTTCCAAAGAGATATCTTCTCATTCACAAAGTGAACACCCCTGATCCCACAGGGCTATCAGACAAATATCTCTCTGCTCTGGAAATTGGAGCATACCAATCACGCATCCTGCCAGAGTCCAGTAACTCTATCCTCTCTGCTGATATGCAGCAATGCAGCTTAGTCGATGAAGGCATTATCTTCAAAAACAGGATTTGCCAACTGCTTACTGTAAACTTTGACAAATTTCTTAATCTTTTTGAGTCTCAGCTTCCTCATTTATATAATGAACATATTAACATCTCTGTCTTGGAGGTTTGTAATGTGAATTACTAAGAAAAGGTTTGCAAACGTCTTAGCACACTTCTTGCTATTGGTGCTTTCTCTTGTGTCTCTTTTCCATTTCTGAAAAGACTAATAGTTACTCCACGGCCATGTAGTAGATGGAAGTCATTGTATTGTTATAATATTTGTTTAGAGAACCAGTCATGAAATTTTTACATTTTATTTTATTATTTAACAACAGGAATTCTCAACTTTAGCACTATTTACATTTAAGGCCAGATGATTCTTTGTTATAGGGGGTGTTCTGTACATTGTAGGATGCCAGTAGCACCCTCCCCTAGAACCCTGGTTTTGGCAACCAAAAAAACAATTTCAGGCATTGTCAAATGTCCCCTGGGTGCAAAAATCATGCTTCTCTCCCCACACAATTCTTCAGCATTAAACTGGAATCTTGTTTAAGGGGCACTAAAATAAAAGAGGGTTTTTCTACCCTGTTGCACAGAAATCATGGAAACCAGTTATTAAGCCTTCACAGGGGATTTTTGCTAAATGGATTTATAACTACTCACATTTTGGCAGATCATTTACTTTGACAAAAAATATGTTTACTCCAAAGAAGCGAATTGGTGAACTAGGGCAGGTAATTTAATAATTTGGGTAGAACAGAAGCCAACTATTAAATAAATACTGGTGTTTTGTGTTTGCCTTTCTATTTTCTTGATTTATCCATATTATGTTATTAAATTGAACCAGCTCTACCCAGAATAACATAAGCCATTTAAGAATCTCTTAACAGTTATTATTAAAACATTACTGTTTTCTTAATTTGTTTATATTTTATTATAAGCACAAATCATAATCCCATTCTTCTTAGACACAATGCTTACTGTTTTCAACGGTCAATCCCTTAAGATGAAACATAAATGGCCTGCACCTCTCCCTGTGACAAACCAAGAAGCTCATGTAAGTCTTAGAAGGAAATGGATGGATTTTGTTTAACTATCTCAGATGAGTCTCGGGTTGTAAATAAAAGAAAGAAGTTAGCTACTGGGGACTCCTAGCCATCTTAATTCAATCCACTTTCCTTTGGGAAATACCTTGGGCTAGACTAGCAGAGGGGTCTTGAAGTCTTGAGATAAAGTGCTGGGTGAGAGAGAGAAGCTGATCTGTGGTTCCATGTGATGAGTGTCTAAATGTAAATTTACCCTGGCTGATAAGAATGTGAAAGTCAATGAGGACAACGTCATTGGAGTATGTGGAATAGGACATGTGTCTCAGTTGTCCACGTAGCTGGAGAAATCAAAGTATTGGTTTTCTTAACTGGGATTTGTAGTGTTAAGTGTATCTGGGCCATCACTCACTAGTCTGAAACATTGGAATAAGGCAAACTTATACTAGTTCAGACCAGTCCACATACTGGGTCCAATCAGTGCGATCTGAGCGTTCAGTTTGCCCTGAGTAGATATTCAGTCCAGAATGGAGAAAACAACTGTGCCAACAGCATACCTGGGTCATAGTGTCCAGAGTGTTCATCCTCTCAGAAGTGACTAATGTGGACTGGACTGTGGCTTGTTGTGGTTTTCACACATCACTGGAAACCTGAATGTTCATTGGCTGGAGAAATCACACAATAACCCTACAGAGGTGAAGTATGGAGAAATAGAATACAAGCCTCTCCTAGTTGGGGAAGACAACACAGATTAACCGATCAGATATTTACTTGACCCAGGTAGACCCAGTCAGATGTGTTTTTATTTTTTTCTTGATATTCAAAATGACTTTCTTTTCACTCATGGTTTATAGGTTTCAATACAAAGCTGGACCACCATTTTCAAACAGATGCAAACCACTGTTTCACTGTTATCTGAAAGAAAAGTGAGCTCACCAACAATACATTTTTGAATGAGAAAAAAAGAACCAGCTAATATATAGCCTGTGTCCCCTTCACCTTACTGTTTACTTTTCCACTGCTCTTGTTCAAATAGTTATTTAGTGGATCAAATGCTTGAATGCTAGCCTGGCAGGCACTCAAGAAACAAAAACAATCTTTTTTTGTTTGCTTTTAATTTTTGTTTTGTTCTTGTTTTTATTTTAAGACCAGGAAAAAACATTCAAATGACACTGACAGGGAAGAGCAGATGTCTGCAGTTCATTTTCCTTGATTGGATTTTAATAGAATTTGCATAAGGCCCTATTTATTTTCACTTTATCACATTAGGGAGTGTGGACTCAGGGAGCCAATGGAGGGTCACTGCTCATCCTGATTGATGGATGATGAAGTTGTGAGACTGAGATCATTTGAGGAAAAGTCTGTGATTCAGAGCAGAGACAAAGAGTAATATTCACTATCGAGTAACAGCTGAAGATCAACTTGTACAACTTTTTCTCTGGGATCTCGAGGAAATAACAATAATAAGCATTGTTAGTAGTTTGCCTTCCTTGAACATTCTGCTAAGCACTTTACATGAAAAACCTAATTTAATATATTTTTCATTCTGTGAGTAAAATAAAATTCCATAGTCCCTTATTAGCAATTTTAACATACAATGGGCTCTTAAAACAAAACAAAATAACTTATTCTCCCCACCACCTTTGTGACAAACCTATTTGTGGCAAAACATGACTAGAACTGATGTGAAGCTAAAAATGCTTATTATCCCACTTTGTGTGCATATTCATACATTTACTGCAGAAACAGTGCTGTGATGATTACTGGGTGCTGTATATCATGGGAAGGAAGGTATATAATTACCTTTCTAAAATCTGAAAAAAGAAGGTTTCCTGAAAAATCCTAAATTTCAAAATTTGTCTGGTCCCAAGGTTTTTGGAAAAGGTATTAGGGGTTTATAAATTATTGTTATTCAAACTTTAAGGAAGAGAAAATTGACTTACAGAGGTTAAATAATTTGTTCTTCATGAAGTGTTTATAAAAGGGTCAGCTCCTTTGTCTTAGTGACTTTGGTCCAGTACACATTTTATATGGGCTTTAACTATATTTTAGGTTTCACTGGATAAGTCTCTAACTTCTCCCTCTCCCTGGTCTCCTGAGACATTACTGGAGAGAAAATCATTATACCACAATACAGTGGCCATATAATTTACATCTAAAATGGGACCCTCATGAGAATAAAGAGGACACTATTAATAAGTTTATTGTGACAAGGAGCACAAAGTAGAACTGTCTGGTACAAACTGCAACAAATGGTTCCCCTGTATATGTAAAACCTTTACAACCTTTAATCTAAATGTGGACCCGAGAAAATTTGACTTTCCTCATGATGAGTTAATACTTAACTTCTACTCTGTTCCCCTGACACTCTGAAAACTTTTCCTAGATGTTCTTAAGTTTTTCCATTGCAAACCTCTGCTTAGAATGTCCCTCCCGTCTTCACCTGATGAAATCCTCTCCACCATCCAAGACACACGTCCAGTGGGGCCTACTGCAAAAAGCCTTCCTGAGCCTCCTCCTGTCCTCTGCACCTCCACAGCTCTACCTTGGTACCTCCCTTACAGGGTGTGTATCTTGAGTTAGAGTTGGCTCAGGGGCATGTGTAGTGATAAGACACCTAGCTGTGTGAAAGTGGGGGTATCCATAGGTCCATGCTTCTCATTGGCTTTTTAAGGTGAAGAACTTTTTGACAGTGGTATCTCTGATTGAGCCTGCTAGGACCAAAGTGCGTTTAAATGTTGCTCAGTAAGTTTCAAAGATGAGAGACAATGTCTGTTTCAATGACAGCTGATTCTTCTGTCAGACCATGAAATTAATATTTTTGCTCTAAGAGGAACATTTACTTACCAAACATATCTTATTGGCCAGTCCTAGACTGTTTCTAACCCATGTTCCTAAAATTATTACCTGCACAAGCTACATAAGAACTGCCCAGAGTATTTGTTAGAGTGCTCATCCCAATTCTGCCATATTCCATTTGTTTTCTGGGATGGGGCTCATACTATTGCATTCCAAATATATTCCCCAGATCACTATGAGTATGAGGCACACTATAGTTAAAAAGCCACTGCTCTAATTAAACTGGATTAAATAAAATAAGTCTTCCTTCAACTTCTAATGCAAGTTCTTCTCTTCCTTCCTTCCTTCCTTTATTCTTCATTCCTTTCCTTCTTTCTCATTTTCTTCATTCATTAAGAAAAAATTCAAGAATAAAAACAAACAAACAAAAAAGGCAACAAATAAGAGGACTTTGAAATAATTAAAATTTGGTCACATTTTCTCCTTTTGTCCCAGTCTTTCTTTCCCTCACAAACTTACAACACAAACCCACCACTAATGATAAAAAATGAAGACATATAGAGGATAAATAACAAATGCAGAATCTGAGGGAAGCTACTTTCACTTATCTACTTATTTGTTTAGTAATTCATTTACTTGATCATTTTTGTCTGATTATGTAGGCTATTTATTAGATTATTTATATCTGTGCTGCCCAGTACAGTAGCCACTAGCTCTGTGTGGCTGTTGAACACTTGAAATGTAACTAGTCTGAGTTGTAACTGGAGAATTGAATACTCTGTAAGCATAAAATAAACTCCAGATTGTGGAAACTTATTATAAATAAAAGAATGCAAATTAATAATTTTTAAATTTATTATATACTGAAATAACAATATTTTAGATATATTGAGTTATATAAAATATATCATCAAAAATAAGTTTACTCGTTTCTTTTTAGTGTATTTAATGTGATACATTTTGCTTTACGGCTCACATTTGTGACTCACATTATGTTCCTACTGGATACTGTTGCTGTAGATGCCAGTAGTTTCTTACTTGGCAAGATACCACAAGTGGGTGTCCCAAGCCAAGGGAGTAGGATAGCCAAGGTTAAGCAAATAAAAACCCTGGGAACATGGGGGTCTTAAGGGCGTAAGTCTGATTGACTGAGATGGAGCCCTAATTCTGCACCTTGAACAAGTTGTCCAGGAAATTCTAGTAGAAGAACTCAAAGTTATCACTACCTCCCATCATATCTCATTGAGAAGAGCCATTGTGGATAATATTTTGAGATTTCTCCTTAAAATTCATCCTCTTCCCCTAATCTAATTCTAAAGGAGTTTGAAAGACGGGAGTTTTATCTTATCCAAATAAGGGATGAGTGAGTGATTCATGACTAGCAAAACGTATAACATCAGGAAGTCATTCTTCATTGTTTGTGCTTAGTTTTGGGGGATGCCTACTTGACGTATACATGGTTAGAATTGGATAGAGACGGTGACAGGGAAGAGGGGGAGAGCTCAATCTCGTTCCCCATGGCAGGAAGGCCAAAAAGAACAGAGCCATAGATTATTCCCTTATCTAAAGCCTCATTCCTTCTAAGCTGTCATATTCTGCCTGCTTTTTCAACCACAGATAATTTGGCTTTGTGAGAAGCACTCTCTTTGTCGCTTATCAGTTTGTGCATCATCTGAAAGGGTGATATTTGAGAATCAGAATCCTCTAGTGGCCTATTAAATCTGGGGTCAGAGCACACGTTTTTTCCCTGACTGAGAAAGATAGGACAGGAAGTTTCCTCAAGCAATACATTTCACTCAGAAGTGTGTAAAAACCTAAGCACTGCATGTCTTCTTTAGAGTGGTTATTATGTTGATGCAAAGTGTTTGGGTCATTTGGGGGACTTCAGATAAATTTTTTAAGAACCAAGCATGAAAACATGTATCAAAATTGTTTATACCAGTATTATGCATAGCAGTCCTGTGATGCTAGTAAATAGTAGAATATATATGTGAATTATGGCGTATTAATACAAGGAGTACTATATAGCAATGAGCACAGCAAATCATATTCCAAACAACACCATGGATGAACCTCATAACAAAACATTGAGCAAACAAAAGCAGACATGAAGGACTGTGTACTATGTAATTCTGTTTATATAAAGTACAAAAACAGGCAAAGTATGCTATGCTGTTAGAAATAAGAACGGTGGTTATGCTAACAAATCAGAAAACCTAGAGGAAATGGACAAATTCCCAGCCACATGCAATCTACTGAGATTAAACCAGAAAGAAAAAGAAAACATAAGCACACCAATAATGAGCAATGAGATTGAATAAGTAATAAAAAGTCTCCCAATAAAAAAATGGCCCAGGACCAGAAGGCTTTACTTCTGAATTCTACCAAACTTATAAAGAAGAACTAACACCAATTCTTCTCAAATTATTCTTAACGTTTTTTAAAAGACAGCATTCTTCCTAACTCATTCCACAAGGCCAGCATTATCTTATGACCAAAACCAGATCACACACACACACACACACACACACACACACACACAACAAGCCAATATCCCTGATAAACAGATGCAAAACTTCTCAAAATACTAGCAAACTCAATTCAATGACACATCAAAAACACAACATACCATGATTAAATGAAATTGTCCCAGGAATGCAAGAATAGTTCAGCATATGCAAATCAATAAACTTGATACATCACATCAACATCATGAAGGACAAAAAACATTTTATCTCAATAGAAGCAATAAAAGCATTTGATAAAATTCGATATCCCTTCATAAAAAGTGTAAATAAATTAGGCATAGAAGGAAAATAATTCAACATAATAAAGGCCATATATTTTAAACTTACAGCTAACATCATAGTGAATAGGAAAAATCTGAAAACCTTTCCTTTAAAAATGGGAAAAAGACAAGGATGCCCACTTTAACTACCCCTATTCAATACAGTATTGGAATTCTAGCCTGAACAAACAGGCAAGAGAATTAAATAAGAGGCACTCGAATTGAAAAAGAGTAAGTCAAATTGTTCTTCTTTTGGATGACATGATCATATATACAGAAAAACCTAAAGATCAACAAAAAACTCCTAGAACTAATGAACACATTCAGTAAAGTTGCAGAATACAAAATCAACATGCAAAAATCAATAGCGTTTTTATGCATGATGAACAAGCTGAAAGTAAAATGAAGACAGCAATCCCATTCACGATAGCTACCAAAAAATAAAATAACTGTAAATAAATTTAACCAAGGAGATGACTGACCTCTGCAAGAAAAACTATAAAACACTCATGCAACTAATTGAAGAGGACACAAATGGAAAGATAGACCATGCTCATGGATAAGAAGAATTAATATTGTTAATGTGATCATACTACTAAAAGCAATCTCTATCAAAATACCAAACACATTCCTCACAGAAATAGAAAAAAAAAACCCTCAAAATTTGTATGGAACCGCAAGCAACCTCAAATAGCCTAAGCAATGCTGAGTAAAAAGAACAAAGCTGGAGGTATCACTTTACCTTACTTCACAATATTCTATAAATCTATAGTAAACAAAACAGCATAGTGTTGGTGTAAAAACAGACACATACTCCAGTGGAACAGACTAGAGAATCCCGAAATATATCCACATATTTACAGGCAACTGATTTTTAACAAAGGCACTAAGAACTTACATTGAAGAAAGGATGCCCTGTTTAATAAATGCTGCTGGGAAAATTGGGTATCTACATGTAAAAGAATGAAACTAGAGCCCTGTCTCTCACCACATACCGAAATCAACTTAAAATGTATTAAAGACTTAAATGTAAAACCCAAAACTATAAAAGTACTAAAAGAAAATATAGAAAAATTGATGCAGTACATTGGCCTAGGCAACAATTTTATGGCTAAGATTTCAAAAGCACAGGCAACAGAACCCAAAATAGACAAATGGGACTATATTAAACTAAATAGCTCTTTCACAAAAAAGGAAACAATAAAGAGTTAAGAGACAACTTGTAAATGGTAGAAAATATTTGCAAACTATTTATTCAGCACGAGACTATTATCCAGAACATAGAGAGAACTCAAACAACTCAAAAGAAAAAAAAAGCCCTAAAAAAATTTCATTATAAACTGGGCAAAGATTCTGAATAAACATTTCTCAGGAGAAGATATACAAATGGCCAACAGGTATATGAAAAAAAATGTTCAACATAACTTATCATCAGAAAAAATCAAATCAAAACTATGATGAGACATCCTTTTACCCCAGTAACAAGGGCTATTACCAAAAAGACAAAAAATAACAAATGCTGGTGAGGATTGGAGAAGAGGGAACTCTTCTATACTGTTGGTGGGAATGTGAATTAGTATAACCATTATGGAATACAGTATGGTGGTTTCCCAAAAAAATAAAAATAGAAATATCATACCATTCAGCAATCCCCACTGAGTATTTATCCAATGGAAAGGAAATCTGTATATCAAAGGGATAACTGTACCTCCATGTTTATTGCAGCACTATTCACAAGAGCCAAGATATGGAATCAACTTCAGTGTCCATCAACAAATGAATAAAGAAAAATGTGATATACACACAATAAAATACTATTTAGCTATAAAAATGAAATATTATAAATCTGCAGCAAGATGGATAGAAGTGGAGGTCTTTACATTAGTGAAATAAGTCAGGCACAGAAGGACAAATATCACATGCCCTCATTTATATGTGGGAGCATAAAAATTGGATCTTATGGAGGTAGAGGGTAGAATGATAGGTTTCAGAAACTAGGAAAGATGTGAGTATGAAGAGAGGTTTGTTAATAGTACAAACAGACAGTTAGATAGAAGAAATAAGTTATATTATTCCATAACACACTAGAGTGACTATAGTTAATAATATATTATATATTTCAAAATAGCTAGAAGAGAAGATCTGAAGTGTTTTCAACACAAAGAAATAATAAATATTCAAGGTGATGAATATTCTAAATACCCTGATTTGATGATTATGCATTGTATGCATGTATCAAACATCGTGTGTACTCTATAAATATGTACAATAATTTTTTAACCAAAAAGCAGCCTGGGCAACATAATGAGACACATCTTTACACACACACACAATATTAGCTAGATGTGGTGGCATGCACCTGTAGTTCCAGCTGCTTAGGGGATGGAGGTGGAAAGATAGCTTGAGGCCAGGAGTTTGAGGTTACTGTGAACTGTAATAGCACCATGGCAATCCAGCCTGGATGAAAGAGTGAGACCCTGTCTCAAAAAAAAGTTAGGATGCTGGTTCCCCTTGGAAGTGGAGTAGTAGTGACAAGAATGCAGCAGGAAGTGGGCTTCTTGGATGCTGGTTGCACAAGCGTGTTCAGCCTGCAAAAAGTCACCGAACTCTATACTTACCTACAAATTTCTGAATGCATATCATACTACAATGATAAGCAGAAAAGAAGAAACAACAGGAAGAAGAACAGAGGGGTAAAAAAGGAGAAAATCAAAACTTTTATCTAGTAGAAACCAGAGATTTTTATTGGCCGATGACCAACCCCAATGCAATAGGACTCAGGAAATTACCTAGTCCATACTCAACTGAGAGAGGAAAGCTCACACAAATATTGCATCTTTTAGAAAAACTTTCAATGAATGTTTTTAAAAAGGGAAGCAGAAGATACTTACATGCTTATCTGTCATCTCCTTTATTGTGATGTGCTTTTTATTATAAATACTTCTGCCTTACGCTTTAAAGAAGCAGATTGCATAGATGAATGCTTTGCTACCAGAGAGATTCAACAGATAACAATGATAATCTGAAGTTAATTTGTGGGAACTACAAAACTATCAGAGAAGACAGTAGAAATTCCATTAAGCAACTATCTAGGCATTCAAAACCTGAGAAAATTCAGGGGAGGAAGAGCAAGCACTTCTAAAAGCTTTCTGCCACCCGTCTGAGTTACTAGATTTTATAATGATTAATTACAGGCTCTATTATTATTATTGCCCAAAAATGAAATTTGTTATAGAATGAAGAGTGCATTTATTCAGTCATTCAATACATCTTGATTGAATATCTACTAAAGGTCAGTGATATATTGGATGCTGACAGTGTAAGAATGAATGAATTGTGGTCCTAATTTGAGGGTGTCATAGATTAATGAGAGAAGAAACCAGCAAATAATTACAGCATACTACAGAAATGGAAGAAGCACAGACTATTAAAATAGTACAGACGCAAGAGCACTTCCTCTACTAGGTGGTATATATGATTGGAAATGGGAGATTATTTGATTTCAAAACAAAAATTACTCAAGGTGGCTTGAATGAGGCAGATACTTTATTGCATAGATAGAAGCACATTTTATGAAATCCAGAGTAATACTGCCATATTCTAAAAAGGTCACCAAGAATTGAGGCAGAAAAATTATCCATATTGTGGGCTCTTTCTCTCTCGGTCACTCACCTGCTCACCCTGAGGTTCTGTCTTCTGTTTCTTTCTTTCTTTTTCTTTTCCTTTTTTTTTTTTTTTTTGAGATGGAGTCTCACTCTGTCTCCTAGGCTGAAGTGCAGTGGCGTGATCTCGGCTCACTGCAATCTTCACCTCCCCATTTCAAACGATTCTCCTGCCACAGCTTCCCGAGTGGCTGGGATTACTGATGCCCACCACCACACCCAGTTAATTTTTGTATTTTTAGTAGACACAGGGTCTCACCATGTTGGCCAGACTGTCTTGAACTCCCGACCTCAGGTGATCCACCCACCTCAGCCTCCCAAAGTACTGGCATTTTCTGTTTCTATAAGTTGACTTTATTCCTCTCTTTCTCTGTTATTCACTTTTCTTGATGCACTTATGCCTAAATAGATACAGACACCACTTCACTAGTTTTATGTCAAACCTAAATTAGGGATTCCAACAGATATTATGTCCCAATTTCAAGTTTCCAGGAAATTTGCATCCTGGCATCCTTGTTTCAGTGCGCATTTAAGGTGCAGGTGTCAGGGCAATACCTGAAAGAAAGCACAAACTCCACAGAGAACCTCACAGAGAAGGTGGTGTTTTAGCTGAATTTTGAAGGTTGGGCAAATCTTTGTCCAGCAAACGAGTAGGGTCTAGATGTTCCAGGTAACTAATACAAACTATGCAAATCTAAAAAGTCATAAATTATTCTAAAATTGGTTTTAGAATAGTTACTCCCAAAGAAAATGACTTTGTTTTCAAATTATGTTTTAATTAACATATATAATTGTGGGTATTTATCATGTATAATTTAATGTTTTGTTAAACAGCTAAATATAATCATTCCTATAATAGGAATAATATATATAATACATTATTACTGTAATATAATAGAACATTATAATAATACAATGCATTTGTTAATTAGCTAAATTTATTCCTATAGGAATAATTAAAGAGTGCCATAGATTAATGGTAGAAAAAAATTGGTAAATAATTATATATAATTCCAATAGGAATGGTTAAATTTAGCTAATTAACAAATGCATTACCTCATATAGTTATCATTTTTGTAATAAGAACATTTAATACCCACTTTCTTAGCATTTTTCAAGAATAATATACTGTCATTAACTATAGTCACCATGCTGTATAACAGATTTCTTTATTTTATTTAACTGTAATTAAGTATCCTTTGACCAATATCTCCTAAAATCCCCTTTCCCCTTAACCACCCCACTCTTCCAGTACACTATTCTACTCTCTAATTCTATGAAATAAACTTTTTTTAGATTTCATATATAAGTGAGATCATGCAGTATGTCTTTCTGTGCCTAGAGTATTTCACTTAACATGATTTTGTCAAGTTCATCCATGTTGTTGCAAATTACAGGATTTCCTTATCTTTGTGGCTGAATAGTATTCAATCATGTATATATACCACATTTTCTTTATCCAGTTATTTGTTGATGGTCGCTTAGGTTGATTTCATGTCTTGGCTATTGTGAATAGTGCTACAATAAACATGGGAGTATAGATATATTTTCAATATACTGATTTCATTTCTTTTGGAAATATTCTCAGCACTGGAATTGCTGGATCACATAGTAGTTCTATTTTCAATTTGTTGAGGGATCTCCATACTGCTTTTTATAATGGCCGAGCTAATTTATATTCCCACCAGCATGTGCAAGGGTTTCTTTTTCTCCACATCCTTGCCCACACTTGATATCTTTCGTCTTTTTTATGATAGTCATTCTACCAGAAGTGAGGTGATATCTATGTGCAGTTGAGAAGAATGTGTATTCTGTGGCGAATGGATGAAATGTTTTGCTTATGTCTCTTAGGTGTGTTTGGTCTAGAGTGTAGCTTAAATCCGATGTTTCCTTGCTGGTTTTCCGTCTGGATAATCTGTACATTGCTGAAAGTTGAGAATTGAAGTTCCCCAATATTATCGTATTGCAGTCTATCTCTCTCTTCAAATCTATTAATATTTGATTTTTTATATTTAGTTGCTTCTATGTTGGGTGCATATATATATATAATATGTTATGTATATATATATATAATATGTTATGTGTGTACAAATATATATATATATACACATATGTATGTGATGTCCTTTTGCTGAACTGACCCCCTTATCATTATATGATGCCCTTTGTCTCTTTTTACAGCTTGTAATTTAAAGTCTATTTTACCTAGGTACACCTACTCTGCTCTCTTTTGATTTTCAGTTGCATGGAATATCTTTCTTTATCCCTTCACTTTCAGACTATGCGTGTGCCCTTATAGGTGAAGTGAGTCTCTTGAAGGCAGCACATAGTTTTGTTGTGTTCTGTTTTTTTATCCATTCAGCCACCCTATGTATTCTGATTGGAAAAAATGTAATCCATTTACACTCAAGGTAATTATTGATAGGTAAAGCCTTACTACTACCATTTTGTTCACTGTTTTCTAGTTGTTTTGTATAGTTTCTTCAATTTCTTCTTTCTTACTGTCTTTGTTTGTTGTTTAAAAATACTACATCCAGCAAAGCTGTCCTTCAGAAATGAAGGATAGATAAGACTTTTCGACAAACAAAAGCTGAGGGAGCTCATCATCACTAGGCCTGCCTTAGAATAAATGCTAGAGGGAGTTCTTCAAGCTGAAAGGAAAGGTGGCTCATAAGTAGCATAAAAACTCACTGGTAAATTAAGGACACAGTCAAATTCAGAATACTCTAATACTATAATGATGATATAAAAATTACCTATATCTTTGGTATGAAAGTTAAAAATCAAAACTATTAAAAATTGTAATCACCACAATATTTTTTAAAAACTGAGATGGGGGGGGGTCTCATGATGTTGCCCAGGCTGGTCTCAAACTCCTGGGCTAAAGCAATCCTTCTGCGTAGCCTCCCGAGTAGCTGGTATTACAGGTACATCCCACTGTGACCAGTTCACAACAATTTTTAAGGGATATGCAATACAAAAAGATGTAAATTGTGACATTAAAAGTTCAAAGTGAGGTGGGGACAGTGAAGTAAAAGTGCATAGCTTAGGGAATTTTTGCAATTAAGTTGTAATTGGCATAAAATAACCTGTTGCAAGTATAAGATGCTTTTCATAAGCCACATGATAACAACAAAACGGAAACATAAAATAGATACACAGAAAATAAAAAGCAAGGAATCAAAACATACTACTACAGAAAATCACTTTACTGCAAATGACTTTTTGAGTCAAGGAGTTTGGAAGTTTTCCTGCAGAGTAGAAGGATCATTTTGGCAAAACAAATTTAAAGGAAGCCACTGTTGAGAAACATCAGCAAATAACCCATATTTCCCAAAGCGATTTGAAAATGACTAGCCGCTAAGAAAATATTATCTAGAATGGGATAAGAGAAAAAACATTTATAAAGATACAACAATATTTTACAAATCATAAACAAATTCCATTAAAGTAATAGTCAATGGCAATAATAAAAACAAACATAAAAAATCTCTCATCCTGAAAATAGGCTAATGTCTTTAAAATAGTATGTAAATATCCAAAAGTAAGACTTGAGATAACAAACCCTTAAGAATTTGGTGTAATATAAACTGTGGTATAAATAGCCTATCAACTTCCTACTTTGCTTAGTAAATATTAGTCATAGTGGTGACACCCAAATATCTCTAGTGGCAGTGATGATCTCAGTAAGTCTAATAAATCCTTGACACTCTAACACATATGGCAAATCATTTTTCTTCATGCATGTTTATGTTCACATTTATTTTAGTGTTTCTATTTCTAATATTTTTGAATTTGTGTCCTGTGTGGTTTAATCCTTTCTTTTTAATAATACAGTGTATATTTTCTTATTCATTGATTTATTAAAACTCTTTTAGTCAATTTAGAATATCGGTTTGCTGAGTTTCAGCCAATAGAAAATGCATACTTGCCTTCCTCAATTTTTAAAAATTTAATCTAAGTAGTATTTCTTATGTCAATCAGCTTGATTTAATCATATATTTCTATATATATATATACACACATCACGTTGTACCCCATAAATATATAATATATACAATTATTCCCTGTCAATTAAAAATAATTAAATAATTTTTAGCAAGTGATTGCACAATTTAAAAAAATCTAATACTTTGTCTTCCTGGAGCCATCTCTTCTGGAGCCCTGTGTTTTTCTTCTACAGTTCCACTGGATACCTGATCAGATCCTGCAAGCTTTTTGGATGGACTCCTAACAAGTGTCATATCAATAGGGTTTCTCTAGAAATTTTGTCTTGGGAGAAATTGAACAGTTTCAATATTCAGTGTGGCATGAAAGGGTAGAGACATAAGCCCAATAACTAGCTTTATTAGGTGTGAGTATGAGAAGGGTTTGTTGGTCTCCCCATTCAGTTAGAAAGACCTTCACTCATTCCTCTCAATATGGCAGGCTCCCTTAACTCCTGTTGTGTTTGATGTCCTGAATTTAGAGCATCTCTGGTACAATATATTCTCAGAATAAGCTTCTAATGTCTAGTGCTGTTCCGGGACAGGTGGCATCCAAGATTCACAAGAGGAAAGGAGGGATGGAAACATACCAGCACATTGTGCAGACTTTTAAAACACCACCTTTATTTTCAGCAGCAGTCCCCAGTTTAACTTCTGAGGTACAGTAAGTATTTTGTTTGTTTTATCAGCAGCTTAGATCAGAATATTTGGCATCCCTTCTGCCAGCACTTGAAAAGCACTTTGAAAAGAGATAGGAGAGCTGATGACATTTGTGTTCTAGCTTCCAAAAGTTTGTTGATATTAGTCCACAGTTGTCTGCTTTCCCATTTTGTTTATTCCTGTTTCTTGACAACATTCAGAAAACTTCACTATGTTTAATTTTTTTCTTATTAAAAAATATTTTTTCTTAGAAAATTTAGACAGTTCATTTGCTTTCATCTTTTACTCTAGTTGAAAATTTACCAAACTCCACTCACAGCTTCAAGTTATGTAGGGATAGATTATTCATATATCTATTACTGTTAAAATAATATTCTTATGTCCATTGACAACTAGACTTTCCTAGTCCTCAAAGGATACAATTTCAGAGAGACAACTACATGCAAGGTAAATAATCACAGATCAATAGCATCCTTATATTTCAGCAATAAATGCATAGAAAATAGTATTTATTTGTTTTTGTTTTTGTTGTTGTTATTGTTTTGTTTTGTTTTGTTTTGAGACAGAGTCTGGCTTTGTCACCTGTCGCCCAGTCTGGAGTGCAGTGGCACAATCTCGGCTCACTGCAACCTCTGCCCTCCGGGTTCAAGTGATTCTCCTGCCTCAGCCTCCCGTGTAGCTGGGATTACATGCGCCTGCCACCATGCCCAGCTAATTATTATTATTATTATTATTTTTTGTATTTTTAGTAGAGACAGGCTTCAACACGTTAGCCAGGATGGTCTCAATCTCCTGATCTCGTGATCCGCCCGCCTCGGTATTTAAAAGAAGGCTACACATAATCAAAAAATGAAACAAAATAAGTAGATATCTTAGAACAAATTCAACAAAACATGTAAGGAACCTATGCAAAGAAAACTATAAAACTATATCAATGAATATAAAAGAAAAAATAAACAAAATATGCCATGTTTCTGAAAAATAAAAGTTTTGTAGGAGTAGGGTTCATGCCCACCTAATTTATAGTTATAAGTTCAGCACACAGTGGAGAGTTTGGTGCATAGTAGACTCAAATAAAATATTGGTTGAATAATGAATGAAATTATACTTTTTAATTCAGCTCCAAAATATTGTGCGTTAATCTAACTGAAGAAAACTGCAAATCAACTGATCTGTAGAATCCTAGTTGAACTGTTAGTAGAGCCACCACAAGACAAAATAACCCTCAGTATAAATAAAATTATTTTCAGTATTCTAAGAAATAAAGTTTTGGGAACCAAAAAAGTAGGAACATAGGCATTTAACATTAGGCACTGAACTTAGCTAGATCATCTGATCTAGAATTGTACTGTCCAATCTGGTAGCCACTAACCACATGTGTATATTAAAAATGAAATTTAAATTAATTAAAATAGCATAACATTAAAAATGAAATTAAAAATTTCAAGTGCTCATAGTTACAAGTGACTAGCAGTTACCATATTGGATAGCTCAGATACAGGACATTTATTTTATCACAAAAAGTTCTATTAAACAGTCTTGCTGTGGAGCAAGAATAGACAAACTGGATCCTGTGGGCAAAACCAAGTCCATGTACTATTTTAGTAAATTAAGTTTCCCTGAGACACAGCCAAGTTGACATGTTGCTTGTGGCTGTTTTTGTGCTAACTGGCAGAGTCGAGCAGATGCAAAAAAGTCCACATGGCACTAAAAGCCTGAAATATTTACTATCTGGCCCTTCACAAAAAAGTTTTTTGAACACTTCTCTAGAGCATTACCAGAGGAGGTGAAGGGCAGCCCCTTCTGATCTTGCTCCTGCATTTGTTCCCTTGGGTCTGAGTTCCTTTTAGGCATCTTTGTGGAAGAATGGTGTTGCACTCACTTAGAAACTTGCTCAAGAGACTGCTGATTTCCATGTCTAATAAAGCTTGGGAAAATCTAGGCATTGTTCAAAAAGTCATTGATCTTGACTTTAAGATACCCCTCCCTAGACTTTACGCTCTCTCTAGAACATTGGCAAGACCTTAGTCACTGTAAGGGTTAAGTGTCACCTGCAAACTTAAGGGGTTTGCAAAAAGGGGTTGTTTGGCATCATGAATTTGGAGATATGTCTGACATAACCTGGAGTTTCTACTATGTGTTTTATCAGAGTAGTTCTACATATAACTGTTTTTGCCATTGAGGTCTTGATAAAGATTTTTTCTAAATAAGGGCTTTCTATTAACATGTTTGAACATCTCTGATCTAATTAATCTCAGTTTCTTTCCCTTTTCCAATGTCAGTAATCATGAGAAAGAGCATAGGAACAGTGGGTTACTTTCTCTTAAAACAAACAAAAAAAAAAGTGGGCTGGCTTTGTAATTACACTGCTTAGCTTAGAGGGAAGAATAAAATCCATCATAACATGGTCTGAGTATTAGCAAATTCAAGATTGAAAAGCTCTCTGGAGTTGCTGGTTGAAGGCTTAAACCAAGAACTTTCCAGCACTGAGATAAAAATAAATAAAAACAGAGAAAATAGTCTCTTGAAGCATAAATTGAAGAGCCCTACTCACTGCTATGAACTATCAGTTGCTTCCTTTTTTCATAAGACTTTTCTACAGATTTCAATTACCTAAAGAGTTACTATTTGCTCTCCACAATTCTCCCTATATGATTGAAATTATTACTGAGAAATGCCATGGTCAGACCACTACATGTTGATAGTGGTCTTTCCCCCAAACAAAAAGTCTGTGGTTTGCCCAGTGGACTCTAAACCAGTGTTTCTTAAAGTGTGGTATGAGGACCAGAAGCATCAATATCACTTGGGAATTTGTTAAAAATGCAAATTCTGAGACCTCACCCCAGACCCTCTGGATCAGAAACCTTGGAGGTGGGGTCCATCCAACCCAGCCATCTGTACTTTAGCAAGCTCTGTCCAGGTGATTCTGATACTCACTCAAGTTTGAGACTCTCTGCTCTAAACTCTCTCTTTCTTGAGACCAGCGGCAGTACTATACTGAGATGTTAGAAACACAAGTCATGGACTTGAAAGACAGAGAAACGTCCAAGCAATTGCTGATCGGAAATTTACCTTTTTCTCTTACTCATGTCCTGCTTTTTCCCTACGCCTAAAAAATGTTTTTAAAGTTTTTCCTAGGAAGGCTTTTATCTTGTAGAAGCATCAGGAAGTCAGGACAGAATTTTTTTATTATTTATTTTATTTTCAATTTTTGTGAGTACATAGTAGATGTATGTATTTGTGAGGTACATGAGATGTTTTGATACAGGCATACAATGTGAAATAAGCACATCATGGAGATTGTGGTCTTCATTCCCTCAAGCACTTATGCTTTGAGTTACAAATAATTCAGTTACATTCTTTATGTTATTTTAAAATGTGCAATGAAGTTATTAATGACTATAGTTACCCTGTTGTGCTATCAAGTAGATCTTATTCATTCTTTCTATTTTTTGTATTTATTAACCATTCGTAACTCCTCCCATGCCACTACTACCCTTCCCAATCTCTGATAATCATCCTTCTTCTATGTCCATGAGTTTAATTGTTTTGATTTTTAGATCTCACAAATAAGTGAGAACATGTCATGTTTGTAGGACAGAATTCTTTAAGTGGAAGGACTTCAGAAATACCTCTGAAATACGTGAGGGCTTCCAACTCTGATTACTGATGCTAGCACACTCTGTGTAACTGTGGTGCTATTCATCTATGAGCTCTGACCTTGGGCACACATTGGCATTCGATTTGCCGGCTCATAATGGCAGGTAAATTGAAGCCATCTTGCAGCTATGGGTCCCAGCTGTTCCTTAGCTCTTCCTCTTGACTTTTACCCCAGCCTCATCCCTGCTATCACTGCATCACTTGCTAACTTGAAATAAAGATATGTCTAAATTATTCCAGAAAGCTAAGTCACATGCATCTGTAAGCTTTCATGCCACCTGGAACATAATTCTCGCTGAAAGAATTGGCTCTAGTATCAGCTAGTTACTAGCAGCCTGCTGCAGTCATTTTCAAGAAGGTGAAAATATTCTTTATTTGCTTCTGATTGATGGTAGCCTGGGGTTTTAAACAACCGTTTCTTTAGAAAGGTGGTGATAGAGTGATGGGGACAGAATGAGTTTGGTATGTGTCACACATAATCTACTTTCAAAATGCTGTGAGACATTTGGATAAAAGGCAACATTTGACTACACAAAAGACACTTTGGGAGGCCAAATTTACCTACTGAGACAATGTTTTTGTGATTATTTACAATTTATTATCATGCTCTATATGCCAGCTTACAAAACTCATAAAAGACAATTCATGGCTTAATCCGTATTCTAAAAGCCATCGAAATATTATGGGAGGGAGAAATTTTTCTGAAAGGGAAAACTTAATTGTAGCCCCTTACCTGTTCATTGTGTTTTGAGGCTTAAAAAGGGCTTTTATATACACATTTTTACAATAGCTCTGTGGATAAGATGGGCATAAGGATTCCATTTATTTAGATGAGAAAACTGAAGTTCATTTCAAAAAGGTTAAAGGCCTTACCAGAGTTATACAGCTAATAAATGGTAGAGTTCACACATTAAGACAGAAGGATACCATTCATTTCTGCTTTTTGGAAGAGAAATAAAATGGAAAGAAGAGAAAAAATGCTGTAAGCATAACTCAGATAAATAACTGCTTATTGTTTACTTGAAATTTGTGAAGACAGTAGATCTTAAGTGTCCTCACTACACACACACACACACACACACACACACACACACACAATGGGAACTATGTGTGGAGAAAGATGTGTTAATTTGATTGTGGTAATCATTTCATAATATATACATATATAAAATCCTGTTGTATACCTTGACTATGTACAACTTTTATTTGTCAATTAACTTTTAGTTGTCAATTATACCCCATTAAAGCTAGAAACAAAAAAGTGAGAGAAACAAGTCCTTCAACTTTCCCAATTCCCAGTCTTCCCCACTGGCTACTTTGAGCTACATTGAACTCATCCTACCTTAAGCTTCCCAGTTAACTCAGAGTCGCATAGCAGACCTGAGAAGTGACCTATTTTCTGTTAGGATATGATTGCTGATCTGAGCTGTAGAACATAGAAATAATGGTAAGATCAGTTACAAGAGAGAAATTGAACCCAATGGCTGTCAATTTAGGGTGTACTGTCTTTTGTTAAAATGGTCATGTAATGTCATCATGGATGATGTTTTTGAAAGTCTTCCAATAGGTCAATTTCAGGACTAGTAGTCAAAATGTCCACAAGGCTTTAGAAGAAATACGAGTAGTATTATCAGCACAATTTCAATTGTGAACCTTCTTTCCTAAACTTTAATATGTGCTTTATGCAGCTCATTGTAAGTGGAAGAAAATACAACATGTACTGAATGACTGTGATGTGATAAAGTCAAATCCAGCCATTTCAATATACGTTACCTCATTTAAGTTTCAGAATTAACCTTTGAGTTAGACATTAGGACTTCCATACTAAAGATTCATTTCTTCAGCAGTTATTGAGTTTCTACTATGCACCAGTCCCTGAAGATAAAAGTTTGAAAAGAGAATCTGTGTCCTCAAATCACTCATTCATTCCTGCCAGAGAAATATGAACAGATAGTGATGAAATAATAAGGCAGTTCGGCAACAGAAATAGATCACAATATTATGGGAATCATGAGAATGTGCAACTACGAAAGTTGTCTTAAACAGTGAGTATGAGTTAATCAAGTAAGGAAAGGAAGAGGAGAATTCCAGGGAGAAATTTTCATCAGCCAAAGAAATGGAGACAAGGAATGACATAGTATCTGAGGGAAACTTTGAAAAGCAGGGCAGAGGCCGGGCATGGTGGCTCATGTCTGTAATCTTAGCACTTTGGGAGACTGAGGCAGGTGGATCACCAGGTCAAGAGTTCAAGACCAGCCTCGCCAACATGGTGAAACACCTGTCTCTACTAAGAATACAAAAATTAGCTGGGCATGGTGGCACATGCTTGTAATCCCAGCTACTCAGGGGGCTGAGGCAGGAGAATCGCTTGAACTCGGGAGGCAGAGGTTGCAGTGAGCCGAGAGAGTTGCACGCCACTGCACTCCAGCCTGGGCAACAGTGCAAGACTCTGTCAAAAAAAAAAAAAAAAAAAAAGCAAGGGAGAAATTTGATAAAGAACAGTGTAAATTGGGAGGAAGCACTGGGATGGTAAGTGAAGTAAGCCACGTTGAGAAACTGGCTTCCTTTGTCTGAATATGACGGGGACTTACTGAGAATAGAAATAGAACATAGTGATATTAGAACTCTAAATCAGTTGATCATTGCAATACAGAGGATGGATTTGAGAAGAGTAAGACTGGAGAGAAGAAATCCAGTTAGTGAAGCATTATAATAATCCATGCAAGAGATGTTGAAAAGGAAAAAAAAGAGCAGCAGTATTTAATGATTAAAAATAGACAAAGACAGAAACTCTACTAAGTCAAATATTTTCCTTCCTCAACAAGGCAATATAATCAGGATGTGTCAGGGCCTGGAATTCAAACCCTATGATGGAGTGGGAAGACAAGGGATAAAGAATCCCTTTTATGTAGACTGCATACTTCTAACCCAGGAAACACAACTGATACATTATATTTAACTCTATAGGTTCATATTCATCAATACATAACTTGTTTTCACCAATTTTATAAGTACATTAACATACCAAGCCCCAGCATAGGGAGTAGGGGTAGTAAGAAAGAAATCCTTGGTCAGAGAGAGAAAGGTGATTTTGGAACCAAATCTTAAAACAGAGATGGGCTACTTAGGGAGTGAATTTGAAAACTGCAATAGTAGAAAAATTACAGAAAATTACTTGTATAGCAGGGGCTCTATGAGGCATTACTTAGAACGTTATTTTACTGAAATAAGTCTGAATTTTTTTTCATCTACAGAGAAAGTCTTCTTGGTACACAACCTCTTTGACTCATCCAAGAATACTTGAGTAGCGGTATGTGATTAGGCAAATATAAAGACAGTAGACATCTACCTCTGTGGGAAGAAAGACTAGGACAATTTGCACCTGGCAAAGGCTGATTCTTCCTATCTATTTGGTAGCCAGGTAAACCTCTGGAAAGTAAGTGGCACATTTGTACTAGAGCTGAGGAGTCTTCTTGGATGGAAAGGGATATAAGACCATCCATCCAGTCAATAGTAGTAGAGCCTCTTTGATAGTCTTTACATACCCAAGGGGGATGTGAGCATTAAATAAGATAGATGGTCTGGCCTCAGGTTTAGCACTGAGTACCTAGAAACAGGATGGGGGCTACAGGTCGAAGTCCATTTGGACAGAATTCTGTGTTTCATGGTGTCCCTGCAAATAAATAGTAACTTTGCCTATGAGTGTACAGCTGAAAGACATCTAACTTTGGGAGCCCAAGTATGGGCACCATTGCAACCCACACAAGGATCTGAAATTCGAGCAAGGCAATATTGCACCAGTGGCTGTTCACTAGACTGTGTAAGATGTATTTTCAAAAGTGAATCCATGTTATTGCAGCAGGAGAGGCCACAGCAGGAACAGATCTGCTTAAACTCTCTAATTCTCTAGGCTTGGCATCTGCCCCATTGGACTGAACTAGCAGCTAGAGTTTGTGTTATCACTTGAGGATTGAGAGAAGTGGGAGAGTTTCAAGTAAGAAGTATTAGACTGCTTGTTAATAGAGTCTGTGGGAGCTCAAGTAATTAATGAAAACAACAGAAGTGATCTAAACATAGTTGTGCTTCAAGCTGGTGAAACTAAATATTTTAATTAAATCTTTAAAAAATCTCATGTTTATTTTAATCTGTTTACTCCTTTTTTTATTTTACTTATACTTTACAGAGCATTTTCTTGCCAATTAGATAAAGAATCTTTACAGAAACATTATAAGACATTCTAAAAAACACTAAAATACCCAGTTTACACATGAAGAAAATAGTGGCAGAGCTGAGACTAGGTCTGTACCTTAACATTTTAACTCTGGTCCACAGTGCCCTAGATATATTCTATTTACCACTCCTGCTCCTGCCTTCTATAACTCCAAGCTGCATAGCTGTTTCTAAATTAAAACAGAAGGCTAAATTAAAAGGGAAAGAAAGCAAGCTGGGTCTGACAGTAATATTAATCCCTCTGAAATCACTGGTCTTTTCAATTAACAGCCTCTTTTTGAGACATTTATTGCTCTTGGTTTGAACTAAGGTCATTAAAATACTCATGAGCAGGGTTCTCAAAAAGGCTGTTGAAATACTCTCTACAAGGGTTTGGGTACAACTTCTGCCTTGCATGAATTCAGAGAGAAGCTGTAATAAAGCAAGCCCCGGGGCTGTCATTTTTGCCTCTTTGCCTCTGTTTTATTACCTGAGTTCACAAGCCTGTTCAGAATTCACTCCTGAATACACTCCATCATCCTGGAGAAAAACCTATATACTTTATTTAAAATGTAGGTCTGAAAGAAAGTAAATATATGAATTAAGTAAACCCCTCCATACAGCATAAATTCCAGCTAACCTCAATGTGATTTTGCACATCCACCTAAAAGATGCCCAGCATAAAAAGCATGCTACACGGCAAGACGAATCACAGCAGCTTTATTAACCTATACTGAATTAGCCTCCTCACACTAGAATATTTTATGGCATTATTTTATTGGCAGTCACTGTCACCAAATAAACTACAAAGTACTGACTGATGTTGTAGAACTAGACAGCTTGACGGATCTAAATTACTTGTAAAAGAGAAGTATTTTGCCAAGTGTTGCAATGATAAAGCAATCCTGATGTACATAAAATGAGACAAAGAATGGTGGCAAATCTCAGCTGAAGCAAGGCTTGGGAGAATTACCTGGTGAGGATAAAACTGACATCAGAACCCTTGATATTTCCAAATGCATGAGTTCGCTTTTGTTTTTATTTTGTTTATGTTTATTTCTTTTATAACAGAAGGTAGTAATATTACAGACATACTGCATTTTATTGCTGTGGCATTATACACTCATTGTATACTTGCATTTGGGAGGGAAGTAACTAGACTACAATATAGGAATCTGCTCAAACTAAGCAGGAAGCATTTGTATGCAAGGAACGAATAATTCTTGTTTTTTTCCCCTGGAACATTCTAATCGGCTCTTTATTTATCCAGTCAAGACTAACTGAATCTTTTCCCTGGAAGACAGGGAATGGCATTTTAAATGGTTTCAGGGGTGACAAGTGTTTGTAATTGTGTGTGATGCCATTTTACCATTGTTCAATTGGGGGCAGAATTTATTTTACCCCATGAAAGAGAAGCTTCAGCCTCATCAGTATAATAACTTTTTTTAAACGATTGGCTATCTAAAGATTATATCCTGAATTACACAAAAAGGAGACTTCGCTGGGCACGGTGGCTCACGCCTATAATCCCAGCACTTTGGGAGGCCAAGGTGGGCAGATCACGAGGTCAGGAGTTCAAGACCAGCCTGGCCAACATAGTGAAACCCCGTCTCTACTAAAAATACAAAAATTAGCTGGGTGTGGTGGCGGGCGACTGTATTCTCAGCTACTTGGGAGACTGAGGCAGGAGAATCACTTTAACCTAGGAGTCGGAGGTTGCAGTGAGCCGAGATCGCACCACTGCACCCCATCCTGGGTGAAACAGTGAGACTCTGTCTCAATAAAAATATAAAAATTAAAAAAATGGAGGGGTGGGGGAGACTTCAATGTGTAGGAAGGTAAAACCTAGGATGTCTGCCCCATTCTGTATTTGCTGCAGTTTACTTTCTAAGATCAGATCTGATAACTTCACCCATTTGATTCAAAATGTTTGCCTATAGGAGAAAACCCAAACCATTTAAATTTACCCATATAATCTTTTGCCATTGGGCCCAGCTATCTCTCCAATGTTGGCTTCCATTTTTTGCCTTGAAATGCCCAGCTCTACTGAGATTCTTACCAGAACCCAAAGGCACCATGCCCTTTCACTCTTCAACACCTATTCACATGACTTTTCTCTGTTGGGAATACCAATACCTTCTCTGCCTATTCATTCTCTAACCCCAGTCCCTCTGCTATGGTCCCTCCATGCTTAGCAGCTACTTCTTAAAAAGATACCTCAAGTCCTATTGGCAGTTCTAGCTTAAGGCTTACCTCTCCCAGTGGATGATACAATATTCATGAACAAAAATTCTATTACATTTCTGTAAATCAGTTCAGTGCCTTTCGCAGTTTCTGGCATATCACAAGTTCTTCCTAAGTGTTTGAGTTAACAAAACTTAATTTTTAAAATTGTGCTATGTTTTTCTTACCTATTTACCTACTACTTTGAGATTTTCTTGAAAATCACAGCTGTTTTATCTATCATTCTATTCTTTTTCAAATTGTTTTTGAAATTTAAAATGTTTTGGCTTTTATAATTTTTTAAATTTTATTGTAAATTGACAAATTGTAATTGAATATACTATTGGGCACAAAATGGTGTTATATGCATGCAATGTGGAATGATTAAATCAAGCTAATTAACATAACCATCACATCAAATACTTATCACTTTCTGTGGTGAGAACATTGAAAATTGACTCTCAGAATTTTTGAAATATATAAAAAATACACTTATTTACAATAGTCACTGTGCTGTACAATATGTCTCAAAAACTTATTGTTCCTCTCAAACTGAAACTTTGGACCCTTTAACAACATGTCCCTTTTCCCCCAGTGTCCAGCCTGGGACACTAGAATGTAAGCACCATTCTACCTTCTGCTTCTTTAATTCAATTGCTTTAGATTTCACATGTAAGTGAGAACATGCATTACTTGTCTTCCTGTGCCTGGCTTATTCACTTAGCATAATGTTCTCCAATTCCATTCCTGTTGTTGCAATTGACAAAATTTATTTCTTTTTTAAGGCTGAATAGTATTCCATTGTGTATATATACCACATTTTTATCCATTCATCGGTCAATAGACATTTAGATTGATTCTGTAACTTCGATATTGTGAATACTGTTGCAATGAACATGGGAGTGCAGATATCTTTTTGATATATTAATTTCATTTCCTTTAGATATATACTCAGAAGTGAGATTGATGGATCATATGGGAATTCTATTTTTAGTGTTTTGAGGAACCTCTCTACAGTTTTTCATAATGGTTGCACCAATTTACATTCCCATCCTTAATGCACAAGGATTCCCTTTTTTATATATCCTTGCCAACACTTACTGTCTTTCCTCTTTTTGATCATAGCCATTCTGACAGTTGTCAGGTGATATTTTGTTGTGGTTTTAATTGGCACTTCCCTAATCATTAGTGACATTGAGCATTTTTCCCATTTGTATGTCTTCTGAAAAATATTCAGGTCTTTTGCCCATTTTTAAATTGGATTCTTTGTTTTCTTGATATTGAGTTATTTTGAGTTTCTTATATAGTTTAGATATTAACCTGTTTTCAGACGTATGTCTTGCAAATATTTTCTTCCATTCCATAGGATTCGGAAGCTTCTTAATATGAGGTAATCCCATTTGTCCATTTTCATGTTAGTTGCCTGAGAAAATTTGATGATTTTGGCATCAAATCCAAATTATCATTGCCCAGTTATCATTCTATTCTTAACTGAAGTGTCTAGCAGAACACTCATTAAATTTTTGTTGAATAGATAAATAAGAAAATGAACAGGGATATTTTTTAGACAAAAATATCTAGATTCAAATCTAGGATACCAATTACTAACTGAAAGACTGGAGCTAGTTTTTAATTTTCCTTATCTATAAAATGATAATAAAAGTATCCATCCTGTAATGTTATAATTGAAGATCAAAAGCAGTGACATGTAAGTGGCTTAGCCTAGTGTTTGAAACATTCCCTCTTTCTGGTGTATCTGTTTCAATTAGAAATATTTATAGTTGCAGGTAACAGAGTATCCAATGTGCAGTGCCTTAAACACATTATGGTCTATTTTACATATTAAGCAAAAAGTTGATGAGCCTTTTTTCTAACACATAGCGGCTGGAGTCAGGAGAGAACCTAGCAACAATCTAAGTGCATGGTTTTGAATAAGACTACCCCTTCCACAGTCTCCACATCAGTAAATATCCTAATTTATATTATATTACAGTAAGCCCAGAATTCTAGTCATTTTTACTTTCCCATATAGATAGTCTAATCTCTATATGGGTATTCTGGCAGCAAAACATAACCACATCCTAGCACTTTCTAGCACTCTTTTTTCTTGCTTCATTTTTCTCCCCAGGATTTTTTAAATCATTCTGACATACCATGCACCCACAGACACACACATACTCCCACACACTCTCCTACAAATTTGTTTTCTGTTTCTCTTCCAACACTGGAATGTAAGATTCCATTCTGAAAGCAAGAATTTTTGTCTATTTATGTCACTGCTTATCTCCAGCTTCTAAAAAAGTATATTTGTAAGATGTAGGTTCTCAATAAATATTTATTGATGCTGAAATAAATGGTCGAAATTTTATTTTAGATGTTCAGTGATGATCATCAGGACTCATGACCTTTTTTGTTTTAGCGCCACTATTCTTAGCGTATTGAGTTTTAGGATGGCTGTTCCACTTAAAAGCATCAATTCACATTCCAGAAAGAAAAAACACGATAAAGCCAAAGCTTAACCAACTTTTAAAATATACTACCCTCTTTTTCTATTCTAAATAATATATGTTTCCCTAAGCCTTATGGTAGATTTCCACTTTCATTTTATTTATCCTGTGTCTCATGATACCCTGGGCCTGCAAAAGAGTCTGGCAATCCAGTGTAATTTTCTTAGTAAGCAAAGTGTGATAGGAGGGATGGAAAATAGATTTTGAGTCAGCCAGTATATAGTTTCTGCCACAAATTTCTTTGTAATTTTCCATATTATTTATATATAAACGAATAAATTGGAATTTAAAGTACTACGTGTTACAAGTAAAGAATCTTGAATGTAGCATGATTCCATGGCTTATAAGAGAATGTAGATATGTACTTTCAGATTAATTAAACAGGAGTATTGATACTCTAAAATTGAATGCAATATAAACTCTTCACTTATATTTGATTTTGGAAAGTGTCTTGAATTTATATATCCATAGGATGAATCTCACTTGCTCAAAATGATTCAGGATTAACCTTCTACAGGGCATCTCTAGTCAAAAAGTAAGTGAGAAGTGCCTCAATTACAAATGGCCTGAAAAGAAAGAAAATAGCAATGCTTTGAGTGTCTATTATGTTCTAGAAGCTTGTATGCACTGAGTCATTTAACCTATGTGACAATACGTCAAGGTAAGAATTATTATCTCCAATGTAGAGACACTGTCATCTCCTGTTTTAGAGATTGGTAAAGTGAGGTTCAGAGAATTTCGAAAACTTTTGGTAAATGAGAGAAAGAATGAGCCAATGAGCGAGAAATACTTGAACTAGGTTTGGTTTGGCACCAGAGTTGTCTAACTATACTCTGTGCTCTTCCTCAAACGGAAGGATCATATTGTAGTGTTCCATTAAAAGTTGTGCAGCGGCCAGGCGCAGTGGCTCACGCCTATAATCCCAGCACTTTGGAAGGCCGAGGTGGGTGGATCACGAGGTCAGGAGATCCAGACCATCCTGGCTAACACTTTCACCATGTCTATTAAAAATACAAAAAATTAGCCGGGCGTGGTGGAGGGTGCCTGTAGTCCCAGCTACTCAGGAGGCTGAGGCAGGAGAAAGGCGTGAACCGGCGAGGCGGAGCTTGCAGTGAGCCGAGATGGTACCACTGCACTCCAGCCTGGGCGACAGAGCGAGACTCCGTCTCAAAAAAAAACAAAACAAAACAAAAAAAAAAAAAAAACGGTTGTGCACCACAATATAGGTTGCCCATTTTCTCCTCTGAATTCAGATACTGACCTATCCTATATGAACCACATTTCCTAAGGTTAACTTAAGGCTGACTTCCCCCAGGGATTCCTAGACCAAAGAGATAACAGGAAATGACTAGATTATAAAGGCTTTCATTTAATTAAAAAAATATATAAAGATCAGGGAATTGAGATGTCAAGCAGACTACCAGATTAGCTCTGATCAATACTGAGTACTCTTGTCAACACAGCAAATCCTTAAGCAGAGAAGACCCTGTCAAAGCTGAAAGTAAATTTTGTCAAGAGATAGATTATGTCATGGACAGGACTCGGGAGTCTCTGTCATTTTTCATTTGCTTTTGGGTGTTTTGGACTTCTATGAAGAACACTCCTGACACTTTGGGAGGCTGAGGTGAGTGGATCACTTGAGCCCAGGAGTTCGAGACTAGCCTGAGCAACATGGCAAAAACCCTGTCTCTACAAAAAATACAAAAATTAGCCAGGCGTGGTGGTGCTTGCCTGTAGTCCCAGCTACTTAGGAGGTTGAGCTGAGAGGATCACTTCAGCCCAGGTCAAGGCTGCAGTGAGTCGAGATAATGGCACTGCCCTCCAGCCTGGGTGATAGAGTGAGACTCTGTTTCAATAAAAATAAATCTATAAAAATAAAAAAGATAAAAACACTTGATAACTCTGATGCCAACACTCAGGCATGTGACATTTTATACTGCCAGTTCTCTTCTCCTTCACACACTTCTCCAAAGTTTGCTATTCATGAAGGAAGAGAAAAGAAATAACTAGTGAGAGGCCCTGACTACTTCAGCTCACAGAATTTCTTCATGAGCCCCAAAACCACAGATAAGTTCCATTGATTAACACTATGTAAAAAAAAGAAAAAAAAAACCTTTCTTCTCTAGAAGACAGAACATATGGCCTAACTAAAGCAAAACCATACTCTAAATATCCCCAAAACAAACAGAGCTGAAATAAGTAGAATCATTGGAAGAAAAAAACTATCATTGCTAAGAAACTTTTTGTGCCATATATTTTATATATGTTATATATGTTATTGCTCTAAAATGTCACTACAATATTATGAGGCATATATTATTTTCATTATTTTACATATGAAGAAACAGAGGTTCAGAAAGGTCTAAGTTACAAAAGGAAAATAAATAAGGAGTAAATCCATCTAGTGCCATAACATATATTTTGCCACTTGACCACATTATCTTTCCTTTTTTTTTCTACTTTCCCAAGATATACCAGCTTTTATTCCATTGCGACTGTGTTTTAGCTCCCAGGATATCTTAAGGTTATCAGACCAAGGCCAACTTGAGTCAATAAAAGATACTGCCATGAAGATTTAGAGCTGTAGAAAAAAGACTGTGTTTGTCAAAAACTAAGCTTCTACAACAAAGAGCCCCGAAACTACAGAAACTCAAAGTGTAAGCTTATTTTCTCTCAAAATAACAGTGGGTATACAATCAACAAGCAGTTCTGCTATACCTGTTGTCGAGACACTCAGGTTTCTTTCATCACCCACTGTAACTTAGGGTGTTGCCCTCATCTTCCTAGTTATAGCAAGCTTGTCAGCACCATAGATTAAGCTTTAGCTCACAGGAATTGTAAAGGAGAGGATGGAGGGCTATTTGCCTCCTTTTTCAGAGATGCAATAAGCAAGTTTCATGTATTATTTATACTCAGAATCCACTGGCCAAAATTTAATTGAGTGACCACCACAAGCTGCAAGGGGTCTCTGGCTGAGTAGCTATCGGCTTTGCTAAAATTTAGTAAAGTTTCCATTACTAAAAAGGGGAGCAGAGAAGAATGGACACCAGGGAACGAAGAGCACTTTCTGACATAGTTTTCTCTTTTCTTGACCAAGGTGATTCAGTCCGGAAATCCTCACACAATACCATCTCCTTATTAGAGCAACTTGTATATATTATTTTTACATAACCAAAATATGCTGCTTTTCAACTCAAATGAATTTGAGCCCATTCTGAAACCAAAGTTGTGACAAAGGGATCCTTGGCAGGCAGCAAAGTATCTAGAAGTTTCTGGTAGAATAATAGTATCTTAAATTAATATTAAAACTGAGGCTCTGTAGGGACCTGTTAGAATTATACAACATCCCTTCACACTCGTGGCTTCTAAGTGACCTAACTGAATAAAGGAAGCAAAAGACAGCTTGACTGGCTCTGCTTTTGACTGATCCCCATAGGGTTGCTTTCCTGCAGAGAAGGCTACAGAATATAAAGGAATATTAAATAGCCTTCCTTTCCCAAAGGAGTGATTGAAGAGTTTCTGTAAGAGCCCCAGGCACAGAGCAGATTGGCAAGTAATATTGTATCTAGGGCTCTGCCAACCATCCTTACAGAGTTGAATCTTCAACCCTTAAAGATCTCTCTTTGTGAACTTATGATATAAACAAAATAAGAAGTTTAACATTGAGAGAATGCCAAGATTTTATTAACAACCTCATTGAATATGGTCATTTTCTTGCCTAGGAAATTTCAGTATAGTAGTTAAATGGAGTGCATAGATTGTAGAAGAGTTGAATTTTATAAATAATAAATCTAAAGTGTTTAAGAGCCCCTTGCTGGTCCTGCAAAAGCCATGTCCCTCAAGTCTATTATGTGGGCTGTAAAAATGACTAATGATCAGAGAACAGTGTAGTGGTTGAAAGCTTGTACTCCAAATCCCTTTAACTGTAGTTTGAGTCCTGGCTTTGCTTCTTCCAAGACTTTTTCAAAAGAAAAAAAGATAAAACTGATTAGGAGGTATGTGCTATAGTTTGATCATTCCTTATTTCTATACATTTTTGTTTTCTAGCACTTACTATGTGTCAGATAAAAGTTGAACAGAGCCTGAACTGAAACAGTGGCAGGACAAATGGAGAACAAAGGACAAACCGAGGAGCTATTTGCTATTTTAGAGGTAGAACTGCAATCTTCCTAAATAAATACAGATCCCATTTGTCAGCCCCCGCTCCCTGGGGTCTCTTTAAAGGATCAGCCAAAACCTACTTTCTAGTAGTAATTTCCCAGCATACAGTTAGTGCAGTCATAATGAGGAGGTTTGAATAAATTTTTATCAATGAAGTCAGTATGATATGTTTTTGCCTCCCTCATTCCAAGTACACAGGATTCTTGATTACAAGAAGACTTAAGTGAGAAAAGTCTGGAGAAACTTCTGAACTGTGGCAGTAACAGGGTGTGAAAGAAAGGGCACTGGATTCTAAGCCAAATGGCTTGAAAATCAGTCCTGCCTTAATTCTACTGTAACAGAGTATCAAGTTGCTATTGTCATGAAAATTCTTCTCTGGTAAAGTAGGGATGGTAATGGCTGTGCTGCTCACCTCACAGAAATGTTTAGAAGAAATTAACTCAAAGTACTTTATATATTAAAATATTTGCAGAAACTTCTCTTGGGGAGAAGGAAATTTTCATTAAAATATTTGATGCTAAACTTGACAGACTAGGTAAAATTGTATATTGTCAACAGCACTTTTAAAACACCTTAAGTCACCCTTAAAATACACTCATTGAGAATTTTTTTTCCATATGACTACTTCCAGAACAAAAATATTACCTTAATGTTCTGCTTGGAACACTCCAAGGAATTTTCAAATATTACAGTTTGCTGGCTCTTCCTATCTGCTGTCTTCAGTCTTTGTCTTCTGTTGTACAGAGCACTAAATATGATTTCATGTATATAATTATGAAGATACCATTAGTTCCTCTCTGTTGGCTTATTTTTTAAGGATCTTATTTTGTAAGTTTTCTCTTCAAAGATCCACTCATTTTCCTGGACACTTAAAAATGTGGGTTTTTTTTCTGGTATGCTGGCTTTTTTTTTTTTTTTTAATGGTAGAGAATACCTTAAAATTATTCACACATCAAATCCAAAGGTTTTGCCTACAAGTTTGTCCTGATTTGGCCTCAATTTTTCTCACTCTGTGAGAAATCAGAGAAAATAAAACTAAGAGCATCAATTCATTTGCCCATCTCTTACTCATACCCAAGGCATACGTTTATGCCTGGAGTAATCACCTATGTTATTATTTATTTGTAGTCTCTTTTGTATTCACACTCCAGATGTTGCCCTCATCATCTACTGTCTCATTTGTAGCATGCAAACTTAAATTTAAGACCAAAGCACCTATGATTAGAGTCCTCTATGAATAAATATGATGGTCTTTTAAATATGTTGGGAACGCCTCCTTAATGGTTAGAGTGGGAAAGCAGAGGGGGTAGGGGTGTGGAGTGGGGGTTGGAGCCAGGAGTTTTCAAGTGTCCATATAGAAATCAGAATAATTATTTCAGAAGCATCAACCACGAGGACACTGTATTCAAAAAGCTATCTGAACCAAACATTATAGGAAGGAAACATTGTCAGTGTGAACTGGACAGGGAAAAGAGTTGGCTTCTCTTGGTAAAGGGCATTTCTTTCAGAAAGAATTTTGCCTGCCTAAGAACTGTCAGAAAAAGCTCTCAGTAGGGAATATCTTGGCTTACTGAACCTTTGGGACACTTAACCATTCATCATACAGTCAATGTGAATTTTTCTGTGGCTCAGCATTTTGCCAACTAATTTTCAAGTTAAAAGATTCTACATTACCACCAAAATACCATAGGCTGAGCCTGAATAACTATTCCAGCTCATTAAGATTCTCTTCAAAACATTAAACTATACTTTTGAAATTTTCATAGCAAGCATTCTGTAATTATTTACAAATCTGAGTAATAGAGTACAGATAAGGTCACTCAATATTTCATGCTAAGAAAGGAAATTAGACAAGGGTACAAAGAGAGACAGTTTGAGTAAGTATGTCTGGTCATTATTGGAATTCTCTGGCTGGTTTATTTCCCTTTTGTGCTATTTCTGGGATTTTTTTTCCATTACATTATTCAAATACTAAATTGTGGCAATAAACAGGTGACATCATCCAAGAGCTGAGCTTGTTCAATTTCAGGTACATCAAAGAGTTGCTACCAGTTTTTGAAAAGCAGATCTGAATTGCTGTCTGCCCCAGAGTCTCAAATGGAATTTGGATTAATTTTTTCTTTAGCAAGATAGTGAGTCTCTCCTATATGCACTTTACACAGTTCAAACAACGCAATGCTTCCTCTGCTTTAGATAAGAAATGGTATAACCTGATAAAATCTGGAAGTTTTGAAAAAATAAATATATACACATATTCATGTGTGTGTGTGATGCAAAATAAATATTGTATATAAACTATTCATAAATAACACAGTAAAAGCAAATTAGCACCTATCTCAAAAGAAGATTAACACTTATCTCCTTTATTAATTTCAAATTACTAGTGTACATACATATGTGTGTTTGTCTTCAGACAAAATTTATTTTTTGCAATAACTAATAACATTTATTTTTTGAAATGATTAAAACCCTCTGGCTAACCATGGCTGATAAACACAGCACTGTTACCATTATCTTCTGAAATTTCTCCAAAATAAGCAAAAGAGAATAGGAGAAGAGACAATAGTAAACTAGAATTGACGAGGAAATTTTGGAAAATGAAAATCGATGCATAAATGTAACTGACTTAGTAGAGTTTCTCAAACTTTACAACCCATTAAAATTATCTTTAGAATATTAAAATTAAACTATGATAGAAATGATTATAACTCATTGAATAAAACAAGAATCCATGAGTACTCACTGCTAGAGACCATTACCATGTAGATATGACAGATGCAGCTATTGCAGTGTTGCTGGGCACCATAATTTTGTGGTTAGGAACATGGTTTTTAGATTGGACAAAGAAAACGTTGAGTTTATTTCTGGCTTTTTAGAGCTATGTCACCTTGCCAAGTTGCATTCACTCTGCAAGCCTCAGTTTCTTTATGGATTAAACTAAGAATGTCTTAGAAATGTATGGGGACGAAATAATTTTATGTTTGCAAATATTTGGCATACTCTTGGTCCAGAGTCAACATTTGGCAAAGGCTGAAATTTCATTATATTACAATTAAATACATGTTTCATTTATTTTCTTTGATGGCATTTTCTTTGGTTATCACTAAAATAGGTATAAAAATGAGATGACTAAATTAGAAAATAATTAAGATCAGTATTATCTAGTTTATTTCAACCTTCAATAAATATAAGTAAAATCCATAGTACAAAATAAAATGTGTTATTAAATTCCATGAGTAAGACATTCTTTCCATCCTGTGTTGCAAAATATGATTCTGACTTTTTTTTTCCTTGTTCTGTAGGTATATACCTACAATGAGAAAGTAAAAACAGCTTTGTTTTTGTTTTCCAATTTTTAGAAACAGGTCTGCCCTCTTGACCTGTATTGACCCTCTCATTATTATGAGGTACACACCACCAGATGGCCCTATTTTTCATCTTAATAGTTTTTGTTAACCTGTAGGGAAAGGAGTGAAATTATGGGACAGTCCAAACACAGTATTCCAAACACTTATAACCACAACAACAGTCTGCTCTCATTCATGGAATTTATTAGCTATAAAAAATCTGACACTTGGTTTCTCAAGGCCAAGATTATTTCAGATATGGAAAATGGATGGAAAATAAGCTCTTTCTGTAACACTCTGGAGGCTGGCACAGTTGCAGGGTACTTCTCAGACATACTACTATGGCTATGAATTTTGAATCAGTGGCATTTTGAGAACAGGAGTAGGTCTTCCTACCATATACTAGGCAAGGCAGAGTTTTTCAAATCTCAGAGGAAGGACAAAGCAGAAAATGGCCATAGAAAAGTGAAACTAAAATAATAAATTGTAGTTGTGAAAGAGCCAGCTTGCTGGTTTCGCAGTTTTGTTCATATATCTGCTAGTCATAGGACAAAAGTTTGAGCATCGATTTTATTCAGGGGATTTAATTAGATGATACATATTTCTACTAAGGCTTACTCTTATTAATACTGAATTTTAAGCCTATGTCTATATTATTATTTAATATTTTAACTGGGAAAATTATTTAAGACAACTCTAGTGGATATGTTTGTAGTTCATGTTCTAGTCTTCAAATGTGACTACAATTATATAATCCAGAAAAGACAACAATTAATTTTCTCCATCCTTCCCTCCCTCCCTGTGCCTCTCACTCTCAACAATAGAATAAGACAGCCCACCTTAATACATCTTTTACTGTCTCCCAATGTTATTAACATTATCACCAGCCCAGCCTTTCTTTCTCTAGAACAAATAACTCTTACTTTTAAAAACATATGTTGGTTTACATGCCTTTACTTTTAAGATTTATTTTTCAAATTCCTTTTGTTATTCATGGCACTTTAATGGATTATATCAAAATCCTAACATCTAGGTTAAACTGGGTGCTTTTAAATAATGTGTGTGTGTGTGTGTGTGTGTGTGTGTGTGTGTGTGTGTAATGAAGGACTGTCTGAATAAAGACAACATTTATCAAGGATAGCAAATCCCCAAGTTTTATGCTCTTCATATGTTTGATATCCTTAACCAAAGAGTTATCATTATAGCCAGCTTATCAAAATCTACAAAGCTGCTATAAACTTCAGTCAATTTTCACATTTCTGTATTCATTTTTTTTAATTAAGCTGGAAAGAAATTCTTGGGAATTTGAAGAATAGATCCCTAACACTGGCTGAGATTACCTGGAAGGAGCTGAGAGTTTAAAAATCTAAACCATTAACATGTCTATCAAAACTCTTCTGTTTAAAAAGAGAATGTTTAGGAATGAGAACACTCATGTTTTCTGAGGATTTTCCATGAAGCTTATCTTTACAACAAATTAGCCAATGGTACAGAAGAAGAGGGTAAATGTCTTCTTAAGAAATCAGGCTTTTGTTTCCAACACTTTATCCAAACTGCTTTCCTCAAGATAACCAAGACCTCCAGGTTGCTATATTCACAGGCAGATTTCTAGTCCTTTTCTAACTTGACCTATTAGCAACACTTAGCATAGTCGATAATGCTTTCTCATATTTTTCTTTTTTTAAAAAAAAAAGGAGTAAAATAAAACGCACATATCTGATGTGTATAGTTCAATGGGTTTTGACAGTTGTAGATATTCACATGAAGACTACCCAAAACAAGATACAGGACACTTCCATCACCCAGAAAGTTCCTCTGTGTCACATTTTGGTCAATCTCCATACTCTTCAGAGGTGCACTGGAACCACCAAACAGGTTAACCTTGCCCACTGCCTAGACAGAGCCGATCTATCAAGACAGGGGAACTGCAATGGAGAAAGAGTAATATACACAGAGCCAGCTGCATAGGAGACTGGAGTGTTATTATTACTCAAATCAGTCTCCCCAAGCATTCAGGGGTCAAAGTTTTTAAAGATAATTTGGTGGCTGGCAAAGTGGAGAGTGTTGACTGGTCAGGTTGGAGATGGAATCACAGGGGGTCGAAGTGAGGTTTTCTTGCTGTCTTCTGTTCCTGGGTGGGATCACAGAACTGGCTGAACCAGATTATCGGTCTGGGTGGGAGATATTTTGCAGACCCTGCACTGGATGCACCAGCTGAATGCATCCAGTGCAGGGTCTGCAACATATCTCAAGCACTGATCTTAGGTTTTGTAATACTTGTTAGTTATCCCCAGGAGCAATTTGAGGAAGTTCCGACTCGCAGCCAGAGGCTGCAGCATAACCCCTAAACCGTAATTACTAATCTTGCAGCTAATTTGTTAGTCCTGCAAAGCAGACTGGTCCCCATTGAAGAAAGGGGTCTTTTGGGGAAAGGGCTATTATCAATTTTGTTTCAGAGTCAAATCATAAACTGAATTCCTTCCCAAGGTTAGTTTGGCCTATGCCCAGGAATGAATAAGGACAACTTAAAGGTTAGAAGCAAGATGGAGTCGGTTAGGTCTGATCTCTTTCACTGTCATAATTTCCTTGGTTATAATTTTTGCAAAGGCAGTTTCACCACTTTTTGACTTCAGTTACCACAGATTACTGTGCCATTGATTATTTCTTATACTTGGGAGGGTTTATTTGACTATATTACAGATTTGCCCCTTATCTTTTGTTTTCATCAGTTTTACTATGCTTTACATAGGTATGCTTTTTTTATCTATACTCCTTGAGGTTTGCTGAAGTCTTTGGCTCTCTGGATTGACCATCTTTCATTGTTGTTGGAATATTCTTGTCTATTATTCCCTTAAACATATTTTTCTGCCCCATTATCTCTTTCCTATCCTAGCAGGACTTCAATTACGTGTCAGGCTACTTGATATTGTCCCACAGAGCTTAGTTGTTCTGCTCTACTTTGTTCCATCTTTTATATTCCTTATTTGTGTTTCTGTTTGGATACATTCTATTGACCTGCCTTTCAAGTTCACTTATCCCACCCTCTAGACTGCTGTTATGTTGCTCCATCTGATAAATTTTTTATTTTTCACCGTTTTGTTTAAATTCTAGCATTTTCTTTTCATTCTTTTTTATAGTTTTCATCTCTCTGGAGAAATACTTCATATCTTCGTGCATGATGTTAATCTCTTCCAGCAGACCCCATCAAAGCTGTGTTAAAGTTCCTCTCTAATAATTACCATGTCTGAGCGATCTCCCTATCTATTTATCTTTGCTATTTCCTATTTACTATTTAACATAAATCACATTTTCTTCATTTTTTAAATGTCTTATGGTTTTTTATTTTATAATGTAACTTTTGTATAAAATGACATTAGAGACTGAACTGAATAATATTCACCTCCAGAAACGGGCACACCCTTTCTTCCGTCAGGCTGCTGAGTCAATCTTATCTGTACTTGAGCTGAATCTGGTTTTTCTTGCAGCAATAGTATAATATTTTAAAGGTGGGATCAGGATTTTTTCTTTTTGCAAGGAACTGGTGATATTACAGACAGCTCTTATTCTTTGACAGAATTCCAAACAATGGAAAATCTTCTGCTTGACAGCCAGATTGCCAGCTTCTGGAGCTTTGTGGAAGTCACTTTACTCTTCATTCCTGCCCTCAGTTTTCTGCTTCACAGAAAATCTTTCTCAGACCTTCTGCTCTTCAGTCTTCAGACAAGTGCCCCAGATGGATTTCTCTTAGCTTTACTATCACGTATCCAGCCTCTACAGTACGGTGGGCTGTGCCCTGGCCTGCACAGAACAGGCCATACACAGAGATCCGGCATGCCTCAGCAGGGGTCTCTCTCAGCTTTTCTTCTTTATCTCCAGCCTTTAGCTTACTACCTGTATACTTACAAACACTCGTTGAAAACTGTTGGCCAGTTGATGTAGACCTGCTGTATGACTAGACTCCTCAGAATTCTAATCTGACATGCCATGTGGCCAATGGAAGTCTGTTGAAAGTTAATCTGACTTAAGCTCTTATGGACATCTATATCATATTCTTCCTCTTCCCTTGTACTTCTGGTTTTAAGAACAACTATGAGCCTTTGCTTTCCTCATTACTTTCTGAAATTTAATTAATTTATGTTCCTTTATATCTGAAGCTTCTGATGACTTTTTTTAATCAGTGATTTTGGTAGCTTACCTAGTTTGTTTTGGTTTGTATGAAAGGGATAGTGTTTTGCAATTTTGTTCATTACAGTCAGATATGAAAATCCTACCTCTTCTTTGACGCACTGTGTACTCTTGGCTTCTAGGATGCCACGCAATTTCAATTTTCTTTTTACCTGAGTAGTTGTTCACTCTCAGTGTCTACTGCTTATTCCTTCTCTCCTTTCTGTTTTCTTTTTATTTGTTCACGTTTTGTTTGTTTTGTTTTGAGACGGAGTCTCACCCTGTCACCGAGGCTGGAGTGCAATGGCGTAATCTTGGCTCACTGCAACCTCCACCTCCAGCTCCAGGTTCAAGCGATTCTCCTGCCTCAGCCTCCTGAGTAGCTGGGATTACAGGCGCACACCACCATGCCTGGCTAATTTTTTGTATCTTTAGTAGAGATGGGGTTTCACCATGTTGGCCAGGCTTGTCTCGAACTCCTGACCTCGTGATCCACCCGCCTCAGCCTCCCAAAGTGTGGGATTACAGGCGTGAGCCACTGCGCCCGGCCTCCTTTCCAATTTTCAAATGTTAGAGTATTTAGAGGTTTGGTCCCTTTGTTGTACTTGATTTTCTATTTACACTTACTCCCTACATGATCCCATTCAGTCTCAGGGCTTTAATATTCCATCTACATCCCCCAAAATACCAAATGTAAAACTCTAGCCCATATTTTGTTCTCAAATTCTAGACTTGTACACCAACTGTGTACCAACACATACACACTTGTATATACACTAAATGTCTCAAATTCAACATCTTCAAATACTGCACTCCTCATCTTTCTCCCTCCCCTGAAACATCTTATACTCACAGCCTTCTTCATTTCAGTGGATGATAATCATCGAAATTGTCCAGGCCAATTGCGTTGGAGTCCCCCTTGACTTCTCTGTGTCTCTTATGCTTCATACTCAATTCATCAGAAAATCTTGTTGACTCTAATTTTAAACATGTCTATCATCTGCATGCTTCTCCCCATCTGCCTGCTATTTCTCTTATCGAAGGCACCATTATCACATTAAGGAGTTATTAAAGTAGTTGCCTAACTGATTTTTCTTTTATCTCTCTGTAGGTTATCTTCAACATATTATCCAGAGTGTCCAGAGTGATCTTTTAAAATGTAAGTCAAATATTGTTTTCTGCCCCAAAGCACCAATAATCCTTGTTCACTCAGAGTAAATGCCAAAGTCCTTATAAGGGCCAACAAATGCCTACATGATTTGGCCTCTGGTTCTCTATCTTGTCTCCTACAACTTTTTTTCTCTCTCCCTCTCTTCGCTCCAAGCTCATTGACCTTTTTGCTTTTCATTGCTCCCATTTTAAGCCTTTGTTGAAGCTATTGCTTTTATTGAAATGCTCTTTCCCAGATATTTGCCTGATTAACTCTATTTGTCTTCATTTATTCAATACTCTTCTTTTCAGTGAAGTCTACTCTAACCAATTCACATAATACTCAGTGAGAATGTCTCAGCATTCTCACTTTTTCTTTCCTGTTCTTTTAAAATTATTTTTCTATAATATTTACTGGTTGTAATTATGACACAATTTTCTTAATTGTGTTTTTAAAAAATTTTCTGTAGCCTTTTACAAGAAGTTAAGTTTTATGACATCCGGTATTCTTGTATGTTTTGTTTATGTAATACCACATTGCCAAAAACAGTGCCGGGTGTATCACAGGTATGGATAGCTAGAAGATCTTGATTATTATTAAGAGATTGGGAAATCTGTTAATTCAGAACTATCTCCTTCATAAGGAATTAAATTTGAGTGTAATTATTTTCCCTATTAAACAGGATAAAATATTATTACATAATGAATACTTTAATTATGTTTGATTAAAAAACTCACACAATTTTCTAGTACATACAGACTCATGTGGTAAATAGAAATAACTTGAGAAGCTATTTTGTATAATGTCCAAAGTTGTTTAAATTGGATTATGGCCTCTCTAATGAGAAAAAAAAGGTATTAGAGCACAAAAATTGTTCTGAAAAAAGGTTGGAATTCTCAGTCAAGACATTGTTAGATTGGAATACTGATAGATTTTCTTCCATCAAACCTGTAGACTACTAGAGATTATCTGGCTCCTATGTGTCCACAAGTCACACTTCTATAATACAGCTTATATATTCCTAATAGAATCTTAACCACAATAAATAACCATTAGCTGCATTTATTAGATGAGGCACCATATGGAAGGTAAGGAATTGGAAAGAATATGAGATTTTTGTCACAGATATCAAAATCTATACCCATCACTTACCATCTATATGACCTAGAGTAAGTTATTTAAACTCAATCTAACTCAGTTTGCTTCTCTGTAAAATGGGGATGTTAATATCTACCTTACAAAAATGTCATGAGAAATGAATGAAATATCTCCTGTTAGAGTTGTAGTTACATAATAAATGGCAGTTCCCAACAGAAGATACAGGCTTGATAAGTAACAGCTATTGCCTTTGTGTTTATAGTCAACTATAAGTATACAGTATTTGCTAACATACATAATAGCATACATATCTGTTCATATCATGTTCAATGCCATGTTAATAGGGTAAATACCAAAGCTATTTAAAATTTCCAAACAAGGAAACGATTGTTGTAAACCTTCTCTTATCTGAAAACATGGATTGAGAGTAGTAAAACTCTCCAAAACATTAAGGTATACCTTAGTAGAGAAATTAGGAAAGTCAGCTCAGAATGGCTTGAGATTAGAAATAGGCTTCAGTAAAATGCAAGAGCAAGATTTTGACTGTTGGCAAATCTGTGGCATTAACATTACAAGAAAATGGTATTCTGTAAATGAAAACAAAATTTTCATAGAAGTAGGATTGAACCTTGAATCTCCAAGCTTGACGAGGGGAAAAAATACCATCAATCAAGGTCAAGTTGCCAGTGTCCTTCGCATATATATGGCCCTAGAGCAGAGACAGCTACATCAAGTTATCATTAGTTCGTAGCATTACATATTAAAACTATCAACTAACTTCCCCTATCACCAGCCAGCTTCTCTCCAGGCTAATGAAAAGCCTCCTGGTTTTACCCTGGTATCCTCTCAGGGTGTGCAACAGAGACTGTCAATGTGCCCACAACCAGTGATCTGGTCCATGTGGCCATTACTTTTTTCTTTATAAAGAGATATGCTGGTATTGTTGCTTTTAAGTCAGTCTCTAAAAAGTCTAATTTGCATGAATCTATTGAGAAATTGATCATCTGAAGACCCACAGTCAAAAAGCAGTGTGGATCATGGGCAAAACAAGGTGCAGAATAAAAGCCTTCACCAATCGCCCACCCTTGCAGGAACACCAAATTTAACAACTATCTATACACACACAAAAAAACATATTTATAAGAACCAAAAATCAGGTGAGTAATTACAGTACCTGGATTTAACTTCATATCACTGAAAGAGGCACTGAAGAGTGTAGGAAAGACAGTCTTGAATCACCAATGCCATCCCTCCTCCATCCCCCCAGTAGAGGTCACATGGCATGAAGAATCTGTGTAGTTGGGGAAGGGAGAGTGCAGAGATTGTGGGACCTTGTATTGAATTTGGTGCTGCCCTGTCCCAGTGGAAAGCAGAGCTGAGCAGAACTCAGCTGATGCCTACCCATGGGGGGAGGATTTTGACCACCCACAGGCAGAGGAGAATCACCCATTTCAGTGGTTGGAACTTGAGTTCCAAGCCACAAAACCATGGGCTAAACTGCTCTGGGTTGCTAAATAAACCTGAAAAGCTGTCTTGGCTACAAGGACTGCCATTTCTAGGCAAATTCCAGTGCTAGGCTGGGCTAAACATGGCAGGCATGTACCTACTGAGACACCAACCAGGGCAGCTAAAAAAGTGCTTGTGCCACCCCTCCCCCAGCACCTGGCAGCACAACTCTCATCAACAAAAGTGATTCATTCCTTCCTCTTGAGGAGAGGAGAGGGAAGCATACAAAAGACTTTATCTGGCATTTTGGATGCCAGCTCAGCCACAGTAGGGAAAGGCATGGGGCAGAGTTGTGAATTCCCTCTTCCAAACCCTATATCCCAGATGACATTTCTAGACACATCCTGGGCCAGAAGGAAACCCTCTTCCTTGAAAGGAAGGTACCTGTTCTAGCAAGATTCATCACCTACTAACTAAAGAGCCCTTGGGCCCTGAAAAACCACCACTGATACCCAGGTAAGCACACCATGGGCCTTGGGTGAGACTCTGAAATGGGCTGGCTTCAGGTGAAACCCAGCATATTCCTAGCTGCAGTGGCTAGGCTGAGACTATTTCTGCTTAAGAAAAGCAGAGGGAAAAGTAAAGGGGACTTTGTCGTGCACCTTAGGTACCATCTTGGCCACAGTGGGGTAGAGAACGAAGAGGGCTCTTAGGATCCCTGATTCCAGGCCTTGACTCTTAGTTGGCATTTCTGGACCAGCCCTGGGCCAAAGTGGAGCCCACTGACCTTAAGGGTGAGTCTCAGGCCTGGCAGCATTCATTACAAACTAACTGAATAGTGCTTGGTCCTTAAGTAAACATTGGCAGGAGACTGGCAACACCCACTGTGGGTCTATGGTGGTGGTGGCCAAGGGAAGAGGCTCTTGTTCCTGTGGAAAAGTGAAGGAGAGTGGGAAAGATTTTGTCTTGCAGTTTCAGTGCCAACTTAGCTGTAGTAGAATAGAGCACCAGGTAAATTTCTATGGTTTATTTACTCCAGTTCCTGGAATAAAAAATGGCATCTCTGGACCCCTTTGGGGGCCTAGGGAAACTCACCACCCTGAAGGGAAGAACACAAGCCTGGCTGACTTTAGCTACAGCTAAAATATTCTACAAACATAAAGGAGAAATAAAGACTTTTCCAGACAAAAAAAGTTGAGGGAGTTCATCAACACCAGACTTATCATAAAAGAAATGCTAAAAGGAGCTCTTTAATCAGAAAGTAAAGAATATTAATGAGCAATAATAAAAATCTGGAGATACAAAACTCACTGGTAATAGTAAATACACAGAAAAACACAAAATATTATAACACTGTAATTGTGGTATGTAAACTACTCTTATCTTATGTAGAAAGACTAAATGATAAGCCAATCAGAAATAATAACTACAACAACTTTACAAGACACAGTACAAGATATAAGTAGAAACAACCAAAAGGTCAAAAGTGGGGGGTAGAAAAAGTTAAACTGTAGAGCTTTTATTAGTTTTCTTTTCTCTTGTTTGTTTATTTATGCAATCAGGGTTAAGTTGTCATTAGTTAAAAATAATAGATTATAAGATAGTATTTGTAAGTCTCATGGTAACTTCAAATCAAAAACATACAACAAATATACAAAAAGTAAAAACCAAGAAATTAAATCACTAATCATACCACTCATCTTTAGAGAAGAAGAAACTCATCTTCACTAAAAGAAAAATATGAAAGAAGGAAAGAAGGAAAAACCACCAGAAAACAAAGAATAAAATGGCAAGAGTAAGTCCTTACTTTTCAATAATAACATTGAATGTAAATGAATTAAACCCTCCGATCTAAACACATAGAGTGACAGAATGAATTTTAAAAAAAGATACGTTGATCTGTTGCCTCCAAGAAACATGCTTCACCTATAAAGACACACACAGACTAAAAATAAAGGGAAGAAAAAAGGTAATTTCATTCCAGTGGAAATGAAAAAAGAGGAGTAGCTATACTTATAATAGACAAAATACATTACAAGACAAAATCTATAAGAAGAGACAAAGAATTATAATTGTATAATGATAAAGAGGTCAATTCAGCAAGAAGATACAACAATTACATATATATATATGCACCAAACACTGGAGCAGCCAAAAATATAAAGCAAATATTATTAGAGCTAAAGAGAGAGATTGACCCCAATACAATAATAGCTGGAAACTTCAACATCCCACTTTCAAGATTGGACAGATATTCCAGACATAAAAATCAGCAAACAAACATCGTACTTAACCTACACTATAGAGCAACTGCATTTAATAGATATTTACAGAACATTTCATCCAGTGGCTACAAAATACACATTCTTCTCCTCAGCAAATGGATTATTCTCGAGGCTAGACCATATGTTAAGTCACAAAGCAAGTCTTAAAACATTCAAAAAATTTAAATAATATCAAGCATCTTCTCTGACCACAGTGGAATAAAACTAGAAATCAACAACAAGAGGAATTTTAAAAACTATACAAACACATGAAAACTAAACAATATGCTCCTTAATGGCCAGTGAGTTAATAAAGAAATTGAGAAGAAAATTGAAAAACGTGTTGAGACAAATTATAATGGAAACACAACATACCACAAAAACTATGGGACACAGGGTAAGCAGTACTAAAAGGCAAGTTTATAGCCATAAGCACCTACATCAAACAACAACAACAAAAAATGACAAAACTCCAAATCTACAAAAAAATAAAAACACACAAAAATAGCTAGCTGTGGTGGCATGCACCTGTAGTCCCAGCTGCTCAGAAGGCTGAGCTGGCACAACTGCTGGAGCCCAGGAGGTTGAGGCTGCAGTGAGTCAAGATTATGCCACAGCACTCCAACCTGGGTGACAGTGAGACCGTGCCTCAAAAAAAATAAAATAAATAAAATAAAATATGAAAGAAGAAGAAGAAATCTTCAAATAAATACCTAATAATGCATCTTAAAGAAGTAGAAGATTGAAAGCAAACTGAACCCAAAATTAATAGAATAAATAATAAAGATCAGAGCAGAAATAAATGAATACATGAATTTGAAATAAACAATACAAAAATAAATTTTAAAAAGTTATTTTTTAAAGGTAAACAAAATCGGAAAACCTTTACCCAGACTAACCACAAAAAAAAGATGACCCAAATAGATAAAAAAAAAAAAAAAAGATGAAAAAGGAGACATTACAACTGATACAGCAGAAATTCAAATGATCATTAGTGGCTACTATGAGCAACTACATGACAATAAATTAGAAAATTTAGAAGAAATGGATAAATTCCTAGATACTAAAAACCTATCAACATTTACCATGAAGAATTCCAAAATCTGAACAGGCCAATAACAAGTAACAAGATCAAAGCCATAATAAAAAGTACCCCAGCAAAAAAAAGCCTGGCAACAAATGGCTTCACTCTGAATTCTACCAAACATTTAAAAAATAACTAATACTAACCCTACTCAAATTATTCTGAAAAATAGAGGAGGAGGGAATACTTCCAAACTCACTCTATAAGGCCAGTATTACCGTAATATCAAAAACAGAAAAAGACACATCAAAAAAAGAATACTGCAGGCCAATATCTCTGATAAATATTTACAGAAAAATCCTCAACAAAATACTAGCAAACCAAATTCGAAAACATATTAAAAAGATCATTTATCATGACCAAGTGGGATTTATCCTAGGGGCGCAAGAATGTTTTAACACACACACATCAGTCAATGTAATACATCATATCAACAGAAGGGAGGACAATAATCATAAGATCATTTCAATTGATACTAAAAAAGCATTTGATAAAATTAAACATCCCATCATGATAAAAACCCTCAAACAACTGGGTATAGAAGGAACATATCTTGACATAATAAAAGTCATATAAAACAGACCCATAACTAGTGTCATATTGAATGGGGAAAAGCTTAAAGCCTTCAAGATTCGGAACACAATAAGGATGCCCACTGCCACCACTGTTATTCAATGTAGTACTGGAAGTCCTAGCTAGAGTACTCAGAAAAGAGAAAAAATAAAGTGCTTCCAAATTGGAAAGGAAGAAGTCAATTTATCCTTGTTTGCAGATGATATGGTCCTTTATTTGGAAAAGCCTAGACTCTGTCAAAAAAATATTAGGGCTGATAAATTCAGTAAAGTTGAAGGATACAAAATCAACATACAAAAATAAGTAGCATTTCTGTATGCCAACAGTGAACAATCTAAAAATGAAATAAAGTAATCCTATTTTGCAATAGCTATAAATAAAATTAAATACCTAGGAAATAATCAAAGAAGTAAAAGATCTCTACAATGAAAACTATAAAACATTGATGCAAGAAAGAGAACACAAAAAATTGAAAGATATTCCATGTATATGGATTAGTAGAATAAATATTGTTAAAATGTCCATACTACCCACAGCAGTCTACAGATTTGATACAATCCATATTAAAATACAAATGACACTCTTCTCCAAAATAGGAAAAGTAATCCTGCAATTTATATGGAAGCATGAAAGACCCAGAATAGCCAAAGCTATCCCAAGCAAAAATAGCAAAACTAAAGACATCACATTACCTGACTTCAAATTATACTACAGAGCTATTGTAACCAAACAGCATGTTACTGGCATAAAAACAGGCACATAGACCAATGAACAGAATAGAGAACCCAGAAACAAATCCACACATCTACAGTGAACTCATTTTTGACAAACGTGCCAAAAACATACATTGGGGAAAAGAAAGACTTTTCAATAAATAGTGCTGGGAAAACTGGACATAAATATGCAGAAGATTAAATTGGAATCCTATCTCTTGCCATATACAAAAATCAAATTGAAATTGATTAAAGGCTTATACCTAAGTCCTAAACTATAAAAATACTTCAAAAAAAAAAAAACTTTAGAGAAACTCTCCAGGATGCTGGTCTGGGCAAAGATTTCTTTAATAATACTGCACAAGTACAGTCAACCAAAGCAAAAATGAACAAATGCAGTCACATCAAATTAAAAAGCTTCTGTGCAGCAAAGGGCACAATTGATAAAGTGAAAAGGCAACCCACAAAATGGGAAAAAATATTTGCAAACGACTCAGCTGACAAAGGATTAATAACCAGACTATACAAAGAGCTCAAATAACTCTATAGGAAAGAAATATAATAATCTGATTAAAAAATAGGCAAAAAAGCTGAATAGACATTTCTCAAAAGAAGACATACAAATTGCAAACAAGCATATGGATAGGTGCTCAACATTATTGATCACGAGAAATATGCAAATCAAAACTACAATGAGATATCATCTCACCCCAGTTATATCCAAAAGACAGGCAATAACAAATGCTGGCAAGGATGTAGAGAAAAGTAAACTCTTGTACACTGTTGATGATAATGTAAATTAGTACAACCACTATGGAGAACAGTTTGAAGTTTTCCGGAAAAAACTAAAAATAGAGCTCCCATATGATCCAGCAATCTCACTGCTAAGTATATATACACAAGAAAGGAAATCAGTATATGGAAGAGATATCTGTATTTCCACATTTACTGCAGCACTATTCATAATACCCAAGATTTGAAAGCAACCTAATTGTCCATCAACAGATGAATGGATAAAGAAAATGTGGTACGTATGCACAATGAAATGCTATTCAGCCATAGAAAAGAATGAGATGCTGTCATTTTCAATAACATGGATGGAACTGGAGATTATTATGTTAAGGGAAATAAGCCAGGTACAGAAAGATGAAATTTGCATATTCTCACTTATTTAGGGGAGCTAAAAATTAAAACAATTGATCTCATGGAGATAGAGTAGAAGGATAATTATCAGAGGCTGAGAAGGGAAGGGGTAGGGTGGTGTAGGGATAGTTAAAGGGTACAAAAAACAGTCACAAAGAATGAATAAGAGCTAGTGTTTGATAGCATGACAGGGTGACTCTTGTCAATAATAATTTAGTTGTATATTTTAGAATAACTGAAAGAGTATAACTGGGTTATTTGTAACACAAAAAACATATGCTTAAGGTGATGCATACCCCATTTATCCTGATGTGATTATTATGCATTGCATGCCCATATCAAAATCTCTCATTAATGCCATAAATATATACACCTCCTATATACCCCCAAAAATTAAAAACTTAAAAAAGAGAACAAAAGCCAATGTGAAGAAGACCCTGTCTCAGTAACCTCATGAATAAATGCCTTCCTGCGTGACCTCTCTGAGCACCAACTATCAAAGGGCGATGACAGGAAAAATGCCACTTAGGTACAGTTCGAAGATTAAATGATATGATTTCTGGTACATAAATATTATTAGTGCTGTTATTACAACTATTATGGTTGGAGAATTTGTTAAGGGAGTAAAGTATTTCTTTTTTTTTTTCTTTTTCTCTTTTTTTCATTTGAGACTGAGTCTCGCTGTCACCCAGGCTGGAGAGCAATGGCATGATCTCAGCTCACTGGAACCTCCGCCTCCCAGGTTTAAGCAATTCTCCTGCCTCAGCCTCCCAAGTAGCCAGGACTACAGGTGCATGCCACCATGCCCAACTAACTTTTGTATATTTAGTAGAGAGTGGGTTTCACCTGTTAGCCAGGATGGTCTCGATCTCCTGACCTCATGATCTGCTGGCCTCTGCCTCCGAAAGTGCTGGGATTACAGGCATGAGCCACCGCGCCCAGCCAAGAAGGATTTCTTGACCAGTACTTCTCAAAGTTTAATGCACATATGTAAATCACCTGAGATATTATTGAAATGCACATTCTGATTCAGTAGTGCCTGGGTGGAACTGGGGATTCTGCATGCCCAACCTGTTCCCAGGTGATGTCACTGCTACTAGCCCATGGACCACATTTTGAAAAGCAAGACTCTAGATTACATACCTACTACACCCAATCCATTGAGCTTAATGACTTCCACAGCAGAAATACCTAACATCTTGAATCCCCTTTACTGTTCAGATAAGCAACAAGAGTATGGCACAAAGGTAGGCCACTTTGAACGAGCACCACTTGGCCATTAGACCAGCTGGTCATATTTACACTGATGTAATTGTCCTTTCAAGTTTCCCATTCTCCAAAAGATGGCAAGAAATAATGTTCCCATGGCTCTCTCCCACCAAAGAAACTGCACCCTAAATTTACCTAAAGCAAAGCAGAAAGTATCAATAGAGCTTTTTGACCTCCATGGATTAAAATCATTAGAAAAGAGAAAATAGAAAATGTTAGAAGAAATTGTCATGCAAACAGAAAACAAAACACAGATGAAAAGAGCATGCCAAACTTCAGATTAAGCTCCCCTGTAAAGATGTGAGCCATATAAGGCATTAATAATTCTACAGAATCTGCACAGGACTAAACTCTATAAAGAATTGGAGTTGTAGTATTGATAATACCAAACAATAAAACATTATCCTTTTCAGGTTTTTTTTCACAGATAAATTCTACCCAGTCAGTGCCATCAAAATGTATTTTAATCAGAACCATATTTATATGTAAATGAGAGATAAAATATAGGCAAGCACCTTTTCTTTGTTTGCTCAGCTCTTCATTTCTTTAAGGAATAGAAACACCATAAAAGAACAGTCATTTCCATTAATTTTTTTCTCCTTCCAAGTAAATTTAGGAATGAGTCAGTGGACAGTTTTCTACCTTTCCATTTTTGCTCCTAGTTCTCCACCCAGCCTATTTCTAATAATAACAAGAGAATTCTGCACTACATATATTAACATAAGCACATTTCTTTAGTGAATGAAATGACATTATGTTGCAAATATTCAACTTCTACCTCCTATTAGAAGTCAGAAGAGTCAAATTCTAATTTCGATTTCTCAGTGGTCATTCCTAACTCACTATGTCAGCAAATAAGGATCAGTAAGTATCTAATAGCACAAGTGGCTCTCACCAATTCCTAAACTGGATTCAAACCAAAAAAGAAAAATCTGAAGGCAAAACTTTGCTGAGAAGTTACACAGAGTCACCCAGGAACAAATTTCGCCTTAGGAAGCAGTAAGTCCACCTACTATTAAATGGAAAATGTTACACTTTTACTAAAATATCTCCATAAGCAAAGGGATAAAATACTGCAAATGCCAGCAAAACTCTAAAAGCGTTTTCTTTGAATTTTCACTTGAATATTCTTTTCATAAAGAAAGTGAGTGAAACGGGCAGCTTGGGTCATTGGCAGAAGAATGCTGTTATAAGTAAATAAAGGAAACAGCCTATAGCAGAAGATATTATTATAGTTTTTGAAAACTTTACCTTAACTTGCTTTCCCTAACACCCATTTTGCATAGATTAAATGTACTGATTTGTTCCTTTTTCTCAGCTATTTGCAGTAATAGGTCCAATGGTTGCAAGGAATAATCTCTTCCAGAAAGGCATGGTCATCCATCCATTTCTGCCATCATAGCCCAAAACATTCTTTTCTACCATGAGCTGCTCTTTTCTTAGAGAGGGTTGCAAAAATACTGAAGGGATACTTTATATAAACATAAAAACTAAAACAAAAATCCTTACTAAACTTCTTAAAGGGAAGTTACATTAAAGAGATTTCTCATTCATCTGCTGATATAGCAACTGTTTTTAAGAAGTAGGACAAACTGTCTGTCATGTAGTATATTTTGAGCTCATTGAGAAATAGTGCCTATTGCCAAATGATAATAGGTAAGAGGTAAACTGATTGAAGTAAATTGTTTAATCAGGACTAGTATTATTTTAGTTTTTAGCCAAAATACTAAAATATGTCAGTGAGATAGATTGGCAAGTATGTTAATAGCGCTTATTACATTGGATTTACATACAGAGAAATTCAGACCTAGTGACTTAATAATTTTGATAGCATCATCCATCTAACCTGAAGAAAATGGCTAATCTACTTTAGCTCCGAGTTCATTAAAGACTGACATTTTTCTCCCCCTGTGGAAGAAAACAAGGTCTGAGATAAGTCACCTTCAGCAATGTATTTGCATTCCATTTCCACTGACAGATAATATGACATCCCACAAATAAAAAAGTGCAGAATAGAGAAGCCATATATATTTTATACAACACAACAAAATAGGGATGATTAAAAGGTTATTTGCATGTTCATAGAGGAGCATGCAAAAGAGATGATAATGAGGTTCAATGAGGTTTTACTACTATGTCTCATGCATTAGGGAGGCCATTGTTAGGAGATGAACCACTGTCTGGAAAGGCTGCAGAGATGGATGAAAATCTAAACAAAGAGCATTAAGAATTAAGAAGCTCATTCAAGGAACAACATTTTACCTAGATAAACTAAAAAGCACCTTCAAGATCTAACTGTAACAGGACAGGGGACGATGCTCCCAATACGTGGGAAGAAACAAGGTCTTTGCTTTATCAAGATGAAGCACCCACGAAGGGAATTTTAATAGTCAAGAATTTGTGTTCAAGGCAGTCTTTCTAAGGAAAGCATTCCTGCTAAGGATAACACATAAACTACAAGAGCTACTGGCCTCTATCATCCTTGGGTAAAATTCCTAAGTAGTGTAGTATCTGAATTTGCACAAATAGCTTCCAGAAGAACATTCAGAGAGTAAAGAAAAAAAGTGTTTTAAAATAGTGGCCATTATCCCAAGAGGCACATTGATCAGCCTTCAACTAAACAAAAATTAAAAGGAAAATATGAATCACTTGTAGTATAAGACTTAGAGCAAAATGCCTAGGTTTGATGATATTTATACCTGTGCAGCCCTAGAGAATGTAACCTCTTGAGCCTAATCTGTAACAATAACATGTTATTGAACACCCAACTCTATGCACAGCACCGTTCTAAGTGCTTTACACGTATGATTGTATTTAATTTTCAAGACAGTTCTAAAAATAGTACAATACTGCCACTTTAGAGGTGATAAAATTGAGGGGCAAGAAAGTTTAATTACCCTTCTCCATGTCACATGGCTTATGAGAGGGGAAACTGGAATTTGAATTCAGGAACTGGCATCATGGCCCAACGCTGAACTACTCACCACAGCTGCTACTTATAAAAATCTACAAAATGGTGTAATTGGATTATCTTCCTAATAAGGCTGTGCCAACACACAAATAGAGTTACATTTGCCAAAGCAAGGGGCTCCAACCCCTTGGCCACAGACTGATACCAGTGGTCTGTTGGAAACTGGGCGGCACAGCAGGAGGTGAGCAGTGGGCCAGTGAGCATTACTGCCTGAGTTCCAACTCTTGATCAGCAGCATCTTTAGATTCTCATAGAAGAATGAACCGTATTGTGAACTGCACATGCGAGGGATCTAGGTTGTGTTCTTTATGAGAATATAACTAATGTCTGATAATCTGAGGTGGAATCTGAGGTGGAACAGTTTAATCCCAAAACCATCCCCTCCCCTGCTCAACCCAGTAGAGAAACTGTCTTCCATGAAACTGGTCGCTGGTGCCAAAATGATAAGGGACCACTGTGCTAAAACCCTGCATAAACTATAAAACGTAATTTAAGTTTCAAAATTATTAATGTTCTTATTTGTATAATTTAGGAGCTCTTGAGTAAACTCTTACAAGGGAAAAGGCCTTCATTTACACACACAGAACCATTGTCCACATGCATTCTCTTCCCGTATCCTCACAGCTCATGTAAATGGTGGCGATCCCTATGGTAAGACCACTTTAGATTTTAATACTAGTAATAATACCTATAACACATTGGGCATCTATTTTGTATGTGGACTCTCATACGTTTTATCTCATTTAATTTTGCCAATGACTCTGTAGTATGGCCATCCCCATTCTAGAGATGAGAATGCTGATTCTCAAACTGTTTAATTTACTTAATATCCAGAGCTAAGCAAATGAGCGAGTTGAAATTCAAACCCAGGATACTCCAATTCCAAAATATGTGCTCTTTCATCATGCTATACTGTCCCTCAAAAGATGGAAAATCAGAGTTGTTTCAATTATTTTTTTTGGGTGGGGGGGGGGGGGTGGGATGGAGTCTGTCTCTGTCACCCAGGCTGGAGTGCAGTGGTGTGATCTCAGTTCACTGCAACCTCTGCTTCCTGGGTTCAAGCAATCCTCCCACCTCTGCCTCCCAAGTAGCTAGGACTACAGGTATGTGCCACCACACCTGGCTAATGTTTTGTACTTTTAGTAGAGATGGGGTTTCACCATGTTGGCCAGGCTGGTCTCAAACTCTTGACCTTAAGTGATTCACCTGACTCAGCCTCCCAAATTGTTGGGATTACAGACATGAGCCACTGTGTCCAGCCTGTTTCAATTATTTAATTCTGCATTTTAAAAAATTTGTGACATGTATAAAATAATTATTTTACTATGTTCATAGATTCCATGAATCAGAAATTTGAGCAGGACTCAGTGGGGATGGCTTATCTGTGTTCCATAATGTCTGGAACTTTAGCTGGGGAGACTAAAAGGGCTAGCAGTGATTCAATATGGTTGGGGGTTGGGATAACCTGGAGGCTTTTTACACATATGCCTCTTATCTGGATTTGGATGACTTGAAGACTGGGCTCAGCTGGGCTAGTGACCAGAACACATACAGATGAACCTTTCATATGACTTGGGGTTATCACAGCACAGCAGTTGGGTTCCAAGAGGGATCATCCCAGAAAGAAAGCATCAGAGAGAGAGCATTCCAAGAGATCAGGCAGACACTCCCTGGCCTCTTAGGACCTAGCCTTGGAAGTCACCTAGCATGATTTCCACTCTACTCCATTGATTAAATCAATAACAAACCTGTTTAGATTCAAGGGGAGGAGACATAGACCCTCCTTTTGACTGATAATTGACAAGATCACAGTTCAGACGACCATGCGGAAAAGAGATATTATTGTGGCCATCTCTGGAAAACTCAACCTGACATAAGTGTCTTCCCTTCAAGACTTACCACATCAAGTCCCCTTTTGAGAGAAGCTGTTTTTCTTCTCTTCCCTCACTTATAATATCTGTGTATAAAGATTTTACACACTTATCTTCCTAAACTCAATACTATCTATTCTTAAAATCCCAACTCAAGCCTCACCTATTCTACCCACTTCTTGGGAAACTTTCACCAACACTGATTTATCCCTCCTACCCTCCAAATCTTCATAGTCCTTATTTTGCATTTTGGCATTTAATTATGCTCAGTTAGTAACTGTATTATTATATTCTTCAGTCTGTTGCCATTAAATATTCTTTGGGGTAAAATGCCTTGCCTCTTCAACTAGATGCAAAACACCTTGTAGATTTCATTTGTAATTCTACTGCACACGATATAACTCTGGATATAATTCTTAACCATAATAAGGAAAATTTTAGTGAATAATATTATTTTGTACTTCTCAAGGCCTATCACTAAGCATTGTTAATGTGTGTGAATCTCTACTTAAATACGTATAAAAATGTAGTTGTGATTTACATGTCTCAGTTCATCCAACAAGCATAATTAACCTACTGCGTACATAATAACATGTCAAGTGCTATGTATATTAGAGATATGGCATCATCCTGTTATTCTTAAAGGCATTATGGAGAGGGAAATAAGTCATAGACTTGCACATGTGCACATTGAGATAGAATATGTCAATATCATAGAGAGGTGCACGTAAATTGCTGGGGTAATTCAAAGGCAGAAAAGGTTGGCTGTAACTAGAATATTGAGAAAGACTCCAAGGAGAAGGTATTATTCATGCTGGTTACTGAAGGTTAGATAATATTTGCCCAAGGTGAGACTGACAAAGGGTAGGTTCTAGGCAAGGAAAGAGAACAGCTGATCATATTTAATTGCAGAAACAAATTATTAGGCTGCTGGAGATCACTCTAAGATTCCTCTCTAGTTCCGTTTAGAGTAAGAGATCTGAACTCATCAGTTTTGTTACTCTATAGTGTTCAAATTTGCTATATTTTGGATTTAGCTCTCCCCTTCATATAGCCATGTTAAGTGGAGTTGATTTTGAAACCTATAACCCTTTCTCAGTAAAGAAAATCCTTGCAGATAGATCCTTTCCCTGTTCTCTTGAGTGTTTGACCAAGACACCTGAGCTTGCAGACTACTTGCTTGGCTCTATTTAGGGCTACAGATCCAACTTCTTTTCAGTTTTTAATATGGATAAAACATAACTGAGGATCTAGTTAAAATGCAGATTCTGATTCCATAAGGCTGAGGCAGAGGCTGTGCATTTTTTCAAAAGTTCACAGGTGATGCTGATGTTTCCAGTCAACCAGACACACTTGGAGTAACAAAGATCTGCATAGTATATGTTATGAGGGCAGGAACTAGGTCCAGTCACTCTGCCCACAGTATCCCTAGTATCTAGCTCAGTGCCTTCTACATCACAGATGATAGATTAATATGTTTTAGGTTTTAGAAAACATATGAGTGAAAGAATGAATAAACTAAATAATAATGTATAAACTACTCTGCTATTTTGTACAAGGAGCCCTTCTAACCCATAAATAAATAAATTTCCCCCAAATCATCAGTAAGTCACCAAATGAAAACTGGAAATGCATATTTGGGCATTTTTCAGGTCCTTTGTTTAGCAATCTCTGGTGCTTCTACAATGACCAAAACAAATACAAATAACAGAATTCTGCTTCCACTAATGGATTTGCTTCACAGAGTCTTCAAGTGTATTTTTCTTGACTCAAAGAAATGACCTAATTCTAGCTCTTTTACTTTGCAATCTTTTTATAACCTCCTATTCAAAGTCTCTCTCAATCTCCCTGCTGGAAATAATCTTTCTTGCTTTTAAATACTTCCAGGTTTCTTTCTACCCTGCCGCACAGAAAAAAATTATGACATGTCAGCTCTTCTCATACCCATTTATCTCATTTACCAATCTGTAGGTTTCTTAAGGAGAAGGCTCTTCACATTATCATTGGAATTCCTTCTCCTATACTTCATCTTCTGTACCCATCAGAAAGCTCTGTGCAGAGGTAGTACCTAATAAATAAGGTACTACCTCTGGGAAAGAAGGAAAGAATGTTGTGATTGACACTTCTCTAATAGTTTTATTCTAATATCCCTAGGGCTTGGTGAATGTTATGGCCTGATTAAAAAACAATACAAAGGTATCATGTTATTTTTCTATCAAATGCCAAACATGACAGCATTTAACCATTCAAAACATCTTACACAAAACTGAGTTCAGGACTAATTGATAGGAGAGCAACATTATTCTTTCTCTTATAAAAGCCCTAAAAGGAATTGTATTTAATTGAAATGAATCCACCTATAAAATCTCAGGCAAGATTGACAGCCCAGAAAATAAGATGTGGAAAATTATTCATTACTATTTGTGTATCTAATTTGCTTATAACACCCTGGAGGTGCCACTTGCCCAGATTTCAGAGGATAAAATAGACCAAATAATTAGTAAGGAAGAAATTTTGACTCTACTGAAATAGGAACTGAGGAAGGGCCACATATTGAGATTACTAATGCTTTCGAATACTCTGTTTAAATAAGTTCAGTGTTCAGTTCACATTAAATAGTGTTACTAATAATGGGTTTCAAAAACACTTTAGATTTTTGTTGTTTCAATCATTGTATCATTTATTTTTTTTACTGCAACTTAATTTTTTATAAAGGAGCTATTCAAAATCTCAAAGACTTCTTTTGGAATTTTTATAAATGGCATTTAATGCTATGAGATCAAAATGGATCTACCAATTGTAGACATTTATTTAATGTCTACCATCTAAAAATTTAAATCTACTTAGATCCTCTTTTTTGACACTCTAATTCATTTGACACTCATTCACTTCAGTGTTTTCAAATATAATACATACAGATAATGACCAAATTTATATCTTGCTGCACTGACTTCTAAATGCTAGGACCTTATTTCTGATTGTATAGTTTAAATCTCTCTCTCTCTCTTTTTTTTTTTTTTTCCCGAGATGGAGTCATGCTCTGTCACCCAGGCTGGAGGGCAGTAGCATGATCTCGGCTCACTGCAACCTCCGCCTCCCGGGTTCAAGCAATTCTCCTGTCTCAGCCTCCCAAGTAGCTGGGATTACAGGAGCCTGCCACCACACCCGGCTAATTTTTGCATTTTTAGTAGAGACGGGGTTTCACCATGGTGGCCAGGCTGGTCTGGAACTCCTGACCTCGTGATCTGCCTGCCTCGGCCTCCCAAAGTTCTGGGATTACAGGTGTGAGCCACCACGCCCAGCCTAGCTTAAATCTCTTTTGACATTAAAAACTCAGTGTATCTGAAATCAAACTTGCTCTCCTTCTGACGTCCCTAATGGTATCTCCATTATTCTGGCTTTTTTTTTTTTTTAATTATACTTTAAGTTCTGGGATACATGTGCAGAACATGTAGGTTTGTTACATAGGTATACACATACCATGGTGGTTTGCTGCACCCATCAACCTGTCATCCACATTAGGTATTTCTCCTAATGCTATCCCTCCACTAGTCCTCCATCCCCCAACAGACCCAAGTGTGTGATGTTCCCCTCCCTGTGTCCACGTGTTCTCATTGTTCAACTCCCACTTATAAGTGACAACATGCAGTGTTTGTTTTTCTGTTACTGTGTTAGTTTGCTGAGAATGATGGTTTCCAGCTTCATCTATGTCCCTGCAATGGACATGAACTCATCCTTTTTTATGGCTGCATAGTATTCCATGGTGTATATGTGCCACATTTTCTTTATCCAGTCTATCATTGATGGGCATTTGGGTTGGTTCCAAGTCTTTGCTATTGTGAATAGTACTGCAAGAAACATACATGTGCATGTGTCTTTATCGTAGAATGATTTACAATCCTTTGGGTATACACCTAGTAATGGGATTGCTGGGTCAAATGGTATTTCTGGTTCTAGATCCTTGAGGAATCGCCACACTGTCTTCCACAATGGTTGAACTAATTTACACTCCCACCAACAGTGTAAAGGGTTCCTATTTCTCCACATCCTCTCTAGCATCTGTTGTTTCCTGGCTTTTTAATGATCGCCATTCTAACTGGCGTGAGATGGTATCTCATTGTGGTTGTGATTTGTATTTCTCTAATGACCAGTAATGACGAGTTTTTTGGCCCAAAAATGTCTTCTTTTGAGAAGTGCCTGTTCATATCCTTTGTCGACTGTTTGATGGAGTTTTTTTTTTCTTGTAAATTTGTTTAAATTCCTTGTAAATTCTGGATATTATTAGCCCTTTGTCAGATGGATAGATTGAAAAAATTTTCCCCCATTCTGTAGGTTGCCTGTTCACTCTGATGATAGTTTCTTTTGCTGTGCAGAAGCTCTTTAGTTTAAGTAGATTCCATTTGTCGATTTTGGCTTTTGTTGCCATTGCTTTTGGTGTTTTAGTCATGAAGTCTTTGCTCATGCCTATGTCCTAAATGGTATTGCCTAGGTTTTCTTCTAGGGTTTTTATGGTTTTAGGTGTTATGTTTAAGTCTTTAATCCATCTTGAGTTAATTTTTGTATAAGGTGTAAGGAAGGGGTTCAGTTCCAGTTTTCTGCATATGGCTACCCAGTTTTCCCAGCACCATTTATTAAATAGGGAATCTTTCCCCATTGCTTGTTTTTGTCAGGTTTGTCAAAGATCAGATGGTTGTAGATGTGTGGCATTATTTCTCAGGACTCTGTTCTGTTCCATCGGTCTATGTGTCTGTTTTGGTACCAGCACCACGCTGTTTTGGTTTCTGTAGTCTTGTAGTATAGTTTGAAGTCAGGTAGCATGATGCCCCCAGCTTTGTTCTTTTTGCTTAGGATTGTCTTGGCTATGCAGGCTCTTTTTTGGTTTCATATGAAATTTAAAATAGTTTTTTCTAACTCTGTGAAGAAAGTCAATGGTAGCTTTTTAATGTTTTCCTGTGTCAAAGTGGAACAAAATAAACATGATCAAATAAATAAATAGTTTTTATAATATTCATTTATTTATTTGCTCATTCATTCATTCCCTTGTGGAAAGGGCTTAGGCTTTAGGACTTTCAGATAAAATATGTCAGGTTTTGAATCCCTTGTATTCTATTTACAAATGAGAGATTTTAACTATTTATTCGACGTCTCTAAGGTTCTTTTTCCTCACTGGTTTTATGAATACACTAGCAGACGTTTCTTTTCTTTTTTTCTTTTTTTCTTTTTTTTTTTTTTTTTTTGAGATGGGGTCTTGCTCTGTCGCCCAGGCTGGAGTGCAATGGCACAAACTTGACTCACTGCAACCTCCACCTCCTGGGTTCAAGGATTTTTCTTGCCTTAGATTCCCAAGTAGCTGGGATTACAGGTGTGTGCCACCATGCCCAGCTAATTTTTTGTATTTTTAGTAGAGATGGGGTTTCACTATGTTCGCGAGGCTAATCTTGAACTCCTGACCTCAAGTGATCCACCTGCCTCAGCCTTCCAAACTGCTGGGATTACAGGCATGAGCCACCACACTTGGCCCACTAGCAGCTATTTCATAGCCTTGTTTGATATAAGGATCCAATAAGATAACATATTAAAAGCAGCCAAGATCATGTCAGGCATATTGCAAAATAGTAACATGTGTTTGTCTCTTTTGCTTTCCCCACAGGTCCCCAAGTTTTCTATACCTAAAATGTAAAAGCAAGAAAGAATCCCCAGGATGATGTTTAATCTGAGAAAATTATGCCTTCTGTGTCCATAATCAAAAAGAACCTAGACACTCCACTCCATTCTCCCTCCCTACTTTTTCTGTACCATAGAGTGCTGGGCTAGACCCTAAAGAAACATTCCGAACAGTTTTCACCTTGCTATTGTTTGAATTTTTATCCCCTCAAAACTCATGTTGAAATTTGAGTGACAACATGAGTGACAACTCATGTTGAAGTTGTCACTGTAACAGTATTACGAGATGGAACATTTAAGAGGTGTTTAGGTCATGAGAGCTTCCTACCCTCATGAATGAGAGTGGGTTCATTCTCTCTCTCTCTTTCTCTCTCTCTCTCTCTCTGCCCTTCTGCTATGTGATGTCTTCCATCCTGTTATAACACACAAAGAAGGCCACTGTCAAATGCTATCTTCTAGACCTTGGACTTCGCAGCCTCCAGACTGTGAAAAATAAATTTCTGTTCATTACAAATTGTCCAGTCTGTAGTATTCTATTATAGCAGCACAAAACAGACTAAGACACACATTCATCTCAAAATCTAGTCTTTGCTACTGGTTTCATTTCTCCCTTTTTAGTGGGAGTTTACTATTTTTATAATCCTTCCAAGCAATGGAAGCAACTCAGAATCAGAAGGTACATCAAGGTCTTGCACAAGAGAAGAAAGTTAAAATTCAAGAGCACAATAAAAATTAAGAGACAGCACACTAAAGAGAACATTTGCCCAACATTACTACCGTTTATAATTTTTTCACTCCCATGGATTGATAACTTTACCCTCCAGGAGTGTAACCTACTTGTATAATGAAGGTTCATTTGTCTTCAACCCATATCAGAGCTTCTCCTTTGCAGGAATAGAAGAGACAGTAGGTAGATTGCATCTAAAAGTTGTTTTTGCCATTAAAGCATATCTGGAATGTGTAAGATACTGAATAAACACCAGCTAATTGTTGGTGGATTATTTCCATCATTCAACTAAAGCTGAAGTCTCCTTAACCCTCTAAGTCTACCCTAGTATAATGAAATTGAATACAATCATTTTATGTTATCCCCCACATTCCATGGTCTACATAATCTTTAAAAATGCTTAAACATCTTTAGCACAAACATACTCAGGGAAGTCAGGACAATTCCAATACAGCAGTACTCTCCTGGAACCTCTGCCAAATCCTACAATCTCCTCTAGAGATCTTGGATACAGTCAGGTCCCAGTCCATGATCTGTTTTTGTCCTTTGAGGCATAAATTTGGCAACTGGAGGTGATACATGCCCATACTCTTTGAGCAACTGACTCTTTTAGGACCCCCTCACTAAACATATAATTCCAAAGTGGCAGGACTGTGCTCTTCCCAAGTGTTGGTGGGAACAATAGACTCAGCAATACGCTGTCTCCAAAGAAACCTGTTTTCCAACCTCCTTCTCAGATCTCTGAAAACTCTTTGTTTCTAATTCTTGATCTGACTGAGAGGTTTAGAAGTTACTGAGAAGACTCATGGTGTCATCTCCTCATGCGTATGTGTGTAGGTAAAGAACGGCGGTTTCTATCTCCAGCTTTTGCTGTGTTCTTGATATGTATTGAGGTGGTCTCCAAGTGAAACTAAGGGAAGAAGGGTTGCACTCTAAAGCCACTGTTTACACAACTGATTTGAGCCAAGAGCAATACAGTGAAAAAACTTTATCAAGTTAATTGGCTATTCAGTGGTGATGCTGAAAGGAGTGGTGGAAAGTTCAGAAACACTGCCATAATGCTTTCTAGCATTTTGCATTTATGCCAAACTGTGTATTATATCATATTGGATAATTTGCCTTACCAGGTTAAAGAAAGGGAAAGAGAATTAAAATTCAACAAAATGAATTTTCTAGGAAGTCTTCTCTTTCTCTCCCCAGTCTCATCCATGTTTAATTTTGCCTCAAGCATATTGTCAGCCAAGTACCTTTCTAAGCCCAAGTGTTTGAGTCTGTTTTGTTCTTGTTGTTTGTTTTTTAGAGACAGTCTCCCTATGTTGCCCAGGCTGGTCTCAAACTCCCGGGCTCAAGGGATCCTCCTGCCTCACCCTCCCAAAGTGTTAGGATTACAGGCATGACCCACCATGTCCAGCCTTGAGTCTGTTTTCTTATTAAAATATAGCCTGCATCTGGTTTAGCTTGTGGGTCACAAATATATTTTCAAAGAAAGTAACAGAAATATGGGTAGCAACTTCCCACCATTCTCCTTGAGCTCCTACCCCATTCCTTCTCGGCATAATGCAGGCTTCTTCCACAGAAGGGCCCATGGGTATGGGTTAATTTGCCCAGTGGCCTAAGAAGGGACTGTTCTAATTGCTTCCAAGGAAATCCATTTATTTTATAGCCCAGTAAAATTCTGTGTGCGATGGTAAATAAAACCATTTGGACACGATCTCAATGCACAGTTCTCTGGCTCCATTTGCAGTCCATGATAAATTAAGGAGGGGGTGAATAAAAAAAAACATTGTGCAAACAGATGCAATTAGCTGAAACGGTATATTTTTGGCCTCTGATGATGTCTGCTTACATTGAATCCCCACTTGAAAACCAATCCTCATTTGAAAGCAACTAGAAAAATCTTTGTAATACACATGGACCTTATTTGGCTGGATGTTGATGTACAAAGACACCTTTGTACATTAAATTGCAGTGTTGACTTCTGCACTTGAAATTTCATTTCGTCATTTTTAATCACAATGAGCAAATGTCAGCCTTAATAATAACCCTCTGCTCCTCTATAATGTCTTTCAACAAAGGCCCTGAAAGCACTTTTGCAAATATTAATAAACCGAGATTCACAACAACTCCCAGAGGCATCTGTACTGCAGGCTGAAAGCAAGCCCAAAGTCATGGAATGACTTTGCTAATCCACACAGGAAACTAAGCTCATGAAGAGAAACAAAGGCTATCATTCTGGTTTAAGTCACCCTCACCTCTTTCTGAGAAAGATTTCCTTCAGAGAAGGAAATCACCGGGAATTTTCATCCATAACCTGAATCTCAGAGCACAAGGAATGAACGAAGGACTATTTAGGCTCTGACTGAGATTTGTGTTAATTGTTTCCCTCTTCCTGAATACAATCTATACGCTGTTGACTCCCAAATTTATAAACCCCATCCAATTTGTCCCTTTCTTCCCATACTTAGATATCCAACAGCCCTGGAGATCTAACTGACATCTCAGTCCGAACATATTCAAAACTAAACACGTGAAGTCCTCTCCAGAAACCTGCCCCTCCCTCAGTCAGTTCCATTTCAGTAATTAGTAACTCCTCTTTTCTACTTTATGGGTCCCTAAACCTTAGAGTCATCTTTTACATCTCCATCTCTCCCACTCCATGTCAAATTATCTGTGGATCTTGTTGGTTCTGCTTTTTAAATAAATACAGAGACTAAGCCTTTCTCATCACTTCTTCCCGGGCCTGCATCACTGTCACATCTAGCCTGGACTAGTGTAATAGCCTCCTAACTTATCTAGCCTGGACTACTGTAATAGTCTCCTAACTTATCTCCCTGTTTCTATCATTGTCTGCTAGTCTATCTTTTCACAGCAGGAAGATTGATCCTTTTAAAATGTAAGTGAGTTCATGTATTCCTTTGCTTGAAAGTCTTCAAAGACTTCCAGTCTCATCCAGAGTATAATTTCAGTCCGTACTAAGGCCTACAAGGCCTTGCATGATCTGGCCCCTCATGTCTCTCTGATCTTATCTACTGCCACTTCCTCCTCTCTCCTTCAGCTCCAGCCCAGTTGTCTTTTATGCTCCTCAAATAAGCCAAGCATGCTACTGCCTCAGAGCCTTCACTTCAGGATACCTCCGCCTAAAATGCTCTCCCCTAGATATTGAAATGCTTGCTCCTTCCTTTTCGTAAATCTCTGCTCAAATAACACCTTATCAGAGGGGACTTCACCAACCACCTCATATAACAGAACATCATTTCACAACACTGTAAACCACCGACCTTGTTTTATTTATTTTCATTCACTTATCAGCACCTGGCACCAACTTCTAAATTACCCTAATATATAAATGGCCATAGTTCCCAGAGATATACTTTCTTCCAATGACTGCAGAAGTTCTCCCCACTCTTTCCTCTCCTTTGGGGGTGCCTGGAGACCGTCCCCATTGCCTTTTGTAATGCCAAGTTACTTTCTCCCATTTATTTTATCCTTATTTTATCTCCTATCTCCAAGTATTTTCTCCTCAATGCTCAGGAACGCTGAAGTTCCCAAAAGAAGGGGGCAGGGCGATGACATACTTTCATTCTGCTACTTGGCCTACATCATTGGAAAAATGGATTTTGGAATCTGAGTTTGAAACCCTGAGGATTTTTTCATAGAATTAATATGAAAAGCAGAAGTAGTTTCATTTCTCAAGTACCCTGTAGGTTAGTGTCTCATGGCTAGTTTGGAAGTCTAACATATTTATAACACATTGTACAAGAAAATATGAAGTCCTATATATTTTTCAGACTCAGCTCATGTATAAGCTTCTCTTATCAGTTAACTATTGCTATATAGTATACTTCCTGAAAATTCGGTGTGTTTAACAACAGCCCATTAGTCTATGGGTTGTTACTATAGGCTGGGCTCATCTAGATGGTTCATCTTTTCTCAGCTGAGCTTTCTTGAGCATCTAAAGTTTTTTTGTGCAGGCTGGCTAGCTCTGGGCTATGACAACAGAAGTGACTAGATGTATGCCTCTCACCCTTCAGCAAGCTACCTCTGGCTCGTTCATATGTCAGAATCAAAATTCCAACAAAAAGAAAGTGGAAGCATGCAAGGCCCTTTGAAGCCTACTCTTGCAACTGGCATATGATCATTTCTGTAACTCCTTATTAGCCAAAACAAGCTATAAGGCTAGCCAGATTAGAAAGGTAACAACATAAGACTTTACTTTTTAATAGGAGCAGCTGCAAAGTACATTGCAAAGTATGTGCATATAAGAAGGGTAGAAAATTAGGCATCTTTTTTTTGCAATTGATCTATCATACCTCCTTTTTGATAGCTTGTCTCAAGCAAAATTAGGTCCCCTTTTAACGTCCTTTCATATCACCTTACGCCTACCTCTATTACAAATATGTTTTTTGTTTTGTTTTGTTTTTTCTTTATCTGCCCTCTAGGAAATAAATTCCTTGAGGACAAAACTTATACAATTATAGGAACATACTATTTGTTCAATTAATGTTTATTGAGTCATTCTAAATGGATAAATGATAATAAATAAATAAATTGATTAAATGCAGCCAACTTAGAAGTCTTCGAAAAACAATTCAATTCCTGAGGACCATATTATTTTTTTTTAATTTGAAAGCAATATTGTCACAATATTTCAAAGGATTTCCTGATATTAGGTAATAGACAAGACTGAAACTTTTCCAAGATTGAACCTTCCTGAATTGTTATAACAAAGAATGACGCAAATTAGAAACAGAGAGACACTATTTTACTATTAATACATCCTCACATCCTATTCAATGAGTTATGTCTACTTTTCACTAATGTAATCTTTATTGTTAGTGGTCTCAATAAAACCTTTGAAGTCCTACATCAGTGTACTGCTAAAGCAAAAATATAGATTCATTAAAATCTATGCATCTTCACTTCTTTAATATCAAAAATCATTCAGTTCTCTTTTTAGCTTTTCTTCTGATACTGTTACAAACATACTAGTTGCTCAGAGATGTTTGTCATGCCAATTATTGATTATCTTACAAAGACCTTCTTGTTCTTACCTTCTGCTTCCTCTCCTGGTTTATAATCTAGATAGTGACAGAAAGGTAGTAACAACAAAAACCAACCAAATGAATGAACAAACTAAATGAAGAAAGGAAAATCAAGCAGGTTTGTTAAGTTCCATCTTAACTTTTCTAGTATTGCTTTAAAGTATAAAGCACCTTCAACTCATTTTATAAGGCCATCATTACTCTAACACTAAAAACAGGCCAAGATAACACAAGGAAAGAAAATTATAGACCAATACTCATTAAAGACACATACAAATATTTAATAAAAGATTAGCAAATCAGATTTTGCAATATATAAAAAAAACACACCACGACCAAGTGAGACACAATATTGGAAAATTAACAAGTATAATTCACCCTATGAACAGAATATAATAGAATAACCATTTGATTATCTCAAATTATTCAACAAAACTCTATATCCATTCATGATGAAAACCCTCAGTAAAGGAGAATCAGAAAGGAACTTAATCTAATAAAAGGCATTACATAAAATCCACAGCTAACTTTATACTTAATGATGAAAGACTGAATTATTTCCATGATAACAAGTCAAATATGTCCACTCTTTTCTGTCTAATCCTATCTCATACTGAGATCCTAGCCAGTGCAATAAGGCAAGACAAAGATACAAAAGTCTTTAAATGGAAAGGAAGAATAAAAACTGTCTCTATTTGCTGACAACATAATTATTTAGGAAGAAAATCTCAAAGAATCTCAAAAACAACAGCTATTAAAATTAAGTAAGTTTAGCAGGATACAGGTTTAATATATAAAAATTGATTGTATCATTGTATATTATAAATGAACAATTAGAAATTGAAACTTAAAACCAGAATCATTTAGAATACCACAAAAAATAATGTTCAAGGATAAACAAAATAAATATGTGTTAAATTTATATACTGAAAATTGCAAAATGTTGAGAGAGAAACCAAAGGAAACCCAAATAAATTGTGAGATATACCAGGCTTATCAATCTGAGCAACAAATGTTATTGGTATATCAATTCTCCCCCAAATTGATTTATAAATTCAATACAATCTCAACATATGGTACACTATCAAAATTAAGAATAAAAAATGTTTGCATTTTGAAACACACCATAAGGGAAAAGAAAAGTTATGAACTGTGAGAAAACATTTTTAGCAAACATATCTAATAAAAAGCCAACTCTCACAACAAATAATAACAACAGCAACAAAAATAAATGAATAAAAAATGGACATTTTAGCAAAGAAGAGATGTAAAAGCAAATAATCACATAAGATGTTCCACATTATTATGAGAATGCAAATCTAAACTACGATGAATTACCACCATATACCTATTAAAATGGCTACAAAACAACGAAAACGAAAAACTGACAATAATAAGTGCTAATGAGGATGTGGACAAAGTAGTTTTTATTCATTGCTTGTGGGAAGGCAAAATGATATAGTCACTTTAGGAAACCAACAATTTCTTTTAAAGTTAAAGACACATTTACCTTATTACCCAGCACTCCCACTCCTATGTATTATCGTATGGCTTCACAAATGCCTGTACATAAAAGTTTATAGCAGCTTTTTTCATTATCACTAAAAAGTAAAACTCAAACACCTATCAATTAATGAATGGGTAAATATGAATAGCTTTACACCTATGCAATGGAATAAAACTGTGCAATAAAAGCAAAGAACTACAGAAAACATGCAGCAAATTGATCTCAAAAGGATTTTGCTAAATGAAAAAGGAAAGACACAAAAGACTGCACACTTTATGACTCTATTTATATGGCATTTTCAAAAGCAAAATTCTAGGGTCAGATATCAGATTGGTAGTTTCCTGGGTTGGGATTGAATATGGGGACTGATTACAGAAGTGAAGGAAACTTTAGGAGCCAGTGGGAATATTCTACATTCTAAATTCTGATAGTGGTGTTGCAAAACAATTGTATAGCTTGTATATGTTTGTTAAAACTCATTGATCTGTACATCAAAAGGTATGAATTTTGCTCTTGTTAATATGCTTTACTAAACCTGACATAGAAAGGTAATAATTGGTGAGTGTATAGAGAAACACTTTAACATCTTTTCTCCCCCTGTCTCTTTAAGAAGCCAGCATTGAGAGACTTTGTGCAGGAAGACAGGGACCCTGAGATCAACACAGAGTTCCTTGCACATTTTAGTACCTGGAGTAGTGTGGTCAACTCAGTCTTTACCGGAATTCAATGTAAATACTAGGAGAAATGTAGAGCATAGCTCCCACCCTTTGCTGTAACACAGACTGAGTAGATATGATTATTCATAAAATCTTGGAGCTCAGATTGGTGTCTTGCTTAGACTACCATGCATTTATGAAGAATGGGTTGGATTGATCTGGTTTTCCATATTTCAAATTAAATAATTTTTTGAGGCGGGAAGAGGAAGTATAATGTAGGCTATTGAAGACTTTAGCCAAAAGTAGGATCAGACAACAGCTATAAATTTTGGTCACCCACTTTAACTGATACATAATTTACTTTCTGAGTGACTGCACAACTGTATGCAAGTGTTTTCTTTCTTCCTTTTTTTTTTTTTTTTTTTTTTTGTCCTTAACATAGCTTTTCTGAACCTTACTTTTCTTTGGTAAAACTGTAAAGAAAATGTTACAAAATCTTATCTATTCTGTGGTTATTGTGAGGAACCAAATAACAAAATACAAGAAATGTACTTACTAGAGGACCTAGCATCTAGTAAAAAGCAATAAATTTTAGCCAGAACTGAAAAAAAAAAAAAAATTTCTATAAATATGCATAGTTGGCACTATTGCCAAACCTCTTTAACTGACATGTGTGCTTGATACAAAAATCTAAGAAGTTTATAATCTAGCTGGACTTGCAAAAAGTTAGCAGATGTTGTTTACAAATTTAAACTCCAGTCCTAATGTAATATAAGTTAACAAACAATTGAAGACCAGGCACAATGGCTCACACTTGTGATCCCAGCACTTTGGGAGGCTGAGGTGGGCAGATCACTTGAGATCAGGTGTTCAAGACCAGCCTGGCCAACAGGGCAAAACCCTGTCTCTACTAAAAATACAAAATTAGTCAGGCATGGTGGCAGATGCCTGTAATCCCAGCTACTTGGGAGGCTGAGGCAGGGGAATTGCTTGAACCTCGGAGGCAGAGGTTGCAGTAAGCCAAGATCGTGCCACTGCACTCCAGCCTGGGTGACAGAGTGAGATCCTGTCTCAAAAATAAAAAAAAGAACAATTGAAGATATTTTATTAATTGGTAAGTGTAAAAATTCTAGATTGAAGAATGCTAAAAAGTATTGATGTGTTAAAAAACAAACCAAAAAAACAGCTAATAACTTGTAAACAGGCACAATGTAAGTAAGCATCAAATACTGAGAGCCCAAGCAGAGAAAAATAATTTCTTAACAATATAAAGGGTTTGTGTTGAATTGTTCAGTGGTCTTCCTATAATCCCCTTATTCTACATCTTCATGAAAAAGCTAATCTGAGAAAATTCTCCAAAGTAATTGGTGAATATACAATCTTAAACAAGAAGATGTTTTTAAAGCCATGCCACTCAGAAACAAGTTTCCAGGGCTACAGCCAAAATCAGAATTTAGGCTTCAGAATTTTTTTCAAGTTAAAAGAAACTTGCAAGAGATAAGTTAAGGATAGACAGGGAGAAAAAGGAAGGATTTACAGTTTTGAGAGTCCAATATGTAAGCCCCTGTAGGATAATTTTATATGCATTTTCTCCTTTTTATTCTCAGAACAATCATTTAGGTAATTCCTATTTTCTTCAATTTACAGATACAGAAATCAGAAGAGGTTTAATTTGATCCCTACTCAGCTAAAAAACACTTTAGGTGTTTAAAGTAAGGCTAAAACATATGACTTCAAGCAGAGATCAGACTCGAAGAAAGGCTTCCCTTGAGCTTGACATCTTAGTCCGCTTTTTTGGCACAATGGAGGCTTCGACACACCATAGCAACAAAACTTACATCTTTAGACTACTTTACTGTTCACAAACTCTCAGAAATTCTCTCTGGTTACATTTTTATGTAATCCTAATTATCACAAGCTATCATCAGATGTGCATGATTCGCATTTTACAGATGCAGAAACTGAGAGACAAAGAGATTAAGAAATTTATTCAATGGTTCAAAATAAGAAGCCAGTAGAACCAGGGGTCAAATTTTTATCTTGAATCTCTAAATGTCACATTCTTTCTCTCAGGGTCTTTCATACCAATTCCACAAAGGACTTTATCAACACAGGTGTCTGTTTACCACTTTTAAATAATCCATTAAATTTACTTGGTATTTAAACATTATCTTTCAAGCTTCCATTTATTTCACATGAATTTCCAAAGGAAGATTTTATTTGTTTCCATATGAAAGTGTTTTGAATTGTTTCTAAATTGTGCTACTCAACTTTCTAACTAAAACTTTGAGCAAAATGAATAAGAAGATACTTACTGGATCCCTTGCTTACACCTTATACAAAAATTAATTCAAGATGGATTAAAGACTTAAATGTTACACCTAAAACCATAAAAACCCTAGGAGAAAACCTAGGCAATACCATTCAGGACATAGGCATGGGCAAGGACTTCATGACTAAAACACCAAAAGCAATGGCAACGAAAGCCAAAATGGACAAATGGGATCTAATCAAACTAAAGAGCTTCTGCACAGCAAAAGAAACATCAAAGTGAACAGGCAACCTACAGAATGGGAGAAAATTTCTGCAATCTACCCATCTGACAAAGGGTTAATATCCAGAATCTACAAAGAACTTAAACAAATGTACAAGAAAAAAACAAACAACCCCATCAAAAAGTGGGCAAAGGATATGAACAGACACTTCTCAAAAGAAGACACTTATGCAGCCAACAGACACATGAAAAAATGCTCATCATCACTGTTCATCAGAGAAATGCAAATCAAAACCACAATGAGATACCATCTCACGCCAGTTAGAGTGGCAATCATTAAAAAGTCAGGAAACAACAGATGCCAGAGAGGATGTAGAGAAATCAGAACACTTTTGCACTGTTGGTGGGAGCGTAAATTAGTTCAACCATTGGGGAAGACAGTGGGGCAGTTCCTCAAGTATCTAGACTAGAAATACCATTTGACCCAGCAATCCCATTACTGGGTAGATACCCAAAGAATTATAAATCATTCTATGATAAAGACACATGCAAACATATGTTTATTGCGGCACTATTCACAATAGCAAAGAATTGGAACCAACCCAAATGTCCATCAATGATAGACTGCATTAAGAATATGTGGCACATATAAACCATGGAATACTATGCAGTCATAAAAAAGGATGAGTTCATGTCCTTTGCAGGGACATAGATGAAGCTGGAAACCATCATTCTCAGCAAACTATCACAAAGACAGAAAACCAAACATCACATGTTCTCACTCACAGGTGGAAATTGAACAATGAGAAAACCTGGACACAGGGCAAGGAATATCATACACTGGGGCCTGTTGGAGGGTGGGGGCTGGGGGAGGGATAGCATTAGGAGAAGTACCTAACGTAAATGACGAGTTGATGGCTGCAGCAAACCAACATGGGACATGTATACCTATGTAACAAACCTGCACGTTGTGCACATGTACCCTAGAACTTAAAGTATAATAATAGTAATAATAAAATGCAGGATAGAAAAAAAAAAAGAAGATGCTTACTGTCTGACCTAAAGCTTCAGTTGCCCCCATCACACCGTTGTATACTTTTGTTTGTTCCCAAATCCCAGCTTTACGATTATGCTCTATACCCTTTAGTGTAAAATAATATAGAGGAAGGAATTAGACTTATGGAGGATCAAGTACACCACCATGTAGCCATTTATATTCACAATATAATTAATATCTATAATAACACTGTTGGTGAGCATTTTATTCCCACTAAACCTGAAGAAAATGGAGGACCAGTAGAGTTAGGTTTCTTATGCAATTTGCACAACTGAGCAAAGGTTTTAGCTAACCCTGAAGCACAAGTATGTCTCAGAAGTTCCCATCTGTCTGGTGATGCTCCAATGTAATTTTTATTTTTACATCAGATGCTTTTGATTTTATGGAAGTAAAGAAAGTAGATTGTACTAGACTTAGAGGAAAAAATACGTAGATTATTAATAAAAGCAAGGGATGTTTATTCTTCTTTTATTATTATTATTTTTAAGCCTCATCTAACCAAAATATTCCACAATCCCACATTCAGAGTTTTGTGATAGATGATTCTCAGCATCAGCATTCCTGCCATGGCCCAAAGACATCACTTTGCTTATGACACTTTCATTTTTCACTGTTTTAAAACATGCATACGGTGCTTTTTCAGCTTTTGGGCTTGGATGCTTGCTTCTTTAAAGTGATTGTAGGGAATAGCTGGCTCAGTGATGTAGCAGAGGTATTTCAAACATTGAGAATCAGGAAAGACAATGTAAAGCTACGTTAAATTCTTGAGTATTTTAAGAGCGTGGTATTTTTCCAAAACACTTGGTATATTTTTCAAAATTTAGGATTAAATTAGAATTGGAGAAGTCTGTGATGTCAAAATAATATGGCTTTTAAACATAATTCTTCTCTTCCTTTTCCAATATATGCTCATATAAGTCAAACAAAAGTTCTTAAATAAAACAAACCATGCTTAAAAAAATAAATCTTCTATTTATCCCCATTTTTCTGAGACAAACCTCCCTTGGTGTTTGGAGAAGCTGATACTGTCCTACGTTTTATGTAATTCTAAGTTGCAGATAGCCTGTGGCATGAAGTGTTAAATAAAAAGGCACTAACATACATTTAGAGTATCTCACATGTGCTAGTTCCTGATCATACGTTTTCTTATTTGATTCTCACAAAAATCATATGAGATAGGCATTGACATCCCTGCTTTACACATGTGCAAACTGAGGTACAGAGAGATTAAGTATTGTTTCTCAAGTCACATAACTGGTGTCTGATTCTGAAATGCCTTCTATTTCCACTCTACCAGGGGTCCACAATCTGTAGCCACATGCCATATCTGGCAAACTTCCAATTTTTGTAAATAAAGTTCTATTGGAACAGTGCCATGCTCATTCGTTTACATATTGCTTAGGGCTTAATTGAGTACATATAAAGGGCCAGATAGCAACTTTTTTTGTCTTAGCAAGCCATATTATCTCTTTGATAACTCAACTCTGCCCTTGCAATGTGAAAGCAACCATAGACAATTTCTAAATAAATGTGTTGCTATGTTTCAATAAAACTTTATTTACAAAAAAAAAGGCATCAGTCCAGTTTTGGCCATCAAGATATAGTTTGTCAGCCCCTCCGTGGTATGGAAATATGTCTCTTAAGGCAGAATTTTGATAAGTTCATTCAAAAATATCTGAAGTCTGACCTAATCAAATACTGATGAGTTCATTCAAACATGTAGAAAGTCTGAGGGCTGCCTTTTAAATGTTTTAAAAATCATTGGTTGAAATGTTCACGGGCTTAACATTCAATCTCCTTGTAATTATTTGACTATTAATCTTGTTTTTTCCATATCCTTCCATTAAAAGAATGCTAGAAACACAAGCGTCAAGTATTAGAATTATCTTAATCTACAAAAAAATTTTCTCAAAGTAAGTGTAGTATAGAAATTATATAAATCATTTTGGTCCCCTTCCTATGACAAGTCTGGCTGAATATACATACAAGAATTTGACCTTCAAAAAGGCTACATTTATTAGGCAAAAAAAAAAAAAAAAAAAAAAAAAAAAGACAAAACAAACAAAACAAAAAAACCTCCCTGCAATACATTCTAGTGGTATAGCATAGAGCAAAGGAAAGCCTGAGATCTCTCTGCTAAATCTCCCAACCCAGTGATAATCCCAAAGCTTTATGAACTGACTTCTAAAATGTGTTCTCTGCCCACTTATCTCACCCAGCAATGCAGCCTTGATTGACACCACATCTCTCAAGTGAAATGAAAACTGGTGCCAAACCCAGATACTCAGCCAAAGGAAAAGCGAGCATTTGGCAGCAGAACATGTGTTAGATGTCAGTCATATGGAGTAAGAATCCCAGCCACAGGGGAAGGCTGGCATTTTGCAGAAGAAATACGAAAGAGGTATGATCCTAGGCTTACAATGGTCTACAAAAGGCTGTCACTGCTTGAGAACCAAAAAATAGAGTTACTATTGTTCACTTGCATCATTATAAAAATGAGAGTGCCCAAAGTGGCTTTAACCAGATTTGAGCTATAACAGAATGACAGAGGGATTCTTTGTCTCTGAAACACCTGCAATTCTTACCTACAACTGAAGGAAATCTTTAGCAAGAACCTAGGCAATTTTACTCTTTAAAGTCAGAGATAGAAGTAAACATAATATTTTATATAAGAAATTACATGTAGCACTTAGTGCATCCCAGGCACGATTTTAAATGTTCATAAATATTAACTTATTTAACTTCTTAAAAATATTAGGCATAGGTATAATTATTCTCCTCATTTTTATAGACGTAGACATAGAGGTAGAGAAAGTCCCTATAACCTTCTCCAACACAGCACAGAGTTCAGTCTGTGCTCTTAAGTCTCTTACGCTTCTGGATCATGCCTTCAAATGTAGCAATCTCAGGCAAATTAGTTTATCTCTTCTCTAAACCTCTATTTTCTCATGTATGAAAGAGGGATAAAAATCCTTACCTCAGCAAATGGTTATAGAGATTAAAGAAGATTAAACAGTAATTTATCCAACAGAGTGTTTAATAGATAATAATTGCAAAAGTTCACACCTGTGAAGCTCTTACTATATACCAAGCATTGTGATAAAGAGTTTGCAGACATTATCTCATTAATCCCTAGAAAACCTCATGACATAGATGTTAATATAATTCATCTTTTCCACATGAAGAAATTGAAGATCGAGATGTCTAAGTGCTGTGTTTAAAGTCATACACGCATCTAGTAAGGAGGAAAGGCAGGCCTCAGATTTCAGAGGCTAGCATGTGCACATTAAAAGTTTATTCCCTTCTTCTTATAAGAAAAAGACAATAGCTGGCAAAGGACCAGAAAGGTTCAAGCTATTTAAATGGATGGGATCATTATGGTTCTCAAACAAAGCCCTTAATCCTGGGACAACCATCACCTCTTAATCCTAGAACTCACCTTTGGAAATCCCAGTCCAGGTGCTATTGAGGATACAACAGAAAGTGGGAAGAAAATTGGGAGTTCCCAGTTTTTCCCCATAGAACCATACTCATAATCATTATTTTAGGGCAAAATAATTATCTATGCCAAGGGCATTTGGGGTTTCACAAATATTGCTTCTAGGTGAGTTGCACCACCTCTATTCAGTTTTCCCAATGTCTAAAAATAGAATATTCACATTGAGTAATACAGATGTGGAATATCTTAATGAATTGTCAAGTCAAACTAAATATACAAGAAAAAATAATTGAATGCTTTAGCCCTTACCTTGAGAGGGAATGGGTTTCCTCTGCCAAAGTATAGAACACCCCTTCAAATTGCTTTTTACCTAGAATTACAATAGATACTGTCTTAGGCCACCAGCAAGGGGGCGAATTAAGTTTATAATGGTAATTTCTGGTTCAGCACCTTGAAATTTTTGCTTTGGTTAAAAACAAATGAGAGAGAATCCCCGTGCTTTGTCACAACTGCTAACTTTGTTCCTGATTCATGAAATTTATATAATTTCCAGTAACCCATTTGCTTCATAGCTAAACGAATCCATTCAGAACAGCTGGCCACCGTTCCTCATTGTGTGCAGAGCTTCTCACCGAGTACTCCTTTTAGTTTAATCTTTGCCCTACATGTATTTTCAATGTAGCTTCCTATCACCTGGGTCAGACTCTAATTTTCTCACCAGTCCCTTTACTTCCACCGCAGAGACCAGTAGCTGAGTACTCATTATTTTCTCATGAGTAGCAGTTAGCAACTCCAGCCCCAGCCAAAACTTAGAAGTCAGTTCTTTTTGAGTTTCCAGAGCAGCACTATCTAATAGAAATATAATACAAAGTGTATATATAATTTTAAATTTTTCAGTAGCTGCATTAAAAAGGCAAAAATGAAGAGGTAAAATTAATTTAATAATATATTTTACTTAACCCAGTATATCCAAAATATTATAAATTTAACCTGTAACCAAAATTTTTAGAAATATTTATTATTATTATTATTATTATTATTATTGTTATTATTGAGATGGTGTTTCATTCTTGATGCCCAGGCTGGAGTGCAATGGCATGGTCTCGGCTCATTGCAACCTCCGCCTCCTGAGTTCAAGCGATTCTCCTGCCTCAGCTTCTCAAATAGCTGGGATTACAGGTGCCTGCCACCAGGCCTGGCTAATTTTTTTGTACTTTTAGTAGATGCGGGGTTTCACCATGTTGGCCAGGCTGGTCTCGAACTCCTTCTATCACTCCTTCTATCACTCAGGTGATCCGCCCGCCTCAGCCTCCCAAAGTGCTGACTTTACAGGCATGAGCCACCGTGCCCAGCCTAGAAATATTATTAATGAGATATTTTATATTCTCTCTTTTAGTACTAAGTCTTTGAAATCTGGTATGTATTTTACAGTTACAGCGCATCCCAATTTGGATGCAAAAATTTTAACAAAAATACTTGTTCTATATTTAGATTTCATAAAATTTATTGTTGAAAAAGTAGATTGACATACTTTGTTCTTAACAGACTTAAAAGTATTCCAATAACTGAAGTAGACATCAATTGCTAAAATTAAATTTAAATTAATTAAAATGCAGTAAAATTTAAAATACACCTCCTCAGTCACATCAGTCATATTTCAGTTGTTCAATAGCCACATGAGGCTAGTCGCTACCATACTGGGTAGTGATGTCCCAGAGGATGTAAAGTCTGCCTTTGCCAGCTGCTCACCTTTGAACTGTCTGGTAGGGCATCTTTCATTTCTCCTATACACCTCTTGCACTACATCAAAAAATCAATTTGCAGGTGTCTTAGGATTCAATTAAGTGATAACCAGATAAAGCAAGTGGTAAGGCATGGGATCATCATTAGAGAAATCCTGTCTGAAAAGCGTGGTTAAGAAACAAAAGAAATATGAGTGTCCAAAGAAAGGATATCAAGGTCAAATAGAAGGCATTGGGTTTGTTTTTTGTTTGTTTGTTTTTCCAAGACGGAGAAACCTTCAAATGTTAGAAGTCAGGGAAGATACTCCAATTTGAAAGGAGACACTAAAAATATGAGAAAAAAATGAGATCTTAATATGTGGAGATGACAGGAAAGGATAGATGAATAAAAAATGCATTAATATTAGTGATTAAGAGTGAAACTTAGTATTAAGAAAAGTCAAAGGACTCATAAATGACTAAATCCTATCCTGAAACCAAAGCATACCTTTCCCAGAAGAATACTTCCAAAGAAAGTGTGGACACAATAGCAGAATGACAATAAACTACCACTTGTATAGTGTTTGCACAACAGGCAATCAATGCAGAGCTCTAATAAAATGCTGGACTGGAGACCCATGAGAAGCCCCCTCCTCCTCATCTTCCTTTGTATCTCAACTGTAAGACTTAGAACCAGCATATGCAGACATGCTTATAAGAATCTGGAGTTAGAATAATCACTAGGTCTGCAATTAGGCATTGACTTAATTTCCCAGTCCAGATGTTGGAAGATATAATTAGCATTGTTTCCTCAATTTCTTTTCCATTAAAAAAAGTCTTCAGAAGTATTTATAGTACTAAGTAACTCTCTAAATCATTACTATATTCTGTTTTATCCCCTAATTAACAGATTTATCTTCTTCAAAATCAAGATATTCCTGAAATTTTCAGGGTATTTTTAAAAATATATTTTGAAAACCATTTGAAACATATGTATAGGAAACTCTCCTGAGCACGCTAAAGTTTACTGAAGAGACTCCAAGGGTCTGGAACTAAAATCTCACACCAAAAGCTGATGTCACATGTTTGGAATATTGGCCTGTTCCCACAGAAAGTTTGCTTCTGCCCTTTAGAGGAACATATTTGTTTGTGAGTTTCTGAGCTTCAAATTGATACTGAGCAAATATTTATCAACTCTGTGAAAGCACCTTTGGTCAAGGAAGGCATGTGGAAATATTCAAGGCTCCTTTCCATCCATTTTGAGACAATTAGCACGTGCATCTCACCTCAAATGCCAAGTCCAGACACTAACTAAATAATAACAACAGCAGTTCTCCATTGATGTAGCTTCCCGCTTGGAATAGATTTTTCAAACAGCCACATTCTTTTCTAGGGAAGGATAGTTCCAGAGAGAACATAACACCTCCTCCAGGCAATTCCCAATCTTGTCTGGCAAGAGAATTAAATGACGTGGCTAGGTGTGACCCACAGCCATCCACTTTATTCTCTTCATAGGCCAAACACTTGAAATAGGCATTGCTTTATCATCCAGATTGGCTGCATAGATGAGACTCTGCCATTAAAACACATCTAGAAACTTATCAAGTATGGCATGCTTTAAAGTTGTGGCTGGATAATGGGCAAACACAAACTTATTTTAAATTTGTACTTACATTTTTGTAAATGTGGCCAAAATAAAAACAAAACTTCTAAAATATTATTAAATCCAAATAGTATAGTATATGTTTATAAAATATGTATGCATACACTGCACGTAAACATTTAGAATATATAGTTAGAAATTTAGTTTAGAAATGGATCATACTGCAGATTTACTCAAAAATCTCTCCCACACTTAGAGATTAGCCAAAGATTTAAGACAAAAATTATAAATATAAAATTATATAAGCTACATATGAAATTATAAATATGTATAGTAAGTACAATAAAATTTCAGGTTTTATAACCCTATCACTTGGATGATCTGATATAGATTTTCACATCTACTTTTTTTTAACTTATTCATTCAAAAAATATTAATAGAGTCTTCAATTGCCAAGTTGAATGTCTTTCACTCTTCCCCTACTTTGAGGAGGGCTGCCAGAAATTCACCTTTATCTCTAGAGGAAGTTGGTTCTCTGACACTGGTCTCCTCTCCAAAGATAAAATCAAGCAGAGCTCCTTGGAGACCGTTGATGTAGCTAGCAACTGAGGCATAAATGGATAGCTCTACTGTCTCAGAAGCATATAACACACTATTTTGTTTTGGGGATTGAAAAGAGAAAACGGTGAACTTCTGCTGCATGGATCTTAGAGAGGGAAAGGAAAGCTGTGCCGTTGGAACAGCTAGCATCACGGAGAATGACTGCTGGAGGAACAAAGAAATTTAAGCATGAAGAACTGCCATCTTTAGACATCAGGATCCCCTGAGCCTAACTCAGAACCAAGAGAATAAGATGATGCTCTCTAAAAGATGTTTAACCTTGAATGGTCCTCTCTTGGGGATTCTGGACCAGTCGAGAACAAGCAGCCTGTGTTAGACTGCGTCACAGTCTATCTGCACAAGCTCCATTTGGTAGTAGGAAGCAAGGGCAATTCAGATTGATGCAATTCTAAGTTCTCTCTGTTCTGCTCAAATAAGTGGGTAGATACAGCCCTCTTTCTTTTATACCACATAGATTCCTGGGGTTCTTGGATTTTCAAGTGGGGAAAAGTGAGCCCTGAGGGAATTACTTGATTTCTGGTAATCTGGCAAATGAGTACTCAAGCTAATTTTCTTCTGAAGGACATTACAGATGGCCCTTCATATTTGTGTGTTTCACATTCATGGATTCAACTAAGAGGAGATTGAAAATATTCAGAAAAAAAATAGATGGTCACATCTGTACTGAACACATACAGGCTTTTTTTTCTTGTCATTATTCCCTAAACAATTACAACATAACAATTTTTACAGCATTTATACTGTATGAGGTATTATAAGTAATCTAAAAATTATTTAAAGTATTGGGGGGGATATGTGTAAGTTGTATCCAAACACTACAACATTTTTTATAAGGAACTGAGTATTCATGGATTTTGGAATATGTGGGGGTCCTGGAACCAATCCCCCACAAATACCGAGGGACAACTATATATGTGACCTGAATTAGCTGAGCAGGTCAAACTTAGACATTCACACATTCTTGGGTTAACCTATTTCTCAAGTCACTTCAGACTTCATGAAGCAGCACGTAATAACCAATGAAGACTTGACTGGAAATCAGAAAGCTTGCCTAATAGCTCTGCTCTTAAGTAGCTATGTGAATGTGAGGAAGCCATAACTCAAACTCTTTAGTTGTATATAAGCATTTGGACAACATGAGCAATAAGACTTTCTCACTTTACAATCTTATAAATTCAATTTCAAAATACTTAAAAAAAAAAACTTTGGAAGAATAAGTTCATTAGCCTGGCTGACATATACCATCTTCAGCTGAACAACATTTACGTTTTCTCCTGAACACACTCTTTTTAGTAATTTAGCTTGAGTTAGTGAAAAATCAATAAGCAGTTTGGGCAAGCTGGAAACATAATAATAATAATAATAATAATAATAACAGTATTATTATAACTATTATTAAATTAAATATGGTAATTACCACAACTATTTCTTAGATGCTTGCACTATTCCTGGCACTTTTTTTATTTCATCAGCCCTATAAAATGGGTATTGTTTTACAGATGAGGAAACTGAGTCTCAAAGGGTTAAATAACTTGCCCAATATCACACAGCTAATGTGTAGCAAGAGCAGACTTCAAACAGTTACTCCTGAAGTTGAACCCGAAGCACTTTAGCACAGCCTTTTAGAAAACAAATTGGACTCTGTTAAAATTATACATTTCCTTTTCCGTCTCACCAACATACTCAAAAATCAAATTTGATAATTGACAAATGTGTTAATTTGACATTAACCAAAGGCAAGAGCCCCAAGGCTGGGCAAAATGCAGAGAATCAGCCTAAGTCTTAGTGACTTAAGACATGTAGAACTCATGTTCGGCATTTCTACCCACAAGAAAGCTGAAGATTTTTGCCTACTTAGATCCAGAATAACAGTTGAATTTCCCTCTCCAAAACAAAGTATTATTATTAGTATTGATAGTAAATTTCAAAATACTATTGACAAGTAAAAATGGTTGAGGAGAAACCAAGTTACTTCAAGTCTTTATATAGGTTATACTTAACTTGCAGTTTTCAGATTCAGCCAAGATCTGTTTCCATCCAAGCTGTTTCTATCAAATTGGAAAACTTCTATCCAAATAAGTTAGATTCTTCTTTTTGATAAAGAGTAGCCAGAGCTTCAAATAACATATATCAAAATAGCAGGGACAGTGTGTCGCTTGTTTAAAACACACAAAAACTTGCTGTTTGAAAAATGCAAATGCTAGGCTAATTGAGTTCTAAGATAATTTCCCATTGCTTGAATGTCAAGCTTTTTTTTCTCTAACCTGAACCATATGATTATGTATTCTGACAATAGACTGATTGTTCTCTTTTTCTTTGCATTTTATCAAAGGAATGTTAAAATTACTTTTACAGTAATAATCCTTCCAAGCCTAAAAAACTCAAAACACATTAAAGAAAATATTCAGAGATGACATATTATGCAGTAGAAGATACTGAATATCTTTTCTTCTGAATTCGGAAATTCTCATAAAGATATATTATGTAAAGTAAATCTTGTGGTGTAAATTATCTGTTAGCAAAAGGTATTTTTCAATTTCATTTCCAAATTATCCAAAATGAATTAGGACTTCATATTTAACTGTCAATATGAAATCCCACCTCCCAAAATATGGGTTGGATTTTAAGAATAAAGAAAATGCAAAGTGGTAAAAGTCAGGTTCTTTTATACCCCTCCAGTTTAATACAGTATTCTAGAGGCAGAGATACTCATTATGCTGTGCAAGGCTGTCTGATTCTTAGACAATCCCTTAAGTAAAGTTGTTTTCTTTTGTTTTATTTTGCTGTGTGACAGTTTGTTGATAATTTAAAGGCATCACGTTTCTCTTGAGAGAGAGAAAATAAAAACATCAATAGTTCTAATAAAATGTACTAAACAGATCCAGATTTTTTAATTCACTTCATACGGCTATGCAAGGTCATGGTATCTTTGAAAAGCAAGCAAAGCTATGATTCAGTGTTACCAATAATGTGCAACTGATTAAAATGAAATTATTGGATTCTAAGCATGGGATGTATCACTATGACATTTCCCATTAATCTTTTTTCAGCTTTGAGATTAAACTATAAAGGAGTCTTCTGATCTGAGATAACCAGATAGACACCCCATTTACCATGAAAACAAACATATTGCTATCATCAATGGAACATGAACACCAATGCCAATCGGAGAAGAATTTCTGTTTTTGATGCTGTTTATGTGAGCAGAAAGGTAAAGGAAGGTTGAATTAAAGAGCCAAATTTCCCTCTTAAAACTCTCATTCACAAAAAGAGTAATAAAAAGTTATATGGGAGACAGCATATTACCCTGTCAAAATGCAGTAATTATCTCCCCTGCACTCCAGACATATATCTAACTGCATATTTTTCATGACTTACAGGCTTGTCAAAATTAATACATCTAAAACTCAAATTTTAAATTTCTCCTTTTAAAATTTGTTTCTTCCTAAGGTTACTTATGTGAATAAATGGCACCATGAACCATCCGTTGCTTAAGTCAAAAACCTAGGTGCCATCTTTAATTTCACTCTTTCTCATACATGTTATCAAATTCATTAGGTTCTGTTTGTTTTACTTCCAAAATATTTCTCAAATGTTTTTTTCTATTCCATTATCATTATCCTTGTCCAGCGTTATCTCTCACCTGGACAACTGCAAAGGTTTAGCACATCTCCCAACATGCATTGTGATCCTTTCACATCCACCTCCATAGAGCAGCCAGATTAATCTTATTTATTAATAAAACTGTAAGCCACAGAATTGCTTTAAAAGGTTTTCATTGCTCTCGCAAGTACTCCTTGTTCTCACCCAAGGCCTCACCTCCAGACAATCAGTAATCCATAATCTTTTTTTTTTTTTTCCGATAGTAGGAGGAAACTAAGAAACCCAAATGTTGAGAAAATTAAGTAGTGGTCTGCAGAGGCCTAGCTACCAGTGTTCTCTGATGAGCTCCGGTTCTTTGAAACGCTGAGAAAGTTAACTGTGGAGGATTTTCTGATGGAGAAACTCATCTGTGGGAAGATGGTATGGCACAATATGGCAGGGTCTTTCAACCAGCTGAAGGAAACTTCAAGGAACCTTAAGCATGGAAGATTTATGGATGAAAAGACCCTAGTCCCTCAAAATGTCATTCTAGGCTCACTCCAAGATTTACATTCTGATCTGTTCACTTTTTGCTACCAATTTTCACCATGCTATCATCTACCTAATATCTAGAAGGTATTAGAAGAAAACTGCCTGATTTCTAGAAATCTGAGGGGGAAAAATAGATTTCAGAAACAAAATTACAAATGACTTCTCTTTGTTTAAATTAGGGCAAGAGCCACAGGCATAAACAGGCAATCTGACAATACCCTTTCAGAGCAAGATATCTAGAGGTGGGACCAGAGCTAATAGATCAAGGTACCTGTATTCAAACATTCCCACACACAGTTCTTGGCCATCTAATTCAAAATATTCCCTTATAAATATTTCATAAAGGCTTTTAAACACAAATGCTCCTTCTGGTGAACCTGTATCAACAAGGACGAAGTGAATCTGTTTGTAGTCACTTCCTTTGGCCATTTTAACTTCCCTAATAGCAAATAGAATTTTTTTTCCTATTTATATAAAGTTGGGGGAGGAAAGGTTTTCAATAACAATTCAAATGTCAAAGTTACAGATGCCTCAAATATATCAACTGAGTGGATCTATTTACCATGTCAAACAATGAATTTCTCATCTGTCTGTAGCAAGGGAAATTTAAGTCTCTGGGTACTAAAATTGCTTTGTTCCACAAGAGTCAAGGTAACTATTAAATTAATTTATGTTTTTCTCATGAATATTTTATAGCTGCCTTTTTAGGACATCTAGATTTTGAAGTACATTTTCTTATTAAACTCACATTAATTTTAATTTTAAAACATTTTAAGATCAAATGTATATGTTATTTAAATGTTTTCCTGTCATAATCTCACCATCAGTACAAATAGACATCGTCATGGCTTAATGTCATCTGTTAGGTTTGTAAAGCCTACATAAAGAAGATTTCCTTTTCTCAGTGTAAAAAATTTAGGTTTATATGTTTTTAACAATCAAAGTACAGATTTCTTTAAAAATATTTGTGACTTAAATGGATTGAACTAATCCATGGGAAAATTTGATTAGTTATTTTAAAACTCAATTATATTGTACTTTCAAAGCACAATGTGGATAATTTCACAAAGTGTCTTGAATTATGAAATAATTTGAAAGGCTCATTCATTATTTTGGGACAAAACGCAGCACAAAAGAAGTATATATTTTACATTATTGAAGTTGAATTAAACACAAATTCTGAGTCTGGGAGAGGAAAATATAGATCATAAAGTTAGACCCGTGTTTTTCACCTGGAGGCAATTTTGTCTGCACTCTTCTACCCCAGGATATTTGGCAATGCCTGGAGACATTTTTGATGCATACAGCTGTGATGGGGCAGGAGGCGGTTGCTGCTAGAATCTACTGGGTAAAGGTTAGCAATACTGACAAACATCCCTCAATGCACAGGACAGCCCTTACAACTTACAATTATCTAGTCCAAAACGTCAATAGTTCCAAGGTTGAGAAACCCCAAGTTAAACAAATCAGGAGAATTGAACTAAAAAGGAGGGGAATGAGAAGTCTATCTCATAAGTAGACAGCTCTTGGAGGAGTACCATATAGGCCTTGAGTACACAAAGCCAGATCTTGATTTCAAATTCATGAAGTTAACAATAAGACGCCAAGGATGAAATAATGCAATGGAAATTGTGAAGAAAAATGAAAATTATTTGGCAACCACATTCACAAACTTTTACCTTCACAACAAAGCTGCAGTGTGAAAAAGCACCCTTCTCTTTATCAGTATTATCTCCATCATCATCAACATCATCATCATCCCCACATAAGGACTGAGGAAATTAAACCTGAGAGAAGCCAAAAGCCTTTCCCAAGTCACTCATAAAAAGCACAGTGAAAATGCAAACCTAAATGTTCTGGCCCCAAATCCAATGCTTTTCTTGCTATGCCATGTATATTTCTATCACACCCCTCACAACTCACTGCAATTCTACTGCAAATGAATATGCAGGGTACCTCAGACCTAGCTCTTTCTCTGACTTACTGTGTAGCTTTGAAAAGTAATTTAGGCTGGGCGCGGTGGCTCACGCTTGTAATCCCAGCACTTTCGGAGGCCGAGGCGGGCGGATCACGAGGTCAGGAGATCGAGACCATCCTGGCTAACACGGTGAAACCCCGTCTCTACTAAAAATACAAAAAAAATTAGCCGGGCGTGATGGTGGGCGCCTGTAGTCCCAGCTACTCGGGAGGCTGAGGCAGGAGAATGGCGTGAACCCTGGAGGCGGAGCTTGCAGTGAGCCGAGATTGCGCCACTGCACTCCCGCCTGGGCCACAGAGCGAGACTCCGTCTCAAAAAAAAAAAAAAAAGAAAAAAGAAAAGTAATTTAAACTTTCTCTGTTTCAGTTTCTTCATTGGTAAGCTGAAAAAATAGCTACCACTTAGATGTCATTGTAAGATGCAATGAGACAAATTTATATAATAAATGTTAATAAGAAAAGCCAGTAAACAGATGCCATTACTCATTGTTAACTCTTATGCTTTTATAATTGATGCTGTTTAATTCTCTGCTTTGGGCAGTGAGTACCCTAAAATATGTATGTAAGTTACTGATGAAAGAGGAAGCATATTTTAAACTTTAAATGTTTTGTGAGATTCAAGTAGGCTTTGCTGAGAATGACGTTGGTTTTGAAAACTATTCTGTGAAATACAGACATACATCATTTTATTGTACTTTGCAGATATTGCACTTTTTACAAACTGAAGTCTTATGACAACCCTGCATCAAGCAAGTCTATGGGAACCATTTTTCTACCAGCATGTACTCACTTCATGTCTCTATCTCACATTTTGGAAATTCTCACAATATTTCAAAATTTATTATTATTATCCTTCATGGTGATCTGTGATCAGTGATCCTAGATGTTACTATTGCAATTGTTTTGGGGTGCCATAAACTGTACCCATACAAGATGGCAAAGTTAATCTATAAATGTGTGCATTCTAACTGATTCATTGACGGGCTGTTCTCCTGTCTCTTTCCCTCCCCTCAGGCCTCCCTATTCCCTGAAACACAACAACATTAAAATTAGACCAATCCATAACCTTACAATGGCCTCTAAGTGTTCAAGTGAAAGGAAGAGTTGCATATCTCATATTTTAAATCAAAATCTAGTGTAATCCTCATGATTAAGCTCATGAGGAAGACACACTGAAAGCCAACATGGGCTAAAAATTAGGCCTCTTGCGTCAATTAGCCAAACTGTGATTTTTTTGAGACGGAGTCTCGCTCTGTCGCCCAGGCTGGAGTGCAGTGGCATGATCTCGGCTCACTGCAAGCTCCACCTCCCGAGTTCACACCATTCTCCTGCCTCAGCCTCCCGAGTAGCTGGGACTACAGGTGCCTGCCACCACGCCTGGCTAATTTTTTGTATTTTTTTTTTTTTAGTAGAGATGGGGTTTCACCGTGTTAGCCAGGATGGTCTCGATCTCCTGACCCTGTGATCCGCCTGCCTTGGCCTCCCAAAGTGCTGGGATTACAGGTGTGAGCCACCACACCCGGCCAGAAATGTTCTTGATGGAAATTAAAAGTGCTACTCCTGTGAAGACATGAATGATAAGAAAGCAAAACAGCCTTGTTGCTGATATGGAAAAAGTTGTAGTGATGTGGATGGAAAATCAAATCAGCCACTAAGGCAACACCTTGGCTTTGGATTAGGTTTTCCTTTAAGCCAAAGTCTAATCCAGAGAATGGCTCTAACTCCTTCAATTCTGTGAAATCTGAGAGAGGTGAGGCTGTTACAAAAAGAAATTTGGAAACCAGCAGAGGTTGGTCCATAAGATCGAGGGAAAGAAGCTGTCTCTACGACATAAAAGTACTAGCAGCAAGTACTGATGAAGAAGCTGCAGCATGTTTTCCAGAAGATCTAGCTAAGATCACAGATGAAGGTGACTGTGTTAAACAACAGATGAAATAGCCTTATATCACAAGGAGGAATATCCTAGCTAAAAGGAAGCCAATGTCTAACTTCAAAGCTTCAAAGGGCAGGCTGATTCTCTTGTTATAGGCTAATGCAGCTGGTGATTTTAGGCTGAAGCCAACGCTTATGGCCATTCAGAAAATCCTAGGAACCTTTGGGATTGTGCTAACTCTAAAATGCCTGTGCTCTATAAACGGAAAAAGAAAGCTTGAATGACAGCACATCTGTTTATAGCATGGTTAACTGAATATTTTAAGCCCACTATTGAGACCTACTGTTCAGAAAAAAAGATTTTTTTCAAAATATTACTGCTCATTGACGATTCACCTAGTCACCCAAAAGCTCTAATAGAGATGCACAAGATTCATGGTTTGTCTTCATGCCTGCTAACACAACATCCTTCCTTCATGCCATAAATGCCATAGATAGTGATTTCTCTGATGGAGCTGGACAAAGTAAATTGAAAACCTTCTGGAAAGTATTCACCATTCTAGAGGCCATTAAGAACATTCATAATTCATGGGAGGAGGTTAAAATATCAACATTAACAGGAGTTCGAAATAAGTTGAATTCAACCCTCATGGATAACTTTGAGGGATTCAACATTTCAATTGAAGAAGTAGCTGCAGATATATAAAAATAGCAAAAAAAAACTAGAATTTGAAGTGGATCCTGAAGATGTGACTGAATTGCTGCAATCCCATGATAAAACTTGAACAGATAAGGAGCTGCTTCTTATGGATGAGCAAAGAAAGTGGTTTCTTAAGAAGGAATCTACTCCTGGCGAAGATACTGTGAACATTGTTGAAATAACAACAAAGGATTTAGAATGTTATACAAACCTAGTTGTTAAAGCAGTGGAAGGTTTTGAGAGGATTGACTCTGATGTTGAAAGAAGTTCTGCTGTGGGTAAAATGGTATCAAACAGCATCATGCTACAGAGAAATCTTTTGTGAAGAGTCAATTGCTGGGGCAAAGTTCATTGTCATAAGAAATTGCCACAGCCGCCCCAACCTTCAACAACCACCACCCTGATGATTCAGCAGTTATCCACATTAAGGCAAGACTCTCCACCACCAAAAATATTACAACTTGCTGAAGGCTCAGATGATCACTCGCATTTTTTAGCAGTATTTTTAATTAAGTTATTAAGCGTGCAATAACACACTTAGACACAATGCTATTGCACACTTAATAACTGTAAACTGTATACTGTAAACATGGACTCGGAAGCCAAAAACTTTGTGTGACTCGCTTTATTGTGATATTCACCTTACTGGGATGGCCTCGAACCAAACCTGAATTATCTACTAGATATGCCTGTACTGACTGTGAGAACGAGCTCTCTGAGAGAAGTAGCTTGTAACCAATAAAACAGGTGTATTTATATTGACTCCTCATTCAGAGCAACTCTTCTGACATATCCGGCTGATTTCCTTTGTAGCAACTATTTTCTTTGTTTCCTAGCTAATAGAATCCTAACTTCATTTTGAATGGCAATATGCTCAGCTCCAAGAGGTGAATTAAGACAGGTCTAGTTCATTACAGCAATCCTATTTCCCTTAAACAGTAGCATGTAACCTAGTCCTGACCAATGACCCATAAGGAAAAGTCTACTGGAGGGAGGAGCTTCTAGGCCATGTTATCTTGCATGGTTTAAAAAGAAATAGAGATGCAAGCATTACAAAGCTCTTTTGTTTCCTTCAATGTTTCCTTACATGATATGAGTAATGATATAATGTCTGGAACTACGCAGATGGAACGATGCTGAATTAATGCAATGTCTGATTATCTGTCAATGGTGAGGCAAAACAGCTTGAGGGCCAAAGTTAACATTATGAGAATGGGAAGGTGAAAAGATAAGTCTCTGATGGACTTATTGAGTTTGCTAACCAATCCTGGAACCACTACATCCAGTGTTTGTCAGACTTTTGATTACTTACATTCAAAGTATCCTAACTAATAATACACCCATATGCCAATTGTACTTGTGCCCTCTAGAGATTCAGTAGCCTGTTTTCATATCAATTAAGCATATCTCCATTTCTTTTATAAAAACATCTAATTTTAATTAATGGAAGAAAGAAGACCTAGGTCATGGAACATTGGAAAGGTAACATCTGCTGCATAAATCAGAAATAATATGACATTGCTCTTCTCACTTCTGTATTTGTGAGTGCTGATTCCTCTTCCTGGAAAATTTTTTTTCCTTGTCTATCTGTTCAACTTCTACTCATCCTCTGTCTCTCAGCTGGAGATTTGCTTCTGTGAAATCTTTTCCTAAGCAGAATTAGATAATTTCACCTTTGGGTTCCTATATATGTTAAATAGAACTTTTATTTTGATAGCAAGGGGCAGAAAACATATTCAAACTGGTTTAAGCAAAATGATATACTAGAGGCTCACATGACTGTGAAGTCCAAGGAGAGAACCAGTTTTACTGAAAGACTCAGTGAGGTTGTCAGAATTTAATCTCAATCTTTCCACCTCTCCTTTCTCTTGACCACTGTGTTGGTCTATTCTAAGCCAGGTTCTTTCTTCATGTGCAAAGATGGATTCAGGAAACTCCCACATACATCAGAGGAAAAGTAAATATTCTCTTTGCAACTTCAGCAAAAGTCCCAGGACTTTATATCATTAACCTGGCCTGGATCATGTGCTCATAGTACAGACACAGATATGAAGTACACTGATTTGTTTAGTACTAAAGTTGGGATAGGGGGACAGTCCCACACAAATCCTCTGGAATGAAAAAAGAAAAAGGATCAATTTCACAGGGGAATTTCTGCAAATGGGAGAATACATGAGGGCAGGAAGAAACCATGTCCCCCACATACACCAAACACCTTGCATATATACCACATTCATTAACTCAAAAACATATGTTGACTGTTTATTAGTTCCCAGCACCATTCTATATAGATATCTTTTTGCTAATTTCTCTCTCCACTAAGGTGCATCCTCAAAGGCAAAGACGATGTCAATTTAAGGCAAGTTATATTCCTTCTTATAGCATAAGACACATTGTTTTGCTGTTGTCTTTTGAGTATTTGTCACCTTATACCAATCTATGAAATTCACAAAAGCTGAGATCTTATTTTTCTCCTCTTTCCATCCTCAAAAACTACTACAGTGCCAAGTTGGCACATAGTATTTGCTCACTAAATCTTTATTGAATGTATTAGTGCTCAAGTACTCTGGGCAGAATGTGAGTTTGTAGCTGCTAGTCAATAAGTGAACTTGCCAGGTTAATCTTTAAATAATGCCCAATATGCATGTTCCAGATTTTGTAGACTTCCAGCAAAAAAAGAGATTCTGGATATTATAAAGCCAAAAAACTAAGCACAGTTTAAAGTGGCCATCCACACAAGAGAGAGGGTGTAGAGTAGAGATATCATGGATGTAAAGTTGTGTGGCTACTAACTTTAGCCAGAGTCACCCTCTTAAACACGGGAAATATTTCAAATATCAAAAGTGATGGGACAGGGGAAAAGTGCTTTTAAAAAGGATGTTGTAGCCGTTCATCAAAAAAATCTTGATTCTCTAGAGAATGTGGGTCACAAACTGGACAAAAATAGAAATCTAAGTTCCTTGGACAAAGCCAGAGTCAAGCAGCCAAAACACTAATGTAAAAAACAGTCTCACTAACTAAAGTAAGCAGCAGGAAATAGCATCATTTGGACCTGATTCCAGGCCAACCACAGGTCCTGAGGCCTAGCTCAGTCAGAAAATATCCCTGCCATGTTCTCTCACAGCTGAAGTTTTAAGGCAGCAGCCAGAGAAACAACCATCTAACCAAGTTCGATGTCAAGAGATAAAATTTTGAAATTAAGATTAACAGTCCAGCAAACACAAAAAGTAAAAACACAAAAAGAACAAACATTTTACTTCAGGATTCCAAAAGCACTGAGAAAGGGATAATGTGAAAAATGAGTAAAAAAGAAAGTCTTAAAATAATTATTTATATTATATTATAATTATTTAAATTACAATTATTGTCAAATAAGTATAATCTTAACATATATTTGCATATTCACATGCTTTTTGTTAATTCCAGCAGCTACTTGTCTAGCAAGAAATTTTGTTTTGTTTTGTCTTTAAGTGAGGTAGAGCAGCAGGACTTTGGAACATCCGTATTCATTTAAAGGTTTCTAAAATAAACAAAATACACTATTCTTCTATTTAGACAGAGATTTGAATCCATTATTTAATGTGGTTTTTAACATTTATTTAGAAAGAAGTTAGAAGTAGTAAAAGATGTATAATAATAATTAGTCAAGGGTGGCTGAACCTCACTTTTATCCTGTCCTTTTGCCAATTTTTTTTTAGAATTTTATTTATTTTATTTGTCAACTCTTTTTTAGATTCAGGGAGTACTTGTGTAGGTTTGTTACACAGGTAAATTACATGTTGCTGGGGTTGGTGTATAAATGATTTTGTCATCCAAGTCAGCATAGTACCCAGCAGGTAGTTTTTCAACCCTCACCCTCCTCCCACATTTCACCCTCAAGTAGGGCCCTGTGTCTCTTGTTCCCATCTTTGTGCCCATGTGTATTCAGTGTTTAGCAACCACTTATAATTGAGAACATGCAGTATTTGGTTTTCTGTTCCTATGTTAATTCACTTAGGATAATGCCCTCCAGCTCAATTTATGTTGCTGCAAATAACTTAATTTCATTCTTTTTATGTCTGTGTAGTATTTCATATGCAGGGCATTTTCTTTATCCAGTCCACTGTGGATGGGCATGTAGGTTGATTCCCTGACTTTGCTATTGTGAATAGTGCTGCAATGAACTTACAAGTGCATGCGTCTTTTTGGCACAGTGATTTATATTCCTCTGGGTATATACCCAGTAATGGGACTGCTGAGTCAAATGGTAGTTCTGTTTTAAATTCTTTGAGAAATCTCCAAACTATTTTCCAAGGTGGTTGAACTAATTTACATTCCCACCTGCAGTGTATAAGCATTCCGTTTTCTCCACGACCTCACCAGAATGTTATTTTTTGAATAGTCATTCTGACTGATATGAGAGGGTATCTCATTGCGGTTTTGATTTGCATTTCTCTAATGATTGGTGACTGAGCCTTGTCTTCACATGCTTGCTGGCCATATGAATGTCTTTTGAGAAATGTCTGTTCATATCCTTTGCCCCTTTTTAATGCGGTTGTTTTTTAAGTTCCTTATAGATTTTGAATATTAAACTTTTGTCAGATGCATAGTTTGCCAACATTTTCTGTAGGTTTTATGTTTACTCTGTTGACAGTTTCTTTTGCTTTGCAGAAACTGTTTAGTTTAATTAGGTCCCACTTGTCAACTTTTTGTTTTGTTGCAATAGCTTTTGGAGACTTTGTTATAAAATCTTTGTCGAGGCCTATATCCAGAATGGTATTTCCTATGTTTTATTCTAGGGTTTTTATAGCTTTAGGTCTTATATTCAAGTCCTTAATCCATTTCAAGTTGATTTTTGTGTATGGTAAAAGAAGGGCATCCAGTTTCAATCTTCTTCATATGGCTTGCCAGTTATCCCATCATCATTTATTGAATAACGAATCCTTTCTCCATTGCTTGTTTTTGTTGACTTTATAAAAGATCAGATAGCTGTAGGTGTGAAGATTTATTTCTGAGTTCTCTAACCTGTTCCATTGGTCTGTGTGTCTGTTTTTTGTACCAATAGCATGCTGTTTGGGTTACTATAGCCTTGTAGTAATAGTTTGAACTCGGGTAATGTGATACCTCTGGCATTGTTCTTTTTGCTTAGGATTTCTTTGGCTATATGGCTATTTGGCTATTCGGGCACTTTTTGGTTCCATAAAAATTTTAGAATAGTTTTTATCTAATTCTGTGAAGAATGATGTTGGTAGTTTTACAGGAATAGTATTGAATCTGTAAATTGCTTTGGGCAGTATGGCCATTTTAACGATACTAATTCTTCCTATCCATAAGCATGGAATATTGTTCCATTTGTTTGTGTCATCTCTGATTTCTTTGAGCAGTGTTTTATAATTCTCATTGTAGAGATCTTTCATCTCCCAGATTAGCTGTATTCCTAGGTATTTTATTCTTTTTGTGTCTCTTGTGAATGGGATTGCATTCTTGATATGGCTCTCAGCTTCCATGTTACTGGTATATAGAACTGCTACTAATTTTGTAACCTGAAACATTGCCAATGCTGTTTATCAGATCTAGGAGCCCTTGGGAAGAGACTATGGGGTTTTCTATGTATAAAATCATGTTGTGTGCAAAGAGAAAGTTTGACTTCCTTTCCTCTTATGTGGATACCTTTAATTTATCTTGCCTGTTTGCCCTGGCTAGGACTTCCAGTACTGTGTTGAACAGGAGTTGTGAGAGTGTGCATCCTTGTCTTGTTTCTTTCTCAAAAGGAATAGTTTCAGCTTTTGCCTGTACAATATGACGCTGGTTGTGAGTTTGTCATAGATGACTTATTATTTTGAGGTATCTTCCTTCAATGCTTAGTTTGTTGAGAGTTTTCACATGAAAGTATGTTGAATTTTATCAAAAGCCTTTTCTGTGCCTTTTGAGATGATTCTGTGGTTTCTGTTTTTAGTTTTGTTTATATAATGAATCACATTTATTGATTTGCCTATGTTTGACCAAACTTGCATCTCAGGAATACAGCTACTTGATTGTGGTGGATTAGCTTTTTCATGAGCTGCTGCTGCATTCAGTTTGCTAGTTTTTCTTGTGTGTTTGTTTGGTTGGTTGTTTTTTTTGTTTTGTTTTGTTTTTAAGGATTTTTGTGTTTAGGTTCATCAGAAATATTGGCCTGAAGTTTTCCTTTTTGTGGTATCTCAGCCAGGTTTTAGTATCAGAATGTTGCTGGCCTCATAGAATAAGATATGGAGGAGTCCCTTCCGAGTTTTGGGAATAATTTCAGTAGAGTTGGTACCATCTCTACTTTGTACATCTCGCAGAATTTGGCTGTGAACCCGTCTGGTCCAGGGCTTTTTATGGTTGGTAGGATTTTTTCGTACTGATTTAATTTTGCAACTCATTATTGGCCTGTTCAGAATTTCAGTTTCTTCTTGGTTCAGTCTTGGGAGACTGTATCTTTCCAGGAATTTATCAATTTCTTCTAGGTTTTCTAGTTTGCGTACAGAGGTGTTTGTAATAGTCTCTTAGGGTTTTCTTGTATTTCTGTGGGGCCTGTGGCAATGTCCCTTCTGTCATTTCTGGTTGATTGGGAGATTTTTTTGGATCTCCTCTCTTTTTTTCTGTATTATTCTAGCTAGAGGCCTGTCAATCTTGTTTATTCTTTTAAATAACAAACTTTTAGTTTTGTTGATTATTTGTATGTAGTTTTGCATCTCAGATTTCGTTCAGTTCAGCTCTGATTTTGGTTATTGATTTTCTTCTGCTAGTTTTAGGTTGTTTGCTCTTGTTTTCTAGTTCCTCAAGGTGTGATGTTACGTTGTTCCTTTTGCCGGTTCTTATATTCAAAATACGGAATTGTTTCTCACATACATTTTTGCTGTTCTGACTGTAACATTCATAGTGGCTTGCCATTCATTTAATTTATGTCATCACTTCCTTTTCCATTTTGTCTTAAGTTTATAACAGATATTGGTCATTAAAATAATTTTAAAATATGTCAGTGGAAATAAACAGAAAGGAGTGTATATTCTGCAAGAAAAAGTATACTAATTCACAAATTATCATTGACCTCGTTGAAGGTTTCTTTACCAGCCTTTGCTATATCATATGATTCCACTATCTCTACAATTTCCTAAAGCAACATTAATGTGACTTGAGATGCCCACACTATGAGCAGATTATCATCTCAACATGCTCAGCACAGGACTGACTCCTGGGGAAGACAGAGAGAGAACAAGCAAAAAAAAAAAAACAAACCACAGATATTTATTTATGTGTTTCTTTATTTTTTACAACCTTTTTGCTATGTTATTATTTTATACCTAGAAGCTCATAAAGGGCAGGGACTTTCGATGTTTACTTCATTTTGCAAGTCATAAAACACTATAGTAGGAAAAAACAAGTGTTTGCCAATTATCGATCCCAGAGGTATCTGCAGAGTCTAAACTCCCCTGAGGCCCATCTGTAAGGAATAAAGACTCAGGGCATCTCTATTTTTTTTTTCGACTTTCTTTCTTTCCTCCCCAAAAATAAATTTTAAAAACCTTGTTTTTCATTTATTTTGAATACAAGCAAAGTGGATTTGCCTTGCTTTTATCCAAGGCAAACCCACTTTGTTTGACCTTCCCTTCTTATTTATCCCGAGTCCTGTTACTCTCACACCCTTGTGCAGGAGCCTGCTCTGCCTATTGCAAATGCAAAATCTCTGCATGGGCTCTTCACTCCCTCTCTGCCTTTGCACATGCTATTCCCTTTATGTGAAAACCCTAGCTTAGCCCCTCTGACCTATCTGTTGAACTCTGACTCATCCTTTGGGAAATCCATGGAGAACTACTCTTGGAGAACTCCTGCATTCTACAGCATCAGGAACTGCAACCTCTGTGCCCAGTGACCCTTAGTCCATGTCTCTCATACAGCACTTACCACATTATATTATCATTTTCTGTTTTTGCACGCCTCCCCAGTTAGATTCGTTAAAGATGTGCCTTTCTTGGGAAAGCTTTTATCAATATTTAAAAAGAGATAACCATGGATAAAACAACCCTGCTGGAGCTGACATATTTGATTGTAAGGCTGTATGAATTTGGATGGTGTTAGTGGCAAAACCAATACGCTGAGGATAGCAAGAAAACAGATGGAACAAAACTGGTCTTTGACAAAACCATTAGAAATCTAAATTAACCATCCCAAAAGCTTTACACCTCTGGATAATGTGATATGTCTGATAGCAATATTTTTACTTATTTTTAAGCCACTTTGAATTTTATTCTCTATTTCTTGCTAGTAACTCATCCTAATTGACACAAATACTAAAATTATCATTAAAATAACTATATTTCAGCTCTAAGGTAATCTTAAACAAGAGACATACCCTCTAAACTTGAGTTTCCCCATTTTTAAGTAGGTTTAATAATGCCTAAGTTTGCAATCTTATTTGAAAAGAAATAATACAGTTTACATAAAAGCACCGTGTTAGTTACAAAATCCAGGAAGAAAATCCTAATGTCCCCTCAGGAGCCAGAGAGGTAACATAAATAAATGAACTATTCAGGACAACAATATGTACTAACCTGCATTTTTTTTTTTTTTTTTTTTTGAGACAGAATCTTGCTCTGTCACTCAGGCTGCAGTGCATTGGCGCAATCTTGGACACACTGCAACCTCTGCCTCCCAAGTTCAAGCAATTCTCCTGCCTCAGCCTCCTGAGTAGCTGGGATTACAGGCATGCACCACCACACTCAGCTAATTTTTGTACTTTTAGTAGAGACAGGGTTCCACCATGTTGGTCAGGCTGGTCTCGAACTCCTGACCTCAAGATCTGCCTGCCTCGGCCTTCCAAAATGCTGGGATTACAGGCATGAGCCACTATGCCCAGCCCTAACCTGTTATCATTTTGACTGAGCATAATAACAGCCTAGTTATATTGCCTTTTAACAGACAGTGATGCCAAACAGAGCAGTGAAAAGACTAGCTCCTATTTATTAACCAACTGTTTTTGACTACTGTAAAAGTTTCTATTACTAGAAAGTATTACTAAACACTATATTTATCTGAAGACCTGTAAACTATTTTATTCCCCTTATACTAAGCCCTCAAAATTCAAATATATTTAAAATAGAAACAAAATTTATGGCAATTAGCTTAAAATGTTGCACTTCTAAAACATAGCACCAAATTATTTAACACTTCTCCTCCTATTAAAAATGGGTTATGTTCCCTCCACTTGAATCTGGGCGGGATTGTTTCTGTTTCAACCAATTGAGTATTATAAAAGTGATGCCATCATGTGTCTTCCAAGGATAAATGTTTCAAAGCCACAATGTTTCCACCTTTTTATCTTAGAATCCTTGCTTTCTGGCCACTCTCACTGATGCTCCTTCCTGAGAACCAGTGGCCATGCTCTGAGAAGCCCAAGCCACACAGAGAGTTCCTGAACATTGTGTAATAGAAAATGCTACTCCTATAGGGCCCTATCTGAGATAGTTGCACAATCTGTAAGCCTAATTAAATGGTTGTTATTTTAGGCCACTAAAAGTTTTCTACATAGCAATAGATGAGAAAAAGACAAATTTCGTCTCGATAGTTGTTCAAAAAACATTATGTTGAAAATTGTAAATATGTCCATTAATTGAAGTTATTAGATTTTCTGATTTCACTCATTAACTCAGAATTAAAAAACTGGAAGGAACATATAGATTATCAAGAACTAAGTATCTCAGTTAAACAAGAAAGTTAAATGACTTACTAAATCTCACATAGATGTATAATGGCAGATCAATAATTAGAAAACAAAATTTTTGATGAGCAGTCAATGTGTAATTGTTTGTAAAATGAGGATTAAGCCTTTCCCCTATACTTTTTAAAGAGAAATGTACCTAAGTAGCTAGCATAGTAAGAAGATAATATCCCCTTTTATTGTTACTGGAATGAAGACTTCCTTTAGGCAAGAAGAAATTACTTATGAGTAACATCAAAGGCATTTTTAAAAACCTACCTGTGGAAAAAAAAATGTCCTTTTCAAATTCATGTCAGATTCATGATTTTCTATATATATGCAGCATATCTATGAAAATATAGTTTATTACTATGCCAATTAGAGATTTTTCAGAATGTAGAGTTATTTAGGAAATAAATAAATTTAGCTTATAATATAGCTAAATTAATTGTTTGTTTGGATTTTAAGGAAATACTACTGGCCAGGTGCAGTGGCTCACGCCTGTAATCCCAGCACTTTGGGAGGCCAAGGAGGGCAGATCACGACGTCAAGAGATCAAGACCATCCTGGCCAACATGGTGAAACCCTGTCTCTACTAAAAATACAAAAATTAGCTGGGCATGGTGCCATGCACCTGTAGTCCCAGCTACTTGGGAGGCTGAGGCAAGAGAATCACTGGAACCTGGGAGGCAGAGGTTGCAGTGGGCTGAGATTGCACCACTGCATTCCGGCCTGGTGACAGAGCAAGACTCTATCTCCAAAAAAAAAAAGAAATACTGCTGATAATAGAGGTGGTGATACTGGTTGTCTCACGGCCTGAAAAGTTAGTTCAGGTCTCAGACCTCCCATTTTCTTTAATGACTCATTATGAACCTAGTAACACAGAAGCTTTGAACACTAAGAATGTTGTGGCAGAGGTTGGGTAGATGCTTATCAAATGTTTTTCTTCTCCCTGAGCACAGGGTTAAGCTATATTTCCTAGTCCTCTACCTCTAGGTAAGGCCAGTGTGACAATTTTGTGCCAATAAAATGTATTAGAAGTAATACATCACTTTGGGACCAGTGTAGTAGTAGCAGGCCAACTCTAAAGTTGTCTCCTGGAATGCCTTTCTCCCAATTTTGATTCCCTTATATTAATCTCTTCTCTTTAAATATGAGATTGTCTAGTGACTTTCTTCTACCCAATTAAATACATCAAAGTCACTTCCATGATTACATTATATAAGAGCATCATGTCCCTCTTGCTAGCAGATGCTCTCTCTCACCAAGTTTGTTGAAGTGAGCTGCCATGTTGGAAGAGCCTCATATGCAAGTAACTAATACCCTCAGTCCAACAGCCTTAAAGGAACTTAATTCTACCAACAGCCATGTAAGTGCAAGTGTGCTTGAATAAAGATGCTTTCTCATTTGGGCCTTCAGATGAGACTTCAGCTCTGGATGACAACCTAATTGCAGCCTTAAGACAGACTATGAAACAAAGGACCCATTCAAGTCATGCCCAGATTCTTGACCTATAGAAACGTGAGATTATAAACGTGTGTTGTTTCATCCTGATAAACTCTGGCATAACTCATTATGCAGGAAAAATTAATAAGGCAGCTAAAGGTGAATGGGCTTTATCATGTTCCCTCTTCCTTGACCCATCTGCTGACTAGACAACAAAATGACACCAGAGCAACCTTGATACTACAGGTTAGAGATGGTGGAGCCCCAGCATGAAAGAATGCTGGATCCCTGAAGGACTGGATAGAGCAAACCTTCCCTCCTACACCTTGACAATAAGAGAAATAAGTAAGCTGTTATTTGGTTAAGCCACTAATATTAGGGAATGTTTGTTGCAGCAGCTGGCTTCACTTGTCCTAAGAAACTTAAATCTAATGGAAGCTTAGGGCTTCTAGCCATGTGCTTATCAAGTATTTACTAAATGTAATTAAGATAGTAATATCTCTTATTAATACTTCATTTTCCTCTTTACAATCAAAAAGTTGTTCCCTGAAGGCCTCACATATTTCCATATCTTTGTTCTTTTGTTCCTCCTATTCCCTCTCCATCAAATACCCTCCTTACTACATTCTCTGCTTAGAGAGCTCTTACAAATTCTTGAGTGACTCTTTTTTTTTTTTTTTTTTTTTTTGAGACGGAGTTTCACTCTGTTGTCCAGGCTGGAGTGCAGTGGCATGATTTCGGCTCACTGCAAGCTCTGCCTCCCAGGTTCACGCCATTCTCCTACCTCAGCCTCCCGAGTAGCTGGGACTACAGGCGCCCACCACCATGCCCAGCTAACTTTTTTGTATTTTTTTTTTTTTAGTAGAGACGGGGTTTCACCGTGTTAGCCAGGATGGTCTTGATCTCGTGACCTCGTGATCCACCTGCCTTGGCCTCCCAAAGTGCTGGGATTACAGGCATGAGCCACCACGCCCAGCCTTGAGTGTCTCTTTAATGTCTACTCTGAAGCATCTACAACAGCTATGGGCAGAATCACATTTTACTCGCGCTAAAGCTATATGACTATTAAAAATAGCTTTAACATTTTCCTTATTAGTGTAACTTTTTGAAAGGAAAATTAGTAATATCTATCAACATTAAAATGTTGATAGATATCACTTAGTCTAACATTTCCACTGCTAAAAATTTATTTTAAGGATACAGAGTGTAAAGATACACATATTTAAGTATTTATTGCAGCAATGTTTATAATTGAAAAATAGTGAAACAACCTAAATACTCATTAATAGGAAACTGGTTATGGTGATTATGGTGGATCTATATGATTTATATATGCAGATAGGAAAAAATTTCCAAGATTAGTAAAATAAATACATTTAAAAACTAACAAAAATACATGTATGACTTTTCCTCTTTGTATAAAAGTGATATGCATACATATATATACACATATTCACCTGTATATACATGGAAATTATGAATGGATATACAATTAGTTGTACTTTGGAAAGGCAATGGAAGCAAAGTTAAGGATAATTTTTTATTGTTCTTATAACTTATAAAGTTTTAAAAATGTTTTAGGCAATAAAAATAAATGGCCATTATTTGGGACATTGTTGAATTAATTGTAACTTCTATATTGTATAATATTAAGAAATAATTAAAAAGAGTAAGTTAGGCCTTTGTAGTGGAATGGATAATGGCCACTTGATATCAGGTCCTAATACCTAAAACCTATATATAAAACTTTTTATGGGAAAACTTTGCATACGTGATTAAGATAAGGATCTCAAGATGAGGAGATCATACTGGATTATCCTGGTAGGCCCTACATGCAATCACATGTTTTCTTACAAGAGAGAGGCAGAGGGAGATTTGATAAAAACAGAAGAGGCAATGTGACTATGAAGGCAGAGATTGGAGTAATGCAGCCACAAGCCAAGGAATGCAAGTATACACAAGAAGCTGGAAGGAGCAAGCAACAGATTCTTTCTCCCCTAGAGCCTCCAGAGGGAGCACAGCTCTAACTACACCTTGATTTCAGCTCAGTGATGTTGATTTCAGATTTCTGGCCTCTACAACTGTGCAAGAATACATTTTTGTTGCTTTAAGCTTAATTTGTTGTAGCAGCATTGGGAAACTAACAGAGCCTTTATCATTTGATTTAGAGATTTTTTTGGCATATTGTAAGTGTGATAAGCAAGGCACAAATAAGGGAGGGAGGAAAAAAGAAGAAGAAGAAACCAAAGAGAAAACTGTAGAATAGTTCCTATGACACTAAACATTAAAACAATGTTTATGACTTAACCTCATTCCTTCAAAATTATGTATATATGTATTCACAAAGAGATTTGCAAATGGATTGTTATCAAAACAATAATGCTACTTATTTCATGGTGAAGGCAGGTGATTTTTAACTTCTTATATAATTTATTACAATAAGCATTAATTGTATAACCATAAAACAGTAAAAAAAGAGAAAAATGGAAAAAGTCTTTGTGAGGGTTGTCTTTGCCAAGGTAGCTTCAACAAGCATTCCTATTCACATGCTAATCCTTACAATGTGACATCAACACTCCCCCATTGAGAGGCGGAGTCCGTATTCTCTCTTCTTGAATCTGGAGGGTGTGTAAAAGAAGTCCAGCTACACTGAACCCACCATCCTGGAGATATTACATGGAGAAACCACATAAAGATAGAGATGCCCAAGGAACATCTAATATTCTAGTCCTAGTGATGAGTAGATAAAACAGCTTTCTGAGGGAAAAAAGAAGCCTTCATTTGTAGCATTTGCTTATGTGCATGGTCAATTTCAAGCTTCAACAATTGAAAGCTCATCTCACAAAATTCCTGAATGTTTAATAATTAGACCTTGTGAGTTGGTTCAAATTGGACCTACTGTCACCAAATTGAACTGGGATCTACTCACCCTGTGCAGTAAGGCCAAACATCCACATGGAGGTTTTGCAGTAGAAGAATGGAGGACTTTATTTACAGGACACCAAGCAAGGGGCATCAGGCAGCTCTCACTTAAGACTTCATCTCCCTGATGGCTTGCAAGCAAGAGTTTTTAAAGGCAGAGGTAAATTTCAGGAAAGCAGAAGTCTCAGGCAAAATTGTAAATCAACACATGGAGGTTACACATTGGTTTGGACTTTAAAAAGGCAAGATATCTTGAAGCGAGAGCTTACAGGTCACAGGGAGATTCAAGATTTTCTGATTTGCCATTGGTTAAGGAAGGGAAGCTTTCTAAAGGTTTGAGGTCAGCAGAAAAGAACATTGGGTCTGGCCCAGGGACGTGACTTCCTCCATGCCCTTCAGGAAAAAAATTAGAACAAAGAGCAACAGTTAGAGTTCAGTACTCAAGTCCCCCTTATGTGAAGTCTACATGCCAGTGGATTCATTTGGTGGGGGTCTGGGTTTCTGAAAAGCAACTCAGGGACATATGTTAACATATTATCTTTAGTTTCTATCAGGAACCAAACATCTCATGACTCTAACATCCTTGACTATTGTTTTAAGCTACTATTACGTTCTTGCTTATCAAGTTACTCATTTACCTCTGAGGGCTAGCTAAGGGCCTGAAATTTCCCTTGAAGGAATTCAAGATTTTCTTTTATTTCTATGCTTTGGGTGGGGTGTGTGTTGGGGGGGAGGGTGCCAGCAGGGGTCTCTGCTAAGGAGTCCCTGCTCCATCTCATTACCACTCCACCATCTAGCCTCCAGCTGTTTGTCTTTCCAATCCCAACACGAGACACCAGAGGGAATAAGTGAAATGACCTCAGTCCTGACCATAGTCTGATTGTAACCTCATTACAAACTTTACACTAGAACTGCACAGCTGAGCCACTCCTGAATTACTGACCCACAGAAATTGTGAGAGATTTGATAGCAGTCGTAATAACTGAAATTGTCTTCCGTGTTAAAGTCTTTGTAGTAATACCCGCTGGCAAGAAAATCGAGGGCCCTGTTAATCATTTATGTGGGAGCCACATTGGACCAAGAATTACTTCTTCAGGGGAATCTTTATCCTAACTGAGAGAACTCTCTCACCCACATCCTTAGGGTCTAGGGTGGGCGTTTTATTTAGGTATGTATCCTTGTCAAGCTCTCTACTTTCATGAGGATGTCGCCAGTTTGTCTCATGGTGAAAACTCTTCTCCCAATTGCCTATTGAAAATACTTACACTATACCCCAAACATATTTGTATGTATATCCTGACATTCTTGCCCTACAGAAGCCAGAGACACTGTCTCTGGGAACTGCCCTTAGTAATTCCAGGTTTTTTCTACATGAAAGTATATGTGTGCATTCTCAATTCTTATGGTGTAACTATATTTCCCACTGTTGCCATAAAGACCTACAACAACTTATTAATCACACTGTTGTCCCCTCCAAGTTTCCAGGAAATGTTTAGCTTAACGTTATCTGAAAATATGCAGATTTTTCTGTGCTCTTATCCATTAGAGTGTGATAGTTAACAACATGTAACCTGGAACCAAAATATTTGGATTTGATTCCTGGCTCTTCCATTTACTTACTGTAACTTTGTATGCAATTTATTAATCTCTTTGTATCTTGTTTTCCCCACACACAAAGGAGAAATTAAAAATTGAACCTGCATAAAGGATTGTTTATTAGGATTAAATAAAATTGCATATGCTGTGCCCTTTCACCACTGTCTGCCAAGATGGGACTCAGTAAATATTTGTCATTAGTTTTCATAGCATTTATGAAACTGTGGAATTAAAATGTTCTAAGCATTTTGGGTGATAGTAGGGGACAATAATTTCTATTTCTTCAATCTAAGAAGTACGCGTGTGTGCCTTCAGCTTTCACAAAACTGAGAACAGCCTATCAAGGTTACATGTCCAGAAATACCTGCCCACCTCACCCACCCACAAGGCCCACCCCAGGGTTACAAAGCTTTCCTACCATCTGCCACTTCCACAGATTATGACATTGTAAGGTGACAGCCAGAAGGCAAATCTGAAGACTGGGATACACAATCCATGAAATCATTTACACTAATTAACCCTTTAGCTCCAATTAGCTGGGCAGATTGGCAATCTGCTCACAGTCATGTCTACCCATTTAAGAAGTAGTGATTATGGGTCCAATATATGCTTGGCTCTGGATTACAGATGTCAATTAGAGATGGGTAGGCATAGTTTCTACCATTGGGAAGTGCACAGATCAAGTTACGACACGAGGAAATCAAGTGGAGTTCAGAATACAGATTATCATAAAGACGGGAACAGGTATTGAATAAGAGGGTATTGAAGAATTCACACTCATCATGAGTAGATTGGAGAGAGGTGGTCAAGGCTGGGAGGATATTCAGCATCAACATCTCTTTCAAGATTTTATCCAGAATTGTTTCTATGTGTGTCTGCAGGCTGCCAAATTTAAATTACTTTTCTGTCAAGTATTGGATTCCTAATATATGAAGATAACCCACACAATGTAAAATAGTCATTAAGTTATGCTGCATTTATCCTGGGAGGGACCAGGAATTGAGAAGGGGGAAAACTCAAAGTGTGAACTAACATCAGTAAGAGAGATCTTTTAAAAGATAACTTGCTGTCAATATATGTGGAGAGATTTCCTGATTTGCATTTGGGCACATAAACTAACGAAAACACCTCTAAAAATTTATCCCAGTAACAACCCCTATGTGCTGCTGTACACTATGCTTTACACACTTCCGTCAATTAATGCTGAAACCATTCTAGGAGATATTCCATATTCCCAGTTTCACTGAGAAGGGAACTGAGTCTCAGGAAAGTTAAACTAATTGCTCAAGGTCACATAGCTCATATGCTGCTGAGTAGAAATATTGAACCCAGATTTTTCTCCCAAGGCCAAAGATTCTTTTATGAGAGAGGCTCCCTGCTAGCATTCATCCAACTAGGAAATGAAAGATGCATGAATTGTTATTTCACACACATCCCACCACTGTCTATGCTTCTACTTCCTCCATTCAACAGGCAAAGCCAATTTGGTGCACATCTGATGCCTTGCTTGAATTTCTTTTGGAAGGCATAAACGATGACGTTAGTACCAACTGTTTTGAGCAGCTGCAGAAAATCATTAACCCAAATTGCTCATTACACCTTTATAGACACCAAGCAAATCTGCCTGCTAAACACAGATATAAATATAATGGGTAATAATGGTGATGAGACATGATAAAAATAAGCAAGGCTGAAAGGGGTGGAAAAGAGCTTCAGAAGGAAGTTCTCCCTATTATAGTTTGCCTTGTCCACAAAGGGCACAAAAGACTCAATTTTTTAAACATATTTTGAACAAATTTATCCCACCACACCTAAATCAGAAGCTTGGCTTCTTTTCACTGACTGCATTATTGTAAACAACAAAGAGGGAAAAAATCTCACTTGGGGCAAAAGAACAGATTAAAGAAAAGCTGTTTTAGAAGCCTTCGTAAAATTAATAGTAGCTGCCATTTCATGGCTGGAAAGTTATCTCTGACACACAGGACAGACGTCAGTGTGGGTGAGGGGACAAGCCAGCATTGCCTTTCCACAGAAAGACCTTGAATGAAGGATTTGCTGCCAACTAGAACGCAATAGGGTCCAGGCTAGCCTTCCTTCTCTAGAGCTGCTCTGAGTGGCAGTTTGAATAGCCCTGCCAAATCCCTCTGCTTTGCTCTTTCTAAAAAAAGAACAAGTGGAAAGATGTGGCGAGTCAGAGCAACAATCCACGCCTCAGCAGATTGCAGTGCCACTGCAGATGTTAATATTTTTAATGTCAATGTGGAGGCTCCTGTTTGAAATTCAGTGGGGAACTAAAATTAATGTAAGCCTGCTTAGGAATGTCAAATGAATGTTCATCATATTCAAGAGAGTGTTTGTGCAACTTGAAAATGATGGCAATAAAAAGTGGAGGGCTCAGGCTGATAATCACTTTTTTTTTTTTAGGAATAAGAGCAAGTATTTGAAGGTATTTGTGAAAAAAATACACATTGTGGAAGAAATTGTGGAAAGAATAGGTGCATGTCTTGCTGGGAAAAAAAAATAAAGAATGCATGCAAAGGCTTTACATGATAGTGGGCAATTTGATTTTTTAAAAGAGAATATTTTGGAAGATTAGGGGGAAAATGACCCCAATTCTCCACCTCTCCCTGTCTATACATTCCTTGAAATGTGATTTTGCATCTCTTCCTATCAAGATGTGGATTCTCTTTCTGCCCCCCTTAAATTTGGCTAGCCTTGTGACATGCGTTGGCTAATAGAAGCAGCAGAAATCACCAGATGCCATCTCCAGGCCCAGGCTTCAAGAGACCTTGCACAGATTCACAATCTCTCTGGGAATCTTGCCACAAGCATCAGAAAAACTTGGGTTTACCACTAGATGGACCCAACAGAGCCAAGTACCCCAGCTGAGGCCCTCCTAGACTGGCCAGCCCCCAGCTGATCACTGCAGTCACGGGACTGAGGCCTGTTGATATCGGCCAAGCCCAGCCTAGATAACAGAACTGCCCAGTTGTACCATAGATTTTGAGAAATAATAAATAAATCTTGTTTTAAGGCACTAGGTCTTGAAGTGTTCTGTTTCATAGCAATAACTAACTTGAAACAGTATGTATCTATAAGATACTAAACTTAGTGTTAGATAAAGTTTTGAGGAAAACTGAACCCCTGGGTACAGGAATAAAAACAACCCTTTTTACATAATGATTCTGCAGTTATTTCTTAGAGTCTATAAATGGTTACAGTTGGAGATGGACCATGTAAGAGATTATACCATATATCTGACATTAATTCATGTCCTTTTGCAGAAATCTGTTTCTTCCTTCCCTAGTTAAAATTTCCAACCTAATTTAAACGGTAGGTTTTCTACTAGAAATCCAGCTGAGGTCTGAACAGGACCTAATCTGAAATGAGGTCTCATTTGGCATTTTAAAAGCTATAATTTGACATAATTAGCCATTCTTGTCGGTGCTGTGTGTCACCTTAACCACGATCTTGTGTAACTGGTAGAAGTGAGTTTATAAAGTTCTTCAGCATTTTAAATAGCTTTTCTCCTAATCAAGAAATACAGGGGGAAAATAAGATAAGGAGTGAATATTAACAGTGGAAACCACGGTTTGCTATTTTACCTGTGAAAACTGATTTCCTTCTGGCCTTTTTAAACTTCTTTAAAATAGCTAACTCAGTTTCCTCTATTTACCTTGCTTAAAGAGAATCTTAAAGCATATCTGCTAAGAGCAAAATGAGTAGAAATCTGAGTTATTCTTTCCCTAGGAACACTCCAACCTCTGACACAGATATTCTTTCTCCCTTCTTAAGTTCCAAAACATCCACTATTCAGTGGCATAACAAAGTGTTAAGTCTGGTTTAGTCACTTAGTTAATAAAATGATGTGAGTCATGCTTCAAAATTTGAGTTTAAATCATATATATTAAATAATAATTCAGTTAATCTCATCTACCTCACTGCTTCCAAATATTGTTTTCACCCTAAGACACTGAGAAATCTCTTTAAAACTAATTTTTGGGAAAGACATTGCTCTTTAAGCTCACAGCAATAAGGATAGGTTTTGGGCTTACATATTTTACAGCTAAATGATACTTGCCATTTGCATATCATTTAAACATTTTTTTAAATCTAATTTTCTTTTTTTGTAACTCTTGGTGAGCTAGCAGCACCCTTCCAGGCACAATGCAAGCAATTCAGGCTCACCTTTGATACCTACCTTCTAGTTCTCCAAAATCAATTTGTGATAAATTTTATGACAAATACATTTTTAAAATGCTTATTTAACGGAGGTTTGGGAGCTTTAACTAAATAATGAAAAAGAAAAATAATTGCTGAGTCTAAAAGATATTGATGGATTTATTATGTTGCAAAATTCTGCTTATTCTTTCAATATATGGTATTAGCTGAATATTTATAGCTATGTCAACACATAGTTTCAATGATATATAAATATATGTGAAATGCATATTTTGTACATATAAATTTTGAAGGTTATTATTAAAGTAAAACAGAACTTAAAGTTAGAAAAAAAATCAAAAATTGTTGAAGAAATTAGAACAATACTCTATGAAAGCACGATTTGATTGCTTTTCATGTGCATGTCTCTTCACATAGAAGGACCAAACAGACTAATCACAAGTATTGCTTTTATTTTTGACACTGTCAGAACCTCACTAAGAAGCCATAGACATTTATTTACCCTCTTTGTGCCCCATGTGTTAAATAGGTGTGCTAATCATTTCCACTTACTGCACTAGGAGTTGGAAACTCAATTTAAAAAACAAATCTTACTCAAAATATCTTACTACTTGGAAGATATTTTGAGATACTTGACTCAAAGGCTGAATGTGCAGTTATGGTTTCCAAATGCAGACTCAAATCAGCTGTGCCAATTTTGAGGGACTGAAATCTGTTTATATTCTCAGTGTCTTTTTATTCAAATTTTTAAGTTTTTTTTATTAACTTTAATTATAAAATTAATCTGTGTTTAATTGGTGCCTCTCACCTTCTACTCACCCTGCAATCCCCTTCAGTCTGGGTCTTCCTCTCCTCTGGGACTGTGATTAAAGTCCCAATGACGGTCTTAAAATATGTCCAAAAATATTTTGGCACTCATCGAGTAGTGAGGTGTTATCTATACCTCCTCCTTTTGAATCTAATCAGGCTCATGACTCATTTCTCAATTCCTCTCAAATACTTAGACACAGAGAGAAGCATGTGGAAATCAGCCTACCTCTGAGGAAGTAGAAGTGAAATGTCCATATATTCCAAGACATCAAAGTTTCAGGCAATGACTACCCTCAGGGAAAGAAAAGAGATGAATGGGGAAATGAAAGAAAGCAAATACTTACAAGCAAAACCAAAAAGTTACTAAAACAAGTGATCCCCAGTAATAAACCAAAAGGATCTCCATAGTTGCCACAAATTTCTGAATCCTTTAAAAAGATGGGTGTCTCTATTAATAAGGAGACTGCTTTGTCCTGTGGTACTTGTCCTGAGAATTTAGACAACCCAGACAAGGGAAGAGGTTTCGGTGCAGAGGTGAAAGGAGATAGATATTTCTCCACAACATATGAAGGAGCATTAGGTTATCTCTTGGCATCTCTGTAGAGTAGATTTCTGTGTTCCTACATAGTTATTTTCCTAGTATGGAGAAAAGCAAATGCCAGCCACATGAAAAAGAAAGGAGAGTGAAGGAGAGAAAAAGAGAATTAATGATAGGGTATCAGGATGCAAAAACCCTGCAAGTCTGGTGAGCCAGGCTTGCGCCTTGCTCTGGAGCAGGAAGCTCTGAGGAGCCAAAACTCTTTGTCAATAGAATCAGAGATCAGTAGAAAAACGCATTGCTGATTTTTTAAAATTTCTTTAGCTTAACAGATATAGCTTATGGAGACTCTTTTCATGTGAAAGACCCTTCAATATTATTTTTGGGATGTTAGTAACAGCCACAAGTACAGCTTCTCTGGGAATTACTTTTCCCTGTAGACTCTCAAAATAAAGGACACAGAGAAAGAAGGAACAGAAGAAGAATGGAAAGACGTGGAAGAAAATAGTGAGAGATGGAGAAAGGGAGAGGGAGAGGAAGAAAGGAAAGAAGAAAGGCTACAGAGACCCAAATGAGGAATGCAATGCCATTCACAATTGCCACCAAAAGAATACAATACCTAGAAATACAGCTAAACAGGAATGTGAAAGATCTCTAAGATGAGAATTACAAAACACTGTTCAAATAAATCAGAGATGACACAAACAAATGGAAAAACATCATATACAAAAATTAATTCAAGATGAATTAAAGACTTAAATGTAAAATTTAAAACTATAAAAACCCTGGAAGACAACCTAGGCAATACCATCCTGGACATAGGAAAGGGCAAAGATTTCATGACAAAATCTCCAAAAGCAATTGCAACAACAACAAAAAAATGGACAAGTAGACCTAATTGAACTAAAGAAGTTCTGCACAGCAAAAGAAACTATCAAAAGAGTAAGCAGACAACCTACAGAGAAAATAATTGCAAACTATGCATCTGAAACTGGTCTAATACCCAGCATCTATAAGGAACTTAAACAAACACACAAGAAAAAAAACAACTCCTTTAAAAAGTGGGCAAGGACATGAACAGACACTTCTCAAAGGAAGACATACATGCTGTTAACAAGCATATGAAAAAAAGCTCAATATCACTGATCATTAGAGGAATGCAAATGAAAACTACAATGAAATATCGTCTCACACCAGAATGGATATTATTAAAAAGTTTAAAAAAAAACAGTTGCTGGTGAGGTTGTGGAGAAAGGAGAAGCCTTACACATTGTTGGTTAGAGTGTAAATTAGTTCAACCATTGTGGAAAGCAGTGTGGCAATTCCTCAAAGAGATAAAAACAGAACTACCATTCAATCCAACAATTCCATTACTAGGTATATACCCAGAGGAATATAAATTATTCCACCATAAAGACACATGCACGTGAATGTTCATTGTAGCACTATTCACAATAGCAATGACATGGAATCAAACCTAAATGCTCAATGACAGATTAGATAAAGAAAATGTGGTACATGTACACCATGGAATACTATGCAGAGATATAAAAGAATGAGATCATGTCTTTTGTGGGAATATGAATGGAGCCGGAGACCATTATCCTTAGCAAACTAATGCAGGAACAGAAAACCAAATATTGAATGTTCTCACTTACAAGTGAGAGCTACAAGATGAGAACTCATGGACACAAAGAGGGAAACAACAGACACTGGGGCCTGCTAGAGGGTGGAGGGTGGAAGAAAAGAGAGGGACAGAAAAAATAACTGGGTACTAGGCTTAATACCTGGGTGATGAAATAATCTGTACACAACCCCCCATGACATAAGTTTACCTATATAACAAACCTTCTCATTTACCCCTGAACCTAAAATAAAAGTTAAAATAATAAATTAAAAATAAAGAATAGAAGAGTGGCTACAGAAGGAAAGGGGAGAAAGAGGCAACACACAGGAAGGACGTTTGTTGGTTTATAAGTCCCAAGAAATACGGCAGCTCTGCCTTTCCAGATTTCACGGCTGTGTAGCTATTAAGGTGCATTCGGCTCAAGACACATAATTCCAGTTTCTTCATCTAACTTGGCTCTTTCAGAAGCACCTTGGATTGTCAGTGATCCTTAACCCTATCAGGAATGAAATGCTAAATTATGAAAGTCATGTTTAATATTAAGTACATAAATACTTTTGCCACTATTTCTATTTGTTTTCCCTGCTCTATGCATACGGATTAATACAGAATTATATTAATAATAAAAGGAAGGCTATAGTTAACTAATAATAAATATATTATATAAATTATGTATTATTTAGTTATAATAAACATTCAAATAAGGGGAGGTGACCAGGCAGGTTATGCTGTCTCTACAGTACCTGGTACCACACCTGGGTAGGGTGAGCAATTGGTCCTAGTTTGCCTGTTTTCCTGGTTTGGAAACTGAAATTCCCACATCCTAGGAAGACTCTTCAGTCCTGGGCATACCTGAAAGGAAACAAACCTCCTTCCTCTTTTAGTGGGCCAGGAGAGGTAAGGTGATATAAGCCCTGAACATCCTCCTTCAAGTACAACAATGACCGTCTGTTCTCCAATGACAGCAGAAGCCCAGAGAAACAAGGATTTCCACCTGAGCCGAAGTTCAAAGACCTCTTCTCTCCCAGGAACAAATCTGAATCCGAAAGCATCACACTCTGAGGAAACGCCAATTTCAGAGAAAATGGAGTATGGCAGCGTTTTTGCCTCTCAGAAAAGCTAGACTGATAAAGAGGATGAGAAAGAGGGTGGGGTGCTCCCAAATGGAAACCACTGGTTGCATCTCACCTCCAAAAAAGATCTCTCTCATGTGCACTAGAGCAAGTGTTCCTAAGTGCCTGTCCTGAAAACAGAGTAAGTAGAGAAAACAGGTAGAACTTTAGAATCAATACAATTCATATTTTCAGAAATATTCTAAAAGAAATTGCTTTCATCACAATCATCAACTGAAAAGCATGTGCCTTAAACATCTTGAAAACAAGGACAAATTTGGAGGGCCTACACTACCTAATTGTGAGGCTTACTATAAAACTACAGTAATTAAGAGTACAGGATTGGCATAAGAATAAACAAACAGATAAATGGAACAGAATAAAACCAGATATACACATACATATGCACCATTATAATGCAATGGGAAAAGAAACATCTTTTCAACAATGACTCTGAAACAATTGAATATCTGTGGAGAAAAATAAAACACCTCAATTCCCATCTCACACTATATGCAAAAAATAACATCTGGATTATAAGCCCTAATATCAAGACTAATCAGTTTCTTTGAAGTTAATACAGAAACATTTTTACAACTTTATAGTAGGAAAGACTTCTTAGAATACAAAAAGTGGCAACTATAAAGAAAAAATTCATGATCTCATAAAAACAAAAAATTTCTCATTACTCATAACATTAAGAAAATGAAAAAGAATTGTAAGTCATCAATCAGGAAAAAATATTGGCAAAATTATTTGAAAAAGGATCTGTATGGAGGATATATAAACGATGTCTATAAGTAATTAAAAGATAAATGTGCCAATAAAAATGGGCAAAATATTTGAGATACATTACAAATATATATATATGTATAAAAATAGTCAGTAAGCACATAAAATGATGCTCAACATTACTCATCAAGGGAAGGTAAATCAAAACCACAGTGAGATAACCACTATATACACAAAATTTAAAAGATTATAAATTCAAATGTTGGTGAAGATGTGAGTAAGTAGAATTCTTATTGCGGATGGATGTTAAAAATAGTACAACTGCTTTAGAAAAGTTTAGTATTCTTTTTTTTGTTTTTTGTTTTTTTGTTTGTTTGTTTTTTTGGGACAGAGTCTCGCTCTGTAACCCAGGCTAGAGTGCAGTGGCGCGATCTCAGCTCACTGCAAGCTCTGCCTCCCGGGTTCACGCCGTTCTCCTGCCTCAGCCTCCTGAATAGCTGGGACTACAGGCGCCCACCACAACGCCCGCCCGGCTAATTTTTTGTATTTTTAGTGGAGATGGGGTTTCATCGTTTAAGCCAGGATGGTCTCGATCTTCTGACCTCGTGAGCTGCCTGCCTCGGCCTCCCAAAGTGCTGGGATTACAGGCGTGCACCACTGCGCCCGGCCCAAGTGTAATAGTTTTTTACACAAATTTATACCTAATTTATGACCCTGAAAGTTTATTCTGAACTGCCTACCCAAGAAAACTGAACTGCATGTCCTCAAAAAGATTTGTACAAAACAATTTTTTTTGCAATTTTCATAATAGACATATTGCAGCAATCATCAAATATCATAAACTGGAAACAATCCAAATGTTAATCAGGAGAAAATGGGTAAGTACGTTGTATTATATTCATACAGTACGAATTTCTGATTACCAATCAGTAATAAAAGGGAACTATTGGTGCACAGCACAAAACAGATGAAACTCAAAAATATTATGTTGAGAGAAATAAAACATACACAAATGAGGATACATTATATGATTTTATTCATATGAAACTCAGAAGCAGGCAAAACTAACTATGGATCAAAACAGTGGCTGCCTCTGGGCAAAAGGGAGATCACCTGGAAAGGGACACAGGAGACTTTTGGGAATGCTAAATATCTCTGATGTTTTGACTAGAATGTTAGTTATGCAGGTGTTAAATATTTGTCACACTCATCAAACTGCACAATTATGCTTTGTCCATTTTATTGTATGTTATTAATCTAAAAATTTTTGTATTTTTATGTCAGTAGTTTTTGGTGTACAGGTTACCCCAAAACTTATTTTGATGAGTTCTTTTGAGATGAATTCAGATATTTTAGTGCACCCATCACCCAAGCAGTGTACACTGTACCTATAGGTTTTTATCACTCACCCCCTAAAAACTGCCCCCTCAACCAGTCCCCAAGTTCATTATATCAGTCTGTATGTCTTTGTGTCCTCACAGTTTAGCTCCCACTTATTAGTGAGAACATATGGTATTTAGTTTTTCACTCTTGAGTTACTTCATTTAGAATAAAGGCCTCCAGATCCATCCAAGTTGCTGCAAAAGACATTATTTCATTCCTTTTTATGGCTGAGTAGTATTCCATAGTGTATATATGCCATATTTTCTTTATCCATTCGTTGGTTGATGGGCACTTAGGTTGGTTCCATATCTTTCTAAAATTTTTTTAAAGTTTATCCTTAATACAGAGGTTTGTTAATATAAGATTCAAAAGAACAAAATGGAGAAAGAAGAGACAACTCTACTACATAAACGTATCTAAATAAATGAATATATATAGTCATAAACAATAAAAAGATAAAAGCCTGTAAATTAATCATATTTAATGTATAGCTATATAATGTGTTTTCCAAATCCACACCTAAATATATCTCAGTAAAAAGGTAAAGCATCAAAGAAAAAAAATTAACCCTAAAAGACCCGTGAATAATATGTGTGGCAGATGATGTAGATTAACTACAAAAGAATAAGAAACTGACTGAGGCCTAAATTATTGCTCACAACTCTTAATGCATAAAGGAATACATTAAAATGAGTGTATCAATGATGTAAGTGACATTAAAATGAAATTCTATGTACAGATAATATAACTTTCAAGAGTGAAAGCAAAGTACCAGAGGAACCCCAGCAAGAATTAATCCAAAAGGATGAAAAGAGAGGCAAGGTAAACAAAGAAGTTAAATTTTTATTATATAGCCATTAAATATGTGTAAATAACTTTCTCAAATTAACTTCAGGTAAGTCCATTTTTATAATTGTGATGGGTGAAGAAAAGAAGAGAAAACCAAAAGCTCATTAAAATTTGCATTTGGACTATGGTATAGATATTGAAAATTCTAGATGTTGACAGAAAAGTAAATGTTTAATTATGTGTTTTAGAAGTATTAGAACCAGAGTAATAATGGAAGAAATTTTGCAAACAATTTACAAAAAAAAGGGAAAATATATATTTTTCCTGCTATATGAATATATATATATATATATATATATATATATATATATATATATATATATGTTCTTCCCTGCCATATTTGTATTTTTCCCTGCCATATATATGAAAGAAGGAAGGGAAGGTGAAGGGGAAGGGGAGAAAGAGGGAAGGAAGGAAGGAAGGGGAAGGAAGGAGGGAGGGAAGGCAAGAAAGAAAGAGAGAGAGAAAAGGGAAGGAAGAAAGAAAAGAAGGAATGAAAAGAAAGAAAGAAAAAAAGGAAAAAAGCCCTACAGCTCCATGAAGAAAAGACTGATTCTAAGTTGGGGAATGAAAATATAAAAGATGAGCCTAGAACATCTTGTAGTGCCAGTGTTCAAAGTGAGGACATGCTTAAAACACATAGAAAAAAGACATAGGAACTAACTGAAACAATGTCCGATTGCCAAATTTGAAACAATTTGAGCAACACAATAAATAAAACAGTACTGGAATATACCCAAGAATATGGACTTTATTTTATACTTTGATGACAACAGATCAAAAGGGGAATGAAGGGAGAATATAGTGAAACCAATGTGACAAACACTATCTATGCTATGATCAAGTTTAACATTGTCAATACATACCAATGCATGTACTCTTAAATCAGACATACAAAAATAATGTTTTACCTCCATGGTCTTCCTTACCAACAACTTATATGCACCATCTAGTCACAGGAAAAACGTTAGGCAAATCTAAAGTCAGGTAAATCTCCAAATGTGTCAAGGTCATTAAAATTAAAAAAGGTCGGCCAGGCGCGGTGGCTCATGCCTGTAATCCCAACACTTCGGGAGTCCAAGGAGGGCGGATCACAAGGTCAGGAGTTCAAGACCAGCCTGACCAACATGGTGAAACCCAGTCTGTACTGAAAAAACAAAAACTAGTTGGGCGTGGTGGCGCACGCCTGTAATCCCAGCTACTCAGGAAGCTGAGGCAGAATGGTTTGAAGCCAGGAGGCGGAGATTGCAGTGAACTGGGATTGCACCCTTGCACTCCAAGGCAGGAGAACTTCTTGAGGCCAGGAGTTCAAGACCAGCCTGGGCAACAAAATGAGACTCCATCTTTATAAAACAAAACAAAACAAAACAAGGCAGCATTGATGGCATGCATGAATAGTCCCTGCTACAGAAAAGGCTGAGGTGAGAGGATCACTTGAACCCAGGAGCTCAAGGCTGTAGTGAGCTATGATCTCACCACTGCACTCCAGCCTGGGCAACAGAGCAAGACCGTGTCTGAAAAGAAAAAAAATTACTTACATTAATGAAAACAACTGCAGTAAAAACCACAGGTATGTGTGTGTGTTGAAAGGTACTTCAACCATTAAAAAAAATCTAGAGTATAAAAATCTGTTGACTACTACAATGTGATAAAAGAAGTGGAAACTGGAAACACTGGAAAATAAAAACTCTCCAAGAAAATAAAGCAAAAGGTAGAGAGATGGAAAACAGAAGAGAAACAATGAGAAAACTGGAAATTAGTGCAATAGGTAATATCCAATTAAATAAGCATTCTAAAATAGAGAAAATTGAAAACCAAAGGGGAGGAAATTAAAAACAAAACAAAACAAAAATTACAAACAAACAATCAGGAGCTAAAAATGGCCTTGGAATTCTCAACAATAACAATGGGAGCTTGGAGACAATGAAGTAACGCCTTCCAATTACTGAAGGGAAATAATTTTCCAAAAGAAAAAGTATTCTATACTCAACAAATTCTATATCCAACCAAATTATCAATGAAGTGTAACATTTAAAAATTGTATTTTTAATCCTGCAAGTTCTCTAAATGTTTTCTTCCATTTATCATTTCTTTAAAAGGCACTCTGCTCAATGAAACTTAAGGAATACATCAGAAAGTAGAAGGAAGCAGGAAAAGGAAGTTACAACAGAGGAGAAAAGCAAAAGAAATTTCCCATGATGAAAGCTATTGACCAGACATGGGGGACAAGCCAGTTGATATCAGAGTAGGTCAAAAATATTTTAGCTAAGATTTCTTAGAAGATGAATTAGAGCAAATCGGTGACGCATCTAAAAGTCTTGCTATCTAGACAACTTTTGGAGAGCTTAGGCTGAACTAATGATAAGTATCTAAATTTAAAATCAGTGAAAAGAAACAAGCCAATATTTAACTTTGTGCGACAAAAGAAAGCATACAGGGAAAAAAACGTATTCATAGCATTACATGACTCAGCATTAAATAATGCTCACACAGTAATACAAAATGCAAGCACTGAATATTGATCTGTTTAAAATTATGATATTGGGAAGATAAAAGCATATGAAGGATGTGAGTCTGACTTGGGATGGGAGGTGGGGAGGAGGAGAGCTAAATTATCATTGTTGTAAGGTTAATTCAAACATATTTAAGTAACTATATATAAAAATATCTAATAAATATTATTTAATATCAACTATCTAATATCAAAATAAACAGACAAAAGACTTAGAAGTGGTTACTTAAGGAGATGGAAGAAGTGGTCAATTTTCTTAAGATTATACACAATTATATATATAACCATCCTTATAAAATTCCTTAACTATATTAGTGTATAACTTAATACAAATGCTTAAAGTAAAAGTAAAGTTGGCATAATCTCACTAGTAATGGCAGGAATGCAAATTAAAAGGAAATAGTATTCCCCCAGTCAGATTTACAAAATTAAAACCTTTGAAATTATAAAGTGCTGGTGAGGATGCATGAAAACAAGTACTATCATAAGCTGCTGCTGATATAAATACAGCCACATTAGAGAGCATTTTGATGACATTAAAATACAACTAAAAAAAAACACATACCCTAAAAGTTGACATAGCAATTATACTGTTAAGTATTTACTCTCAGAAAATCATCAGAACAAGTATACAACAAGACATGTTTTTGCAGTATTTTCTGTAAAAGAGAAAAAGAAAAAACAATTTAAATATCTACCAATAAGGAAATAGATAAATAGAACATAATATGTCTATATTGTGGAATAATCTGTCAAGGGATTAGATTAAATCACTATAAAAAAGAAGCTTTTCAACTTTTTTTTTTGAGACGGAGTCTTGCTGTGTCGCCCAGGCTGGAGTGCAGTGGCGCAATCTCGGCTCACTGCAAGCTCCGCCTCCCGGGTTCACGCCATTCTCCTGCCTCAGCCTCCCGAGTAGCTGGGACTACAGGCGCCCACCGCCACGCCCGGCTAATTTTTTATTTGTACTTTTAGTAGAGACGGGGTTTCACCACGTTAGCCAGGATGGTCTCGATCTCCTGACCTCGTGATCCGCCCGCCTCGGCCTCCCAAAGTGCTGGGATTACAGGCATGAGCCACCGCGCCCGGCCCTCAAATTTTAAATGAGATTTATGATTTAAAAAAAAACAAACAATCAAAACTACATTTTACATTATGACCTAGAACACACATCTATACACATGGATTCCTAAACAAATGCATTTCTATATTTTCCATTCTATATTATACTATTTGTTACTGAACCAAACTTGCATCTGCTCACCCAGTGCAAAGAAGAAGCTCAACACTGACATGGAGATTTGCGGCAAGAGAAAGTGAAGCATCTATTGTAGGGAGCCAAGCAAGGCAACCTGGCAGCTAATGTTTAAGATGCAAACTCCCTGGTGGCTTACAAACGAGGGTGTTTTAAAGGCAGAGGGGAAGGGGGTTTCAAAGTGAGTTAGGAGCCATCATTCTCAGCAAACTATCTCAAGGACAAAAAACCAAACACCGCATGTTCTCACTCATAGGTGGGAATTGAACAGTGAGAACACTTGGACACAGGAAGGGGAACATCACACACCGGGGCCTGTCGTGGGGTCGGGGGAGCAGGGCGGGATAGCATTAGGAGATATACCTAATGTAAATGACGAGTTAATGGGTGCAGCACACCAACATGGCATATGTATACATATGTAACAAACCTGCACGTTGTGCACATGTACCCTAGAACTTAAAGTATAATAATAATAAAATAATTTTTTAAAAAGTGAGTTAGGAGCTAGGAAATTTCTGGAACTTCCTTATCCATTTTTTGGTTCCAGTCTGCCTGAGGTCTATGTGACAACAGTTGACATTTTCCATCAGGTAGGGGTCCTCGTTTCTCAGAAACAACTCGAGGATATATGTCAAGGTGTTATCTTTAGTTTCTATAGCAAAACAAACATCTTGTGGCTCTGGCTTACTGGAGTGGCTATTCTTTATCTTCTTACTTAGTAGGTTATTCATTCACTTCTGTAATTGCTGGCTGTAGGGCTAGCTATATGCGTGAAATTTCCTTCAAGGGACTCAAAATTTTTCCTTTTTCTCCATACTAGGGGTGTGGAGTCTAGCAGGCCCCTACAGGGGGCCTACACCATCTCACATTCTTATTTACTTTATTCTCTTTAATAAAAACTAATACCGTTAATATGACTCACCAAATTGATTTCATAATAAAAATAGGAGAGAGTATAAAGGTCATCCAGGCCAAAATATGCACTATGGTAGCTATTGACCACATATGGCTATTGAGCATTTAACATGCAGCTGGTCTTCACTAAAATGTGTTATAAATGCAAAATACACACCACATTTCAAAGCGTTAAAAAATAAAATGTAAAATATCTCATTAATAATTTTATTGATTATTGCTGAAATATTTTATATGTATTGAGTTAAATAAAATATATTAAAATGTATCTCACCTATTTCCTTTTTTAACATGGCTATTAGAAAATTTAAAATTATGTGGTTTACATTATATTTGTTTTGGACAATACCGGTCTAGATTATACAGACATTGTCCCTCCAATTTCCTTAGCTTATATAATTGTAAATTTACTAAGACTTTAGTGATCTCCACAGTATAAAACATGTAGATTTATAATCCTGAAACTTGGAACTAGAAAATGCTCTCCAAGTTTCATTCCGATAATTTGGTTTCCCATAAAATTGCCCTCAGGGGGGAAAAATGTGTTGGTTAGAATGACATGTATTTCTGATCTGCCTGACAGTTCCACTTTTTATTGTAAATCAGTGAAATGACTTTATTTTTGTTGGTATTTTGTGCCTTTTGTGAGCATGTGTCAGCACCTCTGAATTAATTCTGCTGAATGAATTAAAACAAGACTGAGGAGCTAAATTGAAGACTACGGGCCACAATAAAATCATCAAAGGTGCAGTTCTCAAATATTAATGCTTGAGAATCATCTGATTGGCTACTTGAAACACAGATTGCTGCGCCCCATTACCAGAATTTCTGATTCAGCAAGTCTGGGGTGAGGCCTAAGAGTCTGCATTTCTAGCAAGTTTCTCAGGATGCTTGTCCAGGCATCATAAGCTAACAAAGATTGATCAAAGCAAATGCTTTATTTTAGGAGGGATCTAAGTGGTCAGTTGGTCTTCCTCAGATGATACCACCTGGAGAAGTATCATCTTATTGTGCTTATTGTATTGTATAACTTATTTCAACTTTTGTATCACTAATTCCCTTGTAATCTTTGGTAAATCACTTTATATCACCAGGATTCAGTTTCCTCAATTATAAAATGTGGGATTTCATGTATAGGTAGAGATTTCTTGTTGTATCTCTAAAGATATTTCTATTGCCTCCATTGTCCCCTTCTTCCTTGGAAAAAGAAGCCCATTTTTAGATGGCAACAGAAATAACACTCTGTATTTCCAAGTTTCCCTTGCCTCTCTCTAGACCTGTTAAATCAAATGCAAATTCACGTGCTGTGTGGGACTCTTAGCCTGGCAGATTCAGCTGATGGGTGCTCTCTTCTTGCTTTTTGCCTTTATTCCTTCTTTCAACAGTCATTTTATTTATTATGAAGTAATATGGAACATTGAAGCTATGTATAAAAATGGTAGAGCAGGAGGATAGAAATTTGTCACTGAAAACACTGTGGAAACAACATCCCAGCCCCAGAATGGCCATCTCCAGGTTGACCTTATAAAAGAAATACATTTCCACATAATTTGTCACCATTGTATTTCTCCTATAAACAGCTGGAACCTATTGATAAACTTAAGACAAATGTTCTATTAAGAAGTTAGTCAACATTTTAAAACACAGAATCTCCCATACAGGGTTTCCATTAAACTTGGTAACATACAATACTCTATTATTCTTATACAGATTGAAAAGGTCCTTGATGACATTATATAGCCACCTGTGTTTCCAGAGTTTCTAGACATCCTGTATTTTATGTCTTTCCCAAGACATCCTGGCTTCCATACGACATTATGTTTACTTTTAAAAAACACTTTTACATTCATTATCCTGAAGCCTTTCAAATCACCAATGATGTTCATCTCACATTCATCCATTAAATACTTCTGAGGAACAACTATATTCAAAAGCCCAGGAAAATGTTAAGTTAGAAGCATTTGAAAAGGGAAAATTCAGAAGAACCCATTGTTAAAGGGAAGGAAAAATGTTGCAGTCAGTTACTAGAAATAAAATGAATTATGTCAGTAAACTAAGGAAGAACTATATAAAGGTGAGCAGACTTCTAGAAAGAGACAAAATAGAGTAGAAACTGGGTGTGTTCTATTATTTGACAGCAGCAGAAAAGCAAGCCAAGAACAGTGGGCCTCTTAACCAGCTGAATGAAGATCGATCCAGAAAGGAGGTAAAATTGGGCATAGTCTACATTGCCAGTGGCTCTGCCTATGGAGGCTAGTCTTAAGGCATTGACAATATAATGGTAAAAACATCTCATGATCAACAACTAATAAGTAATTAGAAATGGAGTTACACTTTGCCTTTGGGAAAGGGTCTATCCAGGAGTTAAGATAAAGTTGTATCACAAATGATGAAATATTTTACATTATTAACTATAAAACAATTAGATAAAGTTTCTGAGTTTGGTGTTTATCTTTTCTTCCTTCTTTGGGTTTTGCTTTAAATCAGCAGGTACAGTAAGTCATGAACCTGTATATCCAAGTTCCCACAGATATTGCTATAGGGCCACCCACAGAGGACAATGAGAGAATGTGAAGTCAGCAGAAATATGAGTGAGGTCTTAAGAATCTTGATGTCGATTAAATTTATGCAGACAAGTCATTCAATTTAAAGATGAGGAAACTAAGGCCCAGACAGCCGTGGCTTCTCCAAGGTGGCACAACTAACGAGAGCCACAGCTGGTGCAAGAACCAAGGTTTTCCATCTTTCAAAACAGTTTCACTTTTGCAATACACTGCCTTCCAATGATTTACTCAGTGACTCCATCCATACAAACTTTATTCATCCACATTTGAGAAAGAGGAAATCCTGTAAAACTCATTTATAATCTTATCTGAAGGTAAGAGTGTTATCTCCAGCATATACACTTATATATTTGATCCTTGGAAAACATTCTGGGGAATGAAATAGTTTTTCTGCATTATTTACAGAGGGATCACTTAACAGTGTTTTTTCCCTGGGAAATGCAAATTGAATACTTGCTCTGTAAAAGTTGTGATTGAATCTCTTCCAATCTGGAATCTTCCCTGTCTAATTAAATATTTAATCCCATTATTTGCTGCTTTTAGTGAAAATGGCTGGAATTCAAGCTGCTCTGCAACCTCTCATCGGCTCCCTATGACAAGGAGACATATGCTGATGAAGGTCTAATACAGTTTTGCTAAAGGCTAAACTCAACACATCTGGTAAAGCCTCAGAAGAGTCCCAGCCTCAATATTCTCTTATAATTCTGAGACAGAAGCAGCAGCCTGACATGAGGCCAAGACAAGGGTTGGTAAAATACATAAATATCAACCTCTGAGGAAAAAAAATCAGAATTGTAAGTAACACTTGATAGAGAAAAAAATAATGCCAAGCTACTAACATTTAAACTGTGAATAAATTCCAACATGATTTGCACTTTTAAAAAATGGATATTTTTGTGTTTCTTAAGGAGCTTTTTTCAATTTGGCTTTAGTAACCAACAACAAAACTGAGAAAATTGTGCTGTAAAAAAATATGAACTAACCTCTCTTATTAATCTTTAAAAATACCTGTAGAATATAATTAAATGAGACTAAAACAGTAGTCTAGCAAGCAGCTGGAAGATACTGTTATTTTCTTTGTGTGAAAGTAGCCAGGCATGTCTGACTAAGAAAGACAGAAGGGCTGCAGCATTTACTATTGAAAGAGGAAACGTAAATGGCATCTACCACTGCTGGCTGTGGAATTGCTTGGAATGATATAACACTGAAATAAACAAAACATTTGAATAAACATTTCTTCAGCAGGAAAATTGGCATTATTTGTGAAGTAAATATAGACACACACACACACGCACACACGTGCACCTGATACCATGTAATCAATCATCAAGAAAATTTCCAGATATGAAAATGATTATTTGCCAAGCATTAAAATCTTTTTCATTTATGGAAAAAAAAAAGATATAAGGATTTTCATACCTAAACCACCATTATCTGAATCATGCTCCAGAGTTCAACATTTCTCGAATGATTTTGTGAGAAGTTCCCCCACAAAATCAATTAAAGAACAATGATCTTGTGGTCTAAGAATGATGGGCAACCCTGGGCAACAGTGTGTTGTGCAAAATTCAGTTTGTAATTGTAGGACCCCATGACGTGCTAATCTGTATTGTCTGTTTCAAAAGGGAAACATAACGTTCAGAATTCTCCAAAATTATTTGACTACTAGGCCTGTTTTCTGTGGACTGCAGCTCAGACCTGGGGTACTATGTTCACTTTGTAACAGGTGCTTCATTCTTCCCAGAGAAGTTAACCTTATTTTTGTCATTGGCTTATGTGTATTTAGTGAGTCTCCTTAAAATCTACACAGAAAAAAGAATATTTCTACTTTCTCTCTGTCCATTACTGCACATATGACAACAATAGAAAAAAAGTCACCTTGCCTTTCTTCAAGGAGTGTGAATGAGAGGGAGGACGGATAGTTGCAAAAAGAGTGGACCAAATATATTTTTAGCTCAACAATAGCTGTAATGTTAGTGGGATAATGATTCTTCTGTCATATGAGTACAGCAGAAAAAGAAACTAGGATCTGTGTGTTGGCTGGAGGGATCAGGTTTTGGGATCCCACAGGAGTCCCATTGCAAATAATTTAGTATTTGAATCAAATAGACATGACATACATATGTTCAAATCTGCCTTTCTTTTCTGTTTCACTGACATCCCACATTTGCTAGAGTCTTCAATGCATAGCCATTAGAATTTGCTACGGAAAGAATGTTAAGGAAATTGCTCAAGAAAAATTCTCCTCAAATATTTGGCTCCCTCTTCATTAGGTCAATAACTCAGTTCATGGCACTCCCCCAGTGTAAATGAGACATTTCTATCCACTACTGAAGGCTATAATGCCCATGGCAAAAACTTTATGTTCCCTGTTCACCTGCTGTCAGAGATGTGCAAGTAGTCATCTTGCACCTCTAAAGCTTGAGGTTAGCTCTCATGAGCACTTCTCACTTTCAGAGATCCATAATCAGGCTAAATAGAGCTGCAGTGTGGCTGCCCATGGCACACTGAGGCAGCGCCACTAGGTCAGTGGGCTAGAGGGAAGACATGGAGAGAATTCCAATATCTGAAGCTAATGGAAACCAAAGTGAATCTGGAAGGCCAAGAGATAGCATATGACAGCCAGTACCCACTGATGAAGACCAGAAGAGGTCAAGAAGTAACCATTTCACAAAAAATACATGTAAGTCCTTATACTGCTAGATGCCATCTTTAGAAGAATGGCAAACAGAGGGAAAGATTGGCTGGGCACCAGAGCAACTTTATCTAAGAAAGACTATATGCCATCCATTACATTATTGCACTAAAATATTGTATTAGTCCATTCTCACATTGCTATAAAGAACTACCTGACACTGGGTAATTTAAAAGAAAAAGAAGTTCAATGGACTCCCAGTTCCACAGGCTGTACAAGAAGCATGGCTAAGGAGGCCCCAGGAGACTTACAATCAAGGCAGAAGCCAAAGAGGAAGCAGGCACAGTCTTCACGTGGCCAGAGCAGTAGAGGGAGAAAGTGAAGGGCAAAGTGCTACACGCTTTCGGACAACCAGATCTCGTGAGAATTTACTCACTACCATGAGATCAGCAAGAGGGACATCCTCTCCCATGATCCAATCACCTCCCACCAGGATCCTCCCCCAACACTGGGGATTATAATTCAACATGAGATTTGGGTGGTGACACAGAGACAAATCATATCAAATAGAAATTGAATAGCACTAAGAATTAATTTTCTTTCCAACTAATTACCAAGTGAATACTTAGGAGACAGACAAGACTTAATACAGACTAAATGAAGACATTCCATTTTTTCTTCACATCTGAGTTGTAATAGAATTTTAATATACAACCCCATATTTATCCTTCAGGAAATCAAAGGTGTTAAAGCATATGTACTCATTAAGAATCTGACACTTTTTAAATTATGTGGAGTGGGGGAAATAAATTATGTGGAGTGGGGAAAAATAATTAACCCTTCCATCTTGTGTTACAAATCATCATCTACTTTTATCAGGAAGAATTTACTAACTACATAAAACATCTATGTGTTTTAGTCAAAGCTCATCTCCTTGAATTTCACCACCTGCCAAGCAAACTTCTTGCAACAAAGGAAAGGAAGTTCCTATTCTGTTCTCTGATATGTGAAATGACCACAAAGTAGCCCCTAATCAGTTCAGACATGCTACAATGTGACAAAATCCAGCTGTGCTTGAAATCTCCCTCAACTCTTTGATATTTAAAGAAATATGACAAATATGGAAAATAACGCAGTTCAGGTGCGTAAGCATCTAGTTCTGTTAGAAATCTACCCTATGATGTTTGGCAATCCATATGATCTTCCTGATGTTTCCCATTATGTAAAATAGAGCTAATGGTTTTATTTTTGTAATCTGTCATGTGTTATAAGTATTACTAAGATGAAGGAGAATGGATACAATAAAGATTCCTGCCTATTTTTAACCAAAAATATGTAACCCTGCCTTCAACAGGCCTCAGCAACCTGGCACAATGCCTAGTGAACAATGAACCAATAAGCAATCTGGAACACTTATTAAGGAAAATAGGTGATCTATTCTATTTGGATTATATTCCTGAAGGGGAAGGGCAGCGTCAATCTAACACGGAAATAAATTGTTTTCTTGACAAATATACATGAAAATTCTAAAATGATGTTAGTTCCTCTAATAATCAAAATTTTGATAATCAGTGAACATCAGGAGCTACTTAGTTCAGCTAGAAAAACTGTGAGAGAGTAAGTCGGGGTTCTTCATTTCACATACCCAGAATTAAAGGTGCCAGATTCTATAGTGGATATATAACATAATAAATCACGTTGAAATAGACATTATGCTTACACTATGTGTACTAGCAGAAACTGCTAACTAGATCCAATTACCTGAGACATATGGCTGCCCAACTAATGCCTACATTTCTCAGCCATGCTTTCAATTAGCTGCAGCCACATGACAAATTGTGACTAACAGGATATGAATGAAAGTGGTTTGTGCAACTTCCTGAATAAAGTCTGAAAGTGATTAAGTCCACATTTTTCCTTTGCTTCCGGCTAGCAGGATTTTAGGTAATACAGTAAGTTATATTGGTTTCAAATAAATGAAAGCAAAACCCTATTGATGCTGACAGAATAAAATAAAGAAACTTGGGTCTCTGACATCATGAAATGGCAAAAATACACCTATACTATTTATATCAGATTGTTGCACACACCCAAAATGTAAACTTCTATCTTGCTTACATCAGTATTATTTTGGGTCTTCATTACAGTGTCCAAAGTAATCTCTAATTAATAGAGGGATGCTACTTATCTGGCCTTCCCAAATTAATTCATTCAACAAATATTTTCTGATTGCATATTAGCTTTGAGGTTACAAATTTAGCTCACAAGACAATAAGAAATATTTGCCATCCTGGAACACTTTCTACATAATTATGTTCACTGTATACAAAGAGAACAAAGGAGAAAGTCATCAATTTTACATGTAGGGCCAAGAAATGGAATTTTGGATGAAGGATATCTATTGGTCTTGGAACTCTCTAAATTAGTCACTTCTCCTAACAATACTTCAAGATGCTCTTTTAACAAAGTATTTTGGTAACAAAATGAAACAGAAAGCATTACCACTAAAGCACATACACAAACACACTATAAACAAATATTTATATATAAGTTTATACATATTTACAAAATGTAATATATATACACACATAAACAAATAGAGTATCTACAAATATTATACTGCAGTTTCCCTCCTTACTATCCCTCCTTTCAACTCTGAAATACCTCTTATTTAATGTTTCCCAATAAATAGCAATATAATAAATAACCTGTATATGTCATAACTTTGCTAAAAGACTCAAAGTTCTTGACAGAAAGAGTTATGTTTAATTCACTTTTGTTTTCCAACAGTAATAGTATGTTATGCTTGGGACATAAAAGGAGCTTGATATATACTTGTGAGTAAGTGACTTAGTTTGCCTTGTGCTGCTATTACAAGATACCAGAGACTAGATAATTTATAACGAACAGAAATACATTGACTCATGGTTCTAGAGGCTGAACTGTCCATGATTGAGGGGCCAGCACCTGGCAAAGGTCTTCTTCATATGTCATCCCATTGTAGAAAAGCAAAGAGAGGGGGAGTGAGAGCAAGAGGTTGAAGTTGAAGACTTGAGCCCTTTTATAGTTGGCATCAATCCATTCATGAGAGTGGAATTCTTTTAACCTTAACACTTTCCATTAGGCTCCACCTTCCAACACTGTTGCACTGGGGATTAAGTTTCAAACACATGAACTCTGGGGACACATTCAAACCATGGCAGTGACTGAATAATTGAATGAATAAGTAAATGACTGTTTGGAGGGTCAGGCCAGGAAATGCAAGAAGGGATGTTGAATACAAATTTCCTTTGTGAGTGTGTGTTCACAGAATAAACTAGAAAATAAGAGCCATTAGACATTACATGTATAGATAACTTAACCACAAAATACTTATAAGACCACATAAGGCTTTCCAAGTTAATTGCTCAAATCCTTCAAAAATAAATTTGTTTGTTTGTTTATAGAAATTATCTCCATAACTGTTATGGAGAAAGAGTTGTTTGATCCATTCAAGAAAACAAAATATGACAAAGGACAAAGTTATGTTTCTTCTGGACTCATTGTAATTGCAGGTAAGCAGATACATTGAAGTTCATTCATTCTGCTAGAATCCTTAAGTGTTTGCAGTGCCGATTTACCAAAACTCACCCTGTAAATATAATTAGCAATGAAGTCCTAATAGGATTCCCAAGGAAATCATAGCCAACTTATGACCAAACCAAGTTATTCTTAGAACTTAAAAGGAAATCTTCAACATCTGCTGCAAATATAAATACCTGAGAACCACTGGGACAAGGAACCAAGGGGCCATCCAGATACAAACAGCCCAATTAAGAACAGCTGTCAGCTATCCTTAAGAGAAATGACCTTAAAGACATCTTTTACCTTCAGCATAAATGATCAAGGGATATAGACTTTTTTCTCTGAGATATCATTCAAAATGAAGACCAAATGTTTCTAAAAATGGTAAAAATTATGCCTATCACTCTCCTCTATGGGTGTTCATGGGTCAGGATTGAGAAAAAGAGAAAATTAAAAGAATAACATTTCTCTTTTAGTTACTGTTCATATATAATACACTATGTTTTGAATTTTTAGTTTAATTGATATATGGTATAGTGTGAACACACTTTATTAAATGAAGGACTCATATTTGATGATCTCTGTAAATTTCTTTTCAGTTCTATAGTGATTACTCCACAATCATTCATAAAGTCCAATAAAAATGCCATCCTAAGGAAAGTCAATACAACCTTACTTAAATTTTTGCCCTCTTCTTTTTGTCAGCCTTTTTACAAAGCAAGTTGTCGGAGACTTTACAAAGAAGACTTCAAAGTTAACACTTGCAAGGACATATAATGATAGTACTAAATCGTAATGTAAGGAAAAAAATGCTATTTCATACAGCAGTTACTGAGAACATAGAAGCAATTTTATACATTTAAAAGCCTTGACATTTTCAAATCATGTACAATTATAATGCAAACAATTACTAAATTCAATCTGCAGTTTAACTACTCTCAAATCTGCTGACATTTTTATATGTGGCTGCACAGGACCTCCAATAATGGATATGTTGAACTCTGACTACATGTCATCCAGAGAAATAGGCTTTAAATAGTCTTGGATAGACAAGGTTCCAGGCATGTCAGTCATTTTCCATGTTTTTAAGCCATTGGTATTTTATACCTATTCTGCTGGGATCATTTAGAACAGAGAACTTATTGCCAAAATAGATCGGTTAGAAAAGCCAAGTCACTGTGTTCTAGAGGAGGATTTTAAGCTCCCAGACCAAATTTGGTGTATCTGTGGTTATCTGGATGTCTGCCAAATCCTCAGCCATTATTTTTCTAAAAGAAACATGTCAAGTTTTTCTGTTAATCACTCTCCAAATGCATATCTATTCCCGTGCAGTATATTAATAAATGGAAATGAGCCTAATCGTTCACCTGTTAGTGGGTGAGACTGAGGAAAAGATAAAATGAAAAGAGTGTTTCCCTTTCAACACTTTGGTGCATAGTCTCTTTGCAATTTGGCTTTGTAAGTCTCTGTGATAGGATAATAATTTTAAGTAATAACCAAGATTTCTTTTTACCAACAATTCCTTGCTCCCGTGCCTACACTCTCTATTACCTACCCATAATCCACCCTACCACACCTTGCCATGAGAGGAATCCATCTCTCAGAGAGGGCTGTTGCAGCAGAAAAGCAAAGCAGGAGAAACCAGTTCATTTCCACCATGCTAAGATGGTATTTAAGCTCTCAGAAAATTAAACACATTTAGAAAAAATAATGTTACATTTTCATGTACACCGAAACTTGGGGGCATGTGAAGTTTGTACCTATTATTCCAGTATTGATTAGATCATTTGTTTATGTCCCCTAATAACAATAAGATACATTTATTTGAAGCATTTGAACTTGACTAAGTGGGACTCAGGCATCTACAGTACTTAATTTTTAGCCCCTGAAACACACTGACCAGTTTCTCTGAATCCTGACCCATTTCCGAGTTTTCAGTGTGAGACAACAGCTCAGAGTCAAGATATCTAAGGTCTTCCATTCACCATTCCATGCTAAGATGTCAGCATCTTTCATCAAATTTAAAAGAAAAATTGTTATTATATATTAGAAATACAGATCTTTCCAAAGAGATATAGCTATCCTATCATGTAAATGATACTCACTTAAGATATAAAAGATAGGCCGGGCACGGTGGCTCACGCCTGTAATCCCAGCACTTTGGGAGGCCGAGGCGGGCAGATCACGAGGTCAGGAGATCGAGACCATCCTGGCTAACACGGTGAAACCCCGTCTCTACTAAAAATACAAAAAATCAGCCAGGCGTGGTGGCGGGTGCCTGTAGTCCCAGCTACTCGGGAGGCTGAGGCAGGAGAATGGCATGAACCCCGCTGCGGAGCCCGCAGTGAGCCGAGATCGCGCTACTGCACTCCAACCTGGGCGACAGCGAGACTCCGTCTCAAAAAAAAAAAAAAAAAGATATAAAAGTTAATCTTATTTAGACCATTGCACCTAAAAATATTTGACTTCATACCAACTGTTTCTCTGGGTATTGCCTTCTTTGTCTTTTTCTCTTAACATTTATCTAGCTGTGTCAGAGGATTCTTATGAGGTTAAAAAGAGATCATGTAATAGCACTCCTGAAACTTTCAAGCATATTGCATTACCTAAATCAAAAATTAAGGAGCATTTTAATCTCAAAAATAACAATGTATAGCCTCACATTTACCAACTTGTAACTTTTTTTTAAATATTGCAGCCTCTTTGTTTTAAAATTCAAAAATCAGGGAATTAAGATGAAGGCAGTAAACTGGCTGAAGAAGGCATAGAAAGTTGATTGTTAAGAAGACTGTTTTTTATTGGAGAAATAACCATGGCATCTTGGTGTTTGATTATGCCGTATGTTCTAATTGAAAATGTCCAAAGATTTTTAGTATTAAAATTTCTTCTTACAAAGTATAGGTTTCTTTTTTTTTTTTTTTTTTTTTTTGAGATGGAGTCTCGCTCTGTCACCCAGGCTGGAGTGCAGTGGCACGATCTCAGCTCACTGCAAGCTCTGCCTCCCAGTTTCACGCCATTCTCTTGCCTCAGCCTCCCGAGTAGCTAGGACTACAGTTGCCCACCACCATGCCCGGCTGATTTTTTGTATTTTTAGTAGAGACGGGGTTTCCCCATGTTAGCCAGGATGGTCTCGATCTCCTGACCTTGTGATCCACCCGCCTCGGTCTCCCAAAGTGCTGGGATTACAGGCGTGAGCCACCGCGCCCGGCCACAGTATAGGTTTCTTAATCATGCAGCTGAGCAGTAACACACATTCTGATTTCTTAAAAGGATTCAGGTAACACTGTTAATATTCTAAAATTAGAATCATCTCTCACACTTCTAGGATACTGGTAATATTCTATTTCTTGACCTTGAAGGGGGTTGTATGGCTAAGTCCCTTTTGTGATACCATATTCCATTTACGATGTGTACACTTCTCTGTGCATACATTTTACTTCAGTTAAATGTTAACGGGGAAAAAAACCTGTGCAACTAGGAAAATCAAAAGACCCTCTTAGAAATATGAATACTGTGCTCGTCTTTGCACTTGAAAACTGATTAAGTATAGCTAAATAAAATTATAGATACCATCCTGATATTTAAACAGTATACTTTAAAAAACACTTCCATATTCATGTTAATTCTGTGACAGGTTTAGTGCTTTTACTTCAAAAAGTAAACTAAATTTCAAAGCAGATAAATGAGTTTTCCAGGGTGGTTAATTCAATACTCTTCAGAATCATATTTCACTCTCAGCATTTTTTTGGTCTCTAAGTATAGCCTTCATTCCACAGTTCCATAGTTAACTTTACTACATGAATCCTTATTAAAACCAATCCTGTTACTAGGCAAAAAGCCCAAAGCTATAGAATTATCCTAATAAATGCCAAAAAAAACTTAAAAATTCCATCATCTATTTCATAATTTTACAAAATTGATTGCTAAACCTCTTTAACATAGTAAATAATAATCTCAAACTAGTGGTTGATATCTCAATAGAAACTTAACTGTGAAAAGCAAAAACAATTTGACAATGTCTGCTGGTACTACTATCCATTGTTGTCCTGTAACCATAAGTTAATGCATTAAAGGGAAAAAGTATTAAAAAGAGAGTCTGGAATAACATTTTTAAAACTAATAACTAATGAGAGAGCTTAATAAAATGAATGAAACAATAAGTGCTATCCAAGTCCTATGCAAGTTATAAAACTTCACTGAGAAATGAAAAAGATGGCTTGAATAAGCATGGAAATATATCAAGTTTCCAGTAAGTAATTTGCTATAAAATTATTCACTGCAGCATTATTTATCATAATAATAAAAACAAAAACCAACTAAATATTTGACAACAGGGAATAGGTAAAATAAAGTATGGTAGAGTCATATAATGCACATGAACAGCCATAAAAATATATAAAAGAAAAATATTTTATGGCTTGCAAAAATTTTCAAAGTGGACAGTACATTTCCGAAAAGCAAGTTACAAAACAATTTCGTTGTTAAAAATGTATATTTTTGTAAATATACACACATGCAAACATGTACTTATAAAACTAGAAAGCTATATCTCAAAACGTGGAATTACAGATGATTTGTATTTTATTCCTTTTGTTTATCTGCATTTTTGTTTACGTGTATTTATTTTAGACAATGTGTATTATATTTACAATAAGAATTAAAACAACATACATAATTATCTTAGAAAAAATATATAAACTCTTTTATTGTGGTTGGGATAGATTTTACGTAGTTGTCCCTCAAAAAAGGAAATAAGTAAAACGAAAAACAAAACCTCAGTAGCATAAAATGAACTGTGTCTGTTGAAATTATATTGTATTTATGTGATCCCACTTTAGTCAAAAGTCACCATTATAATAAATTTTTATCCCAAACTTAAAAGCGTAAGAAACTATATAGTTTTACCTCACATGTGTAGTGTTTTATTATTTCAATGATAATTCCATATTACGTTAATTATTTCATTCTCAGGCTAAGTTTTTGAGAAAAGAGATTATCCTTATTTACAGAGGAGAACTTTTAGGCACAGAAACTTCTGGATAGTTAAACATACAGGTAATTAATTATATTTCCAATATCAGTGTACAACTAGGACTAAAATTTAGAACTTTAAATTCTAAGCCCAAATAACTTTCTAACTAGATTTTACTTTATTTCAAATACTTATTACATTTCTGCCGAATGACAGGTCTTGTATTTTAGAAATTGTGTATAGAGGTGATTAAAATGTCACACAATTTTAAAACAAATTGTAAGAGCATTTTCAACTCTTGGGGTACAAGAGCTAGTGTTAGTTTGGGCTCTTACTTCAATAATACTTGGAAGCTGAAGCGCTGATGTCAAATCACTCCAATACAGACCCAATTCTTTTTTTATTTTATTTTTATGTATGTATGTATGTATGTATGTATTTATTTATTTATTTATTCATTTTGAGACAGAATCTCACTCTGTCACCCAGGCTGGAGTGCAGTGGTACAGTCTTGGCTCGCTGCAAGTTCCGCCTCCCGGGTTCAGGCCATTCTCCTGCCTCCGCCTCCCGAGTAGCTGGGACTACAGGTGTGTGCCACCACGCCCAGCTAATTTTTTGTATTTTTATTAGAGACAGGGTTTCACCGTGTTAGCTGGGATGGTCTCGATCTCCTGACCTCATGATCTGCCCGCCTCGGCCTCCCAAAGTGCTGGGATTACAGGCGTGAGCCACTGTGCCCGGCCCTACAGACTCAGTTCTTTAAAATGATTCACCAAGAGTATATGGCCCCTGAAACAGAGCATCAAAATCAATCACTGAAGCTGAAAATTATAATCATCCTGAGTCCAAAGAAATCCATGGGTAAAAATTTTCTCCCCTTTAGCAAACCCATCATCTTGGCTTAGAGAGTTAACCTTTCTTTTAAAAAATTCATTTAATACATGATGCATTTCATGCATACATACATGGCAACATAGTTAAAACCCAATCAATATGCTTCCAAGGAATATACCCCAGCATAAGAAATGATTCACGTTTTTATTTTCTTCCTATGTAACATTTACTTTGGATTACAAAAAAAAAAGCAAAATATGATTTACCAAATTTATCTCATGATATACTTCACAATCTTGCAAAAGCTTTGCATGCATTATGCTTTGCAATAAACATAGACATTTATAATCTAAAATTCTTGTTTGTGCTAAAGGCAGGCTCATTCTTTTACTTAGGTAATGAAAATTTAATATACTGTGTGTATGTGTATGAGAAGGGAAGGGGAATATAAAATATATTAAGTAATTCACTTGCCTATTACACTACCAGAAAGAGGACATCATTTTTATTCTCACATTTCTCAAGCAATAGATTTTGCAGCAAAGTTGTCAACTGATGGGAGGGTTTTAGGACTTTCTGACACATCGAATTTGCTGAGAAAGACAGAGTTCTGTGAGTGATTCCAATTTGCCATTTTCTAAATGTTCAAAATGTTCCAATGGAACATCCAAAGTACATACCTGCTTTTTTCTCATCTAGAGCATGCCTTCCTCCCTCCTGTGAGCCATCGTAATGGGTTCAATGACAACCTCTACTACTACTTACCTTGGTGAAAAATGAAAATTTCATCACCCCAAATGTGGCTCCTTTATTTTTTTCTTACTCCTACACATCCAGCTAAGAAATTGATAGCATATTATTTTCTAAAACAATTTCTCCAAATGAATCACAGAACTATGAGGCATGCACACACATGAAGGAGGTTAAAGAAAAGGGAGAACTCAAGGTAAAAATTGAGGAGCTTGACAGAAAGTGAATTTTCTGTCAAGAGTATGTATTACCTTGGTTCCAAAAGGCCCACAAATCTGCAGAGGGGTAATGTTGAATACCACTGATTCGTGCATATGCTGCTCATTCAAGCATTTGATTCTGGCATTTTTCTCTGTGGATGTTGCAAGTTCCACCTGAGCTAAGTTTACTGTTTTACATTGAAATAAATCTGCATCTTACCTGCAGTTGAGCCTCACTGGAATATTCCCTGTGGGCACATGGCTTGAGGTTGCTTTACATCAAGATATTTGAGGTTCTTTTAAAACCATGCCTCCAAGGACAGATTCTAAGACAGACACTGCATACTAGTGGACTTTCCACCACAAATTTTAAAGCCAAATTCCAAATTGTGATAAGTTAGATGACTGTTCAACAAATATTTCCTTTCTTTCCCCTTGCACTGTGAGCTAAGTATAATTTCCTACCCCAGCGATGTTAGACTCAGCCATGTGACTTGCCTTGGTTAATAAGATATTAGGAGATATGATAAAAAAAAAAAAAGCCTTGAAATATGCTTGGGCAGTGGGATTTAGATAATACTGCTTTTGTCACTGCCATGACAAGAACATGCTTAGATAGCCCACTGTTCCCGGGAGAGTAAGAGACTCAGAGCAAACTTGAACTCAGACTGCGATTTGGAGCCCAGACCAGCTGAGCCCAATTTAGATTAGCCAACTTACAGCCAATGCACAGATATGTCAGAATAGATGTTTTACCTTAAGCCACTGTGTTTGTGGTGGTTTTTTACCCATCATTTTATTATGGCCCTTATTAATTACTACATATCTGGCAACCAATACAATGTAAAACTAGTAATTGTGACATATAGATAAGTCCTTACACTGAATATAAAGCAGTTACAATGTAACAAACTTTATGAACAACCACATTGTGTGTATATAACTAAAGTTGTGATACATGTCACTCAATTACCAAGATAATATTGTATTTCTTAAAGGAGAAATGAGTAGACTTTTTAGCTAGCAGGACATGTCTGGTTAGCAGTCTTCTCTTAAAATACATGGATTACTTTCTCAATCCAATTCTAAATGGAGAAACTAACACATGGATAAAGAATAGGAAAAGCAGTTTCATTCTGAATGACTATTCTAATGTGTTATTTCTTATCCTGTTGCTTAGTGAACTAGTGAGGTGATATTTTCTATGTTGAGGTAACAGAAAAATAGTAGTAATAAATAAATACAAATTAAAGATGCTAAAAATAATTTGTTAGTTATTTTAGTCTCCACATTAAGAATTAGATTGTATTGGCCAGGCGCAGTGGCTCACACCTTTAATCCCAGCACTTCGGGAGGCTGAGGTGGGCAGATCACAAGGTCAGGAGATTGAGACCATCCTGGCTGACATGGTGGTGAAACCTCATCTCTATGAAAAGTACAAAAAATTAGCCGGGCATGGTGTCGGGAGCCTGTAGTCCCAGCTACTCAAGAGGCTGAGGCAGGAGAATGGTGTGAACCCAGGAGGTGGAGCTTGCAGTGAGCTGAGATCGTGCCACTACACTCCAGCCTAGGCAACAGAGCAAGACTCCATCTCAAAAAAAAAAAAAAAAAGAATTAGACTATATTATTATATTAGATATTGTTCTTGGAGAAACCTAGCACGATATGAGCAGATCCATGTTGAAAATTCTGAAATGTTTATACAGATAAAAAAAACTTGTGTTTCTTTAAATCAAATACAATTAAACATATACAGAAAAAGAAGAATTAGACTTTAAAAAAAAACTTTAATTACTACTATAGCATCCTGATTATAATGACAAAGAGATGTTCATCTAAACTGCAAAAAATACTACTAATAATTTATCTTGTGTCTTGCAAAGTGTTCTTGAGTTTTAAAATTCATGAGGGAACACTTTGAAGTATTTATTATCCTCTAAAGACAAAAAAAAAACCTTACTCCTTCTCTAATCTTCTGAATAATATCCTTATCAAAAGTTTATATTTCAAATCTAAATTGTGAGTCTGAAAAGGAAATTACTGACAAACCCATTAGAGTGCCTTCAATGACACTGTGTTTTAAGAGTCCCAGTGGAATGAAATTAGATCATAACCAAAGTATGTGATCAAGGAAGGATTAAACAAGGACTTTTGAGGAAGAGCCAGAAAGTGAGAACCAATCCAAAAGGCTTGCTTACAGTTAACAACAGGAGTATTTCAACTAACTTTTGCTACACAATGAGCATGGTTGCACCCTGAAGAGAAGACTATGCTTCAATGTGTTTCTGATCCTCCAGGGAATTTATTCAATTGGAAAATAATTTTTCAGTGAGTTTAATTCTTGCTTTCAAATTCTGTATCTTCGTGCATCATCTCATGGGTAGTGAAATTGTGTTACTGAGGATTCCCTGGGAGTCCTGGACCATGGTCATGAATGGAAGCTTCATCTTATAACTTTTGATCCCATTCCATTTTTAATTAGCTGCATATATTGAAGCATGCTGGTAGCATGACTAAAGGCAGGGAAGATAGATGGTTTATTCTTCAATCTCTCTGTTTTTAACATAAAAGCATAGATTTTAGCTTTAAGGTCCAGAAAAGAAAAAGTCTCTCATAATTGGGTAAATACATAAAGTTTTTTTAAATGAAAATATGTTTTTCAAAATGCTAATAAGATTTCTACTAATTATTAAATACACAGCAATCAAAAAGACTGCAGAACGAGAGTTAACAGTCATCATATATTTCCATGCAATTTTAAAGTCTTCAGTGAAAATGTTAAACTTCATTCCTCAACATCGAGTTAGACAATACAGTCTAGTATACCCTAAAAAGGTTTCTCTTTTCACTTCTAATCAATGAGATAACTTAATGAACATTTGTTCTGTTGACAAATATTGATGGAATTAATTATTTCTATATTACCTACAATAAAAATAGATGTGGACTTTCTGAAGAAACAAAATAGTAGGTTCTTTCAGTATTTTTCCTGTGATGGAATTTCTTATAAATATATGGGCACAATTACAATGATCACTAGAAACTTCAAATATCTGAAACTAGTTCTCACTTTGGAAATACATTTTTTGGCAACAACTAAAACACAAGAGCTATAAGCCAAAGCGAGGTGAACTTTAAGTTCCTTGAAAAAAAATAAATAAATAAACCTATCTCATTAAAATCTAAACCGTCTCCTCTTTTTGAATAATGCTACCCATGCTCCTCCAATGTATGTATTTGATAGAAAGAAAATGGGATGGAATTAAATGTTCCTGGTGCTGTAAGAAAATTTCTATTTATAATCAGAGTCCAAGATCTCAGTGAAATCCACAGTAAAAAAAAAGTTTATTATCCAAGAGATAACCCATGCTAATACTTTTGAAGCAACTTTTTCCATATTGGGCTGATAGCAAAGACAACAAAGAATCTTTCTTGCTCTTTCAGAGGTAAGCTAAAAGCAATCTTTTAAACACTTAACCCTATAATTTAAACAAATAGCTAAACTGTCTAGGACTAGGTTTGTAGATATTTGTATGCTCATGCGCATCGATCAATGAAAATTTAAAAGAGAATAAAAATAAAACTTTTAAAAAGAAAGAAGAAAATTATGGAACAGATCTTCTGAGATGTCCGTATTATGAACTCTTCATAATGCAAATGTGCAGAAGGCAACTCAGTTTGGTAGAACCTGAAGGATATATCATTTGAGATATGCTTTTTGAGAAAAATAATGCAAAATTATTCATATATAACTAAATATGGAAGTATGTATTTATTTAGAATGATAAGGCCAGGCACGGTGGCTCACTCCTGTAATCCCAGCACTTTGGGAGGCTGAGGCGAGTGGATCACCTCAGGAGTTCGAGACCAGCCTGGCCAACATGGCAAAATCTTGTCTCTACTAAAAATACAAAATTAGCCAGGCATGGTGGCAGGCACCTGTAATCCCAGCTACTTGGGAGGCTGAGGCATAAGAATCACTTGATCCCAGGAGGCAGAGGTTGCAGTGAGCTGAGATGGCACCATTGCACTCCAGCCTGGAGGATAAAGTGAGATTCTGTCTCCAAAAAATAAATAAATGAAATAAATTAAATAATTTAAAATCGAATGATAAAAGCTCTAATTTACAAATTTGAAAAGCTGAGAATTACCACTGACATCACAAATCCAGTAAAATATCCTAAGAATTATATTTAACTGTTTAGTACACTTATATTTTTTCAACAATTTTTGACTACATGCTTTTCAAACACCTCTTCATATTACAACAATTTAGAAATACAATTTTTAATAGAAAGAACAGAGATTTAATTTGATCTTTTCTCCCATGGTTAACCAAAATAAGTTTATTATTGATAGTGTAGAAGGTTTTCTCTCAGTTTTGCAACTGGCATTATTGGTGAGGTCATTGTGGTGGATTGAACTGTGTCTCCCCTTATATGCATATAAGATATGTATATGTCTTAACACCTGATATCTGTGAATGTAACCTTATTTGGAAATAAAGTATTTGCTAAGATGATTAAGAACCTTAAGATGAGGTCATTTTGGATTTAGAGTAAATCTAAATAGAAAAACTGCTGTCACTATAAGAAACAGATGGGGGAAAGACCTATGAAGAGAGGGATGGAATGGATTCTCCCTCAGAGCCTCCAGAAAGGACCGACCCTGCCAACACTTTGATTTTATACCTTTGGCTTCCAGAACTATATGAAATAATAAATATTTGTTGTTTGGAGCCATGAGGTTTCTGATACCTTGTTACAGCAGCCCTAAAACACAACAACAACAAACTAATGTAATCATGTGCCTGTAATCAATTTCATTTTACATATAAAATTTAAGTCACTTCAAGTTTTCCTGTCCAATACTAATCGTAAGTATTTTTTAAATTGATGGTATATGTTAACTAGTTTGTGTCAATGCCCTCCATTGTGGTGACACATAATAAATTTTGTTATTTTTCTGAAAGAGAGAAGCCATCTTAATCAAAATAATTAGTGTTCCAGTTACAATTTTATATATCTAAAAACTGGAAAATGTTTTCCTCACACTAGCTTCTGACTCTATCTGTTCCATAACTTGATTTCTTCTCCACCACTCACAACTTAGGCTGAACACCATAGGATAAATTCACACAACTGTACACCTTCTGGTTCCATTCTCTTTTACCATGGTAAGTAGTCACAGTGGGTATTTAGAGCATGCATTAAATAAATAAACACAGAAATGACTGTAAACCATAAATATATATTGTACTAAACTCAAACTACATGTAGCCCCTACTCAAATATTCCTTGGCCGAATCCAAAAAATGCCCATGACCCCCCTTCATCATCACTAGACACAAGGTGAAATGTGACAGAAAATAACAGTGTAAAGTTATGTTCATTTTACTAACTGAAAGTAAATATATTTGTAATTTTTACCAAAAAAAGTGTATTGTATAAACACATTGATAGGGTCTTTTCCAAGAAAAGACCCTTGCAAACGATTGAGTCCTTACTCTAAAGCTTCCCTAGCTTCATGGTAAACCCACCTCCATGTGTGATATAGACTTTTAAAATGTGAAAGAATATCTTCCTTCCTGATTTTAAAAATATACTCTTAGGTCCTACTAAGATAGAGATATAGATGCACATGTTTTTCATACTCATAAAATGCTATCTTATTCAGTTTGGGCCTTATAACAAATTACCATAGAATGGGTGACTTAAACAACAAACATGTATTTCTCACAGTTCTGGGGGCTGCCAAGTCCAAGATCAAAGTGACTGTAGGTTCTGTGTCTGGTTTACAGAGGATCATCTTTTGTCTTCTCCTTCTACTCTTCATATGGTGGAAAGCAATGAGAGGAATTAAACTATTATGGCTTTTCTTATACGCTCACTAACACTATTCTCAAGGTCTCCACTCTCATGACCTAATTTTTTCCCAAAGGCCTCACCTCCTAATACCATCACATTGAGGGTTAGGATTTCAACATATAAATTTGAGGTGGACACAGATATTCAGTTCATAACAAATGCTGTGATCCTTTTATTTGCTTGATGAACTCTAATTCATACTTCAAATCTTACTTAATATATTATCTTCTGTATACAAATATCCCTGAATCTCCTAGACAGGTTCCTACTTCCAGAACTATTAGCACACATTTGTCATGGTATTTAATTACAATGAAATCATAGCCTGCTTCGCTTGCAAGATTATAAGCTCATTGAGAACGGGTATCACTGTGTTCTCTTTAATGTTCATAGAAAGCCCTTAAGATATATCTGTTTCAGGAAAGCCCTTACAATGCAAGGAAGGTAAGTCACATAAACAAATAATTAATTCAATATTAAACAAATACTTACTGAGCTTCTACTACATGCCAGACAGTTTTGGGAGCTAGGGAAACGTCAAGAGAAAAACAATCAGTACTAAGTAAGTGTGTTAGAAGTTATTAGAGCTAAAAAAAAAAAAAAAAAAAAAAAAACCCAGAGCAGATTGAGGTGGAGCTCAAAAGTGAGAAATGCAGCTTGCAATTTTATATGGTGTTATAAGGGTGGGCTTAAATTGAAGAAGTAATATTTGAAAAAAAATACGTAAAAGAAGCAATATATGATAGGAAACAGTTACAGGTAAAAACAGCTAAGCCTAGGGCCTTATGATAGGAGCACACCTAAAATATTGAAGAAGCAACAAGGAGGCCAAATCTTGCTAGAGCTAAGTAAGTAAAGGGAATATGGCAGAGAACAGGTCAGAGAAGTAACAGGATGTATAGCACTTCTTAGTAATTTTAAACACCTAGCTTTAATTTTGACAAAATTGTTGACTTCGAAGGATTTTATCAGGATCACTCCAGCTTGAAAATACATTATAAGTCTCAGATGAAAAAGTAGAAAAAGCAGAGGGTAATAAGTAATAGTGGCTTAAACTGGGATGGTAGCACTGAAGGTAATGTGAAGATGTTATGTTCTGGCTATGTAAATATATTTGAAAATAGAACCTACAGGATCTTATGAAGAAGATTTATGCGAGTTTTTTTTTTAATAGAGGAGTCAGAATGGCTATTTTTGCCTGAATAAGTAAAAATATTAGGTTTAGCATTAACTAAGATGGGAAAAACTGGGTAGAACAGGAGGTTTTGGAGGAGTTTAGATATTAGATTGGGAATTTAGATTTAAGTGTGTTAAGTCTGAGATGTGGAATGGAAGTGTCAGAGTGGAAATGTTGAAAACGCAGTTGGAAAAGAAGTTGAAATTCAAGATAGAGATCCAGAATGAAAATATAAATTTGGGTCACCATCTTATATATAAAATTTAATTCACAAGACTTGATGAGCTCTCCCAGGAAGTTAAGAGTAAATAAAAAGAAGAAAAAGTCCATAGGCTGAGCCCTGAGGCACTGCAACAATTAGTGAATTAGTGGTCTCAGGAGGAAAAGAAGGAATCAGCAGAGGAAACAGAGAAGGAACAGCCAATAACGTGGGAGAAAAAACAAGTGTGAAGTACACTGGAAACCAAATGAATAAAATATATTGAAGAAAAGAGAGTGTCCACCTGCTCCTGAAAGGTCAAATTCTACTGAGAGGTTATGTACATGGGAAGGGAGAATTGACATTAGAGTTTACCAACATAAAGATCAATAGTGTTCACGGAAAGAAAAATTTTGATGAAGTAATAGGAGCAAAAGTGGGCTTAACAGGGAGTGAAAATAGAAGAATTAGACACAATTAGTACTGACAACTCTTTCAAGGAGTTTTGCTTCAAAGGAGAGCAGAGGAATAAAGCAGTAGAAAGAAAGCAATGTTTTGAAGACTGACAATATAGCAATAAATTTGTATAGATGGGAATAATTCAATGAGGGGAAAGGAGTAGTGATATAGGCAGGAAAAGAACTGAAGGAATGTTCCTGAGTAGAGAAGAAGAGATGGAACCTAAGAAGGCCTTAGGAATACATAGTTCATCTGTGGAAGAGAAGTTCAATGAGGAGGGAAAAAAATTGTAAAAGGTGTTAAGAGAAGGGAAAATTAATGAACTAAGGAAATATGATTTCTAGTCAGCACTAAAGGCTCACACGAGGTTTGTGGTCATGAAATTAAAGTCACACCACCAAGATGATATTTCTTTTTTCATACATGGTCTGTTGCTTTGGGTCCAGGTATAGAATATTGAGAAAATCAGACATATCAGGATTAATTTTCCAAGTGAGTACCACAAACTAAGAAAACAACAAGGAAGTTAGACATGTTGAAAGGGATTTAATGTGATTATTAACTATGAAATTTAGCCAGATAAGGAGATAAATAAAAACTTCAAAGAAGCAAAAGATTACTAAAACCAGTAAAATAAGTAAATTGGAGATCCTAATAGTGCTAAAAGATTTTTGGAGTCAAAAAACTATGGGAGTGAGATGCATAGATAGGAAGTAGTTATCATGGAGTGTGATGCATAAAACTGAGATTATAGAGAACTTGCAGTGAAGCAAGGTCCAAGGCATGACCATGAGAGTGAGTGACTGAGATAGAGGAAAGAAGGAGAATTTAAGAAATTGAGAATTCAATGTTTTCAGAGAAGTATCTATGTCTGTAGTATAATAAACAGAATTAAAATAAACAGGAGTAATGAAGAGAGTTACAGTAAACCAGGAAGTCACAAATGGGGAAATGATGAGGAATAACACAGGAAGCTGGACAAAACAATGAGGAACAGCAGGTGATTTGTAGTCCAATTACATGATATTCAAAGCTAAGTATTCATTATATGAACAAAACTAAAGACAAAAAACACAGGATTATCTCAATAGGTTCTGAAAAGGCTTTTGATAAAATTCAACATCCCTTCATGCTAAAAATTCTCAATAACTAGGTGTTGAAGGAACACACCTCAAAATAATAAGAGCCATCTATGAAAAACCCACAGCCCACATTATACTGAATGGGCAAAAGCCAGCAGCATTCCCGTTGAAAACTGGCACAAAATAAGAATGCTCCCTCTCACCTTCAACATAGTATTGAAAGTCCTATCCAGAGCAATCAGGCAAGAGAAAGAAATAAAGGCATCTAAATAGGAAGAGAAAAAGTCAAACTATCTCTTTTTGCAGATGACATTAATCTGTATCTAGAAAACCCCATGGTCTCAGCCCAAAATCTCCTCCAGCTGATAAACAACTTGAGCAAAGTTTCAGGATACAAAATCAATGTACAAAAATCACTAGCATTCCTATACACCAACAACAGCCAAAATGAAAGCCAAATCAGGAAAACAATTCCATTCACAACTGCCACAAAAAGAATAAAATACCTAGGAATACAGCTAATCAGGTAGATGAAAGATTTCCACAATGAGAATTACAAAACACTTCTCAAATAAATCAGAGGAGACATAAACAAATAAGAAAACATCTCATGCTCATGTATAGGAAGAATCAATATCATTGAAATAGCTATACTTTTTTTGTGTGTGTGATTGCCTAAAGCAGGAGTTTATTTGGTATTTTTCCAGGTAGGCTGATGCTTTTTTTTTTTTTATTATTATACTTTAAGTTTTAGGGTACATGTGCACAATGTGCAGGTTAGTTACATATGTATGCATGTGCCATGCTGGTGTGCTGCACCCATTAATTCATCATTTAGCATTAGTTATATCTCCTAATGTTATCCCTCCCCCCTCCCCCGAACCCACAACAGTCCCCAGAGTGTGATGTTCCCCTTCCTGTGTCCGTGTATTCTCATTGTTCAATTCCCACCTATGAGTGAGAACATGCAGTGTTTGGTTTTTTGTCCTTGTGATAGTTTACTGAGAATGATGATTTCCAATTTCATCCATGTCCCTACAAAGGACAGGAACTCATCATTTTTTATGGCTGCATAGCATTTCATGGTGTATATGTGCCACATTTTCTTAATCCAGTCTATCATTGTTGGACATTTGGGTTGGTTCCAAGTCTTTGCTGAAATAGCTATACTTTTTAAAGCAACTTACAGATTCAATGCTATTTCTCTCAAACTACCATTGACATTCTTCACAGAACTAGAAAAAAGTATTTTAAAATGCATATGAAACCAAAAAAGAGCCCAAATAGCCAAGGCAATCCTAAGCAAAAAGAACAAAGCTGGAGGCATCATGTTACCTAACTTCAAACTATACTACAGGGTGACAGTAACCAAAATAGCATGGTACTGGTACAAAAACAGACACATAGACCAACAGAATAGAGAGTCCAGAAATAGAGCTGCATATCTATGACTATCTGATCTTCAACAAAGCTGACAAAAACAAGTAATGGAGGAAAGACTCCCTATTCAATAAATGGCGCTGGGATAACTGGCTAGCCATACACAGAATATTGAAGCTGGACCCCTTCCTTACACCATACACAAAAATCAACTCAAGATGGATTAAAGACTTAAATGTAAAATCCAAAACTATAAACACCCTGGAAGACACCTAGGCAATATCATCCTGGACATAGGAAAGGGCAAAGATTTAATGACAAAGTCTCCAAAAGTAATTGCAACAACAACAGAAAATTGACGAGTCAACCTAATTAAATGAAAGAGGGTCTACACAGGAAAAGAAACTATCAACAGAGTAAATAGACAACCTACAGAGAAAATATTTGCAAACTATGCTTCTGACTAAAGTCTAATATCCAGCATCTATAAGGAACTTAACAAATTTACAAGAGAAAAACAAGCTCATTAAAAAGTAGAAAAAGGACATGAACAGACGCTTCTCAAAAGAAGACATACATGTGGCCAACAAGCATATGAAAAAAAGCTCCATATCACTGATCATTAGAGAAATGCAAATCACAAGCACAATGAGATACCATCTCACACCACTCAGAATAGCTATTATTAAAAAGTCAGCTGGAAACGGTGGCTCACACCTGTAATACCAGCACTTTGGGAGGCCAAGGCGGGTGGATAACCTGAGGTCGGGAGTTCGAGACCAGCCTGACCAACATGGAGAAACCCTGTCTCTACTAAAAGTACAAAAATTAGCTGGGTGTGGTGGCACATGCCTGTAATCCTAGCTACTCAGAAGGCTGAGGCAGGAGAATTGCTTGAACCCAGGTGGTGGAGGTTGCGGTGAGTCGAGATCGCACTATTACACTCCAGCCTGGGCAACATTGCGAAACTCCGTCTCAAAAATAATGTCAAAAAATAACAGATGCTGGTGAGGTTGTGGAGAAAAGGGATCACTTATACGTTGTTGATGGGAGTGTAAATTACTTTAACCATTGTGGAAAGCAGTGTGGTGATTTCTCAAAGAGCTAAAACCAGAACCACCATTTGACCCAGCAATCTCATTACTTGGTATATACCAAAAGGAATATAAATCATTCTACCATAAAGGCACATGCACACAAATATCCACTGCAGCCCTATTCACAATAGCAAAGACATGGAATCAACTTAAATGCCCATCAATGACAGACTGGATAAAGAAAATGTGGTACATATACACCATGGAACACTATGCAACCATAAAAAAGAACAAGATTATGTCTTTTGTGGGAACATGGATAGAGCTGGTGGCTATCATGCCTCACAGAATAACACAGGAACAGAAAACCAAGTACTGCACATTCTCAGTTGTAAGTGGAAGCTAAACGATAAGAACCTAGGAACACAAAGAAGGAAACCACAGACATTGGGGTCTACTTAACGGGGGTAGGGTGAGAGGAGGGAGAGGAGCAGAAAAGATAACTATTGGGTACTAGGCTTCATATCTGGGTGATGAAATAATATGTACATCAACCCTCCATGACACGTGTTTACTTATGTAACAAACCTTTACATGTACCCCCAAACCTAAAATAAAAGTTAAAAAAATGAGAAACACACTTTACCTATAAAGACATACATAGAATAAAAATAAAGGGATGGGAAAAGATATTTCATGCCAACAGAAACCAAAAAAACAAAAACAGAAATCACTGTGCTTATATCATACAAAATAGATTTCAAGACAAAAACTTTTAGAAGAGACAAAGAAGGTCACTATGTAATGATAAAGAGGTCAATTTAGCAAGAGGACATAACAATTCTAAATCTATATGCACCCAACACTGAAGCACCCTGATATGTAAAGCAAATATTATTAGAGGTAAAGAAAGAGAAAAGTCCCAATACAATAATAGCTGGATACTTCAACACCCTGATTTCAGCATTGGACAGATCTTCCAGATAGAAAATCAGCCAAGAAACATTGGACTTAATCTGCACTATAGAAAAACTGGATCTGATAGATATTTATGGAACATTTTATCCAATGGCTGCAGAATAAACATCCATCTCAGCACGTGGATCATTCTCAAGGATAGATCATATGTCAGTTATCAAAACAAGTCTCAAAACATTCAAAAAATTTGAGATAATATCAAGCATCTTCTCTGATCACAAGGAATAATCCTGGAAATTAGTAACAAGAACAACTTTGGAAACAATACAAATACTTGAAAATTAAACAATATACTCCTAAAGGACTAAAGGGTCAACAAGGAAATTAAGAAGGAAATTGAAAATTTTCTCAAATGATGATGCAAACACAACATACCAAAACCTATGGGATACAGCAAGCAGTACTAAGAGGGAAGTTTAAAGCTCTAAGTGCTTACATCAAAAAAGAGGAAAAACTTCAAATGAACAATCTAGTGGTACATCTTAAAGAACTAGAAAAGTAAGAGCAGACCAAACTCAAAGTGAGTAGAAGAAATAATAAAGACTAGAGTAGAAATTAAAAAAATAAAATTTAAAAGAAAACAATAAAAAATCAATAAAACAAAAAATTAGTTTTTTAAAAAGTTAAAGAAAATTGACAAACCTTTAGCCAGGCTAATTAAAAAACAGAGAGTGAGAGAAGATACAAATAAAGAAAATCTGAAAGTGAAAAGGAGACATTACAACTGATATTGCAGAAAGCCAAAGGATCACTAGTGGCTGCTATGAGCAATTATTGGCTGCTATGAGCTATAAGCAAATACATTGGAAAATCCAGACAAAATGAACAAATTCCTAGACACGTACAACCTACCAGGATTGAACAAGAAAAATACCTAAAATCTGAACAGACCAATAACAAGTAAGAAGGTTGAAGCCGTGATAAATGTTTCCCAGTAAAGAAAAGCCCAGAAACTGATAGCTTCCCTGCTGAATTCCACAAAACATTAAAAAAAAAAAAAAAAACACCAATCCTACTCAAACTAATCCGAAAAATAGTGGGGGAGGGAATACTTCGAAACTCATTCTATGAAGCCAGTGTTACCCTGTGATACGGTCTGGATTTGCATCCCTGCCCAAATCTTATGTTGAATTATAATCTCCCATGTTGAAGGAGGGGCCTGCTAGGAGGTCATTGGATCATGGGAGCAGCTTTCCCCCTTGCTGTTATCATGATAGTGAGTTCTCACAAGATCTGGCTGTTGAAAAGTGTGTAGTACCTCTCCCTGCTCCCTCTTCCTCCTGCTCCAGCCATGTAGGATGTGCCTCCTTCCTCTTCACCTTTTGCCATGATTGTAAGTTTCCTGAGACCTCCCAAGCTGTGCTTCCCGTACAGCCTGTGGAACCATGAGCCCATTAAACCTCTTTTCTTTATAAATTACCCAGTCTCAGGTAGTTCTTTATAGCAATGTGAGAACGGGCTAATATATCCTGATTACAAAACCAAAGACACATAAAAAAAAAAAAGAAAAGAAAACTACAAGCCTGAGATAAATCTCATTTTATCACAGTATATTATCTTTTTGAGGTGTTGTTGAATTCAGTTTGCTAGTACTTTGTTGAGAATTTTGGGGCTATATTCATTAGGGATATCGGCTTTTAGTCTTCTTTGTTGTGTCCTTGTCTGGTTTTGGTGTTAAGATACTACTGGCCTTATAGAATGAGTGGAAGAATTTCCTCCTCTTCAACTTTTTGGAATAGTCTGAGCAGAACTGATATTAGTTCTTTTTTATAAGTTAGGGATAATTCATCAGTAAAGCCATCTGGCTCTGGAATTTTTTCGTTGGAAGACTTTTTATTATTGATTTAATTACTTTGCTTGTTATTGGTATGTTCAGGTTTTCTTAATTTCTTTCTGCATTCCATCTTGATAGATTGGATGTGTCTAGAAATTATCCAGGTTTGGATAAGTTCTCCAGTTTGTTAGCATACGTTTGTTCATAATAGTATCTAATGATCCTTTATATTTCTGTTATATCCGCTGTCACATTTTTTAATCCTGATTTTATCTAGGTCTTCTCTTTTTTTCACTTAAAGTCTACCTAGAGGTTTATCATTCTTGTTTATCTTTAAAAAAAAAACTTTTCATTGTTAGTCTCTATTTCATTTAGTTCAGCTCTGATCTCTTGTTTTTTGTTTGTTTGTTTGTTTTTGTTTTTGTTTTTTTGAGAAAGAGTCTCACTCTGACGTCCAGGCTGGAGTGCAGTGGTGCAATCTCGGCTCACTGTAACCTCTGCCTTCCCGGTTCAAGCGATTCTCATGCCTCAGACTCCTGAGTAGCTGGGATTACAGGTGCGTGCCACCGTGCTCGGCTAATTTTTTGTATTTTTAGTAGAGATGGGGTTTCACCGTGTTAGCCAGGTTGGTCTCCATCTCCTGACCTCATGATCCACCCGCCTCGGCCTCCCTAAGTACTGGGATTACAGACATGAGCCACTGTGCCCGGCCCACCTCTGGTCTTTATTATTTCTTTTCTTCTACTAATTTTGTGTTTGGTTTGTTCTTGCTCTTCTAGTTTCTTGAGATGCATTATTGTTGTTTATTTGAAATCTTCCAACTTTTTTGACTTAGACATTTATTACAACAAACTTCTCTCTTAGTACTGCTTTTGCTAAATCCCATAGGTTTTGGTATGTTGTATTTCCATTTCCTGTCATTTCAAGAAATGTTTTAATTTCTTTCATAATTTCATAGGCCCAATAGTCTTTCGGGATCATGACATTTAACTTCCATGTATTAGTACAGTTTCCAAAGTTACTCATTATTTATTTCTCGTTGTATTCTATTGTGGACTGAGAAGATACCTGAAATGACTTTGGTTTTCGAAATTTGTTGAAGCTAATTTCGTGGCCTAATATATAGTCTATACTAAAGAATGTTCCATGTGCTGATGAACCTCATATACAGTCTTTCCTAGAGAACAGCTCTATTCTGCAAAATATTCTCTAAATGTCTGCTAGGTTCATTGGATCTAATTTGCAGTTTAAATCTAATGTTTCTTTGTTGATTTTCTATCTAGATAATCTGCCCAATGCTGAAAAGGAATTTCCCAAATACTACTGTGTTGATGTATATCTCCCTCTCTTTAGATCTAATAATATTTGCTTTATGAATCTGGATCTTCCATTGTTAGGGGCAAATTTAATTAGAAATACTATATTCTTTGGCTTAATTGATCCCTTTATCATTACATAATGACCTTCTTTGTATCCTATGACTGGTTTTTACTTTAAGTCTGTTTTATCCTACATAACTATTCCTGCTCACTTTTGGTATGTCTTTGAGTGGAATATCATTTTCCATTCCTTTACTTTCAATCTGTATATGTCTTTACAGGTGAGGTGAATTTCTTCTAGGCAGTATACAGTTGGGTTATTTTTTAGTCCATTCTACTAGTCTATCACTTTTAAGTGAAAATTTTAATTCAAGGTTATAATTGATAGGTGAGGTTTTATTTCTGTCACTTCGTTCAGTTGTCTTCTAGTTGTATTTTATATCATTAGTTAAAATTTAATTTTTCTGTAAAAAAAGTGGGTTTTTCCCATGCCCCCAAAGGGGTATTTCATATATATATGAAATATCATAATTATATATATGAATATTAAATATTATATAATTGCATTACATAACATACATAATATTATGTTTTATACATATACAATTAGTGAGAAACCAGCACTGCTTCTTCATTTAGACCTCTGTCAACATCCTTGACCAACCTGCAGGAAACCCCAAATTAGAATGCCTGCCATAGGGAAATCTAAATTATTTCACTTATAACTAGGAGGAGGTTTAGACACTCTAAGCTTGATTCATTACTTGCCTCCAAACCTGTGAGAAGTTATTTCCAAGAGGATGCTTGCCAGCTGTGACCAAATTGATGGAAAGAGCCAAAATGAGCTATAGCATGAGCACAGTTAACATAGGGAGGAATTTTGTGATTATGTGGCAAACCAAAATACTACCAAAGATTACAGAATTATTCTTGCTTAAGGTCTTCAAGAAGTAAATTTGCAAAGGATACCTTTGGTAATTTTTATTACAAGCCTAAGCAGATGTAGAGGACTAAATGTGGAGATCATTAAGAATCCCCTGGGCTCTTGTTACAGGATGTGTCCAGGGTGAAATAATATTTGCATATCTTCATCAAAATATACAAGTATGCACTTTGATTACTGGTACACATCAAATAAAGGTTTTGTATTGTGCCTATATTTCTTCATTTTCTTTGATCACAAAAATAATTAACCAGCCTTTGCAGGCACTCTCAAGCATATCCATTTAGTCACTCTGTACATGTTAGTCTAAGTGGTTAGAGTAAAGACAGTCCCAAGCCAATGAATTAATGCTTAACCCTGGAAGATTGGTTCCAATTAGTGTTCCATGTTTAATGCCAAAATTAAGAGAGATAATTATGTTAGACTTCTGTGTATAGCTTTCCAGATGCAAGTCACTTGAATGTTTAAGATGAGTGAATTCATGATAATGTATTAAGAATTTAGACATGAGTATGGTACAGTCTCTACTTTTGATGAGCTATAATATCAAGAGAAAATGGTCATGTTCATGATACATTGTGTTAAGGAAAATATCTTAAGAAGTTCACTGACTGTAGAAGCCCTTGAGAAAGCCATTCTGACTGTGTGTTCTCATTTGACTTTCTATAGGGGAAGATAGTCACAAACTTACCTGGGATGGGTATCCTAAATATTTATAAACTAGAAAGGACATAAGAGATAGTCTAATCCAACTTTATCATTTTATGAAGAAAAATCTTATGCTGGGGAATTTGAAGACTGTCTAAATAAGAAGCAACAGGCATATAATAAAACTAAAGTAGTAAATCAGGAGAAGGAGTGGAGCAAGATGGTTCAAATAGAAGGCTCCACCAATTATCCCCACCCACAGAAACACCAAATTTAGCAACTATCTACACAAAAAAAGCACCTTTATAAGAAATAAAAATCAGGTGAGCAACTATACTACCTGGGTTTAACTTCATATCAATGAAGGAGATGCTGAAGAGGGTAGAAAAAACAGTCTTGAATCACCAATGCCACCCTTCACCCATTCCCCAGAAGTAGCCATGAGGCATAGAGAAAGAATCTATGTACGTGAAAGAGGGAGAGTGCAGCAACTGTGAGAATTTGTGTTTAATTCAGTGCTGCGCTATCGCAGCAGAAAGCAAAAGTAGGCTGAGCTAAGCTGACGCTTACCCACAGAGGGAGCATACAGACCAGTGCTAGCCCAAGGGGAATCACCCATGCCAGCAGTGGGAACATGAATTCTGGCAAGCCACGTCACCATGAACTAAAGTATTCCGGGGCCATAAATAAAGTTGAAAATTCAGTCTAGGCCACAAGGACAGAAACTCTTAAATGAATCATAGTGCTGACATACAAATGACAAACAAGCATATGTAAAGATGCTTAACATCATTGGTCATCAGAGAAACACAAATTAAAACCACAATGGGATATCATTTTACCCAGTTAAAGTGACTTTTATCCAAAAGACAAGCACTAACAAATGCTGGCAAGGATGTGGAGAAAAAGAAACCCTTGTACACTGTTAGTAGAAATCTAAATTAGTACAACCACTATAAAGAACATTTCAGAAGTACCTCAAAAAACTAAAAATAGAGCTACCAGCAGTCTCACTGCTAGGTATATACCCTCCAAAAAAAGAAATCAGTATATTGAAGAGATATCTGTACTCCCTTATTTATTGCAGCACTATTCACAATAGCCAAGATTTGAAAGCAACCTAACTGTCCATCAACAGATGAATTGGTAAAGAAAATGTGGTACATATACACAATAGAGTATTATTCAGCCATAAAAAAAGAATGAAATTCTGTCATTTCAACAGCATGGATGGAACTGGAGGTCATCATGTTAAGAGAAATAAGCCAGGTACAGAAAGACAAATTTGTATGTTCTTATTTGATTTGTGGGAGCTAAAAATTAAAACAATTGACCTCATGAAGATAAAGAGTAGAATGATTACTAGAAATGGGAATGGTTAATGTGTACAAAAAAAAAGTTACAAAGAAATGAATAATACCTAGCATTTGCTAGCATAGTAGGTTGACTGTAGTCAAAAATAATTTAGTTCTACAGTTTAAAATAACTAAAAGAATATCATTGGATTGTTTCTAACAAAAAGAAGAAATGCTTACAGTGATAGATATCTCATTTTCCCTGATGTGATTACTATGCATTGCATGCCTGTATCAAAATATCTCATGTAATTCATAAATATATATGCCTACTATGTACACACAAAATATTAAAAATAAAAAAATTAAGTAAGTATATAAATGAATAAAATAGCATATTAGTCAGAATTGACTAAGTTATGCTGTAATAACAGTTTTAAAGCTTGTTTGAAATTTTAATCAATCAAGTGTGTTTTTTTAATGCAACATGAACATCACAGCAAAGATAACTCTGTTTATGATAAAAATTTATTGGTTAATGGAGGATTTATCTCAACATACACATTCATGGAAACCACAACAGATCTTAAAGTTTTAGTCCATGTCAAGACTTAAAGGAAGTCCCATGTCATATCAAATATCAGCTGAAAAGAAAATAGAATCCTACACTGTCCAAAACAAAAGCCTGGTCATAATATGATCAATTTCATTTTTCTGCATATAGATATCTAGTCTTTCCACAACTATGTATTAAAGAGACTACCATTTCTCCATTGTTTATTCCTCACATTCTTGCTTAAAATCACTTAATCATATATACATGGGTTTATTCCTGGGCTTTTTATTCTATTCTTTTGGTCTATGTGTTTTTTGTGCCAGTACCATGCCATTTTTATTACTGCAGCTTTGTGGTATATTCTGAAATTTAAAAATGTAATGTCTAGAGCTTCTTTTCTTTTTCAGTTATTGTATAAACTTTGCTTTTTTGAGGGCTTTTGTGTTTCCATACATATATTGGACTTTTTTTTACTGCTTCTATAAAATAAGCCATTGGAATTTAGATCAAGATTGCATTGAATCTACAGATTATTTTGTGTGGTGTGGACATTTAAGAACATTAATTTTTCTACTTCATGAAAACAGAATTTATTTCTATGTATTTGTGTCTGTTTTAATTTCATTCATCAATATCTTACAGTTTTCAGAGTACATCTTTCACATCCTTCATTAAGTTTATTCCTAAGTATTTTATTCTATGCTATTCTAAGTGACTTTTTAAAATTTCTATTTTTGATAGTTTGCTGTTGGTGTATAGACATTCAACTGATTTGTGTATGCTGATTTTTATCCTGCAACTTTACTAATTTTTTTTTTAGGTCTTGTTGGGAACAAGCCCCCAAAAATCTGACCATAAACTGGCCCCAAAACTGGCCATAAACAGAATCTCTGTAGCACTGTGACATGTTCATGATGGCCATAATGCCCATGCTGGAAGATTGTGGGTTTACGGGAATGAGGGCAAGGAACACCTGGCCTGCCCATGGCGGAAAACTGCTTAAAGGCATTCTTAAGCCACAAACAATAGCATGAGCAATCTGTGCCTTAAAGACATGCTCCTGCTGCAGTTAACTAGCCCAAACTATTCCTTTAATTCAGCCCATCCCTTCCTTTCCCATGAGGGATACTTTTAGTTAAATTAAGATCTATAGAAACAATGCTAATGACTGGCTTGCTGTTAATAAATACGTGGGTAAATCTCTGTTTGGGGGTCTCAGCTCTGAAGGCTGTGAGACCCCTGATTTCTGACTTCACACCTCTATATTTCTGTGTGTGTGTGTCTTTAATTCCTCTAGTGCCGCTGGGTTAGGGTCTCCCCGACCAAGCTGGTCTTGGCAAGTGGTGTCCATCATGGGAGCTCGAATCCAGGTCAAACGCTTGCCAGAGCAATGGCTGGAGAATGTGGAACTAGCTAGAGGACACCCGAGCACTCTTAAAACAATCCCCGTGGTGAGTAAGAAGGGGAGCTTGGAAGCATGAAGGTAACAATGGGACAAGTGTGGGGTATAGTTCATTCCACCTTGGAACTTTTTCACACTGATGATGAGGAGGAAGGAGAGTATAGCGAAGTAACAGAAGAGGTTACAGAGCATGTTTATTTACCAGCTAAAGCTAAAGTGGCAAAGGAAGGAGAGGTTCATCCCTACCCTTCTGCACCCCCTCATTATTATTTTGAAGAAAAAGACCCTCCAGATCTTTCTTTTCTGGAGGACACTGGGTGAAAAGTAGTTGCCCCAGGGACTGTTCAAGCAGTGCCTCAAGTGACCGCTCTTACTTCTATTCAGGCAGGAATTCAGCAAGCTAGACGAGAGGGTGATTTAGAGGCTTGGCAGTTCCCTGTTAGAATACACCCCCCAGATCAACAGGGAAATATTATAGCTACATTTGACACTTTTCCTTTTAAATTACTCAAAGAATTTAAACAAGCTATAAATCAGTATGGACCAGGTTCTCCTTTTGTAATGGGAATGTTAACGAATGTTGCTGTTTCCAGTTGGATGATTCCTACTGACTGGGACACTCTTACTCGAGCTTGTCTAACTCCTGCTCAGTTCTTACAGTTTAAAAATTGGTGGGCAGATGAAGCTTCCATTCAGGCTGCTCACAATGCCCAGGCCCACCCTCAAATTAATATAACTGCAGATCAATTTTGGGGGGTTGGCAGCTGGGCTAGTTTAGATGCACAACTGGTCATGCAGGATGATGCCATAGAACAGCTTAGAGGAGTGTGCATTAGAGCTTGGGAAAAAATCACTTCAAGTGGAGAACAATACCTTTCCTTTAGTGCTATAAAACATGGACCCAAAGAACCATACATTGATCTTATAGCTCGGTTACAGGAGTCTCTTAAAAAGATGATTGCAGATTCAGCTGCTTAGGATATAGTGTTGCAGTTATTAGCTTTCGAAAATGCTAATCCAGATTGCCAGGCTGCTCTGTGACCTATCAGAGGGAAAGCACATTTACTTGATTTTATTAAGGCCTGTGATGGTACTGGAGGTAATCTGCATAAAGCTACTTTGTTGACACAGGCAATGGAAGGACTGAGAGTGGATAAAGGAAATACTACATTTCCTGGAGCTTGTTTTAACTGTGGGAAGCATGGTCATACTAAAAAAGAATGTAGAAAAAATCAGCGAGTCAGGCTGCCAGATAGGGGAAAAAAGAAAACTGCTGATCCTGAAATATGTCCGAAATGTAAAAAAGGAAAACATTGGGCTAATCAGTGTCACTCTAAGTTTGATAAAGAAGGGAACCCAATTTCGGGAAATGCCATGAGGGGCCCATCCCGGGGCCCGGTTCTAAACTGGGGCATTTCCAGCTCAGGCCATTCCCTCACCCCTGTACAATGTCTGTCCCCCGCCACAGCCAGTAGTGCTGCAGTAGATTTATGCAGCACACAAGCTGTGAGCCTTCTGCCTGGGGAACCCCCGTGTAACGTCCCAACAGGAGTCTGTGGACCCTTGCCAGGAGGGACAATAGGATTACTTTTAGTAAGGTCTAGTTTAAGTTTAAAAGAGGTACAAATACATACAGGAGTCATTGATTCAGATTACAATGGGGAAATTCAAATTGTTATATCTACTTCTGTTCCCTGGAAAGCAGAGCCAGGAGAGCGTATAGCACAGCTGCTGATTGTGCCATATGTGGGAATGGGGAAAAGTGAAATTAAATGAACAAGAAGATTTGGAAGCACAAATAAAAAAGGCAAAGCAGCTTATTGGGTAAATCAAATTACTGATAAACGTCCTACCTGTGAAATAACTATTCAGGGAAAGAAATTTAAAGGTTTGGTAGATACAGGAGCGGACATTTCAATCATTTCTCTACAGCACTGGCCATCCGCGTGGCCAATTCAACCCACTCAATTTAACATAGTTGGAGTTGGTAAAGCCCCTGAAGTATATCAAAGTAGTTATATTTTGCATTGTGAGGGGCCCAATGGACAACCTGGGACTATTCAACCAATTATAACTTCTGTACCTATAAATTTATGGGGGTGAGATTTATTACAGCAATGGGGAGCACAAGTTCTAATTCCAGAACAATTATATAGCCCTCAAAGTCAACACACAATGCATAAAATGGGGCATGTCCCTGGTATGGGACTAGAAAAAAATTTGCAAGGTTTGAAAGAACTGCTTCAAGTGGAAAAACAAAGTTCCCGCCAAAGATTAGGAAATAATTTTTGATGGCGGCCATTGTTAAGCCTCCAGAACCTATACCTTTAAAATGGTTAACAGATAAGCCAATTTGGATACAACAATGCTGCTAAGTAAAGAGAAACTGGAGGCCTTAGAGAAAATAGTTACTGAACAATTAGAAAATGGGCACATAGCTCCAACATTTTCCCCTTGGAATTCTCCAGTTTTTGTAATTAAGAAAAAAATCAGGTAAATGGAGAATGTTAACTGACTTAAGAGCTATCAATTCAGTTATACAGCCTATGGGAGCATTACGGCCAGGATTGCCTTCTCCTGCTATAATTCCAAAAAATTGGCCTTTAATAGTCATAGATTTAAGAGACTGTTTCTTTACTATCCCCTTAGCTGAGCAAGACTGTGAACGGTTTGCGTTTACAATTCCTGCAGTAAACAACCTGCAGCCTACTAAGCATTTTCATTGTTCCACAGATGGGTCTAGTAATGGTAAAGCTTCTTATTCTGGATCAAAAAGTAAAGTTTTCCAGACATCCTATACTTCAGCTCAAAAAGCAGAGCTTGTAGCTCTAATTGAGGTATTGACTGCTTTTGATATGCCTGTTAATGTGATTTCTGATTCTTTATATGTGGTTCATTCCACACAGTTAATTGAAAATGCTCAGTTACAATTTCATACAGATGAACAACTGATGACTTTATTTACCCAATTGCAAACAGCAGTTAGAAGTAGAAGGCACCCTTTTTACATCACTCACATTAGGGCTCATACACCTCTTCCAGGACCTTTGACTGAAGGGAATCAAATGACCAATCACCTAGTTGCTAATGCAATATCTAATGCTAGACATTTTCACAATTTAACCCATGTTAATGCCTCTGGTCTCAAACGCAGATACAGACAGCATTACCTGGAAAGAGGCTAAAAATATTATCCAGTGATGCCCAACTTGCCAAATGGTACATTCCTCATCTTTTACTGGAGGAGTTAATCCTCAAGGATTGGAACCTAACTGTCTTTGGCAAATGGATGTCACACATATTCCCTCATTTTGGAGACTAGCTTATGGACATATATGTGTGGATACCTTTTCTCACTTTGTCTGGGCTACATGCCAATCAGGAGAGCCTTCTGCCTGTGTTAAACATCATCTTTTGCAGTGTTTTGCAGTGATGGGCATTCCAGCTTCTATTAAAACAGATAATGCCCCAGGCTATACTAGCCAAGCTCTAGCTACATTTTTCTCTATGTGGAATATTAAACACATTACTGGTATCCCATACAATTTTCAAGGACAAGCCATAGTGGAAAGAATGAATCTCTCCCTAAAACAGCATTTGCAAAAGCAGAAAGGGGGAAATAGAGAATATGGAACCCCACAGATGCAACTGAATCTAGCATTATTAACTTTAAATGTTTTGAGCCTGCCCAAAGGCCAGATGTTATCAGCAGCTGAACAGTTATCTACAGAAACCAGCTGCAAAAACAGAAGCAGAACAACTGATTTGGTGGAGAGATCCCATAACAAAAAGTTGGGAAATAGGGAAAATAATAACTTGGGGTAGAGGTTATGCTTGTATTTCTCCAGGCCAAAATCAACAGCTGATTTGGATATCATCAAGACACCTGAAACCTTAACATGAGCCAGATGTTGAGGAAGAGATCCCAGGAGGATCCCAAGGACCCCTCGGTTGCAGCCATGTCAAGGCTGACGCTGAGGAGGACCCCAACTGTCACAAGCAACACCCGTCGAACACAGCCACCCACCTGGGGACAGATCAAGAAGCTGTCACAGAAGGCAGAAGAAAACCTGAGGAAAGCGGGACAGCCAGTCACAATGAGTAATTTAATGGTAGCTATGATAGCGGTTATCGCCACTGCCATGAGTATTCCTTCAACAAGGGCTGACACAGAGAACAATTATACTTATTGGGCATATTTATCAATCTTGGCTGGAAACAATGCCTGGACATAATCACTCTATGACACAGTTACACATGCTTTCTGATCTCAGTATTTACCATAATAAATCTGCTCCTATAATTGAGGCATACCACCTTCAAAAACCTATTTGTAAACAAAATAGAACCTGGCCAGAAATAATGAACGTACTTGTTTAGGAAGATTGCTTTGCAGAATAGGCAGAGGTGCTGCACAATGATTCCTGTGGAATCATTATTGATTGGTCCCCTAAGGGGATGTTTAGCTTAAATTGCACCTCTCGGTCTGTGTGCCATGGCCACACTGTGTTCAGCTGATCTGAACAAAATGGTCAGATGGTAGAAATGATAAGAAGTACAGCAAAAGTTCCTATTATCTGGAACCATGGTGGTATAGTGGCACCTCAACCTCAAATGATATGGTTCGTTGTAGGAGCTAAACATAAGGATTTGTGGAAACTATTAATAGCTGTTAATAAGATCAAAATTTGGGAAAGAATAAAAACACACCTAGAAAGACACTCTACAAACTTGTCTTTGGATATTGCAAAATTAAAGAACAAATATTTAAAGCATCCCAGGCACACCTGACCTTAATGTCAGGAACTGGAGTGCTTGAAGGAGTTACAAACAAATTAGCAGCTAGTAACCCATTAAAATGGATAAAAACACTTGGAAGCTCTGTGATTTCAATGATGATTATGCTTTTAATCTGTGTTGTTTGTCTTTGTATAGTCTGCTGATGTGGATCCTGACTCCTGTGAGAAGTAGCTCACCATGACAAAGCTGCCTTTGCTTTTATTGATTTGCAAATCAGAGAAGGGGGACATGTTGGGAACAAGCCCCCCACAATCTGGCCACAAACTGGCCCCAAAACTGGCCATAAACAGAATCTCTGTAGCACTGTGACATGTTTGTGATGGCCATAAAGCTCACGCTGGAAGGTTGTGGGTTTACTGGAATGAGGGCAAGGAACACCTGGCCCACCCAGGGTGGAAAACCGCTTAAAGGCATTCTTAAACCACAAACAATAGCATGAGCAATCTGTGCCTTAAGGACATGCTCCTGCTGCAGTTAACTAGCCCAACCTATTCCTTTAATTTGGCCCATCCAAAGGGATACTTTTAGTTAATTTAAAATCTATAGAAACAATGCTAATGACTGGCTTGCTGTTAATAAATATGTGGGTAAATCTCTGTTTGGGGCTCTCAGCTCTGAAGGCTCTGAAACCCCTGATTTCCGACTTCACACCTCTATATTTCTGTGTGTGTGTCTTTAATTCCTCTAGTGCTGCTGGGTTAGGGTCTCCACAACTGAGCTGGTCTTGGCAAGGTCTAACCCTTTTTTTAATGACATCTTTAGAGTTTTCTAAATATAAGATCATGTCATCTGCAAACAGGATTTTTGCATCTATGTTTATTAAGTATATCAGCCTGTACTTTTCTTTTCTTGTGATGTCTTTTTCTTACTTTGGAATCAGGGTGATACAAGACTCATAAAATGAGTGTGGAAGTATTCTATCTTCTATTTTTTGGGAAACTTTAAGAAGAATTGGTGATAATTCTTCAAAAGGTTGGTAAAATTCCCCTGTAAAGCCATCTGAACAAGGGATGTTTTTTAGGGGGGAGGTTTTTAATTACTGTCTCAACCTCTTTATTTGTTATTGGTTCTTTCAGGCTTTCTGTGTCTTAATTTAGTCTTGGTAGATTGTATGTTCTTTAAAATGTATTCTCTTTTTTTAGGTTGTCCAATTTGTTGGTTTATAATTGTTTTTAATAGTTTCTTATAATTTTTTTATGTGGCATCAGTGATAATGTCTCCTTTTTAATTTCTCTTTTTTTTTTTTTTTTTTTTGAGACAGAGTCTCACTCTGTCACTCAGGCCAGAGTGCAATGGCATGATCTTGGCTCACTGCAACCTCCACTTCCCGAGTTCAAGCGATTCTCCTGCTTCAGCCTCCTGAGTAGCTAGGATTACAGGCATGTCCCACCATACCTGGCTAATTTATGTATTTTTAGTAGAGATGGGGGTTTCACCGTGTTGTCCAGGCTGCTCTCGAACTCCTGACTTCGTAATCCACCTGCCTCACCCTCCCAAAATGGTGGGATTACTGGTGTGAGCCACTGCATTCAGCGATTTCTAATTTTATTAGAGTCTTTGCCTACATTTTTTTCTTAGTCTAGCTAAAGACATATTGATCTTTTCAAAAAAACAACTCAGTTGTATTTTTATTGATTTTCTATTCTCCATTTTATTTATTTATGCTTGAATAATCATTTTCTTCTCTGTTAACTTTGGGGATAGGTTATTGTTTTTCTGTTTTCTTGAGATGTAGAGTTAGATTGCTTATTTAGATCATTCTTCCTTTATTGTAGTCATTTATTGCTATAAATTTCTCTCTTAGTACTACTTTTGCTGTATGCCATAAAGTTTCATATGTTGTGTTTTCATTTTTATCTGGAGATATTTTCTAATCTCCTTTTTGATTTCTTCTTTGACTCATTGTGGTTGTTCAAGGCTATGTTGTTTAATTTTTACATATTTTTGGATTTTCTAGTTTTCTTTCGAGTACTGATTTCTAATTTCACTCCATTGTGGTCAAGTAAGGTAATTAGTAAGATATCAGTCTTCTGAAATTTGTTAAGACTTCCTTTGTGACTAACATGTGAGAAAAATTTCTCCATCCTGGAAAAATATACACGTGCCCTTGAGAAGAATGGGTATCTGCTATCATTGAATGAAATGTTTCATTAGGTTCATTTGATCCATAATGTTATTAAAGTCCTCTGTTTCCAAATGGATCTTCTGTCTGAATGTTCTGTCCATTATTAGAAGTAGGGTATTGGAGTCTCCTACTATTATTCTATTGCTGTTTCCCCCATAAGTTCTTTCAATGTTTATATATTTAGGTGTTCTGATTTTGGGTGCATATATATTTATAAAGGTTAAAACTTTTTAGTAGGTTGACCCTTTTATCTTTATAAAATGTCCTTTTCTCCTGTGAGAGCTTTGGACTTAAAGTCTATTTTGTCTGAAATAGGTACAGCCAATCCTGCTATATTTTGGTTGCCATTTCCACTAAATATCTTTTATCATTCCTTCACGTTTAATTTCTGTTCTTAAATACAAACAGAGTTTCCTGTTTAAAGAAAATAGTTGTATGCTGTTTCTGTATCCATTTAGTCACTTGATGGCTTTTGATTGGGGTGTTTAGTTCATTTACATTTAAAGTAATTATCGATTAGTAAGGACTTACTATTGTCATTTTGTTCATTGTTTTCTGTCTGTTTTGAAGTTCTTTTGTTCCTCTTTTCTCTTGATGTAATCCTTTTTGATTTGATGATGATATTTAGGGATATGTTCTGATTCCTTTCTCTTTATATTTGTGTATCTACTATACGTTTATTTTTCTTTGTAGTGACCATGAACTGTTTTATTGTTATAACAGTCTATTTTAAGCTACTAGCAACTTAACTTCAATCACATAAAAATTCTATACATTTCCCACCACACACATTTCATGTTACTAATATCAGATTTTACTACTTCTTATATGATGTATTCATTATTTTTTAGTTATACTTATTACCTTTGTCTTTTAACTTTTTCAATAGAGTTAAAAAGTGATTTGTGTAGCATCACTGTTATTATACTGATCTGCATTTGTCTATATATTTACCTTTTTATATGCTTTCATATTGCCTTTTAGCATGTTTCTAATTTCAACTTGAAGAACTCCCTTCAGTACTTTCTGAAAGGCAGGTTTAATTGTAATAGACTCCCTAATTTTTTTCTCTGAAAAAGTTTTTATTGAAATTTCATTGTTAAAGGGTTTTTTTTTTCCAGATACATTACTTTTGGTTGGCAGTTTTTCCTTTTAGCCCTTTGAATATATCATTGCAATCTCTCCTGACTTGCTAAGTTTCTGCTGAAAAATACATTGATAGTTTTATGGAGGTTCCTTTGTATGTGATGAGTCATTTCTGCCTTGCTATTTTCAAACTTCTCTATTTCTCTTTGACTTTGGCAATTCAATTATAATGGGTTTTAATGTAGGTATTTTTAGTTTCAAACTCTTTGGAATCTTTTAAGCTTTGTGAATCTGGATGTCAGTTTTTTTCCCAAGACTTGGGAATTTTCAGTCATTATTTATTTAAATAAGGCTTCCACCTTTTTTTCTTCTCCTTCTAAGACTTCCAGAACACATATATTTGCTACCCTGTTGGTGTCCCATAAGTTGCATAAGCTTTCTTTTTTCCATTTCTTTTCCTTTTTACTCCTATAACTGGATAATTCCAAATGACCTGACTTCTATTTTATTGATTTTTTTTTGCTTCATTAGTCTGATGTTAAAGGTCTCTATTCAATTTTTTAGTTCATTTTACTCCTAGCTCTAGATTTTATGATTCCCATATTTTTGTTGAATTTCTAGTTTTGTTCATGTATTATTTTCCAGATTTCATTTTGTAATCTCCTTCCAACTTCTATTTTAGGTTGAAGGTGGACATTTACATGTTTGTTACATGGGTAAATTGAATGTCATGGGGGATTTGTGTACAGATAATATCATCAAGGTAATCTGCATAATACATGGTAGGTAGTTTTTCAATCCTTATCCTCTTTTCAAACTCTATCCTCAAATAGGTCTCAGTGTGTATTTTTCTTTTCTTTGTGTCCATGTGTACTCATTGTTTAACTTCTTATATGTGAGAACATGCAGTATTTGGTTCTCTGTTCCTGCATTACTTTGCTTGGAATAATAACCTCTAGCTCCATCCATGTTTCTGGAAAAGACATGATTTCATTCATTTTTACAGCTGCACAGTATTCCATGGTGTATAGGTACATTTTCTTAATCCAGTCCACCATGAGAGGGCATCTAGTTTGATTTCACATATTTGCTCTTGTAAATATTGCTGCAAGGAATATACATGTGCATGTGTCTTTATGGTAGATCAGTGTATAGTCCTTTGGGTGTATACCCAGTAATAAAATTACTGAGTTAAATGGCAGTTCTATTTTAAGTTCTTTGAGAAATCTCCAAACTGCTTTCCACAGTGGCTGAACTAATTTACATTCCTATCAGTAGTGCATAAGCATTCCCTTTTCTCAACAACTTCATCAGAATCTGTTATTTTTTTACTTTTTAATAATCACCATTCTAACTGGTTTGAGGCAACACTGTGGTTTTGATTTGTATTAACATAATGATAAGTGATGTTGAGCATTTTTTTCATGTGCTTGTTGACCACGCGTATGTCTTCTTTTCAGAAGTGTTTGTTAATGTCCTTTGCCCATTTTAATGAGGTTGTTTTCTGCTTATAGATTTGAGTTTCTTATAGATTTTGGATATTAGCCTTTTGTCAGATGCATAGTCTGCAAATATTTTCTCTCATTCAGTAGGCTGTCTGTTTACTCTGTTGATAGTTTTTATGTTGTTGTTGTGCAGAAGCTCTTTAGTTTAATGAAGTACCACTTGTCAATTTTTATTTTGTTGCAATGTTTTCATAGCATTAGGATCTACATTTAAGTCTTTAATCCACCTTGAGTTGGTTTTGTATATGGTGAATGGTAAAGGTCAAGTTTCAATGTTCTACATATGGCTACTAAGTTATCCTAGCATCATTTACTAAATGGGGAGTCCTTTTCCCATTGTGTATTATTGTTGACTTTGTTGAAGATCAGATGATTGTAGGTGTGTGGTTTTATTCCTAGGTTCTCTAACCTATTCCATTGTTCCATGTGTTTGTTTTAGTATTAGTACCATGCTGTTTTAGTTACTGTATAGGCTTGTACTGTAGTTTGAAGCTGGGTAGTGTAATGCCTTTGGCCTTCAATTTTGTTTTTTGTTTTGTTTTGTTTTTGCTTTGGATTACTTTGGCTACTCAGACTCTTTTATGGTTCCATATGAATTTTAAAATAATTATTTCTAACTCTGTGAAAAATGTCTTTGGTAATTTGATAGAAATAGCACTGAATCTGTACATTGCTTTGGGTAGGATGGCTAAGTTAACAATATCAAGTCTTCCTGTCTATAAGCATGGAATGTTTTTCTATTTGTTTGTGTCATCTCTGATTTCTTTCAGCAGTGTTTTGTAATTCTCATTGTAGAGATGGTTCACCTCCCTGGTTAGTTGGATTCCTAGGTATTCTATTCTTTTTGTGGCTATTGTGACTGGGATTGCATTCTTGATTTGGCTCTCAGCTTGGACATTATTGGTGTATAGAAATGCTTCGGATTTTTTTCAATAAGTTATTGGAGTACAGGTGGTATTTGGTTATATAGTAAGTTCTTTAGTGGTGATTTGTGAGATTTTGGTGCACCCATCACCCAAGCAGTATACACTGCACCATATTTGTAGTCTTTTATCCCTCACCCCCCTCCCTCTCTTCCCCTCAAGTCCCCAAAGTCCATTGAATCATTCTTATGCCTTTGTGTCCTCATAGCTTAGGATGTATCACATATCAGTGAGAACATATGATGTGTGGTTTTCCATTCCTGAGTTACTTCAATTAGAATAATACTCTTCAATCTCATCCAGGTGACTACAAATGCTGTTAATTCATTCCTTTTTATAGCTGCATAGTATTCCATCACATATATACATGCATATATACTTCTTGTATAAGTTTTTGGATTTCCTTGCATTGAGCTTTGTCTTTCTCTGGTTCCTCCCTGATTAGCTTAATAACTAACTTCCTGAATTCTTTTTTGGGTAAATCAGGGATTTCTTCTTGATTTGGATCCATTGCTGGTAAACTAGTATGATTTTGGGGGAGGGTTGATGAGCCTTGTTTTGTCATATTACCAGTGTTGGTTTTCTGGTTCCTCCTCATTTGGGTAGGCTCTGTCAGAGAAGGCTGTTCAGATTCTTTTGTCCCACGGGGTGTTCCCTTGATGTAGTACCTTCCTCCTTCTCCTATGGATGTGGCTTCCTGTAAGCCAAACTGCAGTGATTGTCTGTCTTCTGGGTCTAGTCACCCAGTGAGTCTACCTGGCTCTGGGCTGGTACTGGGGGTTGTCTGCACAGAGTCCTGTGATGTGAACCATCTATGGGTCTTTCAGCCGTGGATATCAGCACCTGTTCTGGTGGAGGTGGTGGGGGGTGCAATGGACTCTGTGGGGGTTCTTAGCTTTTGTGGTTTAATGCTCTATTTTTGTGCTAGTTGGCCTCCTGCCAGGTGGTGGCACTTTCCAGAAAGCAACAGCTTTAGTAGTACAGAGAGGGACCAGAGGTGGGCAGGGCCCTAGAATTTCCAAGATTATATGCCCTTTGTCTTCCATTACCAGGGTATATAGGGAAGGATCGTCAGGTGGGGTTGGGGCATCCAATCTCAGACTTGGGCGGGTCTTGCTGCAGCTGCTGTGGGGGATGGGGGTGAGATTCCCAGGTCACTGTTGTTGTGTACCTAGGATGATTATGGCTGTCTCTGCTGAGTCATGTAGGTTGTCAGGGAAACGGGGGAAAGCCAGCAGTCACAGGCCCCACCCAGCTCCCACACAAACTGAAGGGCTGGTCTCACTCCCACTGTGCCCCCTCCCCTCAACAGCCCCAAGTCTGTTTCCAGGTGGAGGGGGTGATGAGCTTGAAAACTTGCCCTGGGCTACCTGCCTCCCAGCTTCAAAAGAAAACGGGTGTTTCTTCCCCCTGCCTGTGGAGTCTGCACACTGGATTTGTACCCTTCCCCGAGTCTGGCCGGGAAGCTTCTTGTCCTGTTCAAATTGTTACAAAGTTCAGCTAGAGATTTCCTTCCCCCTGTTTTACCCCCTGCTCCTATGGTCACCCTCCCAATGGATTCCTGTAATGTCAGACAGAAATGGCCTGCTAGGGGACATAGTGAGCTCTCAGGGCCTTTCTGTTGCTTCCTCTACCTCTGTATTTGGCTCGGCCCTCTGAATTGAGTCAGCTCCAGGTAAAGTCAGAAACTTCTCCCGCAACAGAACTTCAGCTTCTCCAGTGTGGGTGTGTGTTTGGGAGAGGAGGATTTCTCTTTCCCACTTCCACAGTTGGGGCACTCACAGTATTTGGGGTGTCTCTCATATCCTGCAAGAGCAGTTTACTTCCTTCAGAGGGTCTGTGGGTCCTCTCAGGATTCCTGGTTTGTTGTTACCATTGATCTGGAGCTAAAATTCACAGTGCAAGCTTCTGCACGCTGCTCTGTCCAGAGTTGCAATCTAGTCCTGTCTCCCATCCACCACGATGATCGAAAGCCTTTTTCTGCTTTTTGTACATTGATTTTGTACCCTGAATCTCTGCTGAAGTTGTTATCAAATCCAGGATCCTTTGGATAGAGACTATGGGGTTTTCTAGGTATAGTATTATATCATCTGCCAAGAGAGATAGTTTAAATTCCTCACTTCATATTTTGATTTTATTTCTTTATCTTTCCTGATTGCTCTGGCTAGGACTTCCAGTACTATGTTGAATAGGAGCACTGAGATTTGGCATCCTTGTTTTGTTCCAGGACTCAAGGAGAATGCCTCAACTTTTTGCCCATTTGGTATGATGTGTACTGTGGGTTTGTCATAGATGACCCTTATTATCTTGAGGTATGCTCCTTTAATGACTAGGTTGTTGTGACTGCCTTTGCTTATCTGTGTTCTCTTAGGGCTCAGTGATCTTCTTTAGGATGATTATTTTAACTTCCTTGTCAGGTAGTTTATAGATTTCCATATCTTTTGTGTCAGTTACTGGAGCTTTATTTTATTCCTTTGGTGTTGTCATTTTTTCCTGATTCTTCATGATCTTTGTATCCTCACGTTGGTATCTGTACTTTTGAAGAAGCATTTACATATTCTAGCCTTTATAGACTGGCTTCAGCAGTAAAAGCCCTTCATCATTAAGTCCGGCCAAAGACTCTGGGAGAGCCAATTGGCAAGGTCTACAGGCTAGCCATTTGGCAGGGTTGTTTAATGGTCCCAGCGCTAGGATCCACAGTTGGGCAAGCCCACCACTAGGGTCTGCAAGCTGACTACTGAGATCTGTGCTGTGGTTGTTGACAGCCTGCACATTTTTTTGTTGTTCTTAGCTACTTCCAGATGATCTAGATGTGTTGATTGCCTCAGCGTCCTGGGTGAGGGATTACATGTGTGCCTCTCAAGTAATGCATCTAAATGCTGGGGATGTCCCATACACACTTTCATCTATCTCCCATGGGAGAACTCACAGGCCAAGATGATCTCTCTTGACACTGGGCTGTGCCAGCTTGGGACAGGTGTAATGCAGGTAAAGTAAAACTGTTCTTCTTAGTCTTTCAGTGCATTTTACCCATTTTTGTGGTCCACACTGCTGCAACCTCTACCCTGAATTCCAGAGCTTTCATAAAAGTATTTCATCTATGGATGGTTATTAAATCAGTGTTTCTGTTGCTGAAAAAGGTTAGGACCTCTTTAGTTCCCCCTCTTTCTTACTTCCCTCCTGTTATGTTTATTTGTTTTGTAATCTGTGTATTTGCTTACTGTTTATCAATAATTCTTACTTATTACCTCCCCAAATTTTACCTCCCTTTCCTTTCAGTCTTTCTTTTCTTCTCTTAAACATATGCATTTCTTAGATTTAAACATAAAATCACTTTCACACTCCAAATTTGATGTCTTTTTTCTTTCCTTGTTGTTCTTTTCATCATTTCTTTTTTACATACTACAGTATGGACAAATCCTTCTAGACCATCTTCTAATTTAAAAAATGTATACTAGCAGTGTGTAGTCCACTATCAAAATCACTCATTGAGATCTCATTTTAATTTTTTTATGTCTATAAGTTCTAATTGAATTTACATTTTTTATTTTTTTAAATTTCTGAATATATTTCAACCTTATTTTTATTCCTTTAAACATACTAAGCATAGTTTCACAATCTTTGTCTATTAATACCAATATAAAATGTCTGTGGTTTTCTGTCTATTGCTTTTATTGTTTTGTTTGTTTGCTTACAGTATCTTATTTCTTTGAGTGCCTTACCATATTTGATTGGGTAAAAATATTTTTACTTCAAAATTATTTTTATAGCTCACTTAAAGCATAGGACAAATGTACTGTTCCTTACAGAATACATGCATTTGCTTCTGCCACATGTGCTTGTCAATAAAGTCAACAATCATTTTAAATTGAGGCTAACTCACAGGTTTTCAGGATCATGAAGACTATATGAACTTAGCCTGTAGAACATCACATGGAAGAGTTTACTCTTACCCTGAGGGTGTGTTAATGAAATCCACAATTTACTCTAGGAAGAATCTTCTATTTCATTCCTCTAACTATGCAAGCTTGTTTATCCTTCTTATTCAACAAAGTCATCGAAAATTAAAGTTGCAATTTCCCCAAATCAGCACATGCTCTCAAAGCAAAAGCAGTATTTTACTCTCATTTATTTCTGGATTCCTATTTTTACATTAATTTTGACCTGGTAATTTTTTACCATGTTGTTAGTTCTTCCATGTCTTTAAAAGATTTTACCTTTTATAGTTTATCAAAAAATTTTAGCTGTTTTCAGTGTTAGAGTTTGTCAAAATTATATAAACAGCCATTATCAGAAACCAGAAGCCTAGGCTGGCAAACTTCTGTGGGGTATTTGTTAATGTATTCATGAAACAAAAGTTTATTGAGCACCAGGGATCTACTATGCATTCTGTTGGTCATGGAGAAATTAGACTGTGGCTCTAGCAAAAATAAGTTTATAATCAAGGGCTTACTGTGCAATTCAAACCCCTCTGCCCTCCTGTTATAATACATGATATAAAGAAAGATAAGATAAAATAGGAAAAGATCAGAGGAGCAGTAGAGTAGTGTTTAAGACCATAGGCTATGAAATCCTGTCCCTACTCTTACTAGCTATCTAACTTTGGGCAAGTTGCCAATTCTCTCTATGCCTCAGGGTCCTCACTTATAAAATTGACATAATTAGAGTAACCACTTTATTATGTTTCTGTGGAAATTAAATTAATTAATACATATAAAGCTGTTGGAATATATATAATCTACTTGAGCAGTCAAAAATGTTAGTTATTTTTATCATATTATATGCAGTAGAGTGCCAACTAATTCTACAGTACTTTCTATTTAAGCTTTTTCAACACTAACAACTTTTTAAAAAATCATTGACTTTATGTAGCCTCTATCTGGACATACATTCCAGGCATTAATCAACACGTATTTTGTTTATTGCCCCCTATTTGGCATCAGGCAGTGGAGCTCACCTGGTTCTAAAATAATATGCCAAATGTATTTTATTATTCTCTTGTTTGGACCTCAGGTGGAGAGGGCTGAATAGTCATACTAATTAGTTCATAGCACAGGTGTCGAGGGTTGAGTAATTATACTAATTAGCTCATATACGCCATCCTTATTGGTCCATGCAAGGTCTCTCCTGTGTTATTTATTTACATATTCCCTTTTACCACCCTTCTTCATTTCTAGTCTCCCTTCCCCAAGGAACTAGTCTAGTGCAGTTTTGTATCTCCTTGAATTTATGTGAATACTTGTGAATGCTTATTGGTATATGTGAAATGTGTCAAATTTATGGTAATTTAAGTAAACTCCAAAATGCTTTCAAATCCTTTTCCAATGCCATGCACAACAAACACTTCACAATAGCCTCACAAACACACATACTAAGTTTGTGTTATTTACCCAATCAAGCCAGAAAATTCAGAATGTTATTTTATTTCCCCAACTCTCTCCACTCTCAACCAAACCCTACCAATTCTACCTTAGAAATGTCTGCCAAATTCATGTCCTTCTCTCATTTCACAGCTATTAAATTTCAAGCCCTCATCAATTTATTTCCTTACAACTGCATCAGTGTAGTGTCTCCCTTGCCAAAGCTAACCTCCACATTGCCGCCAGAGTAATTTTTTCAAGTAAAATTAATTAAAAACAGATCATGATTCTGACTTAATCAATAACGTCCAGTAACTCCCATTGCCCACAGGAAAAATTCTAAGCTCTTGGTAGGGCTTTAAAAATCATTTACATATTTTGGTGCCAAGATGGCTGATGAGAAACAGCTAGTTAGTGTGTGCTACTCTCTCAGAGAGGAAACAGAGCAACAAGTAAACAATAGCTCCTCAAGTGGATCATTCAGGATGCCATTTTGTGATTCATCAAGGAAGCAATGGTGATCCATGGAGAGCAGAGGAGCACGGCAGGACAGTCATCCACCCATCACTGGCATGAAGGCAAAGGAGGCTCCTCAACACAAGAAACAGGTAAGTGAATAAGAGACCCCAAGGACCCACATTTCCCCAGGGGACCTTTGCAATCCTGTACATGAGAGATTCCCCTGCCCCACTTCCCCCTGGGGTATTCAGAATGACATAAAGAGCTGCATGGGGCCTGGGCAGAGCCAGTGCTCAGGGCCACATAGAGCCCCAAAGCCCTTGGATCCCTGAGCACCCTGGCACCAGCAGCCAGATCCCCACTGGCTACAAACAAAGACAGGCTTTCTTGCACATCCTCAGGATAAGGGCTGCATCCATGGTGGTGCAGACAGACTGTAAGCCTTGCCTCCTCTGCACCTCACCAAGCAAACCCCACTGGCCTGGGGCCCCAGTGTAGCCATTACACCCCTGCCTGAGCACTCTAGCCAGTTGGGACTCTCCATTTCTCTGGAATGAAGCTCCAAAGGTTGACAGGCCCACTGCAATTGTCACTGCTGCAGCCCCTGCCCCTGCTGCCATCAGGCTGGGGAGGGACTGAAGAGCCCAAGAATGGTCTCAGGCCTCCTGGACACTGCATTAACATATAGAAATCTGGCCAGACTCTTTTCCACATGGGTCCTTGCCTCTGCTACTCCTCATTGGACAGGTCCTCCTGACCTGGGTCCCTAGTGCAGCTGCCCTGTCTCCACCTGATTATTTAAGTTGGTGGTGGCTCTGCCTTCTCTCAGGTGGAATTTCCAGAGACAGCAGAGGATCTCTGCCATTGCCACTGCAGCAATACCTGCCCTTGTTGTCTTTGTGCTGGGGAGCAAACAAAGACCCTGATCACTTCACTCACAATCCAACACCATGCAGCCACCCTATGGAGAGGGGGCCACTCTCTCTTCTTGTAAGCCCCTGACTCCCTGCTCTATACCAAGAAGGGTATATTAGTCCATTTTCACACTGCTATAAGAACTTCCCTGAGACTGGGTAATTTATAAAGAAAAGAGTTTTAATTGACTCACAGTTCCACATGGCTGGGGAGGCCCCGGGAAACTTACAATTATGGCAGAAGGTAAAGGAGAAGCAAGTACCTTCTTCACAAAATGGCAGGAAAGAGAGAAGAGTGAAGGAGAAACTTCCAAACACTTATAAAACCATAAGATCCCATGAGAACTCACTATTAAGAGAACAGCATGGGGGAAACTTCCCCCATGATCCAATCATCTCCCTCCTTCAACACATGGGGATTACAGCTCCCTCTCCCTACACATGGAGATTATAATTCAAGATGTGATTAGGGTGGGGACACAGAGCCAAACCATATCACACAGCCTCAGCTTAGGCCCACAGTGCAGCTACCCCAATTCCAGCTGAACATTCCCATTGGCAATGGCTCTGTATCTTTCTGGGGTGGAGTTGTCAGAGGTAACTGGCAGCCCCTTTGTTATTGCTGCTGCAATGGTAACTGCCCCTGTTGCCACCAGGCAGGGAAAGAAACACAAAGCCTGAGTGCTCTACTGGCACTTCCAGCATGCCATAGCCACCCTCGAGAGAGGAAGCCAGACTATCTTCCCTGACAGTTCCCTGACTCTCCCACCCCATCCCACCCCACGCCCTCTGCCAGGCAGGTCTCCCTGGCTTGGACCTGCAATGTGGCTGCCCTACCCATGGGAGATTATTCTGATTGGCAGCAGCTCTGTTTCTCTGAGGTGGAGGTCCCAGAGACCAATGACAAGCCCTCTGCCATTGCCACTGCCAAGGTCCCTGCCCCTGTTGCCCCAAAGCTGTGGAGTTAACAGAAATCTCAAGTTCACTTAAGATCTGCAGTGTACAGCTCAGGAGGACCAAGCTGAGATCTGCGGCCAGCAATGAAGCAGGAGAAGAGCCCACACACTCAGAGCACTGAAAGGGAGCATGGCCGCAAATGCAAGGAAATATGGAGGAGCCACATGGCTGAGTAGGAGCCTATCTACTGAACATTATGCTTAAGCATCTCTACTGGATTCAAGCCAAAACTACAACAACCAAAAATACTGTGCTAATATACCCACCCTGTGAAAACAAGGGCAAGAATCCAGCCAAAAATAAAGACCCTATACAAAGTTTCAGCCTTCTAAAAACATCCAGAAATGAAGCCAACTGACTATACTCGAATTACGTCACAGTTAAAGGAACATCAGCCCACACTGAGGAGAAAGAACTAGCACAAGAACTCTGGCAACTCTAAAAAGCCAGATTGTCTTCTTTCCTCCAAATGATCCATTAGCTCCCCAACAAGGGTTCTTAACCAGGCGAAATGGCGAAAATTACAGGTGTAGAATTTAGAATCTGGATGGCAACCAAGGTCACTGAGATTCAGGAAAAAATTGAACCCAATCCAAGGAACGTATAGAATTCACAAAAATAACTGAAAAGCTAAAGACATAATAGCCATTTAAGAAATAACTAAACTGATCTTATAAAGCTGAAACATATACTATAAGAAATTTATCACCAGGCACGGTGGCTCATGTCTGTAATCCCAAGACTTTGGGAGGCCGAGGTGGGCAGATCACCTGAGGTCAGGAGTTCAAGACCAGCTTGACCAAAATGGAGAAACCCTGTCTCTACTAAAAATACAAAAATTAGCCAGGCATGGTGTTGTGCACCTGTACTCCCAGCTACTCATAGGAGAATTGCTTTAACCTGGAAGGTTGCAGTGAGCCGAGATCGCACCATTGCACTCCAGCCTGGGCAACAGAGCAAGATTCCGTCTTGGGAAAACAAAAAAACAAAAGAACTTTACCATACAATAAGAAGTATTAAGAGCTGAATGAATAGACCAAGATGAGGAATGAATGCCAGAACTCAAAAACTAGTTCTTTGAATCAACTCGGACAAAAATAAAGAAAAAATAATAGAAAAGAATGAATAAAACCTCCAGGAAATATGGGATTATATAAAGAGGCCAAACTTATGACTCATCTGCATCCCTAAAAGAAAGCAAGCAACTTGGAAAACATATTTTAGAATACTGTCCATGAAAATTTTTCTAACCTTGCTAGAGAGGTCAACATTCAAATTCAGTAAATTCACAGAACCCCTGAAAGACACTATGCAAGTAAACAATTTCCATGATGCACAGTCAAATAATTCTCCATGTCAACAAGAAAGAAAAGATATTAAAGGCAACTAGAGAGAAGGGGCAGGCAACCTTAAAAGGAAACCTCATCAGACTTACAGTGGACCCTTCAGCAAAAACCCTTCAAGCCAGAAGAGATTGAGGGCCTATTTGCGGCATCCTTGAAGAAAAAAAAATTCCAACCACGAATTTCATATTCAGTCAAATTAAGCTTCGTAGGTGAAGAAGAAATATTTTGAGACAAGCAAATGCTAAGAGAATTTCTCATAGCCATATCTGCCTTATGAGAGGTCCTCAAGGGTGTGCAAGACATGGAAATGAAAGAACGTTAATGGCTACCACAAAAACACACTTAAGTACCTAGATCACTGACACTATAAAGCAACTACACAATCAATCTACGTGACAACCAGCTAACAACATGATGAAAAGATCGAATCTACACATATCAATATTAATCTTTAGTGAAAACAGGCTGAATTCCCCCATTTGAAAGGAGCAGAGTGGCAAGTTTTATAGAAAAGCAAGACCCAACTGTATACTGCCTTCAAGATATCTATCTCACATGCAATGACACTCATAGTCTCAAAATAAAGAGATGGAGAAAGGTCTATCGAGCAAATAAAAAAGAAAGAAAAAGCAGAGGTTGCTATTCTTATTTCAGACAAAACAGTCTTTAAACCAGCAATGATCAGAAAGGACAAAGAGAGGCATTACATAATAATAAAGGGTTCAATTCAGCACAAAATTTAACAATTCTAAGTATATATTTACCCAACACAGGAGCACCCAGATTCATAAAACAAGTTTTTAGAGAACTACAAAGAGACTTAAATAGCCAAAAAATAATAGTGGGAGACTTCAACACCCCACTGACAGTATTAGAAAAATCACTGAGGCAGAATTCTGAAAAAGATATTCAGGACCTAAACCCAACACTTGAACCAATACACCAAACCGACATCAATAGAACACTGCACTCAAAAACAACATAATACACGTTATTCTCATCTGCCAATGACATATACTCCAAAATCGACCACACACTCAGGCATGAAGCAATTCTCAACAAACACAAAACACCCAAAATTATACCAACCACAATTTCAAACCACAATGCAATGAAAATAGAAATCAATACCCAGAAAATCCCTCAAAACCATACAATTACATGGAAATTAAGAAATCTGCTCCTGAATGACTTTGGGGTAAAGAATAAAATTAAGGAAGAAATAAGAAAATACTTTGAAACTAATGAAAACAAAGAAACAACCTACCAGAATCTTTGGGACACAGCTAAAGCAGTGTTAACAGGAAAGTTCATAGTGCTAAGTACCCATATCAGAAAATTAGAAAAATACCAAATCAACCACTAAAACCACATCTAAAGGAACTAGAAAAACAAGAGCAAACCAACCTCAAAGCTAGAAGAAGAAAATAACCAAAATCAGAGCTGAACTTAATGAAATGGAGATGAGAATAACCATATAAAAGATCAAAAAAACAGAAGTTGGGTTTTACATAATACTTCTGAAATAATAAATACATTAGTGGACCACTAGCTAGACTGACAGAAAAAAAAAAACAGAGAAGATCCAAATAAACACAATCGGATATGAAAAAGGAAACACTTCCACTGGCACCACAGAAATATAAAAAACCCTCAGGGGCTATGATGAACATCTGTATACACACAAACTAGAAAGCCTAGAAAAAACGGACAAATTCTTGGAAGCATACAACCTCCCAAAATTAAACCAAGAAGAAATTGAATCCATGAACAGATCAATAACGAGTTCTGAAATTAACTCAGTAATAACAGGCCTACTAACAAAAAAATAAAGACCTAGCTAGGCCAGATGAATTCTCAGCCAAATTTAACCAGACATACAAAGAAGAGTTTGTACAGATCCTACTGAAACTATTTTTAAAAATCAATGAGGAGATAGGAGAGAAGGAAAATGGTGGATAGGAGGCAGGACTGAACTGTAGCTCCAACTAGGAGGGCAAGAACAGCATATGGAGATTCACCTTGTGAACTTTTGCTCCAAGAACTACCACAGGAACATGCCAGGAAGCCGAGAGAATCCACAGACCCTTCAAAGGAAGCAGAATGCTCCTGCGGGCCCTAGGAGACAGCTGAAAAACTGAGTACCCAAAGTGTGAAAGTGTGAAAGGGAGATTGTCCACCCCCAAACACACACCCTCACTGTGGAACCTGAAGGTCCACATCACAGGAGAAGGATCTGACCTTACCTGAAGCTGAGACAAATTTAGAAAGCTGACCAAAATACATGGATGGAAGAAGCAGCAGGAAGAGCCCTCTGAGCTCTCTCAGTCCCCAGGTAAGCCATTTCTGACTTTGTCTCACAGAGGTCCTTGTAGAAGACTGCCAGAGGAACTAGGAAAAGACCACAGGGAGAAGGAAACTTCCAGCTGAACTTTGTAACAATTTCAACCAAATGTGAAGTTTCCTGGAGAGAACTCAGGAGACGGGGCGAATCAGGAGTGCAGACAGCACTGAAGCCACAGCAGGCAGGGAGATGGGAAACCTGAAAGCCCTGCTTGCTTTCTCAGCACGGAGGCTGGTAGCCTGGGGCAAGTTCTCAGCCCTGCTCACCTGCTGCCTGGAAGTAAACTTGGTGCTGGTGGGGGACACTGTGAGAGTGAGACGGGCCTATTGGGCTGCATGGGAGCTGGATGAGACCTGTAACTGCCACTTTTCCCCCACTTCTCTGGTGACCTGTGTGACACAGCAGAGGCAGCCATAATCACCCTGGGAACATACTTCCATTGGACTGAGAACCACACCACCACCCCCAGAGTATCAGCAGCAAGCCCCACCCAAGGAGATTTGAGCTCAGACATGCCTAACTCTGCCCCCACCTGATGGTCTTTCTCTACCTGTCCCAGTAGCTGAAGACAAAAGACATAATCTCTTGGGAACTCCAGGGCCCTGTCCACAGCCTGATCCTACCTATACTATTGTAGTTGATGCTCTCTTGAAAGTACTGCCACCTGGCAGGAAGCCAGCCAACACAAAACTAGTGCAATAAACAAACTACCTCTGAGAACCCTCACAGAGTCCATTTCACTCTTCTGCCACCAACACTGGAGAAGGTGCTGCTATCTACAGCTAAGACACCTGAAGATGGTTCACACCACAAGGGGTGCAGACATCTCCCCATTACCAGCCCAGAGCCCAGCAGCTTGTCTGGGTGGCTAGATCCAGAAGAGAAACAATAATCACTACAGTTTGGCTCTCAGGAAGCCACATCGCTAGGGGAAGGGGGAGAGCACTACATCAAGGGAGCACCCCATGGGACAAAAGAAAATGAACAGCAGCCCATGAGCTCCAGAACTTCCCTCTCACATAGTCTACCCAAATGAGAAGGAATCAGGAAAACAATTCTGGTAATAGGACAAAACAAGTTCTTTAACACCAACAAAAGACCACACTAGCTCACCAGCAATGGATTCAAACCAACATGGAATCTCTGAATTGCCAGAAAAAGAATTCAGAAGGTTGATTATTAAGATAATCAAGGAGGCACCAGAGAAAGGTGACTCCAGCTCAATGAAATTTTATAAATGATACAAGACATGAAGAAAAAAATCAGTGAAATAGCATAAATAAAAAAGTGTCACAACTTATAGAAATCAAGGACACACTTAGAGAAATGAAAAATGCACTGGTAAGTCTGGAAAATAAAATCAAACAAACAGAAGTAAGAACTTCAGAACTTGAAGACAAGGTTTTTGAATTGACCCAACTCGACAAAGACAAAAAAAAATATTTAATGAACAAAGCATCCAAAAAGTATAGGATTATGTTAAATGACCAAACCTAAGAATAACTGGTGTTCCTGAGGTAGAAGAGAAATCTAAAAGTTTGGAAATATACTTGAAGGAATAATTGAGGAAAACTTTCCTGGCCTTGCTAGAGATCTAGACATACAAATACAAGGAGCTCAGAGCACACCTGGGAAATTTATTGAAAAAAGATCGTTACCTAGGCACACAGTCATCAGGTTATCTAAGGTCAAGACAAAGGAAAGAATCTTAAGAGCTGTGAGGCAAAAGCATCAGGTAACCTATAAAGGAAAACCTATCAGATTAACAGCACATTTCTTTGCAGAAACCCTACAAATTGGAAGGGATTGGGGTCCTATCTTCAGCTTCCTTAAACAAAACAATTATCAGCCAAGAATTTTGTATCCCGCAAAACAAAGCTTCATAAATGAAGGAAAGATACAATCTTTTTCAGACAACAAATACTAAGATAATTCACCACTACCAAACCAGCACTACAAGAACTGCTAAAAGAAGCTCTAAATATTGAAACAATTCCTCAAAATACACCAAAATAGAACTTCCCTAAAGCAGAAATCTCACAGGACTTATAAAACAAAAACACAATAAAAAAACAACAACAACAAGGTATTCAGGCAACAAATAGCATGATGAATAGAATAGTACCTCACATCTCAATACTAATGTTGAATGTAAATGACCTAAATGCTCCACTGAAAAGATACAGAATGGCAGAATGGGTAAGAATTCACCAACCAAGTATCTGCTGCCTTTAAGAGGCTCACCTAAAACATAAGTGTTCACATAAACTTAAGGTAAAGGAGTGGTAAAAGATATTCCATGCAAATGGACACCAAAAGCAAGCAGACGTAGCTATTCTTATATCAGACAAAACAAACTTTAAGGCAACAGCAGTTAAAAAAGACAAAGAGAGACATTATATAATGATAAAACGACTTGTCCAAGGGGAAAATATTACAATCCTAAATATATATATGCACCTAACACTGGAGCTCCCTAATTGATAAAACAATTACTACTAGACCAAAGAAATGAGATAGCAATACAATAATAGTGGGGGACTTCAATACTCTACTGAAAGCACTAGACAGAAAGTATAATCTTTAAGACAGAAAGTCAACAAAGTAACAATGGATTTAAACTATACCCTAGAACAAATGGAGTTAGCAGATATTTACAGAACATACTAGCTAATAACAGCAGAAAATACATTTTATTCATCGGCACATGGAACATTCTCCAAGACAGACCATATGACAGGCCACAAAACAAGTCTCGATAAATTTAAGACTTTTAAATAAAATTAAAAATAAAATCAAAATTATATCAAGTACTCTCTCAGACCACAGTGGAATAAAATTGGAAATCAACTGCAAAAGGAACCCTCAAAACCATGCAAATACATGGAAATTAAATAATCTTCTCCTGAATGATCTTTGGGTCAACAATGAAATCAAAATGGAAATTAAAAAATACTTTGAACTGAGCAATAATAGTGACACAACCTATCAAAACCTCTGGGGTATGGCAAAGGTGGTGCTAACAGGAAAGTTCATAGCACTAAATGCCTACATCAAAGAGTCTGAAAGAGCACAAATGGACAATCTAAGGTCACACCTCAAGGAACTAGAGACATAAAAACAAATCAAACCCAAACCCAGCAGAAGAAAAGAAATAACAAAGATCAGAGCAGAACTAAATGAAATTGAAACAAAAATAAAATACAAAAGATAAATGAAACCTAAAGCTGGTTCTTTTAAAAGATAAATAAAATTGATAGACCATTAGTGAGATTAACCAAGAAAAGAAGAAAGAAGATCCAAATAAGCTCAATTAGAAATAAAATGGGAGATGTTACAACTAATGCCACAGAAATATTATACAAAAGGTCATTCAAGGCTACTATGAACACCTTTACGGGCATAAACTAGAAAACCTAGAGAAGATGGATAAATTCCTGGACATATACAACCCTCCTAGATTAAATCAGGAAGAAATAAGAACTCTGAACAGACCAATAACAAGCAGCAAGATTGAAATGTCAATAAAAACAATTGCCAACAAAAAAAAAAGTCCAGAACCAGACGGATTCACAGCTGAATTTTATCAGACATTCACAAAAGAATTGGTACCAGTCCTATTGACACTATTGTACAAAGAAAGAGGGAATCTTCCCTAAATCATTCTATGAAGACAGTATGACTTTAATATCAAAACCAGGAAAGGACATAACAAAAAAAGAAAACTACCAACCAATAACTCTGATGAATATACATGCAAAACTTCTTAGCAAAATACTGGCTAACTATATCCAACAGCATATCAAAAAGATAATCCACCATGATCAAGTGGGTTTTATACCAGGAATGCAGGAATGTTTTGTCAAACACAAGTCAATAAGTGTAATACACCACATAAACAGAATTAAAAATGAAAATTAGGTGATCATCTCAATAGATGCAGAAAAAGCATTTGACAAAATCCAGCATCCCTTTATGATTAAACCCCTCAGCAAAATCAGTATAGAAGGGTCATTCCTTAAGGTAATAAAAGCCTTCTATGGCAAACTCACAGCCAATATTATACTGAACAGTGAAAAGTTCAAAGCACTCCCCCTGAGAAATGGAACAAGACAAGGATGCCCACTTTCACCATTTCTATTCAACATGGTACTGGAAGTCCTAGCCTGAGCAATCAGACAAAAGAAAGAAATAAAGGGCAGCCAAATCGGTAAAGAGGAAGTCAAAGTGTCACTGTTTGCTGATGATATGATTGTATGCCTACAAACTCACAATTCTCATCAAAATACCACCATCATTCTTCACAGAACTAGGAAAAACAATCCTAAAATTCATATGAAACCAAAAATGAGCCCACATAGCCAAAGCAAAACTAAGCAAAAAGAACAAATCTGGAGGCATCACATTACCTTACTTCAAACTATACTATAGTCACTGGTATTTTTATACCAGCACCATGCTGTTTTGATATAAAAATAGGCACAGAGACCAATGGAACAGAATAGAGAACCCAGAAATAAAACCAGACACTTACAGCCAATTGATCTTCGACAAAGCAAACAAAAACATGAAGTGGGGAAAAGACATCCTTTTCAACAAATGGTGCTTGTGATGTTTGGCAAGCCACATGTAGAAGAATGAAATTGGATCCTGATCTCTCACCTTACACAAAAATCTACTCAAGGTGGATCAAGGACTTAAACCTAAGACCTGAAACCATAAATATTCTAGAGGATAACATTAGAAAAAGCCTTCTAGACACTGGCTTAGGCAAAGACTTCATGATCAAGAACCCAAAAACAAATGCAACAAAAACAAAGATAAGTAGATGAGACTTAATTAAACTAAAATGCTTCTGCACAGTAAAAGAACAATCAGCAGAGTAAATAGACAACCCAAAGAATGGGAGAAAATCTTCACAATCTATACATCTGACAAAGGACTAATATCCAGAATCTATAAGGAACTCAAATAAGGAGGAAAGAAACAAACAATCCCATCAAAAAGCATACCAAGGACATGAACAGACAATTCTCTAGAGATACACAAATGGCCAACAAATACATGAAAAAATGTTCAACATCATTAATGATCAGGGAAATTCAAATAAAACCACAGTGTGATACCACCTTACTCCTGCAAGAATGGCGATAATCAAAAAACAATACATGTTGGCATGGATATGATGAAAAGGGAACACTTTTACATTGCTGATGGGAATGTAAGCTAGTACAACCACTATGGACAACAGTACAGAGGTTCCTTAAAGAACTAAAAGTAGAACTACCATTTGATCCAGCAATCCCACTACTGAGTATCTACCCAGAGGAAAAGAAATTATTATATGAAAAAGATACTTGTACACACGTTTATAGCAGCAAAATTTGCAATTACAAAAATATGGAACCAGTCCAAATGCCCATCAATCAATGAGTGGATAAAGAAAATGTGTCTTATATATACCATGGACTACTACTCGGCCATAAAATTGAATTAAATAATGGCATTTGCATCAACCTAGATGGAATTGGAGACCATTATTCTAAATGAAGTAACTCAGGAATGGAAAACCAAACATTGTATGTTCTCACTCATTAGTGACAGCTAAGCTATAAGGACGGAAAGGCATAAGAATGATTTAGTGGACTTTGAGGACTTGGGGGAAAGGGTGGGAAGGTGGTGAGGGATAAAAGACTACACATTGGTTACAGTGTACACTGCTCAGGTTATGGGTTCACCAAAATCTCAGAAAGCACCATTAAATAACTTACTTATGTAAGCAAACACCGCTTGTTCTCCAAAACCCTATTGAAATTCAAAAAGTAAATATTTATAATGCTAAACTTATTAAACATAAAAAAGTCAATGAGGAAGGATTCCACCCTACTCATTCTACAAGGTCAACATCATGCTGATAGCAAAACCTGGCAGAGACAGAATGATAAAAGACAACTTTTGGCCCATATCCCTGATGAACATAGATGCAAAATCCTCAACAAAATACTAGTAAACCAAATCCAGCAGCCCATGAAAAGGTGAATCCAATATAATCAAGTAGGTTTATTCCTAGGATGTAAGGTTGGTTTGACATACACAAATCAATAAATGTGGTTCATTACATAAACAAAACTAAAAACAAAAACCACACGATCATCTCAATAGATGCAGAAAAGGTTTTTGATAAAACTCAATATCCCTTCATGTAAAAAACCCACTACAAACTTGGCATTGAATGAACATATTCCAAAATAATAAAAGCCATCTATGACAGATCTACAGCCAACATCATACTGAATGGGCAAAAGCTAGAAACATTCCCCTTGAAACCCAGCAGAAGACAAGGATGCTCATTTTCACCACTTCTATTCAGCATAGTACTGAAGTTCTAGCCAGAGCAAGTAGGCAAGATAAAGTAATAAAAGACATCAAAATAGCAAGAGAGGAAGTCAAACTATTTCTCTTTCCAGATGATATACTTCTATACCAAAAAACGATATAGTCACTGGCTCCGAGATAAGATAACTTAAGAAAAGGCTCAGCATACAAAATTGATGAGCAAATAATAGTAAAATTTCTTTTTTTTCTTTTCTTTTTTTTTTTTTTGAGACGGAGTCTCGCTCTGTCGCCCAGGCTGGAGTGCAGTGACGCGATCTCAGCCCACTGCAAGCTCCGCCTCCCGGGTTCACGCCATTCTCCTGCCTCAGCCTCCCGAGTAGCTGGGACTACAGGCGCCCACCACCACGCCCGGCTAATTTCTTTTTGTATTTTCAGTAGAGATGGGGTTTCACTGTGTTAGCCAGGAAGGTCTCAATCTCCTGACCTCGTGATTCGCCTGCCTTGGCCTCCCAAAGTGCTGGGATTACAGGAGTGAGCCACCATGCCTGGCCAATACTAGTTAAATTTCTATACACAAATAACATCCAAGCTGAGAACCAAATCAAGAACATAATCTCATTCACAGTAACCACAAAAAGAATAAAATATCTACAAATACAGGTAACCAGCAAGGTGAAAGACGTCTACAACAAGAATTACAAGTACTGCTGGAAGAAATCAGAAATGACACAAATAGAAAAACATTTCACGCTCATGGATAGGAAGACTCAACATTGTTAAAATGGCCATACTGCCCAAAGCAATTTACAGATTCAATGCTATTCCTATCAAACTACCAAAGACAATTTTTTACAGACTTAGAAATAATCATTATAAAACTCATATGGAACTATAAAAGATCCTGAGTAGCCAAAACGGTCCAAAGCAAAAACAAAACGAAACAAAAATAAAGCCAGAGGCATCATACTACCTGACATCAAACTATACTATGAGGCTACAGTAACTAAAATAGCATGGTACTGATACTAAAACAGCCACATAGCACAGTGGAACATGTTAGACAACATAAACATAAAACCACACACCTACAACCATCTAATCTTCAACAAAGCCAACAATAACACACAATGGGGGAAAGGACTCCCTATTCAGTAAATGGTGTGAGGATAACTTGGTAGTCATATGCAGAAGACTGAAACTTGACTCTTACCATTCACCATATACAAACATCAACTCAAGATGGATTAAACACTTTAATGTAAAAGCTAATACTCTAAAAACTCTAGAAGAAAATGTAGGAAGTAACATTTGGACTTCTGACTCCAAAAGCAATTGCAACCAAAACAAAAATTGGCAAGTGTGACCTCATTAAACTAAAAAGTCTATGCACAGCAACAGAAATGAACAACAAACAGACAACCTACAGAATGGGAGAAAATATTCACAATCTATGCATCCAACAAAGGTCTAACATCCAGAACCTACAGGAAACTTAAACAAATTTACAATCAAAAAAACCCCATTGAAAAAATGGACAAAGGACATGAACAGACACTTCTCAAAAAGAAGACATACATGCAGCCACCATGCACATGAGAAAATGCTCATCATTAATCATTAGAGAAATGCAAAACAACACAGTAAGACACCATTTCACACCAGTCAGAATGGTAATTATTAAAAAGTCAAAAAATGATAGATGCTGATGAGGTTATGGAGAAAAAGGAATACTTACACAGTGCTGGTGGGAATGTAAGTTACTTCAGCCACTGTGTAAAGTAGTTTGGAGATCTCTCAAAGAATGTAAAACAGAACTGCCATTTTACTCAGCAATCCCATTACTGGATACATACCCAAAGGAATATAAATTGTTCTACCATAAAGAAACATGCATGCATATGTTCTTCACAGCACTACTCACAATAGCAAATACATGGAATCAACCTAGATGCCCATTCATAGTAGACTAGATAAAGAAAATATGGTACATATACACCATGGAATACTATGCAGCTGTAAAAAAAGAATCAAATGTTGGGATCCACTCAGGATGGTTGCAGAAATATTAAAGGGAAATATTAGGGAAAGTTATAGGGAATAGTCACAAACCTTTTTGGAAGGCCGAAAGGTTACATAGCTTGTAATAATTGAACAGACTGAAGGCAGCTGGTTCTTACCTTAAAGCATTAGGTCATAGGGTAAATACTAGGAACAATAAAGGCTTCCCCTGTTAAGTCTGTTTACCCTACCTCCATTAACTAACCTTTGAGCCAGATGGCCCTCTCGGGGGGAGGTCAACCAGGGATATTGCCCCCTAATAGTACTTACTGTAGACCGCATTACCTGAGTCATTCGCAGAACTACTCTCTTAACCATGTTAATTACATATATTGGTGTTAACTCAAGCTTTTGTTAACCAATCTTAATGAATAAATGCAAGCCTCCCGAGCTGATTGAGGCCAGCTGCAGTGACAAACTCTATTGGTGTGTAGGCGGTCGGACATTCAGCAGGACTGGCAAAACAGAATATCTGTGTTATCAGTGTACGTTTTATTCATCCATCATTTGGGTCAGGGTCTGCAGGCAGACCCCCGCAGCTAGTGCTCCCACGAAAGGAGCGCTGCCTCAATCAAATCATGTCCTTCACAGCAACATGGATTCAGCCGGAGGCCATTATCTCAAGTGAATTATTGCCGGAACACAAGACCAAATACTGTATGTTATCACTTGTAAGTGGAAGCTAACCTGTGAGTACACACGGACACAAAGAAGGGAACAAAAGACATTAGGGCCTACTTGAGGGTGGGGCATGGAAGGCGGGTAAGGATCAAAAAGTTATCTATAGGGTACTATGCTCATTAGCTGAGTCACGAAATAATCTGGTTACCAAACCCTCATGACATCCAGTTTACCCGTGTAACAAACCTGCACATGTATCCCTTGAACCTGAAATAAAAGTCGGAAAGAAAAAAAAAAATCACTTACATTCTTTCCCAGTCCTGAAGCTCACTTCCTCTCACTCTTCCCCACAACCTCCTCAACTGAAAGACTTGTAGAACCCTAAGGAACCAGGAACTTCTGTGCATCATTGATTGTGCCTGTGCTCTTCCCTCTATTTAGAAAGCTTTCTTTGCTTGTACTCAAGGTGAATTCTTTTTCTTAATTTCATTTGTAAATAACATCTTCACTGAAATGCCTATCCCTCCAGCTGCTACCAAAACTTCCACTATCACTGCCTAGGGAAAAGTACTCCTACCTCTGTTTCCTCAGAATTGTGTATAAACTATTGTTATTACCATGTATGTTGTATTATATAGAATTAGGCTGGTGTTATGTACTGAACTATGTCCCCCAGAAATTTTCATATGCTGAAATTCTAGTACCCAGTAACTCAGAATGTGGCCATATTTGCAGACAGGTTATTTAAATAGGTGATTAAATTAAAACAAAATCATGAGGATGGCCCTAATCCAATATGGCCAATGTTCTTATAAGAAGAGGAAATTTGAGGCCGGGCATGGTGGCTCATGCCTGTAATCCCAGCACTTTGGGAGGACGAGGCAGGCGGATCATGAGGCAGGAGATCGAGACCATCCTGGCTAACACAGTGAAACCCCGTCTCTACTAAAAATACAAAAAAAAATTAGCCAGGCGTGGTGGCAGGCGCCTGTGGTCCCAGCTACTCGGGAGGCTGAGGCAGGAGAATGGCGTCAACCCCAGAAGGCGGAGCTTGCAGCGAACCAAGATCACACCACTGCACTCCAGCCTGGGCAACAAAGCGAGACTCCATCTAAAAAAAAAAAAAAAAAAAAGAAGAAGAAGAAGAAATTTGAACACAAGTACACACAGAGGGAATCCTGCCTCTGGGTTGCCTGTGGACTCTCAAGCTACATTATTCTCTCTGTCTATCTATCCATCTATCTATACATAAAACAAATATATATGTTATATGTACATTTACATATAGAGTTATATATATAAATTTATATATGTATGTGTATGTATGTATATGTATTCACACATCCTATTGGTCCAACCTTTTTAGAGATCCCTGACTAATAGAGATAGCATCTATCTCATCCACTCAATGCCAAGTTCTAAGGTCAGAACCACATCTAGTTAAATAATATAACAACAGGTGTGTGTGTATAAAGTTTTTCTCAGGTAGTATCCTAATTTATACACACACACACACACACACACACACACCACACAACTCATTTGATCCTTACAAGAACTTCATGAAAGAAATATTATTACCTCAACTTTAACTATGAAGTTCAGTAATTTGTCCAAAGTTAGTCATCTAGTAAGTGACAGTAGTAAATTTTGAAACAAAGCAATCTAGCTGGAGGGCCTCTTCTTTTCACTATCCTAAGCTATAAAACATTATAAAAATATTTTTATTCTGTTAAAAAAAAACATAGTATGTAACCCAATGCCTGGTACAATATAGATATTCCGTAAATGTTTATTGAATAAATGAGGGAGTGAATAACATCATTAATAAATATTCAATCATGAAATGAGATAATAGTATCATTATACATTTGTTCTACATAATTACAAAAATATAAACACTCATACTTGGAGATTAGGCCATTTGTGAAGTGTTGCTCAGTTTCAAAGACCAAGGTATGCCACACACAGCACTATTTATTAATCTGCTAATATTATATGGTGATAGAAGGATAACATGTGTGCAAACTACTTTATAAGGCTTATAAGTATCAAATAGTAATATATCCTTTAAGTAGTTTCTTTAAGAACAGAATGAGATTCCATTAAATTATTTTTCATATACCTAAGGATTTTATCCAAAGCTCTACTTTTTAAATCAAACATAACTAAATTATAGGAAGACTTATCATATGATCATTATTTATTTTATTCTGGAATGTTTCACAACTTTGTCTTCATAAATTTTTGTAACATGCTGTGAGTTGTATAGGGGCTATTAGATGAATATTTATTTCATGCCTTGGATTTGTTTTTCTTTATTTTTGAGACAGTCTTGCTCGATTGTCCAGGCTGGAGTGCAGTGGCACCATCTCAGCCCACTACAACCTCCGCCTCCAGGTTCAAACAATTCTCGTGGCTTAGCCTCCCAAGAAGCTGGGATTACAGACATGCACCACCACACCTGCCTAATTTTTATATTTTTAGTAGAGACAGAGTTTCACCATGTTGGCCAGGCTGGTTTCAAACTCCTGGCCTCAAGCAATCTGCCTGCCTTGGCCTCCCAAAGTGCAGGGAGTGCACCCATTGCCTGGGATTTGTTAGAAAGCAAAGTTTTATCCCAATAGAACGATTATATTGACTGTCTTAAATTCAAATATAGAGATGTAATATGAGATATTAAAAATTATAAAACTAGCATCCAAATAACTTAGATTATTTAATCTTTCTCTAAATGTTAGTTTAAAAACTGGAAATAATACATCATTGATCCTTGTCACCTACTTTAAAGTTGTCAGACAGGTAACCTTGGCTAATACTAAGTTGAAAAGAAAGTAAACAAAAGCCTGAGTGTTTTGAGTTTCTTGCTTCTCCACTCCAATTTTCTGTCTCCCTTATTGTCTGCACACACATTGTCCAGGCCAGGTGACAAGTTGAACAAATTGCCTTTTACTGTTCCTTTGATTTGTACAATAACATGTTAATTGCAACCCTGAGCTCTTCTTCTGCCCTATTGATTACATAATCACCTTTGCCAATTGATGCTGCCCAGAATGTCAAAAGGCATCCAGTAAAATGAAATACAAAATAAAATCTTTCTCTGTCTACCCTCCTCCAAGTAAATATAATTCCAAAGCATCTGTAATCTCACATTGTTGGCAGGCCAAAAAGCCAAGTTTTAAAACTATACTGAAAAAATCAGAAAACCCTTTTTTATCCCTGAAGTACTCCCTTCACCACCTCCAGCATTTCAGATCAGTCTTTGTTTCCTAACTCACTGATACTGATACCCGAGGGCTAGATTTGCCAGGAGGAATTAATAGTGATCATTATAATACAGAAAGCAACAGCTGCACCTATTCAGCTCTGTGTTAGTGATGCAGTTATGTAAAGCAAGGAGAAGCCAGCCAAGACAGAAAAGCTTAGTAGTATCATCTCTCACCTTGAAATAAACATCTTGCTGTTTATTTTAGTAAATATGTGCATATAACATGTTTGACATTTATCTTATTTGAATAAAAATATTGATAATACTTTTGTCTCTATTGAATCTGAATATGGAAGAGACACAAAGAACACACGACAAAGTTCTGATACTTACTAATGAGTTTGCTAAGTACAATAAGAGCTCAGCTATCAGAACCCTCATCTGGCAATAATTCCTAACCAGAATCTACCAAAATCCAGGAATCAAACAAATACAAAAGATACTTTGAAGAAACACAAGCATTGTCACATCTTCTATGTGTCAATTCAATACACTTATCAAATGGGAATACCTTAGCCTTTTACTCAACACCTAATATATTTAATCATTAAATTTTCAGCCTCAGAGCCAATTAGAATCAACAAAGGAAGGCACTGTGGATATCTGTCCCCTCCAAATCTCATGCTGAAATTTGTTCTGCGATGTTGGATGTGGGGCCTACTGCGAGGTATTTAGGTCTCCACGGTGGATCTTTCATGAATGTGTTGGAGCTCTCCTATTGGTTATGAGTGAGATTTATGTTTTTTTATGTGGTAACATATATCTGAAGTGTTCACACTGGGACAGAGGATTCTTTTCACCCCTGAAATAGTAAGGCTGTGATTTATCTAGGTTGGTTGTCCACTCATCCATCCTAAACCAGAGGCACACGTCTCAGAAAGTCCTACAATGTATATACATCACTTACTGTCCTTCGGTTGCACATGTAAGAGCCAAAACCAGCAAGAACTACTGTCAAAGTAGAATTATCAGTTTACCTAAAGCTACTTTATTCTCCATAGTTATCTTGATATGTATCTGCTAGCTGTGTGACCTTAAGCAAGATACTTCTTTGCGCTTCTGTAAAATGGATCCAACAAGAACACACAGTAGGAATCGTATGTGGGATAAATAAGACACCACTGTAAAATATTTAGCATGGTACCTGACACATAGCACTCAATAAAGTTATATTTCAAAGTCAAAGAATTCAGAGAATTGCTATTATGTTATCGATAAGCGTTTTTCAAAGCATCTAATGAAGGATCATATTAACCCTACCCCTGGCCCTTGTCCCACCCCAGGTCATCATAGACCAACTTTTCTGCATTGCACTGCTTGGAAGTCATGACGATTTCCAATTACTTTAAAAGTTTCAAAATGTGTGCCTTCAATTTCTGAACATATGTCATTGTAAGCCACTATGTTTGTGGACCAACATCCACCCACAAAACATACTTTGAGTAGCACTTTAATAGAACACCATCATTGTCTCCTAAGACAGTAAAGTCAAAATAATGAATTGTCACCATCCTGTTTTTTTTATTTGAATTCTTTGAAATTATCTACATAGAATAGGTGAGGCTCCAGTGTATAAATACAAAATTGAATGGATAAATGCTGGCAATATGTGCATATTCAAGCAAATACATGCACTTGATCAGTTTCTATAATCGAAGAAAAAAGAATTTAGGGAGTCAGAATTATCAAAAATTATGTATAAATTATCTCAAGGATTGTGTATCAAAGTATTTTCAACTTTATTTATATTCACTTGACAGTGTCAATTCCTCCATCAGAAAAAAAAATAGGTGAAGTACTCTACATAGCAGTGTAATGTTATTAAAAAAATCAGAATACTACAGTAAATTGCATCATTTATCAATGTAGTTGATAGTAATTCTACACCAGACCTGCACTTGACACAGGCATGTAACTTATTACCAGTCCCTAGCCATCAGAACATGCACAGAAAAGTATTTTCAAAAGCACTTACTATTTATTCAAAGTGTTTTGAAGTATGAGAAGAGCTAAATTCCTAAGCAGTCAGTATATACTTAAAGCCAAGCACACTTAAAATCATAAATGAATAGTTTTGACTACTAAAGGAAAAATAGTCAATAATTAATTCTACAATTACTTTTTATGTACACCAATACAAAATAATATTTGAAGTTTCTAATATTGCATATAAATTACTACTTATAATGAAAATGTAACCAGTTGATTTTTTATTAGTTTTGACTTACTATTTCTTAGAAAACAAAACCACCAACAAAATAAATACCTATTATGCTTTAAAATTTTAAATTAGGCTGACTGCAAATAAATTAACAGATGTTACATTTATCTCCTTAAGTAGTTCCCTACTCTTGAAGTATAAACTCATTATATTTCTGCTAATAATAATATATATTACTTTATGTATAACGTGTTAGATAATCTTAGAAGAATCAAGTTGAAAAGTTTTAAACTATTACCCAGTTAAAACTGACCATCAGTCAGTTTTCTTGAGTAACAGAAATCTTCATGTTTTGTGGCTGAGGAAATAAAAATGTAAATCGCACTGGATACCCCTACCCATCTACTAGAATAACAAAAGGAAACAAATAGGCAACACAAAGTTCTGGCAAGCATCCAGCACCACAAAAACTCATACATTTCTGGTGGGAATAAGAATGATGCAGATCTTTTTAATAACAGTTCAGAAGTTCCTTACAGTCACTTACTACATAATTCAATAAATTTACACCTAGGTATTTTCCCAAGAAAAATGAGAATATATGTAAGATTGGAGAGTTGGTACTATGTGTGATTGTGACTGGGTAACAACTATGGTTTGTAACAAATACCAATAGCACCAAGAAGGTCTGCAATGCTTAGCTTTCTTAAAGTAAATATCACAGCAATTTTTAATGTTTTTTATTTTCTTAATTGAAAAACAAAAAAATATATATATTTACTGTGTAAAACATTATATGTTGAAACATATATACATTGTGGAATGGCTAAATCAAATTAACATATGTATTACCTCATATAGTTATCATTTTTCTAATGAGAACCCTTAAAATCTACTGTTAGCATTTTTAACCATAGTCACCACATTGTACAAAAGATTTCTTGAACTTTTTCTTCCTATTTATAGGAAATTTTGTGTCCTTTGACCAAAGTCTGTCCAACCCCTACTCCCTCATCACCACCCCAGCCTCTGGTAACCATCACTCTACTCTCTACTTCTATGAGTTCAACTTTTTAAGATTCCACATATAAGTGAGATCATGTGGGGTTTGTCATTCTGTGCCTGGCTTACTTCACTTAACATAAAGTCCTCCAGGTTCATCCATGTTGTCACACATGACTATTTAATGGCTGAATAGTATTCCATTGTGTATCTATGCCATATTTTTTTAATTCATTCATCCATTGACAGACAGTTTGATTTGCTATCTTGGCCATTGTGAATAATGCTGCAAAGAACGTGAAAATGCAAATATCTTTTCAACATACTAACTTCACTTCCTTTGGCTATATACCCAATAATGGGAATGCTGGATATTATGGTAGTTCTGTTTTTAATTTTTTGAGGAGCCTCATACTGTTTTTTATAATGACTACACTAATTTTACATTCACAGCAATAGTGTGTAAAAATTTCTTTTTCTTGGCCAGGCGTGGTGGCTCACGCCTGTAATCCCAGCACTTTGGGAGGCCAAGGTGGGTGGATCACCTGAGTCTAGGAGTTCGAGACAAGCCTGGCCAACGTGGCAAAACCCTGTCTCTACTAAAAATACAAAAATTAGCTGGGCGTGGTGGCCAGTGCTTGTAATCCCAGCTATTCAGGAGGCAGAGGTAGGAGAATCGCTTGAACCCGGAAGGCAGAGGTTACAGCGAGCTAAGATCGCACCACTGCATTCCAGCCTGGGCGACAAGAGTGAAACTCCATCTCAAAAAAAAAAAAAAAAGAATTTCTTTTTCTTTACATCCTCACCAACACTTATCTTTCATCTTTTTTATAAAAGCCTTTCTAACAAGTGTGAGCTGATAACTCCTTGTGGTTTTAATGTGCATTTCTCTGATGATTAGTGATGTCGATCATTTTTTCACATACCTGTTGGTCATTTGTATGTTTTCTCTTGAGAAATGTCTGTCTACGTTCTTGCCCCATTTTTAAATCAGGCTATTCATTTTCTTGCTATTGAGTTCCTTATATATTTTGGATATTCACTTCTTATCAGATATATGGTTTGCAAATATTTTCTCCCATTCCATAGGATGTCTCTCCATCCTGTCAATTGCTTCCTTTTTTATGCAGATTTTAACTTTGATGTAATTCCATTTGTCTGTTTTTGCTTTTGTTGCCTATTCTTTTGGGGTTACAGACAAAAAGAAATCATTATGCAGATCAATAGCATGGAGCTTTTCCACTGTATTTTTTCTGATGGTTTTATAGCTTTGCATGTTATTTCTAAGTCCTTAATTCATTTCGGATTTATTTTGGTATATGGTATGAGATAAGGGTCTAATTTCATTCTTCTGCATGTGGATATAGTTTTACCAACAAAATTTATTTAAAAGATTGTCCTTCACACATTGTGTATTCCTGGCATCTTTATAAAAAAATCAGTTGGTCATAAATGCATGGATTTATTTCCAGTCTATTCTGTACCATTGATCTATGTGTCTATTTCCATGCCAGTACCATGCTGTTTTTGATTACTGTAGCTTTGTAGCATATTTTTAAATCAGATAATGTGATAATTCCAGCTTTATTTTTCTTGCTTAAGATCGCTATGGGTATTTGGGGTCTTTTGTGGTTTCATATGAATTTGGGGATTGCACTTTTATCTTTTCAAAAAACCAACTCTTAGTTTCATTGACCTTTTATATTGTTTTTCTACTCTATTTCTGCTTTCAGCTTTATTATTTCCTTCTTTTTACTAATTTTGGGGTTAGTCTGTTCTTTTTCTATTTCCTTGGGGTGCAGTCTTAGGTTGCTTACTTGATCTCTTTCTTCTTTTTTTGATGTAAGCATTTAGTGCTATAAAACTCCCTGTTAGAACGACTTTTGCTTCATCTCATAAGTTTAGTATGTTGTGTTTTCATTTTCATTTGTCTCAAGATATTTTTTAATTTCCCTTTTAATTTCTTCATTGACCCACTAGTTGTTTAGGAGTAAGTTGTTTAATGTTTATGTATTTGTGAATTTTTCCACAAATTCAAGGTGTTTTTGATATCCAATTTCATACCATTGTGATCAGAAATGATACATAATATAATTTCAGTATTTTAAAATTTGCTAAGACTTACTTTGTGGCCTAACATATGATCTACCCTGGAGAAGGTTCTGTGTGCACTTGAGAAGTATGTGTATTCTGCTGCTGTTTGGCAAAATGTTCTATATTGGTCTGTTATGTCCCATTTGGTCTAAAATATAGTTTAAGTCCAATATTTTCTTGTTTATTTGCTATCTGGATGATTGGTCCATTGCTAAAAGTGGTATATTAAAGTACCCTATTATTGTATTGCAGTTTATTTCTCCCTTCAGTTCTATTAATTTTTTTTATATTTAGGTGCTCCAATATTGAATGTATTTACAATTGCTATCTCATCTTGCTGAACTGACCCCTTTGTCATTATAAATTACCTTCTTTGTAATTACCTTCACTTTACAGTTTTGACTTAAAGGCTATTGTATTTGATATAATTTTTAACCTGTGCTATTTTATGGATTCTATTTGCATAAAATATCTTTTTCTATCTCTTCACTTTCAGACTACTTGTGTCCTTACAAGTGAAATGAGTTTCTTTTAGGCAGCAAATGGTTGTGTTTTGTTTCTTATATTCATTAAGCCACTCTGTGTCCTTTGTTTGAAGAATTTATTTACATTTAAGATAATTATAGATAAGCAAGAACTTACTACTGCCCTTTTGCTAATTGTTTTCCATCTTTTCTTAAGTCCTTTTTCATCTTCTCTTGCTGTCTTCCTGTGTAAGTGGTTTTCTATAGTGCTATCCTTTGGTTCTTTGCTATTTATTTATTACATATCCACTATTGGTTTTTGCTTCAGGGTCACCATGAGGCTTATGAAAATATAACAGGCTGTTTTAAGCTGTTAACAACTTAACTTTGATCACACACACACACACAAACTCCACATTTTTACTCCACTCTCCTTCTATATTTTGAATTGTGATGGTATAATTCATATCTTTTATATTGCATATCCCTTAACAAATTATTGTAGCTATTATTACTTTTAATAGTTTTGTCTTTTAACCTTCATACTAACGATGTAATGGTTTACATGCTATTATTAGAGTATTCAAGTATTCTTCTGACTGTGTGCTTACTTTTACCTGTGAGTTTTATATTTTCATATGTTTTCATGTTACTAATTAGCAACCTCTTCTTTCAGCATGAAGAGCTCCTTTAGCATTTATTGTAAGACAGATCTCATGGTAATGAACTACCTCAAATTTTGTTTGTCTGGAAAAGTCTTTATCTCTCCTTTATTTCTGAAGAACAGAATTTCCAGGCACAGTATTATTGACAGATGGGGTTTTTTTCCTTCAGAACTATAAATATATCATCCCACTCTCTCCTAGCCTGTAAAATTTCTGTTGAGAAATCTGCTAGCCTATTGGAACTCCCTTAAATATTACTTGCTTCTTTTTTCTTGCTGCTTTCAGAATCCTCTCTGCTTTGATTTTTGACAATTTGATTACAATATGTATTGGGCTAGGCTTGTTCAGATTGAACCTAATTGTAGACCTTTGACATTCCTGTACCTAGATGTTTGTATCTTTCCCTAGGTTTGGAAAGTTTTCACTATTGTTTTTTTAAATAAGCTTTCAACACCTTCGTCTTCCTTTTCTCTTTCTTGAGGTCCTTTGACTTGAAAATTTGCTCTTCTGATGCTGTCCCACTACTCCCATAAACTTTCTTCATTACATTTCATTCTTTTTTTCTTTTTGCTCCTCTGACTGCATATGTTCAAATACCCTGTCTTTGAGTTCAGATGTACTTTGGCTTGATCAATTCTGCAACTGATTCTCTCTTGCTCTTTCTCTCTCTCTCCCCCCCTTCTCTCTCTCTCACACACACACACATACACATACACACATTTTTCATTTCATTGATTGCATTAGCTCCAGAATTTCTATTCAATTTTTTAAACATTTCTATCTCTATTAAATTTCTCATTTTGGTCATTTATTGTTTTCTTCATTTTTTTGAATTGTTTCTCTGTATTTTTTTTGAAGTTCACTGAGCTTACTTAAAACAGTATTTTGAATTCCTTTTCAGGCTACTCAAACATTTTTATTTATTTAGAATCATCACTGGCACTTTATTTCCCTTCAGAGATATCATGTTTCCCTCATTGTCCTTGATTTTTCTGGCCATGCATTGGTGTCTGCCCATTTGAAGAAGTATACATTTAATTATGTCTTTATAGGCTGGCTTTGTCTGGGAAAGCCCTTTACTTGCCAGCCCATTCAGAAACTTTGGGCAGGCCTTCTGGCATAGTTTATTGGAAGGCTTGCTGCTGGAGTCATCTAGCTACTGGCATGGTGCCTGGGTCTGCCACTGGGTGGTCCTGGATCCACTAGAATGGGCCTGTCAAGTAGGTCTACTGGGGTGAGCCTGGAGCCTATACCCTTGAGAACTAACATGACACCTATGTCCACAGAGGCTGACTTGGCACTGACATGGGCTGTGAGTCTGAATCTGAAGGGGCTGGCCGGGCAGTAGGATGGGTCTGAAGTCTGTGTCCTCTGGAACGGGCCTGGATCCTAAGTCTTCAAGGGTAAACCTAGGCCTTAGGTCCACAATGTCTACTCTGAAGCTTGGATATGTAAGAGTGTTGCTGGAGACTCACTCTGCTGGGGAGCCTAGAGTCTGTGTCCATGTGTGTTGACATAGTGCCTAAAGCCATGTGCAAATCTGGCACTGGAACAGGCATGACACCTAGGGCTGTGTGGATCAACTTAGTTCTGGCCTTGTCTGGATCCTAGGATGGGCCTGGTGTCTGGGGGTGCAGGAGCTGTCCTAGTGCTAGATGGACCTGGAACTTGTATCTGGAGGGGCTGGCCATGGGTGCTGGCCTAATGAGCCATTACCCCCTAATGGCTTTGGGGGTAGATAGTGCTGTGACAAGCCTGAAGCCCAGGGCCATAGGGGTCAGCCTGACACTGGGGGTGGTCTGGAGCCTGGGGTTATTGGAGTCAGCCTGACCCTGAGCAGGTCCAAATGCTGGTGCCACTGGTATAAGCCCAAGGCCCAGCTCCACTGGAGCTGGCCTGGCACTAAGGGTGGTCTGAGGCCTGGAGCCACTGAGGTCAGCCCAGTGGTAGGGAAGACCAGAGGTTGAGTTCAGCAGGCAGGCCTGGAGCTTGGTGCTATGTGATAATAGCAAGGCACTGGGGCAAGTGTAATAACTCAGTCTGCAAGTTTCAGTCTGGCGCCTGGGTCCACAGAAGCCTGCCCCGTGCTGGGTTTTACTACAGTGGCCTATGCTGGGGTCCAAGGCAGAATCTGGTCCTTACTTCCCTGTCCTTCCCACATGCAGAGAGCATCCTTCTCCACACTGTGCTGCCTGCATTTGGGTAAAGGGTAATGCAGTTAATGTAAAACTGTTCTTTTTGACCTCTTCAATACATCTTTTTTTTTTCTGTGCTACATCCCGGTGTTGTGATCTCTTACCTGGTTCCCTTAGCTCTTGTGAAGGTATTTTCACACATGAATGGTTTTTCAAATTAATGTTTCTGTGGGGAAACAAGAGTGGGAAAGTCCTATTTCTCTATCTTGCTCTTTCCCTTCTCCTATCACAGAAATTCTAAACCGCTTTCAGGCAAAAGCTGTTACAACAAAAAATTAGAAATAGGTGTGTGCAGATACAGACATATCAAGAATATGAAGGCATGTGGCCACAATACAATGACCTAAGACAAAATCTTTGCAGGATTTTTTCAGTAACAGTGCAGTAAATGAGAAAATACATATTCCAGATATTATCCTCTCAGAAATACATATTTCTAGTTTGTGTCAACAAAATAAGCACATGCATTTATTTAAGGAATTAATATGTTTTTTCATCAGGATGATGTGAACTATGTAAGTTCAAATTTACTTCATCAAAAATATGTGGCACACAAAGAAAATAATGTGGCCTTTGGAGCAAACATACCTTCACCTTAACTACCGAAATGGATCTTCAGAGCACCAACTTTTAAAAAGATCTATTATTTAATGATATCCCTGTGTCCAATATCTTTTTTAGTCATTCCTTTGCAATTACCCTCAGGGCTTCTTCAAAACCTACATGAAGTGGCAATCATTATTATCTGAAAATTTCCAAAAGCAAAATCTATCTCAGAGCACAACAATTCACCATCTGGTTTTTATCCCAAGAAGGACTGGTTATGTAATGAATCTAAGTTCATATAACTAGCCAAGGAAACTATTTTAAAAGGGAAAACAAAGCTTTAATAAATACATACTTGTTTCCAGCACGGAGAATATGGTAACGTGAGTAGGCACTTCACTCAGGCAAAACACTTAAGAGAAGATATGCTCCTAACACACACACACACAAAATTAGCTATTGAGGTAAATAATATAATAATGCAACATTTTTACGTAAGTTTTGATTTTAAAAATCTAAATGATATTTTGTTAATCACAATTTTTTGCACCAATTTTAAAAAATGAAATCTAAGTTAATGCAAAAAATTATGATTAACAAAATATCAAATTTTAAACAAACCCATAGTTCAAATCTGCACTAGCATAAATCACTTCACTTACCTGATTATTTGCTGGTAGAAAAGAAAAGAAACCCCAAAGGCATACAGAGGGAAAGTAAATCATCAGATTACCTTGTCATTATATCTTAACTCATGGAGACAGGTATCATGAGCTCAACCTGAGCTGTCGGAGGAGAGATCTGAGATTTTACACAAAGGAGGGATCCAACCACACTTCTCCAAAACTACTGGGAATACAAATGTGGTTTCATGAATGGTAAAATTCAAATTACACCAGCTTGTTCTCCAAACTAGGTAGTATAGAATTTCAGACTCTTGCAATTACCCTACGAGGATAGCTCATATGTAGTCAGGAAGAGAACTTCCTCAGGGACTGCCTTACACATATTCAAAGTTGGAGCTGGAGAATGTTATATTATACCCACATTCACATACAAAATTCTATTTGAACCTGTGGTGATCACCTGTCTCTCACACTTCACATACATGCTTAAAGGCAGCAGAGGGACTAGGCAGGGGCGCCTTTCTTAATCTAGTAGCTGTTTTAAAATAATATAGCTCTAATAATATGAATGCTCATTCTAATAGTATGCTTGCTCATTCTAGAAATATGGGGTTTTGAGTCACATGATAGCTGTATTCTAATTGTCCAACGCTTATCCATGCATTCTGTGCTGAGTCAATCTTGGTATATCTTTATCTGCAGAAAAGAATGATGAGGCCCTCAGAGAGTAACTTGGGTTGGGTGGCTGCAAGGTCTGAATTGGATTTTCTCTGTTTCTCATTTAGTATTCCTGCTGAGTCAGACTTCTTCTATTAGGGTTAATGGAGGAGCTAACTTACCTCAGAGGGGTATTGAAAGGAGCAGTCAGCATGATTAACACTGAGACTGGCAAAACACTGTAAATGAAGACCAGTTCTCCTCAGCATGTCAGGTAAAATTGAGGCTACCATTTCAATAATTCAGCCTCTTTTACCTCTGTTACACCCACAATTATCTGAGATATTTTTGTCATTTTAGAAGGTCATTCTAGGTCAGGATACATTGGATTCGTATCCACAAAATCTCAAGAATGCGAATAGGTCTCTGCATCCCTCAACTTCCCGGTGGAAGTGCACTGAAATTTTCTGGCATTATTCACCATCCTATTCCCACGGGTATGAGTAGGAGAGTCTTCATTCCAATGTGTGTGTTTTATGCTCAGTCCCAGAGCTTCTCCTCCTCCTAGCCACAACATCTTAGCCCAAGGCTCTCTTAAAGTTTGCTCTTACTTGGAGTCCACCACCTACACTGAGTCTCTTTTTTTTTCTATTGATAAATAGACATCCTCATGTCTCTCCTATATAGTTTATGCATTCATTTAACAAATGAATTCAGTGTCAGACACTGTAAAAGAAATTTATAACAGTCAATAAGGGGTATATCTGCTTTCATGGACTGTATTTTTAGAAATAGCTGGTGCTTTATTCCACGGCTACTATAACTTTTCCTTCGAACATAAGTGTCTTGGACAAAATGCACACTACCATCCTCATTTCTCTCCATAGCCCACCGCATTCCGGCTTTCATTTCCACAAAATCCTATTATGTCATCAAAACTGGTCACACATTTTGTTTCAACCCAAGTAGCTATTTTAGCTTTATGTATCATTTATCCTTTTGCCTTCTCTTGGCCTCACTGAAGCACTTATTAATATTAACCATTCTATCATTCTAGAACCTCCACTTGGTTTCTGTAATACCATCCTTCTCTGTTTTGTTCCAGCCTCATTGGTCACTCATTCTTGACATCCTTTCTAGTTTTCTGCTCCCTTACTCCTCTCATTTTATCCTTTACATAATAGGATTCATTGGGATCCACTTTGAGTCCAATTTTATTCACTCTTTCCAAAGTGTCTTCATCTAGTTCTTCATCTATAATTATATATTGAAAAGTCCCAAATTTTATCTTGGGTGTAGATTTGTGATCAATTCCAAACTTGAATTTCCCAACTGCTTTACTGACATGTTTATTTGGATCTTCATCTTAACTGTAACATGCCCCAAACTAAATATATCATTCCCAGTGGACTACTCCCCATCTCTATTCATTTGCCATAATTCACCATCATTTCCATGTAGGAAATGGCACCATGATAAGCCAGAAATATGGGTGTCTCCTTCTAAGTCATTCCATGTCACGTCTTGATTCTTCTTTATACCCACTGTTCCTGTCTGAGTTCAGGCTATGTCCCTTTCCAATACAAATTCCTATAAGAAACTCTAGTTGATCTTCTTGCCTCTAATCTTATTTTCTTCTAATCCTTCTCTTCCACAATGTTTTTATAGTGATATTTTATGAAGGCAAATTTGATGATGCTGTTCCCACTGTTCCCGTTTGAAACACTTTAAAGATTCCTCATACCATGTATATAGCTTAGCATGACATACAAGCCCCTTCCTATATGACTCCGCAGCTGCCCATCCAGCACTGAATATTAACTTGCCACCCTAATTGCTGGCATTCAGGTCACATGCCCCAAATTTGCTAGACTGTTTCTCAGGCCTCTGGGTCTTTGCATAGCTAGTCTCTACTCAAACAGTCATCCCATGCTCCTCATCCTTTTTTTCCTTGTCTTTTCCCACACATCTTTTCAAACTTGGCTCAAGTTTTCCCATCAGAAGCCTTCTCTGACTCATACCCAGCCCTCACCGCTGCCTTATCTAACTCTGATTCTGATGCTTAGTCTGTTCTGTGTTTTTTGCCTTTTAGTATGACTTATAATTTTTTTCTTGACAAGCAGACATAACGTACTTGGTAACAGTAACTATGATAATAGGCCTTTAGTAAGGTGGTGAACAGGTGCCGAAGGGGGCCTATATTTCAGTTTTAGTCTCTTTGTGAGCTTGTGCTCCTGAACTATGAACTTCACAAGTGTTTCTCAGTATTTTCCTCCCTTAGATTGGGCAGGATGGCTGGACAGGGCTGCAGTTGGGTATCTTCCCTTTTCCCATGTGGAAGGCTACAGAAGGCTGGAACTGAGTATTTTCCTTCTCCCAGGTCAGTTAGGCTCTGATAAAACCTCAATAGTTTCGGCTCTGGTAAAATAGTTTCTCCTAAGGCAGGCCTTGTTAAGAACAGAATGCTGTCGTATATTTCAAAATGCTTACTTTTCCCCTCCTTTTGCCAGAACCATGAAGGGATTTTTCTCTAATCTTTACTATGAGAACCTGGTTGAGCTCCTGGAGACCCCAACAACTAGGTCCCCCTGGAATTTTTCTCTCTCAGCCTTTTTGATTCAAGTCTTTAGCAATTTGTCAGCTAAGGTGTTTCTACCCTGGCAGCACTGGTTACTGTGGTTATCTCTGCTTGTGGGTTTCTGCTCTGGTTAATTGTCATTCTCTGTATTTGTCTATCTGTGTCTCCAACTTTAGAAGCAATGGTTTGCCCTGCGACCTCACTTTTCTCGGTGGATATAAGAAAAGTCGTTGGTTTTTCAGTTTGTTAAGTTTTTTGCTTCTTAGAATGGGATGATGAAATCCAAGCTCTACAGGCCAGACCAGGGGCTTGCCATTGCCTTTAAAAATTTTTTCGTCGTCATTTTGGCACTACCTTAGTGAAGTTAATAGTAAGATACTGATTATTAACATTATTTCTTCTTGCTGTGTATTTCAGATTGCTAAATCAGAAGAAAATTTTCCTTCTAACTTGAAAACATGTATATTCTGATGATCTAAAATGTAGAACAGTTTTTTGAGAACTCCTAAATTGATTTTTGCTTAGTCTCCAAGAAATTGCATTTGCTAGGTAAGAGTCAGTTTAACTCATAAAACACATAAGTTAAGTGCATCCAGAGCTTTCTCTCTTTAAAAAAACAAAAAATCTTGTGGAGCTCTGACATTGCCTTGTAGAATCACTTTTAAACTGCTCAGCACCTTTGGCCTAAAGTTATATTAGGTTTTAGTTCACACCTTTTTTATACAAAAATTTCTAGTAATAGAATGCCATGCATCCTCAGGGAGGGAAAAAATGATTTTCAGGGAAATCCAGAATTTCCCTGCCATTGGAAACTTTGTTTTAAAAATATGATGCTACCCTTAAAATTTCTTTTATTTAAGAGTAAAGAATGCTGGTAAAATTAAAATATTCATAACTTGGTTTGTACTTGGCAGGCTGATTTGTGAATGCCTTTGTATATCTACTTCAATTCTGTTTTAGTGACTAATTCCTGACTTTCCCACCTGTGGCAAGCATTTTGCTAGGTATTTGGAAAAGCAAGTTACATAAGATATAGATTCTTCATCTAGAGGACATGTTTAATCGAATAAGACAGAAAATGAAAGAAATGATGAGAGTACAAGATGCTATGTGTAATAATGGAGGTATGTACAACATATGCAGTAGGCACATAGAAGGGAATGATTAGCACTGTGAATAGAACAGAGTGAGTAACTATTTAAATCACAGCAAAGGCTGTAGGCTAAAAGTCAGGAAAACCATTACTTCAAAGTGCATATATTGAGTTCTTAAAATTTAATGAATACCAGGTAAAAGTTTTAGATAGAGACATACAAATAAATAAGATATGAACCATGACAACAAGAAGTTCAAGGTCTGTTAAAGGAAAACAACAAAAAAAAGTGAATAGGTAATTACAATATATTATGTAAAGTTGTGTGCTAAAAATATAACTCAAAAACTGTAGAAACATTTCATTTCTTATGAATTACCCAATTTCAGGTATTCTGTTATAGGCAACAGAAAATGAACTAAGAAACCTATATAGAGGGGCAAATTAAGAATTGCATCTGACTTCTCCACAGGAAACATGCAAGCAAGGAAATATTTAAAGTGTTGAGAGAAAGAAAGCACAACCTAGAGTACTGTACTTTGTGAAATTATCCTTCAAAAGTGAAGAAGGAATAAATACTTTTTTAGGTAAATAAAAAATTGAGAAAATTTATTGACAGTAGATCTGGCTTACAAGAATGTTAGAAGAAGCGCTTTTACAGCTTATTTTTTATTTGTAAATTATTTCACAGGAAATAGTTCATTCAAAATAAGAATGGCAAGATTATATACATATATATGTACATATTATATATATAAATGAATATATTCTTGTCACTTTATTTTGAATATATATACGTATTATATATGCTTATGTAGAATTGAGATGAATGATAGCAAAGATACAAGGGACAGGAGGAAGAAATAAAGATAATTTTGTTATTAGAAGATACTTACACTACCCATGAAGTGGAATAGTGCCATTTGAAAGTTGACTTGGATTAGTCGTAAATATAAATTGCAAACTCTGGGGTAACCACTAAAGGAAATATAACTAATATGCTAAGAAAGAAAAATGGAATCATGAAATTCTAAATTAAAACCACAGAAGAAAGAAAAAAGTGGAAGACAAAACTAAGAACAAAAATAAGGGCAACACATACAAAAGAGTAACAAATATGGTAAATATTAATCTGAATATATCAGTAATCACTTTGAACATCAATGGGCTGAATGCACCCAATAAGAGACAGAGATTGTCAGAGTGGATCAAAAAACACGTTCAACTATATGTTGTCTTTACATATAAACATACATATAGATTAAAAGCATAGAAATGGAAAAAGATATACCATGCTAATGTCAGAGGCATTCGAACCAGAGCGACTCCATTTTGAGAGAGGGCTAGGAAAATGAGGCTGAGACTTGCTGGGCTGTATTCCCAGAAAATTAGGCATTCCTAGCCTCTAGATGTTTATGCATAAGAGAACAAATTAATAATGTTTACTAAAACAGACCCAGACTTGGAAGTGTCCAAATATCCTGATATCTGGAGAACAAAGGCATTCCTAATTTTACTTTAAAGATATTAACATCGATCCTTGCAAAATGTAGTAATTAAGAAAATTAACCCTTTATCATAAACCCTTGGAGCAGAACACATCTCCACAAGATCTATTTCTATCCTGTATCTATACAAGAATTATACCTAGGGTGGACACGCTCCTCCTCTTACTTTCAGGAATGTCCTACTCTGTCTTTGGAGTAGCTGTAGTTTCACCGCTTTACTTTCTTAATAAACTTGCCTTTACTTTTCACTGTGGACTCACCTTGAATTCTTTCTTGCACAAGATCCAAGAACCCTCTCTTGGGGTCTGGATGGGGGCCCCTTTCCTGTAACACTAGCACTAATCAAAAATAGTAGGGGGAACTATGTTAACTTCAGACGATGCAGACAAGCTTTCGTGATACAAGACAATGCAGACAGCAGACCAAGGAAAATTTTCAGAGATAAAGAGGGACATTACATACTGATAAAGAGATTAATTCTCCAAGGAGATATGATAATCATTAATGTATATGTGTCTAATAAAAACGTTTCAAAATACATGTGGCAAAAACTGACAGAAATGCAAGGAGAAATAGATGAAGAGACTATTATAGTTGGAGACTTCAACACCCCTCTATCAGAAATGTAGAGATGATTCAGCAAGCAGAAAATCAGTAAGAACATAGCTGAACTCACCAACACCATTAATCACCTGGATGTAATTGACATCTACAGACTACTTTATCCAACAACAGCAAAATACCCATTTATTTTAAGCTCACATGCAATATTCACCATGACAGACCACATTCTGGGCCATAAAATACACCTAAACAAATTTAAAAGAATACAAATCATACAGCGTCTACTTTCAGACCACAACAGAAATAAACTAGAAATCAAGAACAGAAAGATAACTGGAAAACCTCCAAATAGTAGGAGATTAAACAACATGCTGTAAACAACACATAGATCAGTGGATTAGAGAAGAAATCTCAATATAAATTTTAAAATGTTTTGAACTAAATGAAAATAAAAACAAAACATCAAAATGTGCAGGATATAACAAAAGCAGTATTTAGATGGCACCTTATAGCATTGAATGCATATAGTAGAAAAAAAAGATCTAAATCAATAATCTAAGTTTTACACTAGGAAACTAGACACCGAACAGCAAATTAAACTCAAAGTAAGCAGAAAACAAATAAGAAAAAGCAGAGGCCAGGCACAGTGGCTCACGCCTGTAATCCCAGCACTTTGGGAGGCTAAGACAGGTGGATCACCTGAGGTAAGGAGTTGAGACCAGCCTGGCCAAGATGGTAAAACCCCGTCTCTACTAAAAATACAAAAAATTAGCTGGGTGTGGTGGCTCAAACCTGTAATCCCAGCTATTTTGGAGGCTGAGTCAGGAGAACTGCTTGAACCTGGAAGGTTGTAGTGAACGGAGATCGCGCCACTACACTCCAGCCTGGGCGACACAGCAAGACTCCATCTCCAAGAAAAAAGAAAAGAAAAAGAAAAAGTAGAGTCGGTATCAATAATATTTAAATAAATAGGAAAAAAAACAATATCAAAGCTAATTCTTTGAAAAGATTAATAAAATCAATACACTTCTGTGACGTTTTGATATAATAAGAAATATATATTTGGTCTCTGCCTATGGTTCCTGACATGAAGGTCCTAAGTCCCTTGAAATTTCCTAGATAACAGGAGCATCTTTTATTCTAATTAGGTGGCTCTTGGTGGGCTCTTGCATAGCCTCAGGATAAGGGCTGGTTACCAGGGAAAATGATCATGAGATCACGTGGTTGGAATTTGAAGTCCTGCCCTACTCACCAATCTCAGAGGAGGAGAGAAGGGTTGAAGGTTGAGCTGACCAACACTGGCTAATGGTTTAATTAATCATGCCTACATAATGAAGCCATGATAAAAACACAAAAATACAGGGTTCAGAGAGTTTCCGGATTGCTAAACACATGGAGTTTCCTGGAGGCTTGTACACTGAGAGAGGGCATAGAAGCTCCATGCCCCTTTCCTTCCAGACCTTGCCCTATACATCTCTTCACCTGGCTGTTCATCGGAATACTTTGTAACATCCTCTATAATAAATGTGTAAATATAAGTAAAGTGTTTTCCTGAGTTCTATGAGCTACCCTACCAAATTAACTAAACTCAAGGAGGGGGTCATGGAAACCTCAATTTATAGCCAGTTGGTCAGAACCACAGGTCATAACCTGGGACTTTCAACTGGCATCCGAGGTGGGGGCAGTCTTGTAGGACTGAGTCCTTACCCTGTGGCATCTGATGCTATCTCTGGGTAGATAGTGTCAGAATCAAGTCACATTATAGGACACCCAGTTGGTAATCTCTGGAGAATTACTTGATGTGTGCCTGGGAAAAAAATGCACACATTTGGTGTCAGAAGTGTTCTACTGAATGGTGCATGAGAGTATGAAAAACACTCTTTTTTTCTATGTCTTACAGCCAGGCTAACTATGAAAAGGGACACAAATTATGAGTATCAGAAATGAAAGTGCTCAATGGTAGGTTCTACCAAAGATTTAAGGAAAAAATTATACCAATTCTCGACTCTCTCTTTCAGAAGATAGAAACAGAGGGAATAGTTTCATATTGTATGGGGCCAGTATTACTCTAATACTACTACCAAACAAAGACATTACAAGAAAAGAAAACCACAGACTAATATCTCTCATAAATATAGATGTAAAAATTTTCAACAAAATGTTAGCAAAACAAATCTAACAATTATAAAATATTATACATACAACTAAGTGAAATTTATCCCACGAATGAAAGCCTTGTCCAACATTCAAATAGAAATTAATGTAATCCATCTTATCAACAAGTGTTAGAATAAAATATTTAGAATAAAAGCCACATTATTAAACCAATAGATGTAGAAAAAGCATATGAAAAATCCAACACCAATCTATCATAAAAACTCTCATGTAAATTGGAAATAAAGGTGAACCTCCACTTGATTAAAAAATATTTACAAAACACCTACAACTAACATCATACTTAATGGTGGGAAACTAGAGGCTTTTCTACTAATCACAGGAATAAGGCAAGGATGTCACCTCTCACCACTACTTTTTACAATATCATACTGGAAGTTCTAGCAAATGTAATAGACAATAAAAGAAAATGTATACAGATTTAGAAAGAAGAAATAAAACTGGTCTTTGTTAACAGATCACATCATTATCTCTGTAGAAAATCTGAAAGAATCACCAGAAAAAAAATCCTGGAACTAACAGGAAATTTAACAAGCTTTCATGATACAAGGTTAGTGTACAAAAATCAATTACTTTCCTGTATACAAGCTGTGAACAAGTGAAATTTGAAATTAAAAACATAATGCCATTTACATTAGCATAACCAAAAATGAAATATTTAGGTATGGATCTGGTAAAAATATGTACAAGACCTATGGGAAGAAATATAAAATTCTGATGAAAAAAATTAAAGAACTAAATAAATAGAAAGATATTCATCTTTATGAACATGAAGACTCAGTATTTTCAAGATCTCAGTTCTTCCCAACTTGATTTATAGATTCAAAGCAATTCCAATCTAAATCCTACCCAGTTATTTTCTGGATATCAAAAAGTTGATTCTAAAATTTATAAAGAGACGCAATAGACCCAGAATAACCAACACAATATTGGAGAAGTTGGAGAACTAACAATACTCAAACTGAAAACTTGCTGTAAAACTGTAGTAATCAAGACAGCGTGGCATTGGTGAAAGAACAAACAAATAGATAAATGGAACAGAATAGAGAGCCCAGCAGTAAACCCACATTAGCATAATCAACTAATCTTTCATAAAGAAGCAAAGGCAGTACAATGAAGAAATTATAGTCTTTCTAACAAATGGTGCTGGAGCAACTGGACATCCACATGTGAAAACAATAAATCTGAACACAGAGCTCACATCCTTCACAAAAATTAAGTCAAAATGGATCACAGACTTAAATGCAAAATGCAGAACTATAAAACTCCTAGAAGATAACATAGGAAAAAATCTAAATAACCTTCAGTTTGGCAATCACTTTTTAGATACTATATCAAAGATACAATCCATGAAAGAAGTAATTGATAAGCTGGACTACATTAAAATTAAAATTTTCTGCTTTGCGAAAGATGCTATCAAGAGGAAGCAAAGAAAAGCCACAAGTTGGAAAAAATATATGCAAACAAAATACCTGAATAAAGGACTGTTACGCAAAATATACAAAGAACTCTTAATACAGATGCTTCTTGATTTACAATGGGATTACTTCTCAATAAATCTCATTATAAGTAAAAAAATCATAAGTCAAACAACCTTAAGTCCAGATGGTTATTGACTTAAGATATACTGGGTTATGTCCCAATAAACCCACTGGAAAGTTGAAAATTTTTAAGTCAAACCACCCTACATTGGGGACCATCTGTACTCAACAATAAGAAAACAAACAAACTGATTAAAAAGTGGGCCAAAGATCTTAATAGATTTCCCATCAAAGAAGATACACAGATGGCAAATAAGCATATGAAAGATGCTCCACATCATATGACATCAGAAGAATGAAAAATAAAAGGACAATGAGATGCCACTGCTTACTTATTAAAATGGCAAAATCCATATTAGTATCAGTATTAGATAACATAAAATGCCAGCTAGCATATGAAACAACAGGCACTTTCACTATTGCTGATGGGAATGCAAAAACAATCTTGTTCCTTGGTATTTACTCAAAGGAGTTGAAAACTATGTCTATACACCACCTGCACGCGGATGTTTATGGCAGCTTTATTCATAATTGCCAAAACTTGAAAGCAACCGATATATCCTCCAGTAGGTGAACAGATAAATTAACTGTGGTGTTCCCAGACAATGGAATATTATTTAGCACTAAAAACTGCACTATCAAGCCGTGGAAAGACACGGAGAACATTTAAACATGTATTACTAAGTCAAAGAAGTAGATCTGGAAAGGCTACATAACATATGATTCCAATTATAAGACGTACTGGAAAAAGCAACACTGTGGAGACAAAACTATTGTTAAAAGGTCAGTAGTTGCCAAGGGTTAGAGGAGAGGAAGGGATGAATCAGTCAGAACACAGAATTTTTGGGGCAGTGAAACTACTCTGAATGATACTATAATGGTGAATACATGCCACTATTCACTTCTTCAAATTCATAGAACATACAACACCAAGAGTGATTCCTAATGTAAAAACTTTGGACTTTGGGTGAAAATGTTGTGTCAATATAGATTCACCAACTGTAACAAATGTACCAATCTTGTGTGGGAGATGCTGATAACGGGGGAAGCTATGCATGTATGGGGGCAAGAGGTATGTGAAACCTCTGTACCTTCTGCTCAATTTTGCTGTAAACCTAAAACTGCTATTTGTTAAGTGTATCACATTTTTAAAAATGTGATGTCAGTTCAACTTGAAATTTTAAGCTGACCTAATTGGTTGCCACAAAATCATAGGCAAAACCTAACATTTATGCATCACAGATAGACATATGGATAAAAAGGAGTGGAGAATTATTTCTCATGATCAGATCTTTTAGTTAGAAAGACTTACACACAAAAATGCCTAGACAAGTAAAGCCTAATTTCCATGGACTTCAGTTACCTAGATAATTAAGTCAAATAATTCGCTTATATATATAGTGAGTAAAAACAATGTAAAACATGATTTATAACTATAAAACCATATGCCACAAATAATACATGCTTACATGTTACAATGAAGTATATTGTGCCATGCTAAGATTGTTAGAAGATAATTTTCATAATAATGTTTAATGTCCTACATGGCAAAGAGTTTATTTAAGTCATTAATTAATGAGAGTAGGAAGATGTTATATCTGGTCCAAAGGAGAACTCAAAGAATGAATATATAAGGGAAATCAGGAACACTTGAGTTGACGAATAGATAAAAACTAGTTGAAATCCATGGGGCGATAATTCATTGAACTTATTTGGATACAAGTTATTTGCATTTGTATGAACAAACAAAATTTGCATCATCATCAATTTTCTATATTTGCAGGACACTCAGTAATGACTTCTGCTAATTTCAAAGACTTTCACATTTTTTTCTGACAGTAAACAATTTTGCTCTATTTTGTTAAAAAGACTAAACAGTATCTCCTATACTTTGTACAAAAACAAGATGTCCTTATCTGTTCATTCTCATTTTTCCCCAGCTGACCAAACTTTATTCTTTTGATAAGCATAATTTCAGAAACTATAAGAAAAGTTCTCCTTACTCAACATCCGCAAGAACTTTTCCACCTGCTGACTAACGTGTGAATTTCTTCCATAGGGAATTGTCAATGACTAAAACAAAGACTACCCAAGGAAAAAGAAAAAAAAACCCTCAGTTTCTTAACTTGCCAGACAAGAGAACATACACAAATGTCAAACTTCACTAAGTAGATCACCTGGGGGTGGGAGGAACTCAAGGGCTTCAAGAAAGGTAGGTCTGAAAACCTAGCATGAAATAAATCCTCAGGTCTGCCCGTAATTGGTTAAAACAAAGACCATTGTCCATTGGTCAAAAACAGTTTTCCATTAAGTCCAATAAGAGTCCGGTATACTGGAGTCTTTCAAACTTCATGATTCTTAGCTGCTTAGAAAAATTACAGTGGTTAGCTTTGATGTCTCCTGGGCAAATGTCGAAATAAATGGAAAATTTTCATCCTCGCAGTGTAGCCTCTTAGGTCAGAAGACAGAAAAATATGGCTGTGGGCCAATTCTAAAACCCTTTTTAGTATGGCCTGTGATCTAAGAATGCTTTTTACATTTCTAAACGGCTGTAAAAAAATCAATAAAAGAAAAAATCTGCCACAGAGACCATATGTGGGTTATAAAGCCTAAAATATTTACCACCTGGCCTTTTACAGAAGAAATTTACTGACCTCTGTCTTAGATCACAATGTGAGATAAGGTTTATGTTCCAGATAACCCTAAATATACAAAATGGATGGAATTTTATAGTAAGATACTAACATAACATCTTTTCTGAATTATAATGGATAGAAGATGGAAGTAACAGGGAAGCACTAATTTCCTAGAAGGAGAGTGAATTTTTTAAAAACTCATAGAAGGGATATCAAACATGGAAAGTGGAGTTAGCCAGGCAAACATCACAACTGCCCTAGTGAGCAAGGATTAGAAAAAGAAAGAGGACTAACAGGAAATTAATGAAGGTGAGTTAACTCATTATGCAAATAACATCTTGTGTAACATCTCTCTAACAACTAACCACGGCGTGTGCTCATTTGTGGACAGAACAGGAAAATCACAGTAAGAATAAAAGCCAACTGACCCTAAAAAGTACTAGCCTGTATTAAACTTAAAAATACAGACTAAGAGCGTAAACTTAAGGATAAATTGAAAAGTTTTTGGACAAGCAGAAGCCCCATCTAATACAAAGTCTAGGTTTGTATACAAAGAGGGGTAATTAGGTAGACCTTTTGAACAAAATATTATGAATCATCGCTGTCCCATATTAGGAAAACCATGTTTTAGGGTGTTGCTGTGTGGATAGCCATACTTCAGCTTTTCAATTAGGCAAGCACTGGGCAGGTTGGAGGTGGAATGGCTACACTAGCACTCAATGGCCCTTCTGGGATCACTGCCTCCAATGGGTGTGCATGCTATTAGCATACAAAATGGCTAAGATAGGGTGTGTCGACTGTGAAGAAAGAGTATGGTTTCTCTTGCAGACCTGCACATGTAGTCTCTTATTCCTTATGGTAAGGGCTTTTTCTGCTTCAGCTTATCTCTTTCATTTCTTCTACATCTGTTTTCATCACAGTTTTCATCTACCCGTCACTAAACCAGTATAACATCCCCATGACAGGTTCTCATGTTTCTTTCACACAGAATACTCTTCTTTATTATCATTCTTTTCATAATTGTTACAGAATTTGCTCTGGTTCCTAAGAAATACACAACTCTGAGGACAGCAAGAGAGATGAACAAAAATGCTTCAGCTCGCTCGTGCTCTTTCTCTCTGTGTCTCTCTCTCCCCTTCCCCTCCCCACCCTTTCTCTCCCTTTCTTGGTCCAAAGAAAGGACTGAAGAGTTATTTTTAAAAATAACAATATAACTGTACTCCAAACCAAGAAAAGGTATTATTAAGAGATCAAAAATGTTAAAGTAGAAGATATGAGAAGACGGGGATTCTTACACCTCTTGACAGAGATGGAATTTCTGGTGGGTAATCTAATAAAATGGGTCAGAATTTGAAATATGTATATCCTTTGATCTAGAAGTTTTAGGAATTTGTCCCTAAAGATACAATAAGAGAAGTGCTTGAAAGTATAAGAATAAGGATGTTTATTGCCATAATGGGTATACTAGTGAAATAAGGGAGAAAACTTCGAAAAATTGATGACACAAATCATGGTACTTTCATATAAAAACATGCTGAAATCATTAAAATGACAAGGCTTATATTTATGTTTGATGTAGAAAGGCGGCCATAATGCCTACATTGTTCAATCAAAAAGCAGGTTCAGCACATGTAGTGCATACTAATAATACTCCACAATTAGAAGAAAAGGATTTTCACTTTCTATTTCTTAGATCCCATTATGATTTGAACTTCTTACAGTGAGCATGTATTACTTTTGTAATAAATAAATAAAAATAATTGCACCATTATTCACAGTCCTCTGCAACCCAACACAAGCTGAACCCATTCCTGATATTTTTCCTTCCACTTCTGCCTCACTCCAAATTGGTTTAGCACTGCCAAACTATGCTTTTTAATGTCCTGTCTTTTACAGTTTTTCTCGGGGTTTTTCCTGTCTGGAATGCTCTCTGCCCCAGCCTTGCCCTTTTCCCTTCTGTTAATCTTTCAAGACCTATCTCCAGAAGTCTCCTTGATCAGTCCATCTGGAATCAATCATCCATGTCTTTCAACCCCTATGGTACTTTCAGTCTGGACTAAGGCTTCTTAACGTCATCTATTTCTCCTTGCATTTCTGTCAGTTTTGCCACATGCATTTTGAAATGTTTTTATTAGACACATATACACATAATTCTCCATGGAGATATAACAATCATTAATGTATATGTGTATGTCCATTTCTTTAGACAGAGTCCACAGCTTTGAGCAGATTTTCAAAAGAGCACAAACATAGTCATTTGTCTAAATACCTTTAATTTATCAATGTATAGTGTTCAGCTTTATGATATTACTTCTATTATTTTCTTAAAAATGTCACTTAAATCTTATTACTTAACTTTTAAACATATCTATTTCTTCTCTCCAACACTAAGAAAATTGAGAATAAGAACCAAGGTATATACTTTTTTCAATCCCTGATCAAAACTTGCACAGTTCAAAGAACACAGGTGGAATTTTTTAAATCTATGTTGATTTGGTGAGAATTTGTACCCACAAGAAAATGTGTGGTCAATCATGGAAATTAATAAGACACAAAGCTTGAAAGAAAAATAATCTGTGGGGGAAAGAACCAAAATAGAAACCTTGTCCTCAGTTCTGAGACAGCAGTTCTCCAAGGTCTTGCTGGCCCCTGATAATCAGATGACTCACCATCAGGACAAAGGAAAACACAAAAATACCTGAACAGGGCCAGGTGCAGTGGCTCACGCCTGTAATCTCAGCACTTTGGGAGGCCGAGGTGGGCGAATCACCTGAGGTCAGGAGTTCAAGACCAGCCTGACCAACATGGAGAAACCCCATCTCTACTAAAAATACAAAATTAGCCGGGTGTGGTGGCGCATGCCTGTAATCCTAGCTACTCACAAGGCTGAGGCAGGAGAATCACTTGAACCCGGGAGGCAGAGGTTGCAATGAGCCGAGATCATGCCATTGCACTCTAGCCTGGGCAACAAGAGTGAAACTCTGTCTCAAAAAAAAGAAAAAAAAGAAATACCTGAACAGGATCTGGCAGATAGATAAACCTTCCCACATGATGGTACATAAGTTAACATAACATTGAAGTTTCCCGCAGGTAATATTCCAAAAGAAATTTATAAACAGGTCAATGCAGGCATAAGTGAAAAAAAAAACACGTATGGACATTTCACATGGATATTTTTAGAATACAAAATTTTTCTTAAAAGATTAGGCACACAATTAAGGATCCCCTATGAGAAAGTAGAGATGTACTTGCTTGACACAATTTCACTAATAATAAGAAACTTATTCCATCTTGAATAATGAGAGAGCAGAATTTTGTATTCCCTGTTAAGTGTTCTGAGTTTTGGAACATTGGGCAAATCACTTAGTGATGTTGGATTTCATTTCTCATAAAATGAGAGAGGCTGACATAACAGAAGAGAGACCGAGAAGTAGACTCATACTTGTGTCAGGAGATAGACCCATTCTTTTCAAACTGAATGTTTAGGATATATAGGGAGGTAAGCACAAAATTATAAGTTAAAAATGGTCACATGTTGTTGAAGCAGAAAATGTACTAAATATATAAGAGGAACAAAGCTTTTTAATTAAAATCAGTGTAACATGGAGGAAATAAAGGAGGAGATTCTTTATGGAATTCTTCTGTGAAATAAAACAATCTTTTTCAGGGAGCCACCTTGATGGAAAAGGTTTATGATACAAAGGTGCCTAGTGAAGTAGCCTCAGTTTTCTGGAACTAGACAGGTACCTAAACCATTCTAGATATGATATTAGCAAAACTTTGTGACACAATTCAGAGAAGAATGGAGTATGGAGAGAGAAAAAATGAGTGAGATGAAATAAGGCATGGGTGGCAGAAGAAGAGCCTACAGATCAATGTTAGCTGGTGAGAAGATCCCAGAGGCAGGGTGACAGAACACTTTTAAGATCAAAATTGGCTCACATTTACTCTTAAGTTTCTGCTGTGTGGTGCTATGCTGCAAATTCATTGCCACTGAACTATTTTTTTAACCAACATTTAGTATTCCTACATATACCTTGTATGAGTTACATTATGGGGAAACGAATGAAGGGAACCCTATTTTTTGATCTTCAAGGGGGTGGGGAGAAAATAGCTAAAGATGATAAGACTTGAGAGAGAGACTGAAAGTTCAGTGAAAGCAGGAAATCTGAGAGACAGGTGACCAACACAACCTGAGAGACAGGTGACCTAGCCCCTAGGAATGTACACATATCATGAGAAAGGCTTTGGAATTCTCATAGGACATGGGAATGAGGGTATTAAGCCAATTTAATTTAATTCATGCAGACAAGGAAGCTCAGCCAAGCAGAAATATTGGTTCAATGAACATGGGTATACTATGGATAAAGATTCTAAATCTTACGACCTCAAATACAACCGTGTTTATTGGTTTTAGGTTCCACTCCCAAATTTCAGAATGCAAGTATTTACCCTCCTCTGACATTAGAGAGGTTTTGACAAGTATTGGACTTGGCAATATCAAATGATACATTTAAGCCTAACATTCTACATCTCTGCAAAACATTGTGCAGCTATTAAGCAAAAATAATCCTTTACTTCATAAAGCAGTTGCAGGTAAAACACAAAATTGTAAAGGAATCCATTATCTGTAAGAATATATCTACCTGATACCAAAACTGAGGCTGAAATTTGTTCTTCTAGAGAAAATTCATAGCACAATTTGTTGCATTTTTACTATACCTTATATGGGGCTTAACTCAAAACTCTCACAAAGAAATTTTGCCTCATAAGTTTTACCACGACATGGATCTGCAAGTTGAAAAACCAGCCCCTTAGATGCAATTCCATGGGCACTTTCTGAAATTATCAATAATCCAGTATCTGTGAACCATTCATCAGCATTAGTGTCAGGTTGCAAATTTGTCCAGTCAGACATATCAATCACATACAGCAATGATGACAGCAGCTGCAAATCAGAGAAAGCCAAATTACCTGCTAAGGCCTCCCACACTTAGAAAAACATTTAACAAAGACAGCTGATTAACTCATTCTCACATAGTCATTTACCCAGGCTTGCAGAGTTCATTCAAAAGTAATTTCCACTACTTTAGTAAGCAATCTATATAACTTGCTAATGAGAATGTGTCAGAATATGTCTTTACGGAGTCATTATGTGAAATGTCATAGATATGTGGTGATGAGATCTTCAAAATATACATGGTTCCATCTCAAAAAAAGAGTTCACACAGGCTGCCTAATGAAGAATCTTTTAGAAATTTGTCATAATTCTATCACAGTTTAGATGTGATTATCCAGGAGTTAAGTAAAAACCTATATTTATTCTAGCAAATTAATCAGAATTATATGTTATTCTATCAAAATTATTTAATAAAAAGACTATTCTAAGTATTGTTTTAATAAAACAATACTGAGTTAGGATACTTAAATCCACTTGCTTCATTTTCCCCATCTTTGTGCACCCGTACTGGGTTGTGCATGCTTGTATTGACATGCTCACCATTTATTTACCTTCATTCTACGGATCAAATAAAACCAAGAGGGAAACTACCAAATCATTTTCAGAGAGTGGGCATAGTGAAGAGCTGGGGCAGATGTTAAAAACGAGAATAACTGTCTTACAACAGCAAAAAATACAAAAAGAAAACATGCAGGTAGGTCTATTCAATTTTAGCATGGGAAGCAAAGTCATGAAGCACAAAGCCCTTTATGAACACTGTTATGATGGTGAAATCTAACTGAAACAAGGATGATAGACATCACTATTCATAATATGAAAGGATTCACCTGTCTGTAATTAACTCCATTTAGGCTCCAATTAACAGAAGCTGCTAGGAATTTTAGCCAATGGTATGGCTATCTGGGATATAGTATGTAACCAAAGATTTATTGGTGGCCACATTTATAAGTAAATTGCCTTCAAGAATATGAATAATTTTCAGCCCCGTAACACCCCCTATCGACTTCATCTCTTACATAGGGGAGATGTGACTTTAGTTTTTCTAGGAAATGCAACCTAGAAATTCTGTTCAACCTGACCCTGCTAGTGATAACTCTTCTAACTCTTGGACTTTTGCCCAATACTAAAACTGTTCTCTGCCGCAACTCCTACCGAACACATAATATACACACACAAAAATATTATTATCATATTGTCATATTTAGGTAAACATTATAATACAGTACCCACATATGTGATGGAACATTCCCTGACTGGAATTAAACACTTGCTAAAGAATTGCAGGTGTCTTTTAAATAATCAAGTTAGTCCCAAATGCAGGAAGAAAGAAAACAAATAATCCAGCAATCAATACAGCATCAGCATCATTAACTCTAATCTCCAGAGTCTACTCTTTTTAGATGGGAGAGGAAAACAAGAAAATCTCAAAGCTATACTATTATGACAGTCAATTACATTTTGATAGAACAGTTTCATGCTTCCATCTGTAATTAAAGTCAGCAGTCTTATAAATTAAATTCCTACGAAGGGAAAATTGTATGGGAGCAGAGGGAGCACTTAGTTGTTCCTAAGATAAAAGCTGGGAAATAAATCGTGTATAAAACAAACTATCTCTTAACAGCACAAGTTATTAACCTACATACTGGGTATATTGTGATCCGGACATACGTACACCACCACCTGCATGCTAGAAACTATTTTTTTTAATTGGAAGACTGCATGATGGTTCACCTTCATTAATTTCAATTCAACAATGGCTCCAAATAATATATCTCAATGATGAAAAAACTTAAATGTTTTATAATAATCCATAAAAAAGCTTAAACTGCTGACAAATGTAAATAACATTCCCCACATGATTCAATTTAAATTTTACTCCTCCTTCTACAAGCAAAGTGACTTCCCTGTTCTTTGATTTGGGGTATAATTTGCTGTGGCCAATGGTATGTTGGCAGACATGATGCATATAGAGGATGGCAAACTACTGGCACAGGCAGTCTTGCTCTCATTTGGGTCTGTCTTCACCATGAGAAGATAACACCCTGGCTGGTCCATTGGTCCCTGAAGATTAGCTACAGATGCAAGCTGACTACAGATTCATGAAGTGAGCCCAACTAAAACCAGTATAACCATCCTGTTGAGCACAGCCTCAATTAGCCAACCATTAGCCACTGATCTGCAGATGCATGAGAAATAAATGATTATTATTGTATTATGACAATGTATTTTTGTGGGAGTAGTAGACTGATACAGCTATCAAATAAAGCCAAAATTCCTTAATTCAGAATCCAATGTCTTTCATGTTCTTCTCCATGATGCTTTTACATAATTTTCTAGTCATTCATTCAACCAACAAATACATATTGAGTACCTACTATATGTTAGTTACAATTCAGGCACTGGGCATAGAGTGGTTAACAAAAGTTCACACTATTATGGAGCTTACATTCTAGAAGACAGAAAAAGAAAGAAATAAATGTATAACGTGGCAGGTAGTGATAGCTTCAATGAAGAGCAGTGATAAGTAAAAGTAGAGAGAGGAACGGCAATAGTAGTGTGGTCAGGGAATATTTCTTTGATGAGGTAACATTTGAACATCGGAATTAAGGGAAAGAGAAAGTTATGAGTATATCTTAGGGAAAAAAATTCCAACTGTCAAAGGAAATAGGAAATGCAAAAAACTTTAGGAAGAACATACTAAATGCATTTCAACAACAGCATGGAAGTTAGTATTTTAAACACAATAAGAAAGGAACAGGATAGGAGGATACAGTGTTGGGAGTGGCAGGAAGCTAGACCATGTAGACTTTGAGGCACTGCTTCAGCTTTCACTCTAAGAGAGAATGACAACATCTAACTCATTGATAGGTACCTACCTAATTATCTATCTACCTACCTCTCTGTCCATCCATCTATCTGTCCATCTATTTATCCACCTATTTACCAATCTCATATATCTATTGTCTGTCATCTATATATCTTTATCTATTTTTTTATCCATTTACCTATGACAGTCTGCCATCTGTTGTAAACATCAGTCTCTGCTATAGCATTCCTACCAGATTCTGAGACTCTTGGTGGTAAGGGCTGTGTCTTACTCATGTCTTTATTCCACCCAATGCCTAATACGTTGTAAGCTGTCAATAAATAGTGGTCAAATAATAGAGGAATTAATCCATGCACAAACATAAGTAGTACAATAATCTTTTTCCTAATATTTTAACATGCTAATACAGTAAGTACTCCATTAGTAGCATGATTCTTGGGATCAAAGACTATGTAGTATGTGACCCTGAATAGAAGCAGAAGATTAGGAGAACTTTAGTAAATGCTATTGTTAACCTGAGGCTTTACTTAGGAAATTCATCTATAAAGTGTGGATAATTCAGACATTTATATTCCTACCTTCTTCTACATTTCCTATAACGTTAGAGCCTAGAAATTTTTGCCTTAATAGCAATATTGATAAGTGTTCTGGAGAACAATTTCTTTTCTTTGACTATATGGCTGAACAATATAAATAATAAGCCTAATGTGGGAATATATCTACATGGTAGCTACCTGCATTTCCAACTAGTTAGCTCTATTTTCAGACCATGATGAAAAACATTATCTCAAAAATCCATGCAGAAATTTGAGCTAGATTAAATTCCAAAAATAAATTATGTGGCCCAGAAGAAATCAATATAGCTTTATTTAATTTTCAGGAGGCAACTTTCAAACACAGCACAGTTACATGATGTGTAAAGAGTTTTTCTGAGCTTTACGGACTTCTTTATGGAAAGCCAACATATGAGCTATCCAGATAGCCAAACGTTACTGAGACCTTCCAAAGACCCAAAGATGCCCTCACTATTGTCTCACAAACAAAATCTATGTAAATTATTTTGTTTCAAGCAGTAGAGGAGAAACAAGCAAACAAGAATGTAGATGGAACTGTCTTTTAGAATCCCACCCTACAATTTTGCAATATTGATAGCTGTTCTTTAAGAACAATTTCTTCCATGAACAAGATGACTCAAATACACCGGGACTCCACAGCATAAGGTGCAAATAGATTTTCTGTGCATTTGTTTTGTTTCCCTACAGAAATTGCCCTAAAAACTCAAATGCCCTTCAAAAGGTATTTTGGATGGCAAAATAGTATTTGCCATGAATTCTGAAAGGAATGATCAGGCTTTTTGATAACAGATATTTGGGTCTACATGCAGAGACTCTTCTACTTTATCCCAAGCCTGATTCAAAATCCAGGCTATACAGGCGATAATTTTTTTTAAGACTTTCAACTTTGAAATGAGGTTATTTCATGCTTTTAAATCACAAAGAGAGAGCTTTGTAAGCAGTTCCTTCACAGCAGCCTCTGCTAGATCTTCAGAGATTGAATTCTTTCTTAGTTGGAGCAATGTCACTGGAACAATAGTAGGAGCTGATTTTTCTCCTCAGTCAATTTTCTCTGTTAACAATTAGGATGTAGTGAGCTGCATTTGATCAGGTTGAAATGGCAGGTCAAAATCTATACTGACTAGATTTCATTGGATTTCCCAAGATGTTGCTCTTGCTATGCCCTTCAATTGTGCGTGTAGGGTCACTGAGGTTTCTTCATCAGGCCATTGTATTTTGAGTTTAAGTTGATTGTTTTCCTGGCTGAAGTGTACTTACCTTAGAAGATGAAAAGACTACCACTGTGTATTTGATTACTTCTGTGTTTACATTTTTTCACCACAGCTTTCCTGGAGCATAAATTATTACTACAACAATCCACAGTATCATTACCATTAGCATGCATGTGGGCCTGTGTTCTTTTCGCATATGGCTCACAAAGCCATATACAAATGGGAAATATCATTAATGTATCAGTGTCAAACTCTATACCTTCGTTTCAACTAAAGGAGGTTTTGCCTTTTCATTTTTAGTCTTTCCTGTGTGCTTCTAAGCCCATATGTGTGCCTCTTGCTTTATTTTACTTTCTTTCCGAATCCCCTCCTGCTTTCTCCTTACAGAATATAAATTCTTTAAAGATTGGTTCTGACGGCAGCAGCGGCCCATCTAGAATGGCCACTGCCAAGACGGCGGCTGCAGTGTGGAGGCACTGCTGGCCTCCCACTCCACGGAGCAGGCAGGCGCCCCACGCCCCTCTGCCCTCCCTGGGTGCCCTGGGTGCCGCTGCGGCTACCTGGCACGCCTCTAGACCCTGGTGTCTCTGTGCTCTTGAGGGCCTGGCAAGGCCCTCCTGCCCCCTGCAGGCTTGGAAGTGCCTGCTCCCACTGCCTGGCTTCTCCTCGCTGTCAGCACCCACTCAGATCTCGGAGGCATGGCCAGGGCTGCACACTCCATGGAGCCGCAGGTGCCAGGGACAAGCAGGAACCCGCCTTCTCCAAGTTGGTAGGGAGGGAGCTCCCCTGGTGCAGCTTCAGCCGCCCAAGCCCTGTTGCGGACCAGGCATCCCTGTGCTCTTGGGGGCCCAAGAAGTCACCTCTGCTCCCTCCAGGCTCAGAAGTGCCTGCTCCCACTGCCTGGCCTCTCCCTGCTCCCAGCACCCACTCCCACTCACATCATGGAGCAAGGCTGGGCCCGAGCCCAGGTGCTGTTGCTGTGCAGCTGGATGGGCACACGCTTGGGGCAGCACTGACAGCCAGGCCCCTGCCACCTCAGCCTCCTCTGGACTTTGGGTGCCAGGAGCATGGGAGGGAAGCCGAAGTGGAGCTGAGGGCAGCTCAGCACTGGCCTGCAGACACCCCTTGGCACCAACGGCCTGGGTGCCATGAAGGAGGGGCAGACAGGCTCCTGGACAGAAGGGGGCAGGTCCTTGGTGAAGCCTCACCTTGAGGCCAGGAAGGCCAGGAGGGCCTGAGGAGGCCGGGCTGCCAGTCCTGCAGACTGGAGGGGGAACTGGCTGTGCTTTTTCCAGGGCCCACCCATGGCTGCCCATGGACCAATCAGTACGCACTTCCCACCACGAAGACCATAAAAACCCTAAACTCAGAGCAGAGCAGATGTCTGGACAACCAGCTGCAGAGAAGGGCTACCCTGTCTGGTGAGGGCTGAACACTTCTCAGGATGACCTGCCTGCAGAGAGGAGCCACAACTCCAGGGCCTCCCCTCTCAGCTGAGAGCTGAGCACTGAACAGGATGACCTGTTTATAGAAAGAAGCGACCCACTGCAGGTCTCCTCTGATCTGTTCTAACACTCAATAAAGCTCCTCTTCATCTTGCTCACATTCCGTTTGTCTGCATACCTCATTCTTCCTGGACTTAGGACAAGAACTCAGGCAATAGTGCCACTGGCCGCAGAGGTTTCCAGCCAGAAAAGCAACACCCCAAAGATCTTGTAACAGTTCTATGTCTTAAACACCTTTGCATCTTTTCTCTAAACTTAGTTCAATGCCTGGCAAACAATCACCGTTAATAAACAAACAAAAAAAAATTAAATAAAAAATGAAGAATAAATGAATGACTAAATGATGGTATCACACATCTTTAGTTACATTGCATAGCCAATGCTATTTTATCAATGAGTTTTCTTTGCCAGCTCGCCTTGATGACTGAAGAAAAACTACCTTTCTCTTTTTCATCTTTTTCTCTCAGATTGCCAGCTGAACTTTTTAACACTTCTGGGCTAACCAGAGCTTCTTTTTCTTTTCTGATCCTAATAATTAAAATCAGTTATTCTCACTCTTGAGGATGCATCAGAATCACCTGGAGGGCTCGTTAAAATACATATGGCTGGGCCCCACTCCCAATTTCTTATTCAGAAAGTTTGAGTTGGGAACTAAGACTCTCCATTTTTAATAAGCTCCCAGATGATCCCATGCTGCTGGTCCAAGGACTACACTTTGAGAACCACCGGATTAGTCAATCACCTAGGGAAATTCTGTGCCCAGTTGCTCCCTTGGTTGTTAATAATTAGTGCTCAAGGGGTCCATAAAAGAGAAATGGAGCCAGTTACAACATTTTTCGTCTTTCTAGTTGCAAAGAGAGTTGAAATCATCAGTGACTACAAATGGAAAGTCTGAGTGAACACATGAATCAAACTATATTCCTTTTGGCCAAATCCCAAATAAAAGGGATCATTAATAAAGAGAAGGGAAATTGGAAAGGCTGTATCCTGGTATACTAAGGTTGCCCAAAATTTCTCTATAAACAAGAAGGCACACCTCCCCATCTTGCTGCCTCCTAAACCACCTTTATTGAATTAAATTACATGCTCTAAACATGTAATGAGTTTAAATGTAAATTCTGCAGAGGTCCCAAGAATATCACGTTTGGCCCTTACTTTCTCTTTGCCTAGTTGAAATCTATCTCTACTCTCCAGTTATTAAAAATAATAAGTTCAAATCATCTTCTGAAAGCAGTTTGGAAACCAGATGCATTGATATCCAATTATCGATATATTTATTTTTAAAAGTTAAATTTAGAAGTAAATGTAGAATAAACGACAAAAATGATTCACTCATTAAAACATTCCAGGATTGGGTCGGGCGCAATGGCTCATGCCTGTAATCCCAGCACTTTGGGAGGCTGAGGCAGGCAGATCACGAGGTCAGGAGTTCGAGACCAGCCTGACCAACATGGTGAAACCCCAGCTCTACTAAAAATACAAAAATTAGCCAGGCGTGGTGGTGGGTGCCTATAATCCCAGCTACTCAGGAGGCTGAGACAGGAGAATCGCTTGATCCCAGGAGGCGGAGTTTGCAATGAGCCGAGGTCATGCCATTACACTCCAGCCTGAGTGACAGAGTGAGACTCCGTCTCAAAAAAAAAACAGAAAAGAAAAAAAGAAATTCCAGGATTTAAAGTAGTATCTACATAATATTTCCTTATATGGAAGTTATAAATTCATGGTAAAATAGCAATGAAGGGATGGGAAACAAATCTTACAAAAAATTAAGATTGGCTATCAGGCAATATGCAAAATCTGGGAGGTATTCCCATTGCCAAAAGGCCGTCAGATCTATAGTGCAAGTTAAAATTAGTCATAACTAGATAGAAAATTTATATATAAAAGACTTTTTTTTACTACAAGTGTATCAATTAGCAATCACATTTGGCTATGAGTAACAGAACATTTGACAATACAGGGGCTTACACAAATAGGTTTTGTTTTCCGATTTTTTTCATATAAGAATTTTGGAGATGGGTAACTGCTGGTGTTAGTAGGGCCAAGATTACTGTTTTCCTTCTGGTCACAAAATGGCCATTTCAGCCTCAATAATCATGGGAAAAATAGAAACAAACAAACAAAAAAAGATTCCAGAACTGTGTCACATAACCACACCTGGATTCAAAGAAATCTGGGAGACATGTTTTTAGTTCTGCAGTTTTCATCACTGAGTCAACACAAAGGAGGGATTGGAATAGATGTGAAATGATTTTGTCTGTCATAGCTGGAAAAGCAAAGTGATGTACACAAAAAGAGAATGTGATCACTACTTCACATTACTTAAATGTGAGCAATATTAATATTAGTATAATACTAAGTATATTCTGGCTATTGATTTAACAAAAACTTAAAATATAACTGTATTTGGAGGTAGGAAAAAAGTGATTTGTGGCAAGGGTAGGGGGCAGTGAAGAGCATTAAATTATACTCTTACAAAGCCGCTACCTGCCCACCTCACTGTTCATTCTTTCTTTTGTCCTTAGAAATAAAATCTTGACTTTTAACTGAGTTAATTGCCAGAATAAAAGACTAGATTTTCCAACCTTTCTTACAGCTGGCAGTGGTCAAGTGACAAAATTCTGGTCAAGGACATACAAGTGGAAATACTTAGGACCGTCACAAAAACACCTTATAGGGATATAACTCTGCTGGGAGGGCCTCTCCTCTGTCTGCACTTCCATCTTTCTTCCTTCATGCAGACTGCAACTTCGATACAACTGGCTAGGGCACTAGCAGTCATCGTAAACAAGAGGTGACCAGAACATGAATACCTTATATTAGGATAATAGCAACAGAAATCAGGATCCATGATAATTCCAAGAAGCTACTAAGCAAGCCATCGGGCCTTTTCCTCCAGACATTTTTACACAAGGGAAAAATGATAGAAAAAACTTCTATCATTTTTAAGTCACTGTTATGTTGTGAAAGCCATATTTTATTTCACAATATGAAAAATTGAAAATAATAACAATGTTAGCAAAATAAAACCTCTCTTACTTAAATTTTTTTTACTCTTTTCCAACTAACTTGTACATCCCAAAACACAGAATCAGAACTAAAATTACTATCTACGTTGACAAAAATGAAAAAAAATACTACATGTCAAAACTTATGGGAAAGTAGTAAAAGCTGTACAAATGTCTACTTTTTCTCCATGTATACTATCAGATTTTCTACAACGAATACATTTACTCTTTTAAACAGAAAAAAATTAAAGTTGTTCCTAAAAGACAGATGAGAATCTTAATTGCTTTCCTTATTAAAAAATTAATAAAAATACATAAATTATGGACTTGACTCAAAATAGAGAAAAACAAAAATAAAATAAATTAGTAAGAGCATAGGAATACCTCTCCCTCTCCCTCTCCCTCTCCCTCGTCTCCGTCTCCGTCTCCCGCTTTCCACGGTCTCCTCATCTCCGTCTCCCGCTTTCTACGGTCTCCCTCTGTTGCCGAGGCTGGACTGTACTGCCGCGAACTCGGCTCACTGCAACCTCCCTGCCTGATTCTCCTGCCTCAGCCTGCCTAGTGCCTGGGATTGCAGGTGCGCGCCGCCACGCCTGACTGGTTTTTTATTTTTTGGTGGAGACGGGGTTTCGCCGTGTTGGCCGGGCTGGTCTCCAGCTCCTGACCTCGAGTGATCTGCCCGCCTCGGCCTCCGGAGGTGCCGGGATTGCAGACGGAGTCTCGCTCACACAGTGCTCAATGTTGCCCAGGCTGGAGTGCAGTGGCATGATCTCGGCTCGCTACAACCTCCACCTCCCAGCCACCTGCCTTGGCCTCCCAAAGTGCTGAGATTGCAGCCTCTGCCAGGCCGCCACCCCGTCTAGGAAGTGAGGAGCGTCTCTGCCTGGCCGCCCATCGTCTGGGATGTGAGGAGCCCCTCTGCCCGGCAGCCCAGTCTGGGAAGTGAGGAGCGTCTCTTCCTGGCTGTCATCCCCTCTAGGAAATGAGGAGCGTCTCTGCCTGGCCGCCCATCATCTGGGATGTGGGGAGCGCCTCTGCCCGGCCACCCCATCTGGGATGTGTGGAGCACCTCTGCCCGGCCACCCTGTCTGGGAGGTAAGGAGTGTCTCTACCCGGCCGCCACCCCGTCTGGGAGGTGAGGAGCGCCTCTGCCCGGCCACGACCCCATCTGGGAACTGAGGAGCGCCTCCGCCCGGCCGCCCCGTCTGAGAAGTGAGGAGCCCCTCCACCCCACAGCCACCCGGTCTGAGAGGTGGGGGGCGCCCCCGCCCGGCAGCCGCCCCATCTGGGAGGTGGGGGGCGCCCTCGCCTGGCAGCCGCCCCGTCTGGGGGGTGGGGGGGCGCCCCTTCCTGGCAGCCGCCCGGTCTGGGAAGTGAGGAGACCCTCTGCCCAGCCGCCACCCCGTCTGGGAGGTGTACCCAACAGCTCATTGAGAAGGGGCCATGATGAGGATGGCAGTTTTGTCAAATAGAAAAGGGGGAAATGTGGGGAAAAGAAAGAGAGATCAGATTGTTACTCTGTCTGTGTAGAAAGAAGTACACATAGGAGACTCCATTTTGTTCTGTACTAAGAAAAATTCTTCTGCCTTGGGATGCTGTTAATCTATAACCTTACCCCCAACCCCGTGCTCTCTGCAACATGTGCTGTGTCAACTCAGGGTTAAGTGGATTAAGGGCGGTACAAGATGTGCTTTGTTAAACAGATGCTTGAAGGCAGCATGCTCATTAAGAGTCATCACCACTCCCTAATCTCAAGTACCCAGGGACACAAACAGTGCGGAAGGCCGCAGGGTCCTCTGCCTAGGAAAACCAGAGAACTTTGTTCACATGTTTATCTGCTGACCTTCCCTCCACTATTGTCCTATGACCCTGCCAAATCCCCCTCTCCAAGAAACACCCAAGAATGATCAATAAATACTAAAAAAATTAAAAAAAAAATGCTCGCATTTCTTCCTTCTGTTGATAAGCTGATTACATACCACTTTTATCTTTCCATTAATTAAGTCCCCAAGGACAAACACCATGTATAGTTTTATAAGTGAAATACCATCATATAGATACTTGAAATTAATACTACTTCAGTTCTTTAAAAATACTCCACAATTCCATATTTTCACTAATTCGGTCCAAACTTTCTTGACTAAACTGAACAAGTGGGATTAAAAAAAAAAAAAAAAAAAAGAGCAGAGGAATATAGAAATTAATCTGAAAGCACAAAACAGTAAAATTGATTAATTCAAAAAGTGATTCCTTAAAAATGTTTATGTAAAAGGCAAAATTTCTGACAATCTAATTCAGGAAACCTGAAATTCACAAAATAGGAATGTGAAAAATGTTCTGCACCCCCCTAAACACTCACATACACACACACGCCTTTTTCAATGGCTAAGGACTCCCAAGAGTCATCACGATAAAGTAATAAAAACAGAGATAGATGCTGAAGTATTTTAATGACTTTGTGATGCATACTGACAGGGGAAGGACAATGAGATAATACAAATGTAGTTCAAAAACGTCAACTTCCATTTAACTAGATGAAAAACCAAATCCTTCTCCATGTTGTAACATTTTCCCCAATCTCTTATTATACCTCTTTCCCATCACCATGGCAACCCAATCTTTCAATAAACAGTAAGAAGATGGAGTAAATAAACCCGACTTTTCTCCCAATTCCTTGGAAATATCCCCTGTATGGGTGGGCTCATAGACTTGGTATGCTCCAGCCAATCAGGACTAGAAAAGCTACCTCCTGGGCCTGTGCCTCCAGATTTCTTAATTAGTGATACTTTATTCACAGCCATATATACTCTCCCAAATCAAGCGTAAGTTGGAAAGTCGCATACCGAAGTGATTTTAAATTATATATGGTAGAGACAGGAAATGTATCTAGGAAATCTATCTAAGGAAATGACTTTTTACCTTAATCATTCTTAAATATAATAGTGGGAAGAAATTATCAGAGTTGCCTGGGATATTTTTCAAACATTTGGCTTCCCTGTCTTCCCACATAAATATTTAGTTTCACCATGTCTTTTCCCCCAGTACCAAAGCCCAGATTTATGGACATTGTTACAGTATACCCCTGCTCAAGTTGGGATGAGAAAATACCACAATCAAAATGGAGAACTAAAATACCACAATCAAAATGGAGAACTAAAATAGCATAATATAAAAGAGAATGTTCGAGGTCATTGAGTTATTTATGAGTATCAAAAAGGGACTAGCCAATCAAAAGTGTAATATTCAGAAGAGCAAAAGAGAATGAGGAATGCAGGCCAAATCAGAAAGATAAATTTGAGTTATCTTCTAGAAACCTATTATACTTCACTAAAACTATGTTTGATTATTTCATTTAAACATTTCAAAAAGATATAATCATACATATAGAAGTAATTAAATGTCAATATGTTGGGAATCTGAGTGAATGTATACAGGCTTTCCTTGTTCTGCTTTAGCAACTTTTGTTTAACTCTAAAATTATTTCAAATAGAAAGGAAGATGATTTAAAAGAGAAAGTACCAAGCTAGTAAATGTATGAAAGCATTTTCAATTTAAGCAGTCAGCAACAAAATATAGAAAATAAAACTAATATACTATTTAAAAATTATAATATTCAATACTGATGGCTTTGCAATGAAATGAATAGAACCTCTGAAATGTTCCTGTAATTTTACTTGGTATACTTCCACTTCTAGGAATTTACCTTCAGGACCTACATAAATTCATTCAAAGCTTAATATGGAAGAATATTCATCATGGCATCACTTATAATGGGAAAAATACAAAATTGATCTAAACATACAGCGGTATGAAAATATTCAAAAGAATTACAATATTCCACAATATTATTTGTTAAAAATAATCACAACTAACTTTCAAAATGCAGAATAATGTAGTTTAAAAAAAATGATTTTTATAAGGTAATAGAAAAGGGTGGCATACAAATCTGTATAAAAAATATGGGTCTAACATACAATACAAGAGCCTTCCTCTGGATTATGAGTTGCTTGGTTTTATTCTTTATGTTTTTCTCTATCTCTGAAGATTTTTGTTTAATGGAGACATGATGTTTTAATAATTAAAAAAACAAGTGACAAAAAAATTAAGATACTTTTAATCCTAACTGCAACCAATGACTGATTTTCTAAACACATTGTTGTGGCCCTAAAGAAACAGCAGACAGTATCTAAACATTAGGTAAATCATGTAGAAAATCCATACTGAAGTCATTAAAAATTGGAAAACCTGAAATATAAGGTAAATTCTATTCTTCATTACTTCTATTTTATAACAGACTTGTCAACTTATTCAAGATTATACAGCAGTAAACTCATAAATTAATAGAGTAATATTATCTTTAATTTTGAAATTGAAATTGCAGATTCTTCCAAACCAAAAATCCAGCTGGTTTAAAGGGTCACGACACTCAAATGAAGAATTCAGTATAAAAATATATATATACTAACCTAGTACTTAGACATAGAAAGGGAAAAAAAAACTTTTCTTTTTTAACTCAATTGCTAACTTTTTTTATTTTGAGGGGTTCACCAGTATGATAGCCTTACCCTCATGATTACTAACTTGTCCATTAGACTACTTCCAAAGTTGTGTCCCAAGCACACTGTTCAAGTGGTTTAGACAAATTTTCACTTTTCTGTAGGAGCATCCAGTGAGCAAGCAGATACAGGATTCTCAGTGTCTAGATCAGTGCTCTGCAGAGGATTTTGATTATATACTTTTACCAATTAAAAAAAAAATTGAACATGCCCTCTCCCATATTTTATATATGAATTACTCTATTTAATAATCCAAATTACAATATAGGACAGAATGTATTATTATTAATGATGGGTGTATATAAGTAGTTCAAATAGCCTTTGTGATTGGTTGAATTTTTGGCATCTTTTCAGAATATTGTTTTACTCTCTAAGGGACTGCTGAACGCCTCATTCAACTCATAGAAAAGATGCAGTGAGGCCTCTTCAGAATTTCCATATCTGCTCGCATTATTGGGACACTCTCTTCACATTTTCTCTGAAGAAATCTTTTTAAGCTATGTGTCCATCATTGAGGATTACTTCAAGTTGAAACTAGACAATATTATTTCATGCATTATTCCATCTAGCCAGTCACAAGTAAACAGCATGTGTCACAAAATACTGAAAATAAACAGAATGTGGCACTCCCCTAGAATTTGGCAACGCTCCTGTAGTTTTCCACTCTGAATTATTCAGTAAGCCTTATATAGTAGTTCAGGTCTGTTTAGTTGCTATTAGAGAGAACCCCAAAATTTATCTAGCTTAACACAAAAGTCCAAAATGGTTGTTCAGCAGCAGCTCTCCTCCAAGAGGCGATTAAGAGAGCCAGCTCCTTTCTACTTTATGCCTCTGTTATCTCCTGCATTTGTCTCCCAAGGCCTCCATGTTCATTTCCATTAAGCCATAAAGATCATGCATGGGAGGTCTGTTATGGGACAGGCCAGGAACAATGCGAATCACTCATTTCCATATTCTGTTAACCAGAGTTCAATCAAATGGCCACACCTAACTACACAACTGTCTAAAAGGTAGTCAATCCTGTGCCAGGAGGAAGAAAGAGTTTTGTAAAAGAGCTAGCCAATCTCTTCCAACACTGTGCGACCATTCCCATAGCAGACAGACTGAATAATTGCATCAGATGTCCATCTGTATATTAAATATTAGCCATGCCTAATCCATTTATCTTAAAAGAATAATGCCCATAGAGATTTTGCTTGGCTTTTAAAAAATATTTCCAATACAGCAGTAAGCAGAAAGATGCCAGTACCAAATGAATAAGTATCTATCTTCTTGCCTTCTGCTCGCATTACCGAGAGTATGAGTCCCCTAAAACTGAGGGAAATTATAATTAGTCTCCAATCAGAAAATTCACAAATCAAAGTCAAGCTACCATAAAGCAGTGGTTCTTAACCTAGGGTTAACAGACTGCCAAATATCTATGGATGGATAAATATGTGTCAGAGATCATACTACTGATATTGTAAATGAAATTGTGTACATATAGCTTGTGAGTACGTGTGTGTGTGTATGTGTGTGTGTTTGTGTCCATTTTTGGTAGAGGATCAAAATTTTAAAAGGATGTATGACTAAATAATATAAATTTTAAAAACAACAAGTAAACTTTTCTCAAGCTGGTTAACATAAATATACCAATCAAGACTCCACCAAAAGTTATTATACATTAATGCTTCAAAAATATATCACTGCAGTGTTCTTCTACTCTTCTATTATTACCAATATGAAAAAGAAAACAGGCTGTCTCATTATATATGACAGGATGGAGATCACTGTAAGAGAGAGCATGACTATATGGTTATAGTCTATGCTTCTCACAGTGACAAATGTCAGGAATTGAAAAACTCATTGGTAGTATTTGATAGTCATGTGGCGCTTAAAGGATTAAAAAGCCTGTGAATGCAGATTGATAAATTATATTTTATTTAAGTTATCCCTTATGCTAAGGAGGACTTGGACCAACAAGATAATAATTGTTTCCATAGGATGAATTACTGTATAATTTATATATGGTCCTGAAAATTCCAATGCAAATTCATTTTTCCCTAATACAAATAATGTAACACAATTTAAAACTTACTAAATAATTTAACAAAACTTTGTTATAGTACTTGAAACCTGGATCCTTAATTATTAGAATATTGATAATATATTACTTATGCAAAATTTAAAGTTCTTCTGTAATATGACTACCCTGTCCTTTGGCTCTGTTTACAGTAGGAAATACTGTATTAAAAATTTTCTGGTCCTCTGCCACCCTCTGCCACAAAGATAAATAAGAAGTGCCCCTTACAAATCTTTGTTATTTTAAAACCCACTCACTTAAAATGGCAGTGCTTTTTCAAGAGTTATACACCAATCAGTGGCAAAACTAACATTCCTTTTTCTGAAATAATTATTTTCCTTCCTGATTAGTGGCATTTCAAATAAATTGCTTGAAGCCTATGTTTTTGGATGAGACAGAAAAAAGGAGATGTTTTAGAAGAAATTACTAGGTAGGGTTTCCTGATACTGTACATTCTATGGTCTGGGATTTAGTGTCTTTGATCTTGGGGAAGAAAGATCTTCATTCTTCTTGGGAGGTATATAGCCTTGCCTTAAAAGCCCAACAGGCAGACTGAATAATGGCATCAGATGTCCATCTGTATATTAAATATTAGCCATGCCTAATCCATTTATCTTAAAAGAATAATGCAGATAGAGATTTTGCTTGGCTTTTAAAAAATATTTCCAATACACCAGTAAGCAGAAAGACACCAATACAAAATGATAAAAGAGATAAAAGATACTGGAGTTTGGGGAGTCAGGCTAGCTGAATGATAGTGGACTCTACCCATGCCTCAGGAAAGCACAAGACAGTGCTTGCCTTTTTGAACTTCTCCACTGTCTGTCCCGCAAGGGAGAAAATATGTTCACTTAGAACAGAAAAATACTTGCACGTGTTGGGGAAGGAAGTAGTATTCAGAAGAAATCAACATTTTCTTTGCAGAAAGCATGGCTCTGTGTGTTAGGAGAGGACTAACTCTAGTAGGTAAAAAGTAAGATAGCAACTGGTTTTCAAGGCTTATTATTCTCTCCATCATGCTTTGCTGAACTAATGCTATAAAAAATTACATTTTAGAAAAAATACGTGATTTGATTATCTGCAGAACAGAGTAGGCATGAAAACAGCCTGTAATTAAACTGGACTGGAATAATCTAGTAAGTGGAAAACTAGATGATTAATTCATTTTATATTTATATGTATTTGTATTTTACATTTACATGATGCCATTCTTTTGTGACAGTAACTGAAGGAAAACCTGTTCAATTATGCTCACACTGAATATCTAATGTTAAATTATTTTAATTCATTTAGTGAGCATATCCTGAGTAGATGCTCTGTTCCAGGCATTATCTGATGGGCTTCTCCATTTAACACCACCATCAATGAATGATAGAAATAAATAAAGCTGTAGGACTGGGTGGGTAGGTACGTGCAATCTGTCCCAGCACAGCTTTATTAGCAACAACTAATGGAACTGGCTGATTTCCTGACTTGGAAGAAAAATAATGAAACGGCTAAGCCATTCTGACACACACCTTTCACCAATTCCCCAAAAAGGGAAGCCACCAGGGCCCCTGAGTTGTGTCATCCAGAAGTATTTCATTTCATTTAGTCAGGCACTAAATCCATTTCTTAAGATCGTCCTATTTCCTCTTCTGAATTCTACCATAACCTCCTTTATATAAATATGTCTTAGAATTCATAGATTAATGCTATTCCTCTGATATTCACCTTGGCTCAAGTCTTCATACATAGTTTCAGATCAAAGCCACACCAAAACACAGCCCAGCCTAACACATTCTATCTCCTGGTAACTCAGCCCACCAGTGCTGTTACTCTAGCCCCAACACGCATAGCCACACAAGCCAGGGTAACACTAGCCAAAAAGACCTGGGCAAATGATAAAATCAAAGGTATTTCCCCAGAGAGATAAAGAAATTACTCTCTACACTCATTTGAAAGATGCTGAATGGCTCTAAATTCTAAGTACTGAAACCACCTTTCCAAAAATTATAACTGAGGAAATTATGACAGTAAAAGGGACAGACAACTGACTCCATCTTGCTTCTAACCTTTAAGCTGGCCTTGTTCATTCCTGGGCATAGGCTGAACTAACCTTGGGAAGGAATTTAGTTTATCACTTGAAACAAAATTGATAATAGTCCTTTCCCAAAAAGACACCCTTCTTGCCTGGGGATCAGTCTTCCTTTGCAGGACTAACAAATTAGCTACAAGATTAGAAATGACAGTCTAGGGGTCATGCAGCCTCTGGCTGCAAGAGTCTGAACCTCCCCAGGTTGCTCCTGGGGATAACATTACTATATATTGCAAAATCTAAGATTAGTGCTTGAGATGTTTTGCAGACCCTGCACTCCATGGATCAGCTGACATTACCCAGACTGCTAATCTGGCTCAACCAGCTCCGTGATCCCATCCGGGAACAGAAGACAGCAAAAAAAACCTCACTTTGATCCCTGTGATTCCATCTCCAACCTGAACAATCAGCACTCCCCTCTTCCCAAACACCTACCCGCCAAATTATCCTTGAAAACTCCAATCCCCAAATTCTCAGAGAAACTGATTTGAATAATAATAAAACTCTGGTCTCCTGCACAGCCAGCTCTGCGTGAATTACTCTTTCTCCATTGCGATTCCCCCATCTTGATAAATCAGATCTGTCTATGTTACAGGTAATTAGACAGGCATGAGCAGGGCAGGAGAGGGGGCTCCCCGACCCACTAGGAAAGTCAGGTTATGGTTTGACAAAGATTGCATTGTCTCTCTAAAAGTGATAAACTGGCAGCTGGCGCCAGGGGGAGGCCATTTCCTAATTGTCCACACCTGTTGCAGTAAAATGTTAACTGAACGCAGATGCCAAGGAGAAGCAACATCTTGGGCATATGCATTAGGAGACAAAATGGCATAGTACGACCTTCTAGGGGCACCCCACTAGAAAAGGGGAGAAAGCATCAGATGGGGATGCGTACAACTTCCTCAATACAATGCATGTGCTCAATTCCCAAGGAAGGCCCTGCCAAGCAGGCAACGCACCCTAAGGGAAGAATCACTGGAAAGGGCCAGCCTATAAAGTCCTAGGATCAAGGTTAAACACTGCACTTGACCTTCATGTGCCTACTCAGGTTTTTTCCACGTGTACTTTCCTTTCTTTCCTATTCTAAAGCCTTTTTAAATAAACTTCAACTTCTGCTCTGAAACTTGCCTCAGTCCCTTTTCCTGCCTTATGCTTCTCAGTTGAATCATTTCTTCTGAGGAGGCAAGAATTGAAGTTGCTGCAGACCCATACAGATTCACCACCAGTAACCCTGGTACCTTCCACTGGTAACATCTAGGCAGCAGGCCAGGTGAACCAACCCATTGGGTGGTTACAGTAACCCAATAGTGAACATGTTTTAAATGTACACTATTTCATAATCTCACAGGTTATTTTTTTTAATTTTTCCAACCTGATTTATCTCAAGTGTGAAGTACTAATTTGCTTGACTAGGTTAATAATGCCAATCAGTGACAATTTAAAGTATCACTTTCTAGGTGAAAGGCACTAATTTTCTTTACAAACCACTTGAGCCACCCCACCCACTATGAAATAGCATTCTGTCCTGACTGCTAGCAAACTGTAGTGAAGTAAAGAAGTTGGTTTAGCATATCTCTTAAATCAGGGTCCAGCGAGTTTTTTCTATAATGAACCAGATTGTATATATTGTAAGCTTTCCAGGCCATATAGTCTCTAACACAACTACTCACCTCTACGGTTGTAGCACAAGAGCAAGACAATATGTAAACAAATGAGTTGTGTTTCAGTAAAACTTTATTGACAGAACAAATAGGCAGGCCACATTTTCTGACCTTTATCATATAGCATGATTTCCTTAAAATGTAATATATCTCTCTCATTTCATCTATTTTTTAAAAATTCCCAATATAAATGATTTTGAATAGGAAAGATTAGAGGTATCTGAGGCTGGCAGTTTAAATAATATCTGAGAGAAGGCATTCAGTATATCTAGCATACAGTAAACATGAAGTAAATGTAGGCTGGATTGGAAATCAAATTTGCACCTCATAAACATATATCACAAACTTAGCCAAATTCTAAAACAACTTAACCTTGAAAATAGTTTTCTTGTTTTGTGACTTTTTGCTCTTTCTTTCTAATTACTAAACTTTTCAGAATGTTTTCTCAGTGTCTTCATTATAATGCATATTCATTTTTTATAGTTGTTCAGCAACTGTAAGCTTTCAAACAAACTGGGACTCTTCAATATTGCTGTATTAAGGGAAATTATAATAGCCTATTGACTGCAGTTCAGTCAATGATCCATTCATTATTCTCTCTTGAAGGCTAAGTTCGTAAAATAATGGATGTGATTATCACAAAAGTCAATATAAGTGTGAGAGGATGAAACTGGTGATGAGCCCAAATAGTTAACTTACATTTTTGTACCATTTCAAAAATATTTGGATATTCTTTTTTATCCACTGTTAAGTTCAGTGATCTTTAGAGTAAGATGTGGGTACTTTGACAGGTTGGCAAGACATTTAATTGTGGCATCAAGCAAAATTTTGAAAATTTCTATTTCTATTCAGTTTTCATCTCGTTCTTTTATTTTTTTGTCTTTGTGAATTTGTGCATGAATACACTGGTGGATGCCTATTCAAAAAAGTTTGGAAATGACTGACACACTTTTTATAGTGCTATAAAAGACTGTCACATGCTCCCTAAATACTATAAACATCTAGAGAGACACTAAATATTTTAATGCAATTTTTTATACCCTGGATATATTAGGAATATATGTTTTTATAAAAAGAAAAGGTAAACTTAGAAATGGTTTATATTGCATAATCAGCAACACTCTGCTGTTTCATATTATTGTATGTGTTTAATTTATTTGCTGGTCTGAGTATTTTAGAAGTACATGCAATAATGGAAGAATGTAAATATATACATCATCCAGAAAAATTACAATAAATTTTGCTGTGTCAAATACCAATCCAAAAGTAGTAGCATAAAGCAGCAATCAATTTTCTATGCTCATGAATTTTGGGGTCAAGAATTCAGTGTAAGGCATAGCAGGGATGGCTATCATCTGATAGTTACATCATTTGATTCCTCAGCTGGGAAGAGTTCAATGACTGGGGGTGACTAGGATGACTGGGGGCTAACGTGATAGACAGACTTCCTTCACATGTCTGGTGACTAAGCAAAAATGTACTGAAGGCAGGACTGAGCTAATTCCAACGTCAGTCTTTATCTGGCCTTTTTACATGGCTCGGGCTCCTTCAGAGCATGGAAGTCTCAAGGTATTGATGATATTCTTACATGATGCCTAAGAGCACCAAGGCAGGTATTTCAGCAGACAACAAGAGCTTCACGGTTTGTTATGACCCAGCATTAGAAATCACATAACATAACTTCCAGGTCACTGTATTAATGGAAGAAGTCACAGGCTGACCCAGATTCAAGGGGAGAGGACTTAGCTGCCAGCTCTCAATGGGAGAAGTATCAAAGAACTTACAACTATGTTTTAAAACTACCACAAATAATAACTTCACATACACATGTGATTTTGATCATCAGAATAATTCAATTATACCAACAAAAGTAAGTAATGTTATATTCTAAACACATGGAATATTTGGATTGAAAGAAATATTTATAACTCAAGAAATGTTTTACATACATTTTAAAGGAAATCTACACAATTCTACATTATACAAATGTAGAATTCTTTTAAAATATTATATTACATTAAGATGGATATTAAACTGCATAAGAATTCAAATAATTTAATAGACCTCTGAGACTTCCTTCATCCATTCCTTGGGGAGGCATGAACTATTAAATATATAACAATTTACATTACAATAATTATATTAAAACAATTTACAAAATTTTAAATTTATGTAAATATAAAAATGACCATAAGGCATTGTGAAATGACCAGGACAAAAATTAAACACCTTATACAAACCAATGCATTTCCACTGATGTTGGTGTTATCATAATTTTCTCACTGAAATAACTACTAAAAAAAACACTAGCAGCAGGGCACGGTGGCTCACGCCTGTAATCCCAGCAGTTTGGGAGGCTGAGGCAGGTGCATCACGAGGTCAGGAGTTCGAGACCAGCCTGGCCAACGTGATGAAACCCCATCTCTACTAAAAATACAAAAATTAGCCAGGCATGGTTGTGGGCGTGTGTAATCCCAGCTACTCAGGAGGCTGAGGCAGGAGAATTGCTTCAACCCAGGAGGCGGAGGTTGCAGTGAGCCGAGACGGCACTGTTGTACTCCAGTCTGGGTGACAGAGCACGACTCCATATCAAAAAAAAAAAAAAAACTAGCATAACTGGATAACATTTTCTTATAACATAAAAATATTTTGCTCAATATTTGCCTCAAACAAAAGAAGGCTTTGAGAATTGCCATGGCATTCTCTAATTATTTAAATTAAATAATATTAATTTCTAATTTTAAATTTTATCTATTGGCATTTCAGAATATCCTTTTCTAGAAGTTTTTTTTTTTTTTAATTCAAGTCTTTGAAACCCCAGAGACATTTAATATAGCACTTTATCATGAAAATACATATATTGCTGCAGGACTAGAAATAGACCAGGTCAAAGAAACATTGGGAGAGTCAGTAAAAGGGACAGAGCCATGTAATCTTCCTGTGGATATTTGGTTGAGTACATGGGGATCCAAATTAGTGGGCATTGAGATGGAGGACATTTCATTTCCGTTACTACCAAGTGACATACTCCTTGGTTTAGACACAAAAACATGAATGTTTAAGACCTAAAGTATGCTTTGCAAAACACTCTGATAACAATGAACTTTTTTTACACATTCATATTGAAATAAAAGATCTTTTGAATCCAAACAATTGAAATGGACATAGAGAGTAGAAGGATAGTTATCAGAGGCTGGGAAGGGTTGTGGAGGGGTTGGGGGTGGTGAGCACTGTTAATGGGTACAAAAAATAGAAAGAATAAATAAGACCTACTATTTGATAGCTGAACAGGGTAACTATAGTCAGTAATAACTGTCCATTTTAAAATAACTAAAATAGTGTAATTGGATTGTTTATAACACAAAAGATAAATGCTTGAGGGGATGGATACCCCATTCTCTAGGATGTGATTATTACGCATTGCATGCCTGTATCAAAACATCTCATGTACCCCATAAATATATACACCTACTGCATACCCACAAAAATAGAAAATTAAAAAATTGAAAAACAAAAAACCCAACAACACAAAATATCTTCTTTTGTATAAGGCTGCCAGGCATTTGTTTTTATCCACACTAATACTTCTGTTGACTTGCTTGTCCTTTTATTTCCTCCATTTGCCCTGCTTCTTTCATGCAAATGAAAGTGTATCTAACCAATGCTGGGGTTTTAGCAAAAATATCTTAGTTTTGAAATGCCATCCACTTTTATTCACCTGTGTTTGCTGTGGAATGGTTCTCACTGCAATTTCACTGTATTTATTTTTCCATAACCAGAATCATCATCACTGCTAAGGCTATTTCACATACAACCTGGAAAGCTGAATCTCTTTTTAGATGAACAGCTCTTTGGTTATTATATGCCAACAATGAATCTTTCTCCAAGTAACTCATTGAAAAGCTTTCTAGGGTCAAAATTTGCAGGCAGTGAGAATAAGGCAAGCGTCTAGGAAAAACAGCACGCTTGTTTTTTATTTTTTCTCTGACTAGATATATCTGAAGCATGAAGGATGAAGGATGTATATATGAAGGATGAAGGGTGACTGCTCTGCACAAAGACCAATTTCAGATGAGTCTCATAGACTTTATATTGATGTGTTATTGTATCATCTGCTATGTATTTTAGAAAGAGAGCACAAAGCAATATTCTACTTAAACTACCTGTTTTTGTAGTATTTTAAAATATTAAAGCTTAGAAATCTAAAAATCTTGTCATAGTTAAAATGTTCATAAACTTAAAAATTCAGAGATGAGATGAATCTCAAAAGCCTTTCCTCCTATTGTAGATGAAGAAAGATGGGCCAAGAGAGTGATTTGCCCAAAGTCACCCAGTCAGAGTTTAGAATTATATCCTAGGTCCCAGTACAATAGGGTGTCTTCTACACTGCAGCTCTTCTCTTGAATGAATTTTTTGTCAATGAGAACAATAAGCCAAGTCTTTCTTGCTAGATTAGAAACATTTACCCAGTTACAGAATAGACAGATGATAGATAAGTAATAGGAAAGAAGGCAGAAAGAAAGGAAAGGATAGAAGGAGGGAAAAAAAGAGGAAGATAAGAAGAGAGAAATAAATATGTTAAAAATAAAGGAAAGGAAGGGGAGGGGAGGGGAGGAAAAGAAGGGAGGGAGGGAAGGAATGTTTAGATAGATCTCCATACATATTTTATTATCTAACCTGCTAAACCTGCTTTCTTCTGGCTCAAGTCTCCTCCCCAGGCTTCCAAAAGAGGGGACTGTACCAGTCCTGTAAACAGGCATATATTGTAAATTGATATTTGTTTTAAGAAAAATACATTATCTAAACAGTTGGCACAAGAGGTTATCTCAGAGATGTAACTATCTCGATTTGGGAAAATACTACGAGAATTCTGTCAGGATAAAGTAAAGTCACAAGGATTTAGGTTTGGCTAGAACCCTGGCCTCAAAAGATGAGCAGTACATTATGCCATGTAAGTACAAGCATTTCTTTTGCTTTTGATGTACAGGGATGATACGAAACAGAGCCCCCAATAATCAACAATAGACTTGTAATGTGAGCAAGAAATAACCCTTTGTTATTTTAAACCAATACAATTCGGGAGATTGCCTATTACTGCAGCAATAATCTAGCCTCTTCTAATTGGTACCAAAAATAAATAAATCAGAAAGAGAGAAGAGAAAGGAGGGAAAGAAAAGACCCCAAGATAGGGAGAAGAAGAGACTAAGTAGAGTGAAGGGCCACTGGGGCTCCTCTCTATGCTGTGTTGATTTCAGGGTATTTTCAGAATGCTTTCATGCTTCATTTGCAGTTGACTGTGTTGCAGAACGTATGTCTCTCTTTTTACTGCCCCACTCTTCCCACCAAATGTTCTGTGAAGCCTATTGTACAAACATGGTTTGGTATAAATTGCTTCTTTTGTGGAAATCAAATGAGCTGCAGATCACATTTGGGAGTAACATAATATGAGACACAGTGTGGGAAGCAGAACCCCACAGGAAAAAAAAAAAAAAAAGATGACAAGGAGAATGTAAGCTTCCTTAAAAGTTGCAGCAATCTTATAATTGGATTTGGCTTTTTCCCTAGACCTGAAGTTGTGGGCTCAATTCAAACTCATCTACTTCTCAAGGAGACATCTGATGTGTGGGTTACATGTAGATGTATGCACAGGAGGAAGTGGTGAAATAAATGCAGAGGGCTGAGGTCCCTATTCTGTTTCCCATGATAAATCCATCTTTTGATTGTCAATAATGCCTGAATGGATGGGGCTTACATGGGTTCCATTGTACTTTGTGCTTCCATGCAATTTGGTTCATACCTCTTTTAAAGCACTTGATATAGGTGGCTTTATAGTTACTCAGTTTGATGCTTCTTTTTCCCAACGAGACTGGTTGGTTTTTGAAGCTGTGTTTCATTATATTCACTTGTGTGTCACCAGCACCCAGTACAGTATCTGACACCCAGGAGATGATCAAAATGCTCGCTGGTTTTGTTAAAATCTGATATGCACACATGTGTTTAAATAGGGGCAATTGGCTCTCAAGAATCACTCAAAGCAAAGTCTCAAAAATATTTCGTTTTAGAGAAAGAAGTAAGTAGCTATAGATTCTGCTTCCTAGCTATTCTCAGCTCTCTACTTTCTGTGCTATTTTTGGCCCCAACCCTCAGTTGCTGGGTGGAGTGATGGCACTAGTTCTGAATATCAAGGTATGAGCAGAGCTGAGATGTGTCGATTCATGGCCAGAGCACTTAATTGCTAGTGTGGGGTGCCTACTTCCTCTGCCAGAGCAAGTAGCCATATTCCAAATGATGGCTGCTCTGTGTACCAGGGTTTAGAGTTAAAAGATGATGTGAGCAGAGGCCCTTGCTAATCTACAGTAGACATGAAGTATAAGCAAGAATAAACCTTGTTTTAAGCCACTGAGATTTGGGAATCGTTTGTTACCATAGTATAACTTAACCTACCCTAGCTGATATAAAAATCAGTTAGGACAAAATCGAGAGATTTATTCTTCCTATCCCAGCTGCCAAATGATTTTTAACATAGTAGTAACCAATTAAAACAAGGAATAGGCACAAATGATTTAAAAAGGGAAAACAGAAAATGAAAAGCCAGTACCTTGGGAGCAGAACCAGATAGCCCCTACTCAAAGATCAGAAAGAAATATGTGATGAACTGAATGAAACCTGTGCAGGTGGATGGGCCATCTACTCACATGCTTGCATGTGTGAGCTATATAGTTAAGATGAATGGCAGGCCCTAGGAAGGGACTGTATATAAATGGTGCATTAACTTTTGGCAGAACAGAGGTAACAATGGTGTTTAAAACTGGGATAAAAGCAATGAAGCTTTAAAAAGAAAGCAATGAGGCAGAAAAGACATTTAATAATAGACTGAAAAGACTCCCCCCCCAACCACCCCAATACAGTGACTATATGGTATCTAACTACATGAAAAAATCCTCTGCAGATTCCAGAAAGACTTTATTTCTTTGTTTTTGTTCTTTTATTTTTGCTATAACACTTTCATAAAATTCTAAGTACATTTGGAATGCTTGAATTTGACTGTCATTTTTCAGTCTTGAATTACTAAACTTTTTTATTTTTGCATTTTAGTATTTAAGTGACAAACATTATATATATTCAAGGTGTACAATGCAATTTGATATACATATATAATTATTATCACAATCAAATTAACGCATCTATCACCACCCATGCTATACATTAGATCCCCACAATTCATTTATCTTATAACTGTAAGTTTGTATTCTTTGATCAACGCATCTTCATTTCCCCCAACCTCCAGCCTTTGGCAATAACTTTTCAACTCTCTGCTTCTGTGAGTTTGACTTTTTCAGACTCCACATGTAAGTGAAATCATGTAATATTTGTCGTTCCCTGTCTGACTTATTTCACTTAGCATAATGCCCTCAATGTTTATCCATGTTGCTGCAAATTACAGGATTTTAGTCCTTTTTATGGCTGAATAATATTCGATGGTATAAATATACCACAATTTCTTTATCTATTCATTCATCAATGGTCATTTGGGTCATTTCTCTGTCTTGGCTATTATGAATGAAGCTGAAATGAACATGGAAATGCAGACATCTTTTCAAGCTACTTGTTTTATTTATTTTGGATATATAACCAGGAGTGGGATTACTGGATTGTATGGTAGTTCCTTTTTTTTTTTTTTTTAACTTTTTGAGGAACTTCCATGCTGTTTTTCATACTCTCTTTAACATTATTTTCCCTTTTAATTGACAGACATCTCAAGGTTTAATGTCTTTAAATCTGTGTTTACATGAGTTCTACTGCTTGGTACAAAGCTATTGTTAAAATGGACTTTGTGCTGAGGAAAATCAGTAACTTATGCTATTTTTTGGGGCTGTACATTTATTTTTAATAATGCTTATTTTTCTGATCATTGTTTAAAACAATAGGAAATACAGAAAAAACAACATAAAGAATAAAAGTAAAAGCAGACAATCTTGTATTCAGAAGAAACTAAAGTGGTTGCTTTGTTGAAAATCCATCCATACTTTTTTCATTCATGCGTATGCATTTTAATATGATTTTGGTATTTAAGTCCCTGCTTTTTTTCTTCACACAGCTTTTAATCGTAAGCACTATTCCAGTAGATTGAAAATATTTTTAAATATATACAATTATTTATTCAATTATTTCTCAGTTAATTTGCTGGTCGAGAGCTCTCTCTCTTTCATTTGTAAATAATTATAAATAAAACTCGGATGAGTAAAAATACTTTATGCATCTCTGATTATTTGCTCAAAGAAAAACTAATGAGGCATAGTATATGGATGTTTTAGGATTCTTAAAATAATGAGACAAATTAGTTGCCATGAAGTTTATCCTAATTTATACCCCTAGGCATTTATGAGACTACCATTTCCTTAGTCCCTGCCAGCATAAAAAATTATATATTTTTTTTCTTTTGTTTTTTTTGATGGAGTCTTGCTGTGTTGCCCAGGCTGGAGTGCAATGGTGCAATCTCCGCTCACTGCAACCTCTGACTCCTAGCTTCAAGCCATTCTCCTGCCTCAGCCTCCTGAGTAGCTGGGATTACAGGCGTGCACCACCACAACTGGCTAATTTTTTGTGTTTTTAGTAGAGATGGAGTTTCACCATGTTGGTCAGGCTGATCCTGAACTCCTGACCTCATGATTTCCCCACCTCCGCCTCCCAAAGTGCTGGGATTACAAGCGTGACCCACCACGCCTGGCCAAAAATTACACTTTTTGTAAAGCTCAGCAATTTGTTTGACAACAATGGCAGTCTTGTATTAATTTGCCTTAATTTTTTGACTAATAGTAAACATAAACATTTCCTCATGTATTTAAAAGTCATTTGCATTTCTTATTTTCTGTTTCAGTATACCCATTTCATTTTTCGTTTTAGATTATTAGTAATTTTCTGTTGATTTTTAAGTGCCCTTTACATATTTAGGCCATTAACCTTTGAATATAAAATATTTCCAAGATTAGCTTTGAATTCAAGACATCTGAGATCAATAAAAAGAGATACTATATGAAAGCTGCTTTTAAGCATAAAATACTATAGAATTCAGTTTGGTTTATTGATTTATTCTTTTTATTTTTAACATTTTAAATTTTTACAATTTCTGTTTCTCTTTTGATATTACTAAACAACTTGACCTGACTCTGAACTGGCAATCACCTGAGTACTTGAGTCTGCATACACAAATGTATGCATAATTCCACGTACAGATAATTTTTAGAGATCCTTGGCATTTGTATTATAGGGTAGTGATTACAAGCACAAAATAAGAGCCAGATTCCCTGGGTGTCAATCCTAATCTGTGTTCTATTAGTTGTGTGAACTTGAGCAAGTTATTTGACTTCCTTATGCTTTTTACCTTTTTTTGCAAAACTGCAGAATTTGTAAACAAGGAAGTAACAGACCTCATATTATTGCTCTGAGGATTACACAAGATAACAAGGCAAGTAGTTAAACTAGATAACCATTTTATTCCTGAGAACGTGGCCAGGCATGTAGTAAGCCAGTCTAAGTGCTAGCTCCTGATATGGCATTTTATATAGTCACTGCACTGGAGAACAGCTTTTTGATCTAGTTGGTTTTTTAGGGATTCGGAGTGAACTATATCACTGTTTCTAATAACAGCAGTTAACATTTTTCTAGAGCACTTTGCAAAACTTATTGATATTCATTATTCATTCAACAATTATTTATTGAATACCTGAGCTACCAAGCAATATTCTAAGCACTTCAGCTGTGAACAAGACTGATAAGGTCCCCTAGATAGGGAGTTTTCATTTCAGAGAGAAAAGATAAAAAGAAAAAAAAATACAAATAAACAAGCTTAATTTCAGAGAGGGAGAAATGATATGAAGCACATCAGTCAGGAGAATGTGCTGAAAGATGATTACTGGGCTCATTCTATCAGGTGGCCCAGCAGGCCACGGTGAAGAAGAACCAATGTGTTGAAAACTCTGACAACAATCTTATGACATGGGAATTACTTTTATTCCCATTTTATAAACAGAAAGATTAAATTACTGAAACCAAATTGTTGTTGCCCTAATAAAATATATACGCTTTTCTCTGATTGCAAATTTAACACTTGTTTATGATAGAAAACAAAACTAAGGACAAAAAAAAAGTCATCTGTGATCGTATGGCTAACACTGTGTGTGTATACTATCTTCTTTTTCTGTATGTATCTACATAATATGTTTAACAAATGGAATTGCCCTAAGAATAACATCTGTAACTTGTTTTTTTCCATTAAGCAATATTTTTCCATGCCATTAAAGAGTCTTATAAACATCAGCTTTAATAGCTGTAAAGTCTCACATTACATGGAAGAATCATTATATAATGGTTTCTTTAGTCTCTTAAAATAGATATTTATGTCATTTCAATTTTTTATTCTTATAAACGATGCTGTGATAAACCACCTGATAATAATAACAGCTAATGTTTATTCAGTTTATGTGGAATGCATTGTGGTAAGCAATTTACAACTTTCAACTAATTTAATGTGTACCCAAATCCTATGAAATGGATACAATGAAAATCTTCCCTTTAGAAACGAAGTAAACTCAGACGAAAAGAAGTTAAACAATATGGTCGAGGTCACACATTCAGTAAACTACAGAGCTAAAACTTGAACTTAAGACATTTCTGTTCCAGAGCATACACATAACCATTGCACTCTATTTCAGACCTTGGCAGTATTTCTACAGATTGACAGATAAGTCATAATCCCCACCAGCATTATTTCCTTAGGATAAATTTTTAGAAGTAAAATTGCTCAGAACCTGACTCCAGATTTTCTGCTTCTACACAAGAACCACAGCTTCTTTTATCCAAGCCTAATGTCCACTTCAAGGTGCCCTAACAGAAGATCTGTAACTTTTCTGTTTCAGATTACACACCAGACTGCAGCCTGCAATGAGAAACAGAGAACAAGCAATAGTCTAAGTAAAAGGGACTTCAACCCTGCCAGTCCCTCCTTCCTTTGTTTCTCTCCAGAGCTTTTGCCCAGGAAAGCTTAGCAAAAACAAAGAAGTGGCTCCTGAAGTCCAAGTTTCACCATCAACCCCTTTTCATTCATAAGGTCCATGATCCTCAATGCATATTCTCTACATAGATTCCCACAGTCTAAACACAGACAGCAATGAAAAGGCAGAAGAGAGGCATCAGTGGCTTGAGCTCAGTAGCTGGAAGCTTCCCATGATGCCCAGGTGCTGCTCTTGAGCCAGCTGTGCCTCCTTCCCCTCCTGTGTGGCCTGATGAGGCCACTGAACAGATTAGGTAACAGATAATTTGACTACACTCAGGGAACTGAAGGAGTCCTATGAATGTGTACTGTTAATTGAGACACACAAAGTAGACCCTCCTGAGTGCTTTGGACTTGCACTAACCTGAAATCATGACTCACTAGACACCATTTTATCTCATTTTTCAAAAAGTATTTTTTTCTCGAGAGGGTGTTCAGACAGGAAGATGAAACAATTCATCTCTGTTACTTTCCCCAGGTCTCAAAGATAACCTAGAATCATAGGTTTCTATTTTACCAAAGGAGACTCTTGAGTATAGTAAACTTTTTGTTATCTTATCTGGTCAAATGATAGAGGCTTTAGTGGGGAGTGATCAATTGAGTTATTCTATCTATCCTGTATAGAAGATTATCACTCTTTAAAGAAATACAATATAGAAAAATAAATCTAAAAATAGATGAAAGAAAAGGTAATCATTCCTTTTTCATTCAAAAGCCATGTTTGCATGTTAAAGAGCTCCAAGGTCATCATTACAATCTTGAATTATGATTGCACAAGAAATTTCCAGCTGACAACTCAGGTTCCACCAATCTGTCTGAAAAATATCTGGTTGGAAACCAGGGATGCATTTGTAAAAACAGTGCTTAGGGCACAGGGCAGTTCAAACAAATATTTTTAACCCATAATGTAGCTGAAGAAACATACTAATAATACTAGGGACCCTCATCATTTTTTTTATATTGTTTTAATGCTTCTATCTAGCAAGTGTATTTCAAATTGATAAACTGAAACACCAAGAACATGTCTTCCATATTCATGGCAGTTTAGGAACCTACACTTAATGTCCTTTATGGTAGAGCCTGGCTGGTGGAAGAGAGACAATCTCGTAGAGACTCTAGCAATAGACGTAAGCATTTATAGGAAGAGCTTGAGATTGAAACTCTTAGGTCAAAAGAAAAAAAGGGCAGGAGCAGAGGTTACATTGAACGAGTTGCAGCTGCCACTGTAAGCGTCATGATAGCAGGTGGTTTCATCTGTTTCGCTCGCTATTGTATTCCCAGAACTTAGAATGGTGCCTGGGGTATTGTAGATGTTTGATATGTAGTTATGAATGAATGAATGAATGAATGCAGTAGTGATAAGAGGTGATGTGACACCAAGACAGAAAAAACTAGGTATAATAAATACTCTGTAAATCAGTCAGTCTGCTCCACATTAGAGGAGAAATGCCAGTTAGTAAATAGTTCTTAAAACAAAAGGGCACAAGAAAACTTTGGGAGGCGTTGTGTATGTTGATTACCCTGATTGTAATGATAGTTTTAAAGGTGTATGTATATGTCCAAACTCATCAACTTGTATACATTGAATGTGCACCATTTTTGTATATCAACTAGACCCTAATAAACTGTATAAATAAATAATATCTCATTTCCATCAGAAAAAGAGTTCCAATTGACAGAATATCAAATAACAGAGAGATGCTGTAACAATACAGGCACATAGGAAATTTAATCACGATGGTCTAATCTTCATGTGAACCAAGGAAATAATGCAAGTTCACAATTTTCTAAAGATGAAGAAATAAGCTCAGATATCAGGGACAGCAAAATCTATGTAGCTCAATGTTTCTCCACTAAAAAGATGAGAACCAGCAATTATAAGCCTGACTTAGCGGTGCCATTCTGGCTTGATAAAGATAGAGGTCATTATCATGTCTCCCTATGTAGAGGAAGGTAAAATAATATTACTGTCATCAAGTGGTCCTACATGTGAAAGTTATGATACTCTTGACAAAAAAGCAACAGAAACTACTACCTCTGAAAGCATAAAAGCTAGAGTATTCTACTGAAGGGCAGAAAGCCGATTACACCTGATTAACCATGAAAGTCTGGCCAAAGTGTCATGTGTCATACATCTCAATATGGTCTTTTACAATCAATTTAAGACACAATTCACCTCTTTTCTTTAAAACTCCACAGAGCATCTAACTTAATGAGCCTAAACCTATGTTACAAACACTAACAACTTTTATAATAGGTTATCACCAAGACTTGGACTGTTTCTAAAATCCCAAGTACTGAAGGAAATGTGTATCATCCCCTAAGTTTTCCTAAAATGGCATGATAGCCATTTGGTCATGGAACAAACCCATTAGCTCAGCCTATCCTCTTATTTAAGCTGTAGAGGAGGGCACTGGGTTTTGGCTCAGAAGGTATCTGAGTAAGTGTCAGACATGGATGGGGCATAACTTTTCCTCAGACTACAAAGTGGGAATCAAGGAGTATAAAATACTCCTTGTATTTCATATTTCTTTATCTTTGGGATAAAGAAACCATGACCATCACCCAGGGAAAACATTATCAGTCTGTGGAGACTCAGAGAAGAGATGGTATAAATGTGTGAAGAAGAAAGTTAAAGATTTTGAATGAAAGGATGAGAGGCCAGGCCTAGAGCAATTTCCTGGACCGAAAGGGAAGCTGCTGTTTTCAGAGAATGCTTATAATTTGAACTTGGACAAAAAGAGAAACATTAAAGTTGCCAAAGTCATCCCAAGTCAAAAAAGTAGTCATAATTTCCTTCATAGGAATGGTAAGTAGAGGAGAGAAACACTAAAGAAATTACACAAAATCTCTGATTTTACTTCAATCACACTGGTGCCACTAAGTCAGCCACTCACTAACTGATTCAATTTGGTGTTTCTGAGGTGCAATCCATTATTTAAATTATAATCTCTATATTCTAATTCAACACTTAGCTTCATAAATAGTCTAGTCTCCAAGGGTCTTCTAATTAACAAAGAGAAGCTTCATCAACATCATCGTCGTCATCATCATCATCTTCTAACAGGGAAAATATTAACATGTCATATTATTTCTTTGAAGAATATCATTCTGGAAAACTATAATCCAGAATATGAAAATGTACTAATTTGATTTGTCATAGAAATGTTCTTTCTTTTAAGATCCAAGATAAATCAGCAAATGCTTCCAAAGCTGACATTTAATCCATGAATTCAAATCATTTTCAAGATTTATGATCCATTAGAAAGACAGTTTCAATTTCCCTTGCCCTTGTGAGAGTCTAATGTATGGCTGGCACAAAATGCATTTACACTGCACACATTCCATGACAACAGTATCATTTACTGATAATGCTTTTCAAGTCTTAAAAAATGATGTTGCAAGTTATGCTTATTTTGATTTGTTTTCTGTAAGTAGTAGATGAATGCTTCACTCTGGTGAAGCTTCCTAAAATATATAGATTAACAGATATCCATATAACAAAGATTGCCTACTAAAGTTTACAAGAAATCTCTCGCAATCATAATAATGATATTATAAGTGGATGGGATATCTAAGGACAGACTAGATGTCCATATATAGCTATAAAATCAGATACAGAAAAAGATACACACTTAGATATAGGTAGAATAAAAAGTTATAGGTAATTTATTGAGGGGAAGATGGCAGACAGAAGGCAGGACGACCTTGCAGCTCCTACTCAGACAGACAGAGCAGCATGTGGAGACTCACATAGTGAACTTTTGCTCTGAGAACTACCACAGCAACATACCATGAAAGCTAAGAGAATCCACAGACTCTTTGAAGGAAGTGGATCCCTGCTGCAGCCTCCCTGAGATGCCAAAAAACTGAGTTGGCTTGCTTTCTCAGAAGGGAGGCTGATGGTCTGGGGCAAGTTATCAGCCCTGGTCACCAGCTGCCTGTAAATAGACTGAGTGCTGTTGTGGGGACACAGTGGGAGTGAGACCGGCCTTTAGGACTACGGGCTGCATGGGATCAGGGTGAGGACTGTGACTGCCTGCTTTCACCTACTTCCCTGGCGACTTGGCAGAGGCAGCCATAATCTACCTGGGAACCTAATTCCACTGGACTGGGAACCACACCCCAATTCCCCACAGCAGCTGCAGCAAGCCCTGCCCAAGGAGAGTCTGACCTCAGACACACCTATCCCTGCCCCCACACAGTGGTCTTTCTCTACCCACCCTGGTTGCTGAAGACAAAGGACATAATCTCTTGGAAGTTCTATGGCCCTGCCCACTGCCTAAGAAACCTGAATATATAACCAGGCAAGCCTAGGGCAAGTTTGCTTCATCCCTATAATACCATAGCTGATGCACTCCTGAAAGTCCCACCTCCTGGCTGTAGGCCAACCAAAACAAAACCAGTGCACTAAACAAAAATACAACCAAGGTCCCTCACAGAGTCCACTTCACTCCCCTTCTGCCCCCACTGGAGCAGGTGCTGGTATCTATGGCTGAAAGACCTGAAGATGGATCACATCACAGGACTCTTTGCAGACACTCCCCAGTACCAGCCCAGGGCCCAGTAGCTCTGCTGGGTGGTTAGACTCAGAAGAGCAAAAACAACTGCTGCAGTTCAGCTCCCAGAAAGCCCCATCCCTAGGGGAAGGGGGAGAACACCATATCAAGGGAATACTATGTGGGACAAAAGAATCTGAACAGCAGCCCTTGAGTCCCAGATCTTCCCTCTGATATAGTCTACCCAAATAAGAAGGAACTAGGAAAGCAATTCTGGTAATATGAAAAAACAAGATTATTAAACACTATTAAAGATCACACCAGCTCACCAGCAATGGATCCAAACCAAGATGAAATCTCTGAACTGCCAGAAAAAGAATTCAGAAAGTCAAGTATTAAGCTAATCAAGGAGGCACCAGAGAAAGGTGAACTCCAACTTAAAGAAATCAAAAACATGACACAGGATATGAAAGAAAAATTCTTCAGTGAAATAGAGAGCATAAATAAAAAACTATCACAACTTCTTGAAATCAAGGACATACTTAGAAAAATGCAAAATGCACTGGAAAGTCTCAGGACTATAACTGGACAAGCAGAAGAAAAAACTTCAGAGCTTGAAGATGAGGCTTTTGAATTAATCAAATTCATCAAAGACAAAGAAAAAAGAAATTACAAAATGAACAAAGCTTCTAAGAAGTTTGGGACTAGGTTAAGTGTCCAAACCTAAGAATAATTGGTGTTCCTGAGGAAGAAGAGAAATCCAAAAGTCTAGAAACCATATTTGAGGGAATAATCAAGGAAAACTTCTCTGGCCCTGCTAGAGATGTAGATATCCAAATACAAGAAGCTCAAAGAACACCTGGGAAATTCACTACAGAAAGAATATCACCTAGGCATATAGTCATCAAGTTATCTAAAGTAACGACAAAGGAAAGATTCTTAAGAGCTATGAGCAAAAGCACCAGGTAACCTATAAAGGAAAACCTATCAGAGTAACAGCAGATTTCTCAGCAGAAACCCTACAAGCTAGAATGGTTTGGGGTCCTATTTTTAGCCCCTTTAAACAAAACAATGATCAGCAAAAATTTTGTATCTAGCAAAACTAAGCTTCATAAGTGAAGATAAGATACAGTCTTTTTGAGACAAACAAATGCTGAGAGAATTCACCACTATCAAGTTGGCATTACAAGAATGGCTAAAAGATTCTAAATTTTGAAACAAATCCTCAAAATACACCAAAATAGAACTTCCTCAAAGGATAAATCTCACAGGACCTATATAACAATAACACAATTAAAAAATAGTATTCAAGCAACAAATAGCATGATGAATAGACTAGTACCTCATATCTCAATACTAATGTTGAATGTAAATAGCCTACATGCTCCACTTAAATGATACAGAATGGCAGGATAGATAAGAATTCATCAACCAAGTTTCTACTGTATTCAGGACACCCACCTAATACATAAGGACTCACATAAACTTAAGGCGAAGGGGTAGAAAAAGATATTCCACGCAAATGGACACCAAAAGTGAGCAGGAGTAACTATTCTTATATCAGACAAAACAAACTTTAAAGCAACAACACTTTAAAAGAGAAAAAGAAGGACATTATATAATAATAAAAGGACTAGTCCAACAGTAAAATATCGCAATTCTAAATATATATGCATCAACAGTGGAGCTCCCAAGTTTATAAAGCAATTACTACTGGATCTAAGAAATGAGATAGATGGCAACAGAATAATAGTGGGAGAATTTAATACTCCACTGACAGCACTAGACAGGTCATCAAGGTAGAAAGTCAACAAAGAAACAATGGACTTTTTTAAACTATACCCTACAACAAATTGACCTAACAGATATTTACAGAACATTCTACTCAACGACTGAAGATTATACAGTCTATTCATCAGCACATGGGGCATTCTCCAAGATAGACCATATGATGGGGCACAAAACAAGTCTCAGTAAATTTAAGAAAAATCAAAATTATATCAAGTACTCTTTCAGACCACAGTAGAATAAAATTGGAAATTAACTCCAAAAGGAATCCTCAAAACCAAGCAAATACATGGAAATTAAATAACCTGCTCCTGAATATTCATTGAGAAAACAATGAAATCAAGATGGAAATTTAAAAATTCTTTGAATTGAATGATAATGATGACACAACCTATCAAAACCTCTGGGATACAGCAAAAGCAATGCTAAGAGGAAAGTTCATAGTATTAAATGTCTACATCAAAAAGTCTGAAAGAGCACAAAATACTAGCTAACCGAATCCAACAGCATACCAAAAAGATAATCCACCATGATCAAGTGGCTTTCATACCAGGGATGCAGGTATGATTTAACATCCACAAGTTAATAAATGTGATACACCACATAAACGGAATTAAAAACAAAAATCACAAGATCATCTCAATAGATGCAGAAAAAGCATTTAACAAATTCCAGCATCCCTGTATGGTAAAAACCCTTAGCAAAACTGGCATAGAATGGACATATCTTAAGGTAATAAAAACCATCTATGACAAACCCACAGCCAACATTATACTGAACGGGGAGAAGTTGAAAGCATTACCCCTGAGAAATGAATCAAGACAAGGACGCCCATTTTTACCACGTCTTTTCAACATAGTACTGGAAGTCCTAGTCAGAACAATCAGGCAAGAGAAAGAAATAAAGGGCAATCAAATTGGCAAAAAAGAAGTTAAACTGTCGCTGCTTGTTTATGATATGATTTTATACCTAGAAAACCATAAAGACTCATGTAATAAGCTCCTAAAGCTGGTAGATGAATTCAGCAAAGTTTCAGGATACAAAATTAATGTAGATAAATCAGTAGCTCTACTATACACCAACAGCAAACAAGCTGAGAATCAAATCAAGAACTCAACCCCTTTTACAATAGCAAAAAATAAAATAAAATACTTAGGAATATACCTAGTGAAGGAGGTCAAAAATCTCTACAAGGAAAACTGCAAATCATTGCTGAATGAAATCACAGATGACACAAACAAATGGAAACAGAATCCATGCTCAGGGATGGGTAGAATGAATATTGTGAAAATGACCATACTGCCAAGTGCAATCTACAAATTCAATGCAATTCCCATCAAAATACCACCATCATTCTTCACAGAGCTAGAAAAAAATCCTAAAATTCATATGGAACCAAAAAAGAGCCCACATAGTCAAAGCAAGACTAAGCAAAAAGAAAAAAAAAAGGAGACCTCCCATTGCTCAACTTCAAACTATAGTACCAGGCTATAGTTACCAAAACAGCATGGTACTGGTATAAAAATAGGCACATTGACCAATGGAACAGAATAGAGGAGAAAACAAGAAATAAAGCCAAATACTTACAGCCAACTGATCTTTGGCAAAACAAACAGAAACATAAAGTGGGAAAATGATACCCTATTCAACAAATGGTGCTGAGATAATTGGCAAGCCACACAAAGAAGGAATCTTGATCTTCATCTCTCACCTTATGCAACAAAAATCAACGAAAGATGGATCAAAAACTTAAATCTGAGACCTGAAACCATAAAAATTCTAGAAGATAACATTGGAAAAACCCTTTTAGACACTGGCTTAGGCAAAGACTTCATGATCAAGAAACCAAAAGCAAATGTAACAAACAAAGATAAATAGATGGGACTTAATTAAACCAAAAAGCTTCTGCACAGCAAAAGAAATAATGGCATTTGCAGCAAACTGGATAAAATTGGAGACTATTATTCTAAATGAAGTAACTCAGAAATGGAAAACCAAACATTGTATAGTCTCACTCATGTGGGAGCTAAGCTATAAGGATGCAAAGGTATAAGAATGATACACTGGACTTTGGGAACTCAGGGAAAGGGTGGGAGTAGGGTGAGGAATAAAAGACTACACATTGGGTACAGTGTACACTGCTTGCATTATGGGTGCACCAAAATCACAGAAGTCACCACTAAAGAACTTATTCATGTAACCAAATACCACCTGTTCCCCAAAATCCTACTGAAATTTAAAAAAATTTAAAAGTCATGCCACATAATCTCATAAAATGGTGTGAACAACCCTATGCCATTTTTCTTTTTTCCCCTCTTTTCTTTACTGTTTTAAACAAAATAATTTCACCCGTCAAAAATATCAGCAAAAGATATCAGACTCTCAATATGAAGTTCTCAAAGCACATTAATCCAAACTTAAAATTCAGAGTCAACATCAATGAATGTAATATCTATTAAAGAAGGTGCTCCTTTTTTCCAGTAATTCAGGTTTTCAACCAAAAAACTAATAAATTCCACATACACTATACTAGAAAAATTACATAGTATTAGAATGTCTATGTTTTTCATTATACATATGATAAAATGAAATTCCAAAGAGGAAAGTTATTTCCTCAAGGTCATAACATAGTTGTAAGATTTGTGACTGCCCCAACCTGAGTATTAATCAGCAAAAGCAAAAGTAGATGTTCTTCAGCTTTATGAGCTAATATCAGATCATTAACTTGTCTGTCACCACCCAAACATGTCATTCAACAACTGTATTAGTTACTTATTGCAGAAATGACATACCATCATTCTCCTATACACTATTGGTCACATAGTCTGATGCTGATACAATGGGAAGGGGTCACAACAGGGTGTGACTTTTAGACAGAGACCATTAGATACAATGGGAAGGGGTTCAAAAGGGTGTGAATACCAGGCAGAAGCCATTAGAGGCCATCTTGGAAACTGCCTACCAAAATAAACATCTCAAAACCCAGGGGATTTTCTCATATGTGGAAAGACTTTTAGCAAATCTTACTTTCTTGATCCACAGATCACTCAGAACCCTTCTTGAAAAACACTTGCAACACTCTCCTAGATTCAATCTGATTGTCTCATAATTGATAGAATAAGAACAGCATCCATTGTGGATGCCTCACTCATATATTTATTTACTAAATGGCATAATACTGTATACCAGGAAGTCTCCTGGGGACTGAGAATACAATAGTGAAGAACGTGTCATTTCTGCTGTAAAACCATTTGAGACAAGAGATATAGAAAAGAAAACTGGATAGGGAGGAGAGAGAGGGAATACAATAAGAAGAAAAGAATAAAGAAGGTCAAAGAAACAATGGGGAAGAGAAAGAAAGAGGTAAGGCCGGGAAGGAAAATGGAGTGGAGATAGAAACCAATATTGATGGGAAATAAATTCAATCATGAAAATATTTGCTACATTAAAATTAAAATACTGAAGTTTGAAAAGAAAGTAGGAAGATTTTTGCTTAACATATGCCTCCATATGCTCAATATACAGTTCATTAACTAAATTTAGAAACTGTGTCTAAACGTTTGCCTTTCTAATATGCAAAAAACTCACACCTCAATTCAGAGGTTCTCAAGTCTTTCAGTAAAGACACTGACAAAAGCACCAGACACTCTTTTCCAAAAGACAATTTAAAAATGTGTGCATACACATATACACAGACACAAATTTCACAGTCCATGGGCCTAAAGTTAGGAACTCCCAATCTTAAAAATATAAAGTAACATTTTAAACTGTTGTCCGTGTTAGCTGTCTTTGTGAATATTCAGGATATACTCTAATGCAAGACTTGCTAGATCTTTATGAAATGAAATGTTTCACCAAGATAAGGCAGAATATTAGGGGATTTTGCTCTTTAGAGTATTTTTCCAGACTGAGGAGTCTCAGTCTGAATGGAAGAACTTAGCGTCGTAAAGACAGGAGTAAAGAGCCTCATGTCAGGGCCGGGCACGGTGGCTCAGGCCTGTAATCCCAGCGCTTTGGGAGGCCGAGGCCAGCAGATCACCTGAGGTCGGGAGTTCAAGACCAGCCTGACCAACATGGAGAGACCCTGTCTCTACTAAAAATACAAAATTAGCTGGGCACGGTGGTGCATGCCTGTAATCCCAGCTACTCAGGAGGCTGCCGCAGGAGAATTCCTTGAACCCGGAGGCAGAGGTTGCAGTGAGCCAAGATTGCACTGAGCCAAGATTGCACTGAGCCGAGATTGTGCCGAGCCGAGATTGTGCCATTGCACTCCAGCCTGGGCGACAAGAGTGAAACTCTATCAAAAAAAAGAAAGAAAGAAAGAAAAAGCCTCATGTCCAAAAACAAGCTCAGGTCTAAGTTAACCAATCTAGATGTAAGAGCCATGTAGTCCCATTTCTTCATTTTACAGATGGGAAAAGTGAAGACCCAGTGACTGATGAGGATATGGTGACCTAAAATCCAACACTGAGCAAGCACTCAGGACCTAAATAACCTTGGTCCATATTGCAGGAGACTTATCCACAAGTGTTAAGATCAGACTTGGTAAACTAATGTTAAACCCTCCACTCCAGAAGGGGAGTGCTAAGTGAACTCAGATTAGCTACAGATGTCTCAGTCAAGCAGGCTGAGGAGTGGACCTTGGATCAAGCAAAGGAGAGGGTATAAAATCAGGCAGACAGTTATTGGGGCATCACTTAGTAGACACTTCTGTGAATCTTCATTTAATAGTCTGAATTTCCTCCGTTTCAAAAGGCACTACAACAAATTTACTATGCAGTGCAGTGATTTTATACTTTGAGACAAATGGAAGCTTGAGTTTGAAAGCCAAATTCTCCCTTGGAAATATAATTGAAATTCTCCAATATGCCTATAATCCTGGTATGCTGCCATTTAAGTCTGGTACTTATGCCTAGAAAACTTGGCAAATGTTATCAAAAGCAGGTGAGCAAATTGCTCCTATTACTATCTCTAACACTAATTAGTTAGAACTAACTTGAGGAGGCATCATGTCAGAGCTTTGCCAGACAGCAATGCCTAGTTACATAAAATCATCCCTGAAAACATGCACTGCTGTTGGAACAGTTGCAGACTGATGTTGAAGAAAGCTGTGGTGTAATATCAGGTTACTTTCCATAAGCTTTGCATGAAATCTTCTAAGTATAAACCAGCTGTAGAATGCTTAGTGCTCCACCAGGATTTTGGGGGGCTAGGGAGGGAGCACTTACCTTATCCCCATTCCTCCTCAACTCTTCATGGTTAAAAAAAAAAAAGAAGAAGAAAGAAAGAAAAAGAAAGAGAGAGGGAGATTCTAAGAGTTTAAAACCCATTCACCAGCTTTTATGCCCTATCACAAGTTTAAAAAAAAAAAAGGTATAGGTATAGCTTCTCAACATAATGCCAAATTGGCTGGTGTTCTCCCTTTCCATTGAATTCTTCCTACTAGTTTGATCTCTGCCTGCATTTTGTTTTCTGAAATTCCCAGTGACCTTTTGCAAAGGCAAATAGGTCATAGTGCATGTCAGGCAGGATTGCACTGTGCTGACCTGGTGAGAGCCAATGAACCTAGCACTACATTTTTCTACTTTGCTTTGTTCTTCAAGCTGAAACAAATGCCATAAAATACTTGATTTAAGAAGTTAGTATATATATGGTAAACCATCAGGTTCAAAATATGCAAAATAAAAAATTTCTATAGTTTATGTTAGTTCAAGTAAGTTTCCAAAATGTCACTACAGTAGAAAACTGATGAAATGGATAAGAAAGCAATAAATTTGATTCACAGAAATCTAAAGTGGATGTAGCTTGCTTATTTTTGTTGCCATATGGTTTTGTATTTATGAATCTACTACAATTGATTTATCCAGTTCCTTCCCATTTGGAGCAACTGTGAAAAATATTATTACAAATATTCTTGCACAAGAATCTTGATTTACATATACCCCAGTGTTTCTATATTATATACAGAAGAGAGGAATTTCTGGTATATTACCCAGCATTATGCCAGGGGGATTTTCCAAAACGGTTGTACTGAATTTTGCACGTATCAGTAGTATATAAAAATTCTTACTGCTCTTAATACCTAATGTAGATGACAGGTTAATGGGTGCAGCAAACCACCATGGCATGTGTATACCTATGTAACAAGCCTGTGCATTCTGCACATGTATCCCAGAACTTAAAGCATAATAATAACAATAATAAAATGAGCTTATTTTGAAGTCCTTACATCTTCCTTAGAGAAAGGGGTAAGTACATGGCCACAGGCTTCACAAGTCCTGCTACTGCTGTGCTTGTGTCTGCACACAGATGCTCCCACACAGAGGACAGACAGTAAACATGACAGTCTTCCTATGAAATTACACAATTTACCCACACACACACAAAAAAAATTCTTACTGCTTTTCATCCTCACACATAGTGTTGCTCCATTTTTTTTAATCTGGTGGATGTATTACATAGTAGTTTTCATTTGCATGTTCCTGATTACAAATGAGGTGGTATATTTTTAAATATAACTTTTAACCAATGAATTTCCTTCTTTTTGAAATGTCCATTTAAGTATTTTTCCAATTTTCCTATTGAGCTATGTATCTTTTTCCTATTGATTTATATCTACTCAAAACCACATGAATGAATTTCATAGCTATAATACTGAGCAAAACCATCAAAATACAAAATAAACGTATGTTTTCATTTGTATATAGTTCAAAAACAGGCAAAAAATGGACTATTTTGTTTACTAAGGCACAAAAAGTTGTGACAGTATTTTTTAAAGCAAGGAAATAATTCCTACAAAATTCAGCGGAGGTTCCTTCTGACTCTAAATAGGTGGTACTTAAGAGGAAATAGACTTGGTTTCCTGAGTTGTCATGGTTCTAATATTTGGTCATGAAATCTGCCAGTGCCCCGGCTCTTGAACACTGAAAATAAATCAAATAAAAAATTTTACTTAGGCTGGACGTGGTGGCCCACACCTGTAATCCCAGCACTTTGGGAGGCTCAGGCAGGCAGATCACAAGGTCAAGAGATCGAGACCATCCTGGCCAACATGGCAAAACCTCACCTCTACTAAAAATAAAAAAATTAGCTGGGCATGGTGGCGTGCACCTGTAGTCCCAGCTACTTGGGAGGCTGAGGCAAAAGAATCGCTTGAACCAAGGAGGTGGAGGTTACAGTGAGCCGAGATCGTGCCACTGCACTCCAGACCAGTGACAGGGCGAGACTCCGTCTCAAAAAAAAAAAAAAAAAAAAAAATTAGCTGGCTTGGTGGCACACGCCAGTAATCCTAGCTACTTGGGAGGCTGAGGCAGGAGAATCGCTTGAATCCAGGAGGCAGAGGTTGCAGTGAGCCGGGACTGCGCCACTGCACTCCAGCCTGGGTGACAGAATGACACCCTGTCTGCAAAAAATAAAAAAAGAAGGATTTTCATATGATTATATGTATAGATAAGTATCAAAAAGAATGGGAAACGGCAAATAAGAAGGAGTTACCCTTTATTTTTACAATGACACATTATTTTTCTAGTTTAAAATACACACTCAATTATATAATTTACACACTTACTTGAGAAGGCTTATACATATCACTGAATGTATACTTATCTCTCCCCACGGCCCAGTAGGATGGGAGGAAAATGTGAAGCAGATTTGGAGTAGGCTGATTTGAGCTTTATGTATATAATTTAGTGCAACTTTAAATTGGAATATAGGGTAATATCTAGAGCAATCACTAAGAAAAATATTTTTAAAACATATACAAAGAAATATATGCACACTACAGATAAGGAAAAATGTAACACTAAAAATTATTTCAGTAACCCACAGAAAGGTAAGAAAAGAGAAAGAGAGAAACAAAAACAAGACAAACAAAACAATAAAGTGGCAGCCTTAAATCCAGACATCAAAAATTACATTAAATATGAAGGGCTTAAAGACACCAATTAAAATATAAATGCTTTATATTAAAAAAATTATCAGAATATAGTTCAAAATGACTCAGCTATCTGCTGTCTACAAGAAATTCATTTCAAATATACTGATATAAGTAGGTAAAAAGTAAATAGAAGAAAAATATATATACCATGAAAACAATCACAAAAAAGCTATATAGCTATATGAATAGCAGATAAAGTAGACTTCAGAGAAAAGAAAAAAAATTACTAAGTACAGAAAGGAACATGACATTATGATAAAAGACTTAATATACCCAAAAAAGACATGAAATCTTTAATGTATCAAACTTAAAAACTTCAACAATCAAGATAAAAAGGATGATAAGAAGACAACTTATAACTTTTGAGCAACTAATACATACTGCTAATAAGTGTTAGACCCTGATTCAAACACTTTACATCTATTATCTCATTTAATCTTCACCAAAAGAAAAGCAAATACATTATTATCTCCATTCTGCATATAACATAATTAAGGGCTCTAAAGAGTTTAAGCATCTTGCCCAAGGTTACACAGTTAGCAATCCTTAGGCCAAATTATTTTTACTCTTCGTTCTGCCTCCATCAAGGTTTGTCTCCAAACACTTCAAAAATAAACAGTGTGATCATCATATCTAACACTGCTGTCCAACATTTACTCTTCTTGGTCATAAAGACAGAGTATTTTTAGTGGTGAACAAACACTGGATTCTAAATAAGTCATAGGAATAAAGTGGCTCTAGAAAACATCAGTAAATACAAAAGAGCCTGGAGCAGGAAGCAGTTAATTATGGGAAAGCTGGAAGTAACATCATGGCCACAGTGACCTCAACAGTGTGAAGGCTGCCATATAAGTTTGGGAAAGCAGGGCCCTGTACAACTCCTGGGATTCCGTTAACATAGAGACTAAATTAGACTATCATATAAAAGGCACCACCTGGAATCACAATACACAGCATGCCCTGCCATTTATAGTATTTCTGACAGTAATTATACTGTCTGAAAGTAATAAAGTCTGCTAAGAAGCTCTTGGCATTCAGAGCACCCACCCACCTGGATCAGCAGTCTGAACTCCACTTCGCAGAGACTATAGTGAAGTGAGGACCTCCTTGCTCCATGCCCAGGCATATCTCCAGCATTGGAGCACCTGCTCACGTGGATTAGCAGCCTGAATCTCCCCACCCTTCCTGTGCAGAGATTGTGGTGCAGCAGGACCCTCTATGCTCCACGCCCAGGAAGATCTCCAGACATCTGGAACACCCATTCTTCTGCAACAGGAGTTTAGGCTGCCCCACCCTCATGCAGAGACTTGAAGCCAGAGATTTCCCCAGCTCCATGCCTATGCCCACTTCTGAAAACTTGGTGGCCACTCACTGGATCTCCTTCTTGGTGCTGGTGCTTGTGCCTGCCATCAGGGAACCTGTAGGCAGGCTTACCTAATCTGGCCCTGCCTATCTTCATCCTTTCCTACAGGGTTTATCAGGGAGCTCAGGCCACTGTTCACTTCACGGATCAGCCCATTGCCTGAGGCTGGCTCTCAACAGAGTCTCCCAGTAAAAAAAGATCCAGTATATACTCATCCACATTGGCCATAGCCAGTTCTTATCTGTAAGCGCCATCTACTGACCTATAGGTCAAACTGCACAGTCCAATATAAAACCTGCTGACAGAAGTGCATAGGACTGTAGAAGCAAAGCCAGAAGACTCTACCCAACACTCTCTACAGTCACACCCCATAGGCAAAGAGGAAAAGTGAAAGACAAAAAAAGGAAAGAAAGACACATGAAAATAATTACATAAATTGGAAGTGCCAGTGTCTCGAGATGACAAGGAAAAAGGGCAAGAGTTCTGTCATCATGAAAAACCTGAATATTGTGACACCACCAAAGAATCACATCAGCTCTGCAGCAGTGGTCCCTAAAGAAAATGAAAACTCAAAAATGACAGAAAATGTGAAGCATGGATTGCAAGAAAGCTTAATGAGATCCAAGACAGTTAAAAATCAACACAGAGAAACTTCTCAACAATTCAGGAAAAGAAGGAAGAGAGACGCATCTTAAAAAGAAATGCATCAGAGCTTCTGGAACTGAAAAAACTCAGAGCTTGAACTGGTTCTTCAAACTAGCACATTCAGTCAAAATTTTTTTGAAAATTTTAAAACAATGAAACTTAAGACTTACTGGCATACCTGTGAGAGAAGGAGAAAAAGTAAACAAACTGGAAAACATATTTAAGGCAATAATTCAAGAAAATTTATTTTATCTTGCTATAGAGATAGACATCCAAACACAAGAAATTAAGAGAATACCTGTGATATACAATGCAAAACAAACATCACAAAGGCATATAGATACCAGACTGTCCAAGGTCAAAGCTAAAGAAAAAATCTTAAAGGCAGCTAGAGAAAATGGTCAGATCGCATACAAAGCAAACCCCATCAGACTAACAATGATCTTTTCAGCAGAAACCTGACAGCCAGAAGAGACTAGAGGCCTATTTTCAGCATCCCTAAGGAAAAGAAATTCTAACCAAGAATTTCATTTCTCCCGAAAATAAGCTTCAAAAGAGAAGGAGAAATAAAATATTTTTCAGACAAGCGAATGCTAAGGGGATTCATTACCACTACGCCAGCCTCATAAGAGATTCTTAAGGCAGTTCTAAACACGGAAATGAAAGAAAGATACTTGCTACCACAAAAATAAATTTACGTACATAGTCCTATTATGGAAACAGAAAATAAAAAAAGATCAGGGGTCACCATTCTTATATCAGCCAAAACAGACTTTAAACCAAGAGTAAAAAAAGATAAAGAAATGTAATATATAATGATAAAGGATTCGATACAACAAGAAGACTTAACAATTCTAAATATATATGCACCAAACGTTGGATGACCCAGATTCATAAAACAAGTACTTTTAGACCTTCAAAAGTATTTACACAGCCACATAATAATAGTGTGGAATTTCAACATTCCACTGACAGAATTGGACAGATCATTGCGGCAGAAAACTGACAAGGAAACTCTGGACCTAAATTAAACACTTGCGCAATTGGACCTAATAGACATCTAAAAAGTAGCAAACACACCTACATCAAGAAGTTAGAAAGACCTCAATTTAACAATCTAATACTAGATCTAGAGCAATTTGAAAAACAAGAACAAAGTAACCCCAAAGCTAGCAGAAGAAAACAAATAACTATAATTGGAGCAAGACTGAACAAAATTGAAAGGCAAAAATTCATACAAAGGATCAAATAAAGCAAAAGTGGGTTCTCTGAAAGAATAAATAAACAAGATCAATTAACCATTAGCTAGATTAACACAGAAAAAATGAGAGAAAACCCAAACATGCAGAATCAGAAATAACGACTGATCTCACAGAAATATAAAGGATCCTCAGAAACTATTATGAACACCTCTGTCCACACAAATTAGAAAATCTAGAGGAAATGGACAAATTCCTGGAAACACACAACCTGCAAAGACTGAATTGAAAAGAACTTGAAACCCCGAACATATCAACATTGACTTCAGAAATTAAATCAGTAATAAAAAACCTACCAAAAATAATAAAGCCCTTGACGAGATGGATTCACAGCCAAAATATAGAGACATACAAAGAAGCGCTGGTAAGAATATTGCTGAAACTGTTCTAAAGAATTGTGAAGGAGGGACTCCACCCTAACTAATTCTGTGAAGCCAGAATTACCCTGATAGCAAAATCTGGCAAAGACACAATACAAAAAGAAAACTATAGACCAATATTCATGATGAATATAGATACAAAAATCCTCCACAAAATACTAGCAAATAGAATCCAGCAGCACGTCAAAAAGTTAATTCACCGTAATGAAGTAGGCCTTATTTCTTGCATATGAAGTTGGTTCAACATAAGCAAATCAATAAATGTGATTCACCATATACACAAAACTAAAAACAAAAACCATACAATCATCCCAATAGATACATAAAATGTTTTCAATAAAAGCTAATATATTTTCATGATAATTCTCAACAAACTAAGCAATGAAGGAACATAACTCAAAATAATAACAGCCATCTATGACAAAACCTTAGTCAACATCATACTGAGTAGGAAAAGCTGGAAGATTTCCCCCTTGAGAACTGGCAGAAGAAAAGGATGTCCTCTCTCACCATTCCTATTCAACATAGCACTGTAAGTGATAGCAAGAGCAATCACGCACTAGAAAAAAAGCATCCAAATAAGAAAAGAAAAAGTCAAACTATCTCTCTTCATTGATGATATAATCCTATACCTAGAAAATCCTAAAGACTGCCAAAAGGCTTCTGGAACTGATAAACAACTTCAGTAAAGTTCCAGGATACAAAATCAACGTACAAAAATCAGCAGCATTTCTATACACCAATAACATTCAAGCTGACAGCCAAATTAAGAATGCAATTATATTTATACTAGCCACCAAAAAATAATAAAATATCTAGAAATACACCTAACCAAATAGGATCTCTACAATGGGAATTTAAAAACATTGCTGAAAGAAATCAGAGATGATATAAACAAATGGAAAAACCTTCCACACTTATGAATTGGAAGAATCAACATTGCTAAAATGGCCATACTGCCCAAAGCAATCTACAAACTTAACAATATCCCTATTAAACAACATCAATTTTCAAATAATTAGAAATAAATATTCTAAAATTCATACGGAACCAAAAAAAGAGGTCAAATAGCCAATGCAATCCTACACAAAAAGAACAAACCCAGATTCATCACATTACCTGAATTTAAACTATACTGTACTATAAGCCTACAGTAACCAAAGCAACATAATATTGGTACAAAAACTGACATATAGACCAAAGGAAGAGAATAGAGAAACCAGAAATAAAGCCACACACATACAGCCATGTGATATTCAGCAAAGCTGTCAAAAATAAACAATGAAAAAAGGATTCCCTGTCCAATAAATGGTACTGAGATAACTGCCTAGCCATATGCAAAAGAATGAAACTGGATCCCTACCTTTCACCATATACAAAAATTAATTAAGATTGATTAAAGATTTAAATGGAAGACCTCAAACTGTAAAAATCCTAGAAGAAAACTTACAAAATACCATTCTGGACATTCGACTTAGCAAAGAATTTATGATTAAGTCCTCAAAAGCAGTTGTAATGAAAACAAAAATTGACAAGTGGGATCTAATTAAACTAAAGAGCTTATGCACAGCAAAAGAAACTATCAACAGAGAAAACAGACAACCTACAGAATGGGATAAAATATTTGCAAACATTGCATCTGACAAAGGTCTAATTTCCAGAATCCATAAGGAACTTAAACAATACAACAAGCAAAAGATTAATAACCCTAATAAAAATGGGCAAAGGGCATGAACAGACATTTCTCAAAAGAAGATATGCAGATGACTGACACACATATGAATATCACTAATCATCAAAGAAATGGGAATCAAAACCACAATGAGTTACACTAGTCAGAATGGCTATTACTGAAAAGTCAAAAAATAACAGATGCTGGCAAGGTTGTGGAGAAAGGGAAATGCTTATATACTGTGGAAATATAAACTAGTGCATCCATTATGGAAAGCAGTTTGAAATTTTCTCAAAGAACTTAAAATAGAATTACCATTTGACCCAGCAATCCCATTACTGGGTATATACCAAAAGGAAAATAAATCATTCTACCAAAAAGACACTTATACTTGTATGTTCACTGCAGCACTACTCACAATAGCAAATATACGGATCCAACCTAGGTGTCCATGAACAGTGGATTAGAAAATGAAAATATGGTGCATGGAATACTACATAGCTGTGAAAAAGAATGTAGTACCCACCTTAGCAGCACATATACTATTAATAACATTGGAAAAATACAGAGAAGGTCAGCATGGCCCCTGTGTGAGGATGACATGCAAATTTGTAAAGCATTGCATATTTTTTATAACACAATTGGAAGTATGAACAGCAGAGTATACTAGTCTGAGGAAAAAAAGAATCTCAGAGCTTGATGACCAGTTCTTCGAAACAACTCAGACCAAAATGAAGAAAAAAGTATTTAAAAAAAGGAACAAAACCTATCCAGCCAAACCAAGTTTCATGAGAAAAGGAGAGATAAAATCCTTTTTAGACAAGAACATGGTAAGGCAATTTATTACCACCAAACTGGCCTGAGAAAAGGTGCTTAAGGGAGTGCTAAACATGATAACAGAAGACCATTACAGGCCACCACAAAAACACAATTAAGTACATAGACCATTAACACTATAAAGCAACTACACAGTCAAGTGTACATAACAGCCAGCTAACAGTATGGTAACAGGATCAAATCCACCAATATCAATATTAACCTTGAATATAAATGGACCATACACCCCACTTAAAAGGCAGAGTGTCAAGTGAATAATGAAGCAAGACCCAACTGTATGATGTCTTCAAGAGATCCATCTTACATGCAAGGACACTCATAGGCTCAACATAAAGAGTTGAGAAAAATCTGTCTAGCAAATGGAAAACAAAAAAGAGCAGTGGTTGCTAGTCTTATTTCAGACAAAACAGTCTTTAAACCAACAATGATCAAAAAGGACAAAGAAGGGCATTACATAATGATAAAGCATTCAATTCAACAAGAAGACTTAACTCTCTTAAATATATATGCACTCAACACTGGAGAACCCAGATTCACGAAACACATACTTAGAGACTTGAGATACTTAGATAATCACACAATAATAGTAAGAGACTTCAACAACTCACTGATAGTATTAGACAGATTACTGAGGCAGAATATTAACAAAGATACTTGGGACATAAACTCAACATTTCACCAAATGGACCTAATGGATATCTACAGAATACTCCACCTGACAAAAATAGAATCTACACTCTTCTAATCTGCACATGGCATATATTCTAACATGAATGACACACTCAGCCATGAAACAACTATCAACAAATTCAAAAAAGATGAAATCATACTAACCACATGCTTGGACCACTGCACAGTAAAAATAACAATCAATACCAAGAAGATCTCTCAAAAGCATACAATTACATGGAAATTTAAAAATGTGCTTCTGAGTGACTTTTGAATGAAGAATAGAAATAAGGCAGACATCAAGAAATTCTTTGGAACTAATGAAAACAAAGTTGCAACATACCAGACTCTCTGGAACACAGCTAAAGCAGTTTCAAGAAGAAAGTTTATAGTGCTAACACCCACATCAAAAAGTTAGAAAGATCTCAAATTAACAATCTAATGACACACCTTGAGGAACTATAAAAAAGAGCAAAACCAACCCCAAAGCTAGTGGAAGAAAATAAGTAACAAATATCAGTGCTGAACTGAATAAAATGGACATGAGGAAACCCATACAAAAGATCAATGAAACCAAATATAACAGTTCTTTGAAAGGACAAATAACATTGATAAACCACTAGCTGAACTAATAAAGAAAAAAGAAAGAAGATCCAAATAAAGACAATCAGAAATGACAAAGGGAACATCATCAGCCACCCACAAAACACAGAAAACCCTCAGAAACTCTTGTAAATACCTGTAGGCACACAAACAAGAAAACCTAGAGACGAAATTGATAAATACTTGGAAACATAAAATCTCCCAAGATTGAACCAGAAAGAAACTAAAACCTCAAACAGATCAATAATGAGTTCCACAATTGAATCAATAATAAAAAACCTACCAACCAGATAAAGCCTTGGACCAGAAAGACTCTCAGTGGAATTCAACCAGACATATGAAGAAGCGCTGGTACCAATCCTACTAAAGTTATTCCCAAAAAACGAGAAGGAAGAACTCCTCTCTAACTCATTCTGTGAGGCCAACATATTGAGTCTCTAGCAGAGACACAGTGAAAATAGAAAACTTCAGGCCAACATTCCTGATGAACATAGATACACAAAATCCTCAACATAACACTAGCAAACACAATCCAGCGGCATATCAAAAAGCTAGTCTACCATGACCAAGTGGGCTTTATTCTTAAGATGCAAGGTTGGTTCAACATAAGCAAATCAATAAATGTGATTCATCACATATACAAAACTAAAACAAAAAAACACATGATCATCTCAATAGATGTAGAAAGAGCTTTAAGTAAAATTCAACGTGGCTTCATGTTAAAAACCTTCAATAAAATAGGCAATGAAGGAACATAGCTCAAAATAATAACAGCAATCCATGACAAACCCACAGCCAACATCATATTTAATGGATAAAAGCTGGAAGAATTCTTTTGAGAACTGAGAAAAGACAAGGAAGCCCACTCTCACCACTCCTATTCAGAATAGTACAGAGTGTCCTAGCCCAAGGAATCAGGCAAGATAAAGAAATAAAAGGCATCCAAATAAGAAGAGAGAAAGTCAAATTATCTCTTTTAGCAGACAACATGATACTATACCTAGAAAACCCTGTATTATCTGCCATAATGAAGACTCCAAAATCAAACACAACAAAAACAAAAAGTGACAAGTGGAAACTAATTAAACTAAATCTTCTGCACAGCAAAGGAAACTATACAAGAAACCATGAAGACACATTAACTCGTATGTTCATCACAGCACTGTTTAAAATAGCAAATATACGGAATCAACCTAGATATCCATTAACAGTGAACTAGATAAAGAAAGCGTGATTAAGGGGACAAGATGGTGGATAGGAGGTAGAGCTAATGTGCAGCTCCCACTTGGATAGACAGAATAGTGTGTGGAAACTCACACTGTGATCTTTTGCTCCAAGAACCACTGCAGGAAGGTACCAAACAAACTAAAAGAATTCACAGATCCTTTGAAAGAAGCAGCATGCCACTGCAAATGCCACAAGACAAGCAAAAATCTGTGAGTTCCCAAAGTGTGAGAGAGGAAAAACCTGCTTCCAAACACACATACCCACTGGAGAATCTGAAAACACAGATCATTGGGAAGGATTTAGCCTGACTTAGAGCTGAAATAGATGTAAAGAGTTATGCAAAATACAAAATATAAAAGTAGAAGCAGCAGTGGGAAGTTCCTTGCAGGCACTCCCAGTCTCCAGCTCAAGTCCAGGGAAGCCATCCTTGACTACATCTCACAGGGTCCCTAGGAGAAAATAGCCAGAGGAATAGGGGAGAGGTCTCAGGGTGAAGGAAGCTTCCAGCTGAAATTGGTAGTGGTTTTGACTGGGCATGATTTTCCTGAGTAGAGTCTAGGAGATGAGCAGGAGCTACCGCAAATACAAGTCCAGCAGCTGCTGCCAATGAAGTGGGCAGGCAGGGAGGGGTGAGGACCAAAAGCCAGGCTTGCTTTCTCAGTGGGAAAGCTCACAGCCTGGGGCAAGGTCTGAGCAGGGCACTGCAGGAGCAAGACTGGACTCATCAACCACTTGGGAGCTGGGTGAGGCCTCTCGCTATTGGCTATCCTCTATTTCCCTGGTGAACTATATTGACAAAGCAGAGGCAGCCAAGATTCCCTCTGGACCATAACCCCATCGGCCCAAAAACCACCCTCTGGCCCCCACAGTAGCCATGGCAAGCCCCACCTAAAGAGCCTGAGCCCAGACCCACCTAACCTTGCCCCCACCTGATGGTACTTCTCTATAGGCTCTCATAGTCAAACTCAAAAGATAAAAACTCTTGGGAGCTCTATGACCCCGCCCACTGCCTTAGAAACCAAAATACTTACACTGACTAATTTAGGGCAAGCTTTGGTCCCCCTACTACTACCACACAGCTGGTGCTCTCTTGAAAGTGCCACCTCCTGGCTGAAGGCCAACCAACTCAGCTCATTACAGCAACTCATGACAGAATAACCCTGATACCAGGAAGAAAACAATACCTAATTCCAATGCCTGCAACATCCTGGCTAACAGGGGTCCTGAGTGTGTCTGCAGGACAGCTTCACTGCTAGCATAACCAGCACTTGAGAAAGCCAGCACACTAAAAATATCTACAACCAAGCACTCTAAGAGAATCTATTTCACTCCCCTGCAACCTCCACCAGAGCAGGTGCTGGTATCTATGGCTGGGGCACCTGAAGTTGGACCACATCACAGGACTTTGCAGACATTCCCCAGCACCAGCCTGGAGACTGTTAGCCCCACTGGGTGGCTAGATCCAGAAGAGCAATAACAATCACTGCAGTCCAGCTCTAAGGAAGCCTCATTCCTAGGGGAAGGGAAAGAGCACCACATGAAGGGATCACTCCAAGAGACCGGAGAATCTGAACAGTAGGCCTTGTATTTCAGACCTTTCCACTGAAATACGCTACCCTACTGAGAAGAAACCAGAAAAGTAATTCTGATAATATGACCAAACAGCATTCTAAAACACTCCTCAAAAAGATCACACCAGCTCTCCAGCAATGGATCCAAACCAAGAAGAAATCTCTGAATTGCAAGATGAAGAATTTAAGATGCTGATTATTAAGCTACTCAAAAAGATACCAGAGAAAGGTGAAAAACAACTTAAATTTTGAAAAAAAAATACAGGATATGGATAAAAAATTCTCCAGAGAAATATATATCATAAAGAAAAAATAATCACAACTTCTAGAAATGAAGGACAAACTTAGAGAAATACAAAATGTAGTGGAAAGTTACACCAATAGACTAAAACAAGTAGAAGAAAAAACTTCAAAGCTTGAAGATAAGGCATTCAAATTAACCCAAAGACAAAGAAAAAAGAATTTTAAAAAATGAACAAAGTCCCCAAGAATTTGTGATTATGTTAAATGGCCAAACTTTAGAATAATGGTGTTCCTGAGGAAGAGGAAATCAAAAAGTTTGGAAAACTTATTTCAGGGAATAATTGAGGAAAAATTCCATGGCCTTGCTAGAAATCTAGATATCCAAATACAAGAAGCTCAAAGAACACCTGAGAAATTCATCGCAAAAAGATCATCACCTAAGTACGTAGTCATCAGGTTATTTATAGTCAAGACGAAAGAAAGAATCTCAAGAGCTGTGAGACAAAGGCATTAGATAACCTGTAAAGGAAACCCAATCAGATTAACATCAGATTTCTCACAAGAAACCTTGCAAGCCAGAAGAGATGGGTGTTCCATCTTTAGCCTAATGAAACAAGATAATTGTCAGCCAATAATTTTGTATTCAGCAAAACAAAGCTTCATAAATAAAGGACAAAGTCTTTTACAGACAAACAAATACTGAGAGAATTTGCCACTACTAACCCAGCACTACAAAAAATGTTAAAAGGAGTTCTAAATCTTGAAACAAAATGTCAAAAAACAAATAGAATATTTTTAAAGCATAAATGTTACAGAGCTTATACAACACTAACACAATAAAAAAAAACAAGGCATTAAGGCAACAACTAGCATGATGAATACAACAGTACCTCACATCTCAAAATAATATTGAATGTAAATGCCCTAAATGCTCCACTTGAAAGATACAGAATGTCAGAATAGATAAAAATTCACCAACCAACTATCTGCTGTCTCCAAGTGACTCACCTAACCCATAAGGACTCAAATAAACTTAAGGTAAAGGAATGCAAAAAGATATTCCAGACAAATGGAAACCAAAAGTGACCAGGAGTAGTTATTATTATAACAGACAAAACAGACTTTAAAGCAACAACATCTTAAAAAGACAAAGAGGAACATTATACAATAATAAAAGGGTTAGTCCAATGGGAAAATATCACAATACTAAATATATATATATGCACTGAATACTGGAGCTCACAAATTTATAAAACAATTACTACTAGACCTAAGAAATGATATAGATGGCAACACAATAATAGTGGGGGACTTCAATACTCCACTGACAGCCATAGACAGGTCATAAAGACAGAAAGCCAACAAAGAAATAAAGGACTTAAAACTATACCCTAGAACAAGTGGACTTAACAGATACTTTACAGAACATTCTACCCAACAACTGCAGAATATACATTCTTTTCATCAGCACATGGAACATTCTCCAAGATAGACGATATGATAGACCATAAAATGAGTCTCAATGCATTTTAGAAAATCAAAATTATATCAAGTATCCTCTTAACCCCAAAAGGAACCCTGAAAACTATATAAATACATGGAAATTAAATAATCTGCCCTGGAATGATCTTTGGGTCAGCAATCGAATGAATACAAAGGTTAAAAATTTATTTGAGCTGAATGATAATAGTTACCCAACTTATGAAAACCTCTGGAATACAGCAAAAGCACTGCTAAGAGGAAAGTTCATAGCATTAAATTTCTACATTCAAAAGTCTGAAAGAACACAAATAGACAATCTAAGGTCACACACACCTCAAGGAATTAGAGAAACAAGAACAAACCAAACTCAAACCCAGCAGAAGTAAAGAAATAACAAAGATCAGAGCAGAGATCAATGAAATTGAAACTAAAAAAGGTAAGTAAAACAAAAAGCTTGTTCTTTGAAAAGATAAACAAAATTGATAGACTATTAATGAGATTAACCAAGAAGAGAGAAGATCCAAATAAGCTCAATTAGAAATGAAACAGAAGATACTACAACAGATAACACAAAAATACAAACGATCATTCAAGGTTACCATGAACACCTTTACATGTACAAACTAGAAAATCTAGAGGTGATGGACAAATTACTGGAAATATACAACCCTCCTAGATTAAATCAGGAAGAAATAGAAACTCTGAAGAGACCAACAAGTAGCAAGATTGAAATGGTAATTTTAAAACTGCCAACAACAAAAAAAAAAGTCCAGGACCAGGCAGATTCATAGCTGAATTCTATCAGACATTCACAGAATTGGTACCAATCTTACTGAAAGAATTCCAAAAGATAGAGAAAGAGGGAATTCTCCCTAAATTTAAAATGGCTGAAATGAAGCCAGTATTACCCTAATACCAAAACCAGGAAAGGACATAACAAACAGAAAACTACAGACCAATATTCCTGATGAACATATATGCAAAAATCTTTAACAAAATACTGGCTAACCAAATCCAACAGTATATCAAAAAGATAATCCACCACAATCAAGTGAGTTTTTTTTTTTTAACCAGGGTTGCAGGGATGGTTTACCACACACAAGTCAATAAATGTGATACATCATATAAACAGAATTAAAAACAAAAATCGTATGACTATCTAAATAGATGCCGAAAAAGCATTGGACAATATCCAGCATCCCTTTATGATTAAAACCCTCAGCAAAACTGGCATAGAAGGGACATACCTCAAGGTAATAGAAGCCATCTATGACAAACCCACAGCCAGCATAACATCGAATGGGGAAAAGTTTAAAGTATTCTCCCTGAGAACAGGAATAAGACAAGGATCCCCAGTTTTACAACTTCTATTCAACATAGGACTGGAATTCCTAGCCAGGGCAATCAGACGACAGAAAGAAATAAAGGGCATCCAAATCACTAAAAAGGAAGTCAAACTGACACTGTTCCCAGATGATATGATAGTATACCTAAAAAACCCTAAAGACTCATCCAAAAACCTCCTAGATCTGATAAATGAATTCAGTAAAGTTTCAAGATACAAAATCAATGTATACAAATCAGTAGCACTGCCATACATCACCAACAACCAAGCTGAGAAGCAAATCAAGAATTCAATCCCTTTTACAACAGCTGCAAAAAACATAAAATACTTAGGCATATACCTAGCCAATGAGGTGAAAAATCTCTACAAGGAAAACTACAAACCATTGCTGAAAGAAAGCACCAATGACACAAACAAATGGAAATACATCTCATGCTCATGGATGGGTAGAATCAATATTGTGAAAATAATCATATTGCCAAAAGCAATCTACAGATTCAATACAATTCCCATAAAATTACCATAACTCTTCACAGAACTAGAAAAAACAATCCTAAAATTCATATGGAACCAAAAAGGTGCCCACATCACCAAAGCAAGACTAAGCAAAAAGAAAATAAATGGAGACATCTCATTACCTGGCTTCAAACTATACTACAAGGCTGTCATTACCAAAACAACATGGTACTGGTATAAAAATAGGCATGTAGACCAATGGAATAGAATAGAGAACCCAGAAATAAGGTCAAATACTTACAGCCAACTGACATTTAACAAAGCAAACAGAAACATAAAGTGGGGATAGAACACACTTTTCAACAAATGGTGCTGGGATAATTGGCAAGCCACATGCAGATTTTTATACAAAAATCAACTCAAGATGAATCAAAGACTTAAATCTAAGACCTGAAACCATAATAATTCTACAAGATAACATCATAAAAGCCCTTCTTGACAGTGGCTTAGGCAAAGAGTTTATGACCAAGAACCCAAAAGCAAATACAACAAAAACAAAGATAAACAGATGGGATGTAATTAAACTAAAAAGCTTCTGCACAGCGAAAGAAATAAATCAGCAAATTAAACAGACACCCCAGAGAGTAAGAGAAAACCTTCGCAAACTATGCATCCAACAAAAGACTAATATGCAGAATCTATAAGGAATTCAAACAAATCAGCAAGAAAAAACAAATAATCCCATCAAACAGTGGGCAAAGAACATGAATAGAAAATTCTCAAAGGAAAATATACAAATGGCCAAAAAACATGAAAAAATGTTCATCACTAATGACCAGGGAAATCAAATTAAAGTCACAATGAGATACCACCACCTTACTCCTCCAAGAATAGCCATAATTTAAAAATTAAAAAAAAATAGGTGTTGGCATGGATGTGGTGAAAAGAAAACACTTTTACACTGCTGCTGGGTATATAAATTTGTACAACCACTATGGAAAACAGTGTGGAGATTCTTTGAAGAACTAAAAGTAGAACTATCATTTGATCCAGCACTCCCACTACTGGGTATCTACCCAGAAGAAAAGAAGTAATTACATGAAAAAGACACTTGCACACATGTTTATGGCAGCACAATTCACAACTGCAAAAATATGGAGCCAGCCTAAATGCCCATCAACCAACAAGCATATAAAGATGTGGTGAAGATACAGAATGGAATACTACTCAGCCATAAAAGGAATAAAATAATGGCATTTTACAGCAACCTGGATGGAGTTGGAGACCATTATTCTAAGTGAAGCAACTCTCAGGATTGGAAAACCAAATATTGTATGTTCTCAAGTATAAGAGAGAGCTAAGCTATGAGGATGCAAAGGCATAAGAATGATATAATTGAGTCTGGGGACTTTGGGGGAAGTTTGAGAGAGCGGTGAGGGACAAAAGACTACACATTGGGTACAGTGTACACTGTTCAGGTGACAAGTGCACCAAAATCTCAGAAATTACCACTAAAGAACTTATTTATGTAACCAAAAACCACCTGTTCCAAAAAAACTATTGAAATAAAAATAAGAAAAAAAAGAAAAATGTGGTAAATATACACCATGGAATACTATGCAGTCATTAAAAAGAATGAAATCATGTCCTTTGCAGCAACATGGATAGAGCTAGAGGCCATTACCCTAAGAGAATTCATACAGGAAAAGAAATTCAAGTACTACATATTATCACTTATAAGTGGGAGCTAAACATTGAGTAGTAACTGATTCTATGTAGCACAAAGCCAAAATGCAAAACTCGGCTTTGATTGGCAGTTTCTGAAAGATATGCAACAAATATGGGATCTAATCTGGATGGCTGCTGCTGTGCTTAGATGTCTTTTTGAACACTTAACAGTTACACTGAGACAATGACTTTTTTAAGGATTAGTACTATGTATTATTCCTTATGACAAATACGTTGTCTGTCATTAATCCTTGAATCTTGCCGTATTGTCATGTAAACTGGTACAGGGACTGATGAAAATCTCTAATGAATAATCATAACACTCTTGGTGCCATGTTGTCCTAAGCTTGAATTTTTTTTAGAAGGAAAAGATATCAAATGCCTCTTGCTACTACCTTTTAAATTGCTATTTTTTAAAAGAAGCATCAGTATGTGTTTTATATTGATTTTTCTGATAGAGGGAAATGACAGTAGTTTCAGTTCTGATGGTATAAGAAAAACAAATAAAACATGTTTATAAAATTTGTAAAAATAATAATGATGTAATTATGTCTTTTGCAGCAACATGGAAGCAGCTGGAGGCCATTATTCTAAGTGAATTAATGCAGAAACAGAAAACCAAATACTGCATGTTCTCACTTATAAGTGGGAGCTAAACCTTGGGTACACACAAACATGAAGGTGGGAGCAATAGACATTACAGAATACTAGAGGAGAGAGAAAAGGAGTGGGAGGAGGGCTGAAAAACTACCTATTGGAAACTATGCTTACTACTTGAGTGACACAATCATCTGTACCCCAAACCTCAGCATCATGGGTAACATTTTTTACCCATGTAACAAACCTGCACATATACCCACTGAATCTAAAATATATAAGTTGAAATTTACACACAAAAAAATGAAAAAAATGAAATCCACTAGGCTGGAAAATTGCTATTAGCATCTGTCTAGACCCTGGACTACAGGGCAGAGATAATTGTCCAATTCGGTGAGTCTAAATTCTGGTGAACTACGGCAGCAGTGCCCAAATAGTTGTATATGATGAACCAGGAAAAGTCCCACAAAAGTTTTAATGACTATACACAAGATTGTAAAACTTTATTTTGACAAGCAATTATTTTCTTTCCGTATTATTATTAATCATCACCATAGTTTCCTAAAAGAAATTTATAAACACAGTTTTCTTATCTCACCAAAATGTGAATAATATGGTTACAAATCAACTTTGGTTTATAAACGGGTATTTGGAAACCTCTGAACTAGAAAGTCAGGATTGAAAGATGAAAGAGGAACATATGAGACAGACCATTTTCATTTTTATCCTTTCCAGAGCCTTATCCTTCTTTCCCAAAGCCAAAGAATGCCCCTTAGACCTTTAAGGTAATTTTTAATAAGACTCTTTCACACACATGACCCCTAAATCATATGAAAAGATTCACTTTGATGGCAGCTATCAGTACCAAACCTGCAGCAAGTCTCTTCAAGTGTAACATCACTGACACAGTTACATGGAAATGTGAACTGTAGCAGGTCAAGATTATCCTGAAGAGTCCAGGATCAGGATTGGCAGCTAAGATGGCATTTTTCTAAAAAGCTCATGAGGGTGGAGCAAGGTGGTTGGGTACAAGCCTACACCTTTTGTTCCTGCTGCTAGAACACCAAATTTTTAACAACTATCTGAACACAGAAAAGCACTATCACAAGAACCAAAAATCAGGTGAACAATCCTACTCCCTGGTTTTAAATTCATATCCCTGAAAGAGACACTGGGGAGGACAGTAGAGACAGTCTTGAATCACTGATGCCATCCCTCCCACAGCCCTCAGCATCCACCATGCAACACAGAAATAGAATCTGTGTACTTTGGGAAGGGAGAGCACAGAAACTGGGGTATTTTACATTAAACCCAGTGCTTCCCTGTCACAGCAGAGAAAAAACTCATGCCGGGTTCAGCCAGCACCTGCATGTGGAGAGAGGATTTGTACCAGCCACACCAAGAGGGAAAGCACCCCATCCCAGCAGTCAGAACTTGAGTTTCTCAGCAGCCTTATTACTGGGGGCTGAAGAGCTCTGCAATCCTAGGTAAGCTTAAAAGGCAGTCTAGGACACAAAGACTGTAATTCCTAGGCAACTCCTAAGCGGCGCTTAGAGCGCATGGACTAGGGTGGCATGTAATCTAGGGAGACACCAGCTGGGACAGCTAAGGGAGTGCTTGCACCATCTCTCCCCCAACCCCAGGCAGTGCAGCTCATAGTAATAAAAGTGACTCCTTTTTCCTACTTAAGGAGAGTAGAATGAAAAGTAAAGAGGAATTTTTCTTGAATGTTGGATACCAGCTCAGCCACAATAGGATAGAGTACCAGGCAGAATTATGAGGCCCTCATTCCAGGCCTGAGCTTCCAAAAGACAATTCTAGACAAATTCTGGGCAAAATAGGAACTCAGTGCCTTGAAGGGAAGAGCCCAGTCCTGGCAGGATTCATCACCTACTGACTAAAGAGCTTTAGGCCCTGAATAAAAAACAGCAATATCCAGGGAGTATGCAATGAGCCTTGGGCACTGACACATGATGACTTCAGGTATGACCCACCACATTTCCACCTGTGGTGACTATGGTGAAAGACAGCTTCTATTTGGAAAAAAAAAAAAAAAAAAAAAAAAAGCCAACGAAAAAGTAAAGAGGACTTTGAATTGCAATGTAGGTAACAGCTTGGCCAGTGGAGTAGGACAACAAGCAGTCTCTTGGGGTACCCAAGTCCAGGCATGGACTACTGTACATTTCTGGACCTGCCCTGGGCAAAAAGGGAACCCACTGTCCTAAAGGGTGAATCTCAGACATGGCAGCATTCACCACAAGCTGAATGAAGTGCCCTGGGCTTTAAGTGAACATTGGTGGTGGCCTGGCAGAACCTCCCATGGGCCAGTGGTGGTGGCGGCCACAGGGAGAGTCTCCTGTAAAAATTGGGCAGGGGAAAAAAGTTGGGGGGGAAGCAAGAAGAACTCTGTATTGTGGTTTGAGTGCCAGTTTAGCTTCAGCAGAATAAAATGTCAGGTAAATTGCTAAAGTCTTTGACTCTAATCAATCCCTGGCTCCCAAACAGCATCTCTGGACATGCCCAAGGCCAGGGAATCCTTCCACCCTGAAGAGAAAGGCCTTGGGGAAGACCCAGTGCTGTCCCGGCTTCAGGTCTGACCCAGCACAGTCCCAGTGGTGATGGCCACAGGGGTGTTTTCATCACCACCCCCCATCCAGTTCCAGGTGACTCAGCACAGAGAGACAGGCTCAGTTTGTTTGGGAGAAAGTAAGGGAAAAGAACAAGAGTCTTTGCTTGGTAATCCAGAGAATTCTTCCAGATCTTATTCAAGACCACCAAAGCAGTACTTCTACAAATCTGCAAAAACTACAGTATTGTTAGGTTTGGGGTCCAAGTCCCTTTGACTATGTGGAAAGCCCTCCAAAGAAAGATGGGCACAAAATAAATAAATAAATAAATAAAATAAAATAAAATAAAAAACAGATTACAAAGACTACAATAAATACCTAACTCTTCAATGCCCAGGCACCAACCATCAAGACAATCCAGAAAAACATGACCTCACCAAATAAACTAAATAAAGCACCAAGGACCAATCCTGGAGAAACAGAGATATGTGACCTTTCAGACAGATAATTCAAAATAGGTGTTTTCAGGGAAATCAAAGAAATTTAAGATAACACAGAGAAGGAATTCAGATTTCTATTAGGTAGATTTAACAAAGAGACTGAAATAATTTAAAAGAATCAAGCAAAAACTCTAGAGTTGAAAAATGCAATTGACATCCTGAAGAATGCATCAGAGTATCTTAATAGCAGATTGATCAAGCAGAAGAAAAAACTAGTGAGCTTGAAGACAGGCTACTTGAAAATACACAGAGAATACAAAAAAAAAAAGAATAAAAAACAATCTCAAAAGGGCTAGGATGTATCACCTGCTGACTAAAGAGCTTTGGGCCCTGAATAAAAAGCAGCAGTACCCAGGGAGTATGCCATTGGCCTTGGGCACTAAGACATGCTGGCTCAGTTAATGTAAGAGTTATTGGCTTTAAAGAGGAGAAAGAGAGAGAGAGATGCAGGTAGAAAATTTATTCAAAGGGATAATATCAAAGAACTTCCCAAACCTAGAGAACGATATCAATGTTCAACTACAAGAAGGTAATAGACATGCAGATTTAACCCAAAGGAAACCTGAAGTCATTTAAGAATCAAACTCCCAAAGGTCAAGTATAAAGAAAGGATCCTAAAAGTGGCAAGGGAAAACAAACAAATATCATACAATGGAGCTCTATTCGGCAGTAGACTTTTTAGTGGAAAATTTATAGGCAAAATTGAGAGGCATGACATATTTAAAATACTAAAGAAAAAACATTTTTATCCTAGAACAGTATACCTGGTGAAAATATCCTTTAATCATGAAGGAGAAATAAAGACCTTCTCAGGCAAACAAAAGCTGAGAGATTTCATCACTAGACTTGTCCTACAAGAAATGCTAAAGGAGCTCTTTAATCTGAAATAAAAGGATATTAATGAGCAAGAAGAAATCATCTGAAGGTACAAAAGTCCCTATAATATTAAGCCCACAGAAAAACATAGAATAGTATAACACTGTAATTGTGGTGTGTAAACTAATCTTAAGCAGAAAGAATAAATGATTAACCCATCAAAAGTAGTAACTACAGCAACTTTTCAAGACATAGTACAGTAAGATATAAACAGAGAAACCAAAAGTTAAAAAGTAGGAGGATAAAGCTGACATGTACAGTTGCTATTAGTTTTAGTTTTGCTTTTCTGTTTGTTTATTCAAATAGTGTTGCTTTAAGCTTAAAATAATGGGTTATAAGATAGTGTTTGCAAGACTCATGATAACCTTATATCAAGAAGCATACAATGGATACACAAAAATTAAAAAGCAATAAATTAAATAATACCATTAAAGAAAATCACCATCACTAGAAGGAAGACAGGAAAGAAGAAAGAGAAGACCACAAAACAACCAGAAAACAAATAAGAAAATGGCACAAGTATGTCATTACTTATCTATAATAACATTGAATGTAAGTGGACTAAACTCTCCAATCAAAAGACATGGAGTAGCTAAGTGGATTTTAAAAAAACAAGATCAAATGATCTGTTGCTTAAAAGAAACATACTTCACCTACAAAGACATATATAAACTGAAAGTAAATGGATGGAAAAGTTATTCCATGCAAATGGAAACCAAAGAAACACAGAATTAGTTACACTTGTGTCAGACAAAATAGATTTCAAGACAAAAACTGTAAAAAGAGACAAAGAAGGTCACTATATAATGATAAAGGGGTCAATTCAGCCAGAGGATTTAACAATTGTAAATATACATGCACAAAACACTGGAGCAATAAGATATATAAAGCAAATATTATTAGCGCCAAAGAGAGAGATAACCCCAAAACAATAATAGCCAGAGACTTAAGTACCCTACTTTCTGTTCTTCCAGACAGAAAATAAACAAAGAAACATCAGATTTTGTCTGCACTGTAGATCAAATGGGCCTAACAGATATTGACAGAATGTTTTATCCAATGGTTGCAGAATACACATTCTTCTCCTCAGCACATGGCTTGTTCTTAAGGTTATACCATATGTTAAGGCACAATAACAAGTCTTAAAACATTCAATAATTGAAATAATATAAAGCATCTTCTCTGACCACAACAGAATAAAACTAGAAATCAATAACAAAAGGAACTTTGGAAAATATACAAACACATGGAAATTAAACAATATACTCCTGAATAACCACTGGGTAAATTTAAAAAATTGAGAACAAAATTGAAAAATTTCATGAAACAAATGATAATGGAAATACAACATATCAAAACCTGTGGGATACAGTGAAAGCAGTACTAAGAGGGAAATTTATAGTTATAAATCCCTACACCAAAACAGAAGAAAAACTTCAAAAAACAAGTTAATGATGCATCTTCAAGGACTAGAAAAGCAAAAGCAAACTGAACCCAAATTTAGTAGGAAAAAATAATAAACATCAGTGCAAATCAATGAATTTGAAAAGAAGAAAATGATACAAAACATCAATGATCAAAAAATTGGGCTCTTAAAATGATAATCAAAATTGACCAGCATTCAGTCAATCAAATAAAGAAAAAGAGAAGGAAGACCTAAATAAATAAAATCAGAAATGTTAATGAGACATTACAGAAATTCAAAGGATCATTAGTGGTAACTATGAGCAACTATACACCAACAAATTGGAAAATCTACAATAAAAGGATAAATTCCTAGACACATACAACATAACAAAATTAAATCACGAAGAAATCCAAAACCTGAACAGACCAGTAGATAAATATCCTGTGGTAGGTGATTGGGTTAAGCAAGCCTGTCGCTTCAAGATCTTTATTTAATGAAGCACCAAGAATTCTATGAAGAATTCATCAGAACTTCGTACATATCACATCAAGTTAAAACACTGCAGCACAACAAAGGAAACAATCAACAAAGTGAAGAGATAACCCACAGAATGGAAGAAAATTAACAACCAGAAAGAGCTCAAACAACTCTGCAGAGTGTTTTTTGTTTTTGTTTTTCAACATATAGGTGCTCAGAAGATGTTACTTGAGTCAAATGCAACTTAATTTAAGTGAAATGCAATTTAATGTAAATAAAGAAATACCGAGGGGATCTGAAACCTTGCAAGTATAGAGACAGAAACCAGCATCCAAAAAGAGAGAGATAATTAAATATGTGAGTTTGAATTTCGACCTTGGGTTAAAAACTGTGCACTCTCTGAATGTGGACTGTGCTTGGCCTTCAAAAGTTTATTGTAGTCATAAAGGGGAAAAAATCTTGGCAGTGACTCTCTTCTGCCTGAGTGAGTACAAGTCATCAACATTGCATTATCTGAGAAGCCTATCCTTCCCTTTTGACTGGTTTTGATGGCAAGAAACTATTGCTTCCAACACTGTTGGTTACATCTGTGCATTACTTCAGGAAAAGATAAATCAGTCCAGGAGAATTTTAAAAGCACAGACTCTGAAGTCTGTGTTTTGATTCTGAACTATGCCACTTATTTAATATGAGATCTTGAGGGAAACCATTAACTTCAAAAAATCCCCATTTCCAACCTGTGAGATGATAAGGATAGCATCTACCTCATAAGTTTTTGAAGGCAAATGAGACAGTCTATGTTAAAGATGCTTTCTATGTTGAAAGTCTTATGCAAATGTTAGTTATTGTTACCCTTTGGATAACCCAGTTGATTAGGGATTTGGAAGAATATTTCTGAGCTCTGAAGTGTGATAGCAACAGTTTTCTGTGAGATTTCAAAGAAGACAAGAGGGATTTGAAGTTGAACAAAGATAAATACCACACTAAGAAGTTTAAAAACATCATTTCTGATGGAAAGGAAAATAAATTGACTGGCTATGTTAATCTTCATTAGTGGTATCTACTAATTAATATATATTTAGTTAAACAGGCTAGTTTTCATGGCAAAGAGCAAGCTATTCTTTTAATTCACTTTGCTTAATTCCTATTGCCATATGAAGACCAATTTATTGTAAGTATCAAACATCTCTGTCAGACACTGGGAAAACAGGTAATGGATATAAGGATAATTCTTTCCACTTGATTGAATACTTCCAGTGAATAGTCCCTTTTCCTCTTGAAATAATCACTGAGAATTGTTGGGATTTTTCTACTTACCATGCACAAAGTCCTTGATGGGCTTACTGAGAGATAATACTGGCCTTCTCCCTGGAACAAAGACTGAAAAAAAAAAAAAAAGACGCTTCCCCAGCTCCCCCACCACAAAAATCCATGCCACATTGATAATAGTAATTTCACCTGAACAGAGATTTTATTCCTCCCCTGCCTTCCTTAAAGAGAGGAGTATTCCCAAGCAAGTAGGTGATTGCTGGAGCTAGAAAGGTTAGTGTTTGGGGAAGCTGCTGTAAGTATACAAGCAAAGCAAACCAAAGTTTTATTCCTCTTCCCTCTCTTTGCCACTATATCATTTTAAAAACTCCATTAATTCTGTATAATGCAAGTCAGTTCTTTGGAATCTGTACCTGCCTACCTTTCCCAGGTCCTATCAATTCCCCACCTTACCTTGCTAAAGCCAAACTGGACTATCTGCTATTTCCCAAGGAAGTTGCCCCTTTGTCTGTGATTTTGTTCACGTTGCTTCTTTGCCAGGAATGTGGCCTAGGGCTCTCACTTTCTACTAAAAGAACTTCTTTTTGTCTTGCAAGTCAATAATGTGGAGACTGCCTCTTCATGAAACCCTCTTCTAAACCACCTCTCCTGGCCCTCCAGCAGATAGTTGGATGTTTTCTATTCTATACTCATTAAATGTCTACTAAAATCACTTTTGAGACATTTATTATATTCTATAGTTAAGCTATTGCTGATGTGTCTGTCTCTCCCACAAGATGGTATTTGAACTCAAGAAAGGATTATGTCCTTTATACTTAGATCTATAGCATCCAGCACACAGTAAAATCTTCGCATTTAATAAATGTGTTTTCAGTGAATGCATAGTTCAGCGGTTGGCAAATGCTTTCTGCAAAGGACCACATAGTAAATGCTTTAGGCTTCATGAGACATTTGGTCTCTAGCAACTCTGGCATTATTAATTACTCAAGTCTGCTAAACTCTGTCGTGGTAGAGCAAAAGCAGTCATAGGCAGTAAAAACAAATATGACTGTGTTTCAATAAAACTTTGTTTATAAACACAGGTGGTAGGTCATATTTGGCCCATGGGCTATAGTTGTCTAATCTCTGAAAAACTAAAAGATTGTGTGAATGAGAAAGCCCTAGAAAGTTGTTCTCACAAAGAGGACTGCCAAGCCCAAGAGAACATCAAATGATGTAAGGGCAGAAAATGAAAACAAATCCCTTTGAATAGAAATGAAAGGAAAGGAGTAGCACAAAAGCATTCTGCTGTCCTCATGCTGGAAATGAGGAATAATCTAGATTAACATGCATGCAACTGGGAAAGTGCAGATCCATCCACAGTCTTATGAAGGCCACAAATCAACTGTTTGCTACTGCTGTACCCTAGTTATTAAACTTTTTAGTTCACAGATTAAGAGTATCAACAAAGACAGTGCAATGGATTTCCCCATAAGGTACATTTTTTCTCTATATTGCATGAGAGCAAAATACAAGGGAAGATGCTAGCTATGCAAGGCATGATTGTCTATTCCATAGGATTGAAGCAATAGAGATGGAAATTCCAGTCTAGGTATGAGTTATAGGTGATACTTTGGCAGAGTTCTGAGAAAGATAGTTTGAATATGTCACCCTGAAATTAAAATGCACAAGCAACCTAGATGGCATCAAGCATTTATTTTCAATTCTAAACCAGTGTACCAGGCTAACGTCATTGGATGGGAGGCACATAAATAGTTTAATAATCTTTTACCTTAAGGCATAATTCTGGTATATATATTTTTCCTTCTTCATATTGTATTTTTTAGGAAATTTTGTGAGGCATAAGAAGGACAATCAGATAAGAAAATGCAGTATAGTGGTTCCAATCATTCAAAAGGAAACTGTAAGAGTGTTCACTTAAATTTATAGCACACATTCAAATGGGGATCCAAACTTTGAGATATATTTCCAAATGCAGGCAACACAGATAAAATGTTGGAGTGATGCCTGATCCCACATAATTCCCTACTCTGGAAGGCAAAACATCTGATACTGCTACAAATGCAGGAGCTAAACTGTCCTGCTTGAAGCAGCAACATCATTACCAGCAGCACCACCTGGCTACTGTGGAATGGAGTGGGATTGCGGGAGAAGGGGTATTCAAAAAATGGAGTTACACAAGCATAAAATGACTCGCCATAAAATAAGCTAAGCATATTTACTGCCTTTTCAGGAGGAAAGTGTCTAAGCGCACCCAATCATTGTGTGTATGTTTCCAGCATCCACACCTCCCCTTTTCTTTCTTTCTCTAAAAAAGTGTCTCCAACTTTTGAAGCAATTGGACTGAGATGTGTAATACATGAAATGCCAATTGACAACAAGTGATCAGTGTCCAATAGAAAAAAAAATTGTGACATGGCCTTTTTTGTGTAATTGCCTTCAGAGCATATATTCTGCAGTGCCCTGAAAGGATTGATGCTTTCTCTATCTCTAGCCTTGTGTGATAAAGTCAGATCTAACTCTCTCATGGAGCACAAGCCATGTAGACTGCCTTACTTAAATGGATTTCCTTCATTGGAAGCCTGCTGTGGTAAATCACTGAGAACCTAACAATAAACTTTTTGCCATAATGTTCTGGATTGTTAGCCCAATACACATGAACCTGAAATTTTTTCACTTTGGCACTATAGACACAGCAAAACAAAGCTTTGTGAATCATTTAATCCTATTTTCTTCTGCAATGAGAAATAATTCTACTGGTCAAGCTATGAAAATATCATGAGTCCATTTTACCATTGAGATAAAATAGAGTTCAGCTTTGCTTAAGAACTTCTTAATCCCATTAATAAGCCCTATGTCCCTGCTTCAGTTATGAGTCCTTAATTTTTTGTTTGTACACTATTTATGTCAGGAGTCTTAATTTAAGACATTTTCATGGGTCAAACAGATAATGAAAAAGGATAAGGTAAGATGGGTAGTAAAGTACTGAAGAATCAGTGAACCAGATATGGAATCTCTACTAAACTCCAACAAAATCTTGCTATACAAGAATGTGTGCAAGTATTACCAGCTATTTTGAATTTCAGAAAACTTTTCAAAACCACAATGAGGTGAATGAAAGTGGTACCATCTCACACCAGTAAGAATGGCTATTATCAAAAAGTGGAAAAAACAACAGATGCTGATGAGGCTGAAGAGAAAAGGGAACCCTTATACACTGTGGGTGGAAATGTAAGTTAGTCCAGCCACAGTGAAAAGCAGTCTGGTAATTTCTCAAAAAACATAAAACAGAACTACCATTCAACCCAGCAATGTCATTACTAGGTATATACCCAAAGGAATGTAAATCATTCCACCATAAAGACACATGCATGTGTATGTTCATCACAGCACTTTCACAATAGCAAAGACATGGAATCAAACTAGATGTCCATCAACAGAGGACTGTATAAAGAAAATGTGGTACACACACACCATGGAATACTATGCACCCATAAAAAAGAACGAAATCATATCCTTTGCAGCAACATGGATAGATGTAGAGGCCATAATCCTAAGAAAATTAATGGAGAAACAGAAAAGTAAACACCACATGTTCTCACTTATAAGTGGGAGCTAAATGATGAGAATACATGGGCACATAGAGGGGGACAACAGACACTGGGCCTACCTGAGGGTGGAGGGTGGGAAGAGGAAGAGGATCAGGAAAAATAACCAATGGTTACTAGGCTTAATACCTGGGTGACAAAATAATCTGTAAAACAAACCCCTGTGACATGAGTTTATCTATATAACAAACCTGTACATATACCCCTGGACTTAAAAAAATAAGTTAAAAAATGAAATAAAAAATGTTTATTGAGTATCTCAGGTGCTATGAGTGTGAGGTTCAGAGTCAAAGTGTAGGTAGGAGAACAAGGCAAACATTGGAAGGGTTGATAATACAAAGCCGGTGAAGAGGAAGAACATCTACTAGAGAAAATATTTGCCATGCAGTTATATGTGATAAAGTGATCTTTCTTGGACAATCTTAAAAGAGAAGGCTTTGAGCATGCTTGATATATACAAGTAACAATACACAAGATCAGGAGGAAATGGTAGAAAATACCAAGGGAGTTTTGCAGGGTGAGAGAATTTACATTCTTGATCAAGCAAAGCTTGTCATAAGAAGTAAATGCGTTTGGCTGAAGATGTAGGTAAAATCCACACTGTAAAGGAATTTGAATACACGGCTAAGGAGTTACAACTTTTTTTATGAGTCAGTGGGACACCAGCAAAGATGCTGAAGTGAGAACATATTTTTGGAAGGTTTTTTTCTTATGTAGGAAAGAAGCTAGATAAAACTTAAAAAGCTGTTAAAAAGATGGGTAGTAAAGTATTGAAGAATCAGTGAACCAAGAAATTCTTACAGGAATTAAGACCTGAAATAATAGGAATTTTAAGAGACAAGGACAGATGCAAATTAATATTGCAGGATGACTTCACGGAACTTGTGGACAGGAGTGCAATGCAAGTGAAATAATGCCTAAAAAGATGCTTATGTGCTAAGTGAAAGAAGCCTGACACAAGAGGACAAGTACTGCGTATTCCAGTTATTTGAGGTTCCTAGAACGGTCAATTTCATAGAAATGGAAACTAGAATAATGGTTAACAGGAACGGGAGAAAGGGAGGAATGAAAAGTTGGTATTTAATTGGTACAGAGTTTTAATTTTGGATGATGAAAAGTTTTGGAAATGTATGTGAATAATTGGCTTGTCTCCTGAATGAGCTGGGATTATTTCTCCTGTGTAGCTAGAAGATTTCTTATTAGCTATAACCTAACTGAAAAGGAAAATACAGATGTACTAGAGAAACTTGGGGTTAACTTTTTCTTTTTTAAAAATGTCAACTTTTAATTTGGATACACAGGTTACATGTGCAGATTTGTTACACAGGAATATGTGTGGTGCTGAGGTTTGGAGTATGGATCTTGTCACCCTGGTGACAAGTACCCAATCATCATAGTACCCAATAGGTGGTCTTTTAGCCCCCCTCTCCCCACATACACACTCTCTAGTAGTCCACAGTGTCTATTGTTCCTATATTTATGTACGTGTGTGCTCAATTCTTACCTCAGGTCAATGCTTAGGTCCTTCTTCCTCAACTTTTTGGAATACTTACAGTAGGAATGGTACCAGTTCTTCTTTGTACATCTGGTAGAATTTGGCTGTGAATCTGTCTGGTCCTGAGCTTTTTTGGTTGGTACACTATGACTAATTCAATTTCAGAGCTCATTTTTGGTCTGTTCAGGGACTCAGTTTCTTTCTGGTTCTGGCTTAGGAGGGTGTATGTATCCAGGAATTTATCCATCTCTCTTAGACTTTCTAGTTTGTGTGCATAGAGGTGTTCATAATATTCTCTGATGGTTATTCATATTTCTGTGTTGTCAGTGGTAATATCCCCTTTGTCATTTCTAATTGTGTTTATTTGGAACTTCTTTATTTTCTTTATTGGTCTAGCTAGCAGTCTATCTATTTTACTACTTTTTTCAAAAAACCAACTCCTGAATTTTGACTTTGTGAATGGTTTTTCAGGTTTCAATTTCCTTCAGTTTAGCTCTACTGTTTGTTCTTTCTTATCTTCTGCTAGCTTTGGGGTTGGTTTGCTCTTTGTTCTCTAATTCTTTTGGTTGTAATGTTAGGTTGTTAAATTGAGATCTTTCTAACTTTTTGATGCAGGTTTTTAGTGCTAGTAATTTTCCTCTTAACACTGCCTTTGCTGTGTCCCAGAAATTCTGTATGTTGTATCTTTGTTCTCATTAATTTCAAAGAACTTCTTAATTTCTGCCTTAATTTCATAATTTACCCAAAAGTTATTCAGTAGCAGGTTATTTAATTTCCATGTAATTGTATGTATTGAGTGATTTTCTTAGTCTTGATTTCTAATTGTATTGTGCTGTGGTTTGAGAAAGTGGCTGGTATGATTTCAGTTCTTTTGCATTTGCTGAGGGTTGTTTTATATCACTTCTGTGATGGATTTTAGAGTATATGCCATGTGGCAATGAGAAAAATGTATTAGGCCATTAAAAGTAATGGCAAAAACCGCAATTACTTTTGCACCAATCTGATATATTGTGTTGCTTTGGGGTGGAGAGTTCTGTTTCTGTAGAGGTCTGTCAGGTTAATAGACTGATCAAGTCCTGAGTTCAGTCCCTGAATATCGTTGTTAATTTGCTGCCTCAATGATCTGTTTAATTCAATCAGTGAGGTGTTGAAGTCTCCCACTATTATTGTAGAGTCTCTGAAGTTCTCTAAGAACTTGCTTTATGAATCTGGGTGCTCCTATGTTGGGTACATACATATTTAGGATAGTTAAGTCTTCTTGTTGAATTGAATCCTTTATCATTATGTAATACCCTTGTCTTTTTTATCTTTGTTGGTTTAAAGTCTGTTTCATCTAAAATTAGGATTCCAACCCCTGCCTTTGTCTGTTTTCCATTTGCTTGGTAGATTTTTCTCCATCCCCCTATTTTGAGCCTGTGGGTGTCACTGCATGACAGATGAGTCTCTTGAACACAGCATACCATTGGGTCTTGGTTCTCTATCCAGCTTGCCACTCTGTGCCTTTTAGTTGGGGGCATTTAGCCCATTTACAGTCGAGGTTAGTATTGATACATGTGGATCTGATTCTGTCATCGTGATGTTAGCTGGTTATCATGCAGACTTCTTTGTGTGGTTGCTTTATAGGGTCACTGATCAGTTTACTTCATGTGTTTTTGTAGTAGCTGGTATCAGTCTTTCCTTTCCATATTTAGTGCATCCTTCAGGAGGTGTTGTAAGGCAGGCCTGGTGGTAAGAAATTCCCTTAGCATTTGCTTGTCTGAAAAGGATCTTACTTCTCCTTTGCTTATAATGCTTAGTTTGGCTGGATATAAAATTCTTGGTTGGGATTTCCTTTCTTTACAAATGTTGAGTATTAGTCCCCAATCTCTTCTGTCTTACAGTGTTTCTCATGAGAAATCTGCTATTAATATGGTGGGCTACACTTTGTAGGTGATCTGACCTTTCTCTCTAGCTGCCTTTAACATTTTTCTTTCATTTTGACCTTGGAGAATCTGATGATTGCGTTTCTTTGGAATGATCTTCTAGTGAAGTAACTTACTGGGGTCTCTTTTCCTGAATTTGAATTCTGGCCTGTCTTGCTAGGTTGGGGAAGTTCTCACGGATGATATCCTGAAATATGTTTTCCAAGTTACTTCCATTCTCCCCATCTCTTTCAGGCATACCAATGAGTCATAGCTTTGGTCATTTTACATAATCCCATATTTCTCAAAGGTTTCATTCATTCCTTTTTATTCTTTTTTCTCTATTCTTGTCTGACTGTCTTATTTCAGAAATCCAGTCTTCAAGCTCTGAGATTCTTTCCTCAGCTTGGTCTCTTATGCTATTAATACTTGCAATTGCATTATGAAATTCCTGTAGTGTGTTTTTCAGGTCTATCAGGTCATTTACATTCTTTTCTATACTGGCTACTTTGTCTGTCAGCTCCTGTATTGTTTTATTGTGATTTTTAGCTTCCTTGGATTGGGTTGCAACATAATCCTGCATATTGTAATCTTCATTCCTATCCATATTTTAAATTATATTTCTGTCATTTTAGCCATCTCACCCCAGTTCAGAACCTTGCCAGAGAGTTAGTGTGGTCATTTGGAGGAAAGAAGGCACTCTGGCTTTTTGAGTTATCAGAGTTCTTGTCAGGGGGAAGAGGGTGGTCTGCTGTTCTTTATGCCTAGTTTCACTTTGGAGGCAGTGTTGGCACAGGGATGGGGTGTTGGCAGGGGTGGGGCTGGCCAGCTCTGTGCCCACCTAGGCTTGTGGTATGGCGGCATAGGGGGGTGGAGTGCACTCATGCTGGCAGCAGTGGCAGGGCAGGGTGCATGCACACATGTGCGCTGGTGGGGCAAGAAAGACAAGATCCACTCATGTGGCACACACACATGCTGGCAAAGTGATGTGGGCCGGGTTGGGGGGGGTGGGGGCAGGGTCAGTCCTAGACCCAGAGGAAATTGCAGCTGGGGGAGGAAGCAGGTGGGCTGGTGCATGTCTGTGGGGTCCACTCTGCTGGAGCTCTCTGCTGGTCAGGCACAATCCACCAGCATGGAAGCTAAGATGTGGACCTCCAGGTCACCGAAGGCTGCACTGCAAGCAGACACAGCCAGGCTGGAGCCCCAGGAGAGGGTATAGACCAAGGGGTTTCTCAAGTCACATCATTCTGGCTGATGGGCAAGACCATCCTGCAGAATTCAGGTCTGACAGTTTTCCTAGGACTAAAGTCTCCTAAGGGAGCAAGGTGAGCTTAGGGGGATGGGCATCCCTGGCCATGCTTCACTACAGACGTTCCTGTACTAAACCCTCTGGGCTCCACATTGGCTGTAGTGCTGCCCCACCACTTCTCTAAGCAGCTCTCCCTGCCAACTTAAGTGTCTATGGTGGTAAAGGTGTCTGCTCCTCCAGGATTCCAGAGGCCCATGGCAAGACTGGGTTGCTCCTTGACAGTTTACCTCACCTGTTCCCCATGATTCACTGGGGACCAGGAACAAGTCCTGATGCACGGTTGCCCCAATCAGGGTTCCCAGCTTCCTCCCCCTTCAGCCCAGCCTCTGTGTCTTCCCTCTAGCCACCCTCAGTGCCTTCCCTCTGAAGATCTCTTAGAAGTGCAGCCATCATCCCAGTCCCTCAGTGGCAGCTGCTCTACCTGGCTACATCTAGTTGGCCACCTTGCCCAGCTCAGCAGTTTTTAAACTTATGACATGGAAATTTAACACCTACAGATGGATGGATTAGTTACCCTTTATTTAAATCTTTCCCAGTCCTTTATTTTTGGTCAAAGTAGGAAACAATCTAGTCTCTGAATTCCTGAATAAATCTCAAGCCTTTACGAATACCATAGGTTACGATTGAAAGGGACAACTTGTCAAGGAGCTGCTACATAAAACTTTGGCCACTTGGCATGCTGCTACTCAAGTATGTGCGTTGCCCTTTGCCCATAGCTGCTTCCATTGATGGGGCTTGCACTAAGAGATGCTGCTAAGACATTACTTAGCATCTCTTCCCCGGGCTGAATATTTGGCTTTTATTGCAAATCATTTTCTCCTCATGTTTTAATACATTTCCACTTGCTTACAATTTATTATGCTTCACTGGACTCCACAAATATATTTTTAACGATGTAACTGTGTACCATTACTCAGGATTGCTGGCATCTCAGAGACAAGTTAATTTTTGCACTGTTGACGGTGATTATGAATTTGGCTAAGTCATTTCCAGTGATGAATATTATCCCCCAAAGGATAAGTTTCCATTCTCTTACTTGTTATCAGTCTGCCACCTCTCTGCCGACTACATTTCCCTTCTGCATTCTTTTCTTTTGTCCTCTCCCATGTTGGAATATGCATTTGTTTTTGTTTCTCCTCCTGGCCTGAGCTGCTATTTCCCCTACACATTCTCTTTCAGTAAGTCACACAGTTCTGTTACAAATACTGGATGCCTTCTAAAAGCACATACTCCATTACTCCATTCTCTCCTTCCAGCTCCCCTCAATGTGACCCAGGCAGTTAAATGGAAGTCTGCCGTTGCAAACCATTTGGGATGCACAATCTTAAAAGAACTAGGAATCAGATGGCAAAAAGCTGTCATCTGAAAAACAAATCCATGCAGGGAAGTGCTTGCCTATCAGCAAAGAACTCAAAGACCAGAATTAGCAGGTAAATTTTTTTGCTTGTGCAAAATTTGAGCTGACTCTATTAGCTTAGAAAAACTCCCAGATAAAGGGCCCAAAAAGTGATATAGAGGATATAGTTCTCTTATGCTTTTATCTTAGAAGTGTAAACAAGATTTTCTAAAACCCTCCTGCATTTTGTCTGAGAAAATTTTAAATAAAAATAAAGGAATATTCTATCCTCAATGGTTTACTTACCAATACAGAATAATGCATTCACTTTTCCTTTTTAACAAATATTTAATTGACAAAAATTATATATATTCAATATGCACCACATAATTTGATATATGTATACATTATGTAGTGATTGCCACAATCACTAATTAACACATCCATTGCCACCCATAGTCACCATTTGTGGAGGGGGGCAGTGAAGACACTTAAAATCTGATCTCTTATTAAATGGTTAAGTAAACAATACAATTTTATTACTATAGTCACCATGCCGTACATTAGATCCCCAGAACTTATTCACCTTATAACTGAGAGTTTCCACTCTTTGACCAACATCTCCCAATTTTCCCTAGCCCCTCCCTCTCTTTTTGAATTCATTCTTAAAAATCCCAAATCCTCTATGAAGTCTTCCTGATTTACATCTTCCCTTCTTCCAAGTCTTCTAACCTTTCTGCTTCCACCATTGATTTGATTTTGTTATTTCCTGCTTTGATTTGTGATGGTTTCTGCGTCTGTTATATGCTATAATCTCCCCCCCATGAAAACAAAACAAAACAAAAAACCTATGTAGTATTTCTTCATATGACTCATCAGATTTTGCACCATTGTCTCAACCAGAGTAAAAGCACAAAAACATATTAGTTGATGTATTTTTCTTTTTCTCCCCAGTCCAAATTAATCTCTCCTGCTCCAAGAGAATATCATGTAGCAAAATGTGCCTGTTAGAGTGGTGTGTGTGTGTGTGTGTGTGTGTGTGTGTGTGTGTGTGTGTCTGTGTGTGCAAGGGGGGGGCAGGGAGAGAGAGAGAATGTATCATAAAAGTTTTTATTTCAAGAAAGAAAAAGACCAGCAAGTATGGGTTGCATAAGTATGTAGTGCCCAATAAAGATGCTACTTAAAGTGAACCCTTGAAACAAAGTATCAGAATAAAACCATCTTCAGTGTGAAATTTACTAAGCAGTGGACAAGAGACTAGCATAAAGGAATGGACAAAAAAACTTAGATGAAAAACCATAAAGTCATTTTTGGAGAATGTGGAAAAACAACAGATAAAAATCATAGTATGAGCCCCTAAAGCAAAATGTGGATACATCAGAGAATTCAGGATGCTTCAGACCTCACCCAGTATCTTGTAGTTACCTTAGCCAAAATGATCCAGAGGTAAGTATAAGAACATAATGTAGATCCTTCAAAGTCATTATATTTAAAAATAGTACATCGTTCTCATTCTGAGTGTGGATTCCAATTTCTCCCCTGAACAGAGAAGTAAGTGCAGCCATTTCACATTACCCTAAATAACTAAAAGTCTCCATGTCCGTGGCTGGAGTCCCCAAACAGGATTGTGGACATCCAGAGGAACCCAATAGCTTATTTGGAGAATCACTGGCTTAGCATTGCAGAAGACAGGATTTCCTAAGTGACACAATTATCTATAAGTGAATTTCATGCAAAAATTTTAAATTATCACATTTTCTAAACCTATAATGTTTGACTCCAGTAAGGAGAGGAAATAGGAAAGAAGGCAAAATTAAGTAAAAACCTAGTTGGAAAAAACAGAAACAAACAAATAAAAGATGAAAACATCAAGAAAATGTAAACATCAAGGGGCCTCAGCTTGGAAATCCTGGCAGAATAACAGGCAGCCTTTAAAATCTTATTCCCTTGAGTCAGGAAAAAAATAAGAGTCAGAAGAAAGCTCATAATCTTTTTTGGGGCTGCTTAACCAATTTTAGTCAGCAAAATTAAGCAACTTTTATCTGCTTGGCAATTGAATAAACAGAGAAGTTTAAAGCAATAGAAGCTTTAAGTTACAGGTAGCTGCCAAAGGAAAATCTTATCTGTTGAAAAAGCAAGTTCAGCACTTGGCTGTAGAGGTATGAAAGTCTGGAGATAAGGTGATGTGGTATCATTTAATTAGCAGCCACCCAATGGTGGCTCAGAAGAGATGCATTCTGCTTCTTAAGAAGTTAAGGCCAACTTGGTCTGTACCAGAAAAACACACTTTAACCTATGTTGTGCTCCCTCCCTCCTCCCTTCCCATCTTTCACACATTTCCATACCCCCTTCTATCCTTTGCTCCTAGTATTTCTCCTTTTATTCTCAATAAAACCAGTCATTTAACTTTAAAATCTGTCCAATTTCAGTTGCTTAAATGTATGAACTTGCTTATTCCTGTAAAATAAGCAGCCCTCACATACTCTGAAAACAAAAAAAGGAAATCAATTCAGATTTATATTTTTAAAGAAAAAAGTGTTCTAAAATTTGATGAAAAAATAGATACACAATTTTTTTTACCACAGTGATTAAACAAAATACGACTTTCAACTAAAATATAAAAGAAACTGCCATCTCAAAGTATCATATTTATATAGAAATATATAGTGAAGAAAGGCAAATAAAAGTCTCATAAGTACCTGAAATTAAAAAATACAATACAACATAATACAATATTACGGAGTTATGAAAAAAAATCTAGCATGTTACTAAGGATTTTTGTTTCTATTCTTTCTTTCCCATCTGACTGCTCCCCTTCTTCTCCTCCCTTCAGGGTTTCTAACCTTATTGAAGATACTTTCTAGCAGTATAAGGCATCTAATACCATTAATATGTGCATATAGTGGACAATTCCACTGAAATGGAGTTTTTTAAACAGATTAATAAAGCCTGAGATGGAGCAATAGATATTTCAGTATCTGAGTGACAACAAAAATGGATGTGTGTATAAATCAGAGATAGATTCCTCTCCTGAGACAGGATTCAATATATTGTATTGAAAAGGTATTATAGTTAGGCTCAAGAAAGAGTGAATTACAGTGAAAAAAAGAGAGCCCTCACCAGTAACCTACTGTTGTGGATGTGAATCAACACAATACTAACAAATACATGAAACAAAATCATAGCCTGGATAATTCTTAAGCAAACAGAGACCACAGTGTAGGGGAAATAAGTAATGAAATTCAATTTAACCACTAGTGCATTTCTCTGGGCCAAGCATAATTTTTGTAAAACACATTGAAACAACTTACTTACATAAGCTAAGTATTGGATTTAGTAAAAATGGCTAAATATACTTGCCAATTACTCCTTCTCAACCCACAGGCAATTCTACGGCTTCCAAATGAAAACAGAATAGAAGTAGATGTCTTTAACAGGTAATAAAAAATTTTTACTTAATTCCCAAAATATTCATTTTTATATTTATTTTTGCAATAATGCTGTATATTTATAAATTTATTATTTCTATTTATAAAAGTAACAAGTGGATGTTGCAAAAATAATACTAAAATAAAGGTCATCAGTAATACCACCAATCCCAGTGTAATCACTGTTAATGCGTGATATGGTTTGTCTGTGTCCCCACCCAAATCTCATCTTGAATTGTAGTTCCCATAATCCCCACATGTGGTGGGGGGGACCTGGTGGGAGGTAATTGAATCATGGGGGTGGTTTCTCCCACACTATCCTCGTGATAGTAAGTTCTCACAAGACCTGATGGTTTTATAAGGGGCTTCACTTAGCTCTCATTCTTCTCTCTCCTGCCACCATGTAAAGAAGATTGTGTTTGCCTCCCTTTCCATCATGACCGTTAGTTTCCTAGGCCTCCCCAACCATGCAGAACTATAAGTCAATTAAGCCTCTTTCCTTTATAAATTACCCAATCTTGGGCAATTCTTTATAGCAGCGTGTGAAAGGACTAATACAACATGCTAGAATAGAATTATAATATTTCAGATATTTTTCTCTTTATACATATATATGCCTTTGTGCTTATATATCTTTTTAAATAAAATCATAGTAGATGGACTGTGGATAATCTATTTCCTTTACAGTGTGTAGCAGACTTTTTTCACAATAATACAGATCTACATCACCATTTCAATGTATTTTATAATTGTACTATAATTACATAACCAATATCTTAGTGATAGATATATGAGGTTTTTATATTTTTTCTATCATAATCAAGGCCTCAATAAACATTCTTATGCATTTGTCTCTACATACATTATATATTCACTTTTGAATTAAACATAAAATTTGTTTCTCACAAATATTGAAGGAAGCAACACTTCCCTACAGCCATTCGCTATTCTCCAAGTTTTTATTTGACAGCTTTATATCTGGATAAATTCTTGGAGACACTTTGCTAGAACTTTACATTAAGCACACAGACACATACAAAAACACAAACACACACATAAGATCCTGGAAAAACAGTAAAATATCTTCAAACAATGGAAGACAGACAGATGGCAAACCAAAATACGAATAGTGACGGTTAGGGGTATTTCATAAAATATGATGCAAATTTGGCTTTAAAGATACCGGTATGTGTAAACATGACTATGATAATAGTGGCCATCCAAAGGAGTAATTAACTGTAGCTATTTAAATATATTTTTACATACGGTATTGTTTTAAATGCATGTTGATGTATGAGAAATGATGCATGCTAAATAAGAAAATGCACCTGCAAAAGCTGTTATGATTTAAATATTTGAGATTAATATTCCAAAACTAAAAGCTGCACTATCCAGAGTTTTAAAATGTTGACTCCTATAATTTTCAAAGAAGACCAGGCACTGTAATGATCATAGCTGAAAACAAAAAATCCAACAAAATTATAGAAGCAAATAGACAGATATGGCCTTTAATTTCATGGTAGTCACATTCTAGTTAGAGAAAAATACAATAAACCAATAAAAACTAATCATTGAGATCATTTCCAAGAATGATAAGTACAGTAAAGGATACATGTATTTAATGCAGGGTGATGTGGTAGAAAGTAACTGGGTTCACAGGGAAAAAGAAACATCAGATCAGGTTGTCTGAGAAAGCCTCTGCTGAGAAGATAGCTCATAGGTAACAAAATGTTGAGAAAGAAGCACACAAGAAAAGATCAGGGAAGGGCATCCTTGTCATAGAAACTAGCAGGTACAAAAGCCCTGAGTGAAATAGTGTGAAATGATTAAAAATCAGACCAAAAGGCCAGCATGTTCGGAGATGGTGTGGAAGAGGGAAATATTAGAAGATCAAGTCTAAGAGGTAGGAACCTTCTAACCAAGGTAGAGCAAACTATCCCCCACAGGCCTAATCTGGTCTGCTGACAGTTTTTATAGACCCACCAACTAGAAATGGTTTTCATTTTTTAAGGATTACATTTTAAGTAGTTTTATAAGTATGTACATAATATCCTCTTGACTCTCAAAACCTAAAATATTTCTCATCTTTTGGCCCTTTACAGACAAAGTTTATCCCTCCCCTCTCCCACCCCATTCTAGACCATGGTAAGAATTTCTATTTTAATATAAGTGCAAAAGGAAGGCATTAAAGGTTTGGTATAATTTCCATGTTTTGGAGATCATTCTGACTGCTATGTGGGGACTGCCCACAAGGAATGCAGGCAGGGAACACAGTTTGAGGCTACAGCAGTAGGCCAGGTGAGATATTCAAGTCATTCAAAAGAGAAAACTTCTAGGATAGGAAAGAACACTGCAAGTTGTACTCTGTCATGCGAGCATGCCCTCAATTAATTAGCACTCTCTATAGTTTCAACACTGGCAGTCCAAGTTGAAGGTAAAGGAGAATGTGGTTCATAGATGGTTCAATGACAGCTTATGTAACTCAAACATTCTTTTATGATATGATAGGCCAGTATTTACTCAAATTGCTCCAAAAATAAGGAATTCATTTGTAGCATGTAGAAACAAACATAGTATATGCCTTATTTAGATAATTCTGATAAAAGGACCACTGGTGTTGCTGGTGTTGCTCATTCTGAGTACCAAATTTTGACCCTAAAAAATAAGGGGTCCACCTAGGCTGGAGAACTTATAATGGCAATAACTTAAGAAATCTTTACTTAGACCTTCATAAAGATATCACATTCCTTTTTTTTAGTTATCATGAATATAATATCACCATGTATTGTCAGTGTCGGTTCAAAGACCAAAAATGGAGATGGAATGTGGAGACAAGAAAGAATTGAAGTCAGAGTTGTGCAGACTACACCCCAGAAAAGAGGGAGTAAATAACAACCTGGTCCAAAATCCTGCTGAGTACCAGAAAGTTGTAAGGAGAAACAGAACTGAGTAGATAAGCATAAGGAAGAAGAGCAAAGAACTGAAGAAATAGCCAAGTCCATGGAAATGGCACAAAAGAAGTTATGAGGGTGAACTGACCAATGCACCAAAATAGAATCTTTCTTACCAGTGATGGTTCCATAACTCAACGTACTTGTTCCAATTCTTATCTCCAAGATGTCTTATAAGCAGATCCCAACACTGAAGAAACCCAGTGCTCTTTATACATATATAATCTACCTTAAATATAGGGACAGGGAAAATAATATTTTTCTATGTGTTTTAAATTATAGTAAATTCTTATTTCCCTTATCTACCCTCAGGCTACTTCATATTCATTCCAGTTCAAGAGACTTATTTTGCCTGAAACCACTGACTTTGTCTTGCACATTATGTATCGCCCCAAGGCCAAGCAATCTGTTGGCCCCTTCCCCATTACAGCAATTAGTTTAATGGAAGACAGTTTAACTGAGACAGAGTCTCAACCCAGGATTTGAGACAGTAAAGGCAAACCTTCATCCAACATCTTCTTTGTACTACTTCTTAAAACACACATACAAAATACAGAAAGTTAATGTGACTTGAAGAAGATAATGCCTGATTATTTACATATTTCAACTAAATCGAATATCCAATTATTTTAAACATTAGAGAAGGACAAATCTCTTTGCTTCTTTCTCCCCTCCTCAGTCTTTGACCAGAATTCAAAGACATACCACCAACAAAGTATAGAACTACTTATTTCTGCAAGAGTCCATCAACAAACCATCCTTCCAGCCTCAATTACCAAGCCCAACAGTTGCCTGACAACCTTTTGAAATTTAACTATGAAGAGGAGTTGCCTTTGTTAATCAAACATGATTTTCAGTTTTTGAAGTCATAAACCGTTACTGATAACAGTATTATTGCAATTTGAGATTTAGCAGCTCCTTGACTTTGGTCATCTTTTTGTTTGCTTCCGTGGTCTAAAAGTATTTCAAAGATGTTTTTCTGAAACCAATAGACCTTACCAGGGTGATGCTTAAACTTTCAAGTCCCATTAGCCACTAAGGACTCCCAATAGAAAACGACATTAACTGAGTCTTTTTTTTAAATAAGTAACTGTGCAAAGATTATACGGACTAATTATTCATCTGACTGGCTTCTTAAAGGTGTTGAAAGGAGAAATAAGTGCACTTAGGCAGTACCTTGACAAATGTCTCTTACTCCTTGACCTGATTATTCAGTTTCTTATGTGTGCGGTTTTATTAGTGTTGAAGCCAATTTTTTAGGCACACATTCTGAAATTACAATAAAAATTAACTTCATGTTTAAATATACAAATATTCATTTTACACTTCATTATATAGAGCAGATACAACTCATAAAGCAAGGTCAGGTCATGTTCTTATTGCAGTCCTTCACTGGGACTACTAAAAAATTTGCTGATGCTAAAATGGAAGTCAGTATCTGTTAGGTTGAGTACATGTCTGTTATTATGTGTAGCAACAGGTGACTATATCCAAAAGAGAAAAGTGTGAATTGAAAGATGTGTTTCAATTGTTTGAGATGGTTTCTTGAATGAGATGATGATATGTTTCATGATATTTAGTACTAGAATATAAATTGATATTCTTTCATTTCCTGTATTTTGAAAGATGTTCCATTAATATAAATGATCATTTTTATAAAACACTTTTAAGAGATAACAATAAAGAATTCATTACATGAGAACTTCGAAGGCCTATCCTTGATTGCTTTCATTATAACCAAAGTAGAAAATCCCTTTAATATGGTAGTTCTGATTAATCAAAATGGTCAGATCTACCCTTAAATGAAGCAGCAGTAGAAAAGCAGCAGTTGAAAGAACAAACTCCAGATTGAAAAGGAATAAAAACAAAGATGGAAAAACTGTACCTTTTGGTAAGATGATCCATTTAAGCTCTAATAAATAAGCCACTCACGTTTTCCTTTCAATGGAATGACCCCCAACACACATGCAAATTCTGAGTTGAAAAACAAAGGGAAAATTTAAAAAATAAACTCTGCCATTTTGCCTCTTAAGCTTGAACCCATTCGCCCAACTGCTGAGATCTTATTGGGAAGTTGCTGATCACCAGTTTCAGGTGTTTTCTACCTGTTGGGAGACAGCCCTTCCCTGGCACAAGCTGTGACTGATTATTATTTTAGAAAGGCAGTTAACAACCACCTGATCATCACCAGATAGACATTCCTGGTGGGGGAAAGTGGAGCCCTCTCCTACTCTCCTCATGCCTCACTAGCTACCTACTGTAACAGTCATGGTGACTAAATCTGAAAACTCCAAAGTGACAACTAGATGAAAATTTTAACCAGGCTGTACTATTAAATGTTACTAGATTGAGAGTCCAGGAGGCATGGTGAAGGAAACATCAAATAGCAAAAAGCACATTAGTAAATTGAATTTATTATTATCATAATTATTTGCGATAGGATCTCATTCTCTCATCCAGGCTGGAGCATAGTGGCATGAACATAGCTCACTGCAGCCTCAAACTCCCAGGTTCAAGTAATACTCCCACTTCAGCCTCCTGAGGAGCTGCGACTACAGACACACACCACCATGCCCAGCTAATTTTTAAAACTTTTTGCATCATAAGGGTCTCACTATGTTGGCCAGGCTGGTCTCAAACTTCCGGGTTCAAGAGATCCTCCCACCTCCACCTGCAAAGTGCCAGGATTACAGGCATGAGCCACCAGGTGAGCTGAATTAATCATTAACTATAATGATTAATTGTAAAAATGATAGCTAATATTTATGGATTTTTATTCTGTTTAGTTATACAAGATCCCAGTCAACAAAAAGAAGAAAAAGTATATAAAATGATAAAATGAGTAATGAAAATGTACAAACATCCCTTTTATACTCAGAAGCAATAACCTTAGAATTTGTAAAAATAAATATATATGTATATATCAACATATAAATATACACATGCATATATACATATATGCAGTTAAGTATACATATTATAAATTTAAGAGTAATTATGAATAGAAATAAGATATACAGCTCCCAAACCAGTGGAGAGTTTTAAACATATAGAAATAAAGAAAATGCTTTTAATCAAAGGCAGAAAAGTAAGGCAAAATAAGATTCAGCAGAAATAGAAGAATGTAACCAGAAGGCACAAAAATGTAAAAAATATCAATTATTAAAAAATATAAAGTGGCTGGCTGCAGTGGCTCATGCCTGTAATCCCAGCACTTTGGGAGGCCGAGGTGGGCAGATCACAAGGTCAAGACATCGAGACCATCCTGGCCAACATGGTGAAATCCCATCTCTACTAAAAAATCAAAAACTAGCTGGGCATGGTGGCATGCACCTGTAGTCCCAGCTACTCAGGAGGCTGAGGCAGGAGACAGGAGGCTGAGGCAGGAGAATCACTTGAACCCAGGAGGTGGAAGTTGCAGTGAGCCGAGATCACACCACTGCACTCCAGCCTGGTGACAGAGCAAGACCTTATCTCAATAAATAAATAAATAAAACTATTAATATATCTGTTTAAAAGTAGATATTATTTGGTTTGGATTTTTAACTCACCTTTATGCTACTTCTTAAAATCATATAGAAAACAAGCAACAAAGAAGATTTGAAGAGAAAGAAAAAATACGTTTTGCAATAATAATCAAAAGGAAGCTAGAGTGACAACAGTAATAGCAGACAAAATAGAATTTAAGGCAAAATCATTGATAATAGAGGGGACACTACATAATAAGAACAATAATAATTCATCAAGAAGATATAACAATCATTCATCAATATACAGTGTACCCAACAAAAAGTTTGAGAAATACATATATTTTTTTAATTGACATAATTAGAAGGATAAATTTACACATCCAAATTGTTTCAGGATATTTTAACACAGGTCAATCCAAAATTCATAGTTCACACTTTCTTTGTTTCTTTCTTTTCTTTCTTGAGACAGGGTCTCACATTGTCACCCATACTAGAGTGCAGGGGTACAGTCATAGCGCACTGGAGCTTCAAATTCCTGGGCTTAAGCAATCCTCCTACCTCCCAAAGAGCTGGTATTATAGGCATAAGCCACTGAAACAATTACAAAATTATCCATTCCCTAGGTCCCAAAGTACTTCTTAAAATATTTTTAAATATCACTTAAATTATATAATTGATCATGATTAAAATATAAATTAATATGAAAAGTTTAAACTTGCAAGTTTTTTTAATATACTACTAAATAACTCATGAATTAAAACAAAAGCACTATAGAAGTTAGGAAAGTTGTAATAGCAGAATGATAATAGCAGTACCTATCAATAGCTACCGGATGAAGCTAATGTGATATTTCAAGAAAAATTATTCACATTTTGACAATTTTTTCTTGCTCACAGACCACAGGCAGGACCAACTTGGTCAATCAGAGTTCCAAGAACATCAAAACTCAAAAGGAAGGAGATGGAACTTCAGTCTCTTTCCCCCTTGTAACATCCTCAATGGAGTCTCATCCACTCTGAGTCTACTTTATTTGCTTTAGTCTCCATCCCCAGCAGCCATAAGAATTTTCCTTCTTCATATTGAAAGAGAACTTCCTTTACATCATGTCTTGGATACTATTTACACTTATAATTTATAAGACTCTTTTCATGCCTGTAGTCCCAGCACTTTGGCAGACAAGGCAGAAGGATTGCTTGGGCCCAGGAGTTCAAGACCAGCCTGGGCTGGTGAGACCCTATCTCTACAAAGAAAAAAAATATATAATTAGCTGGGCATGGTAGCACATGCCTGTAATCCAAGCTACTCAAGAGGTTGAAGCAGTAGGATCCCTTGGGCCCAGGAGTTTGAGGTTACAGTAAGCTATAATCACGCCACGGCACTCCAGCCTGGATGACAGAGCAAGACCGTGTCTCAAAAAATAAAATAATCTTTTCAAAATCATCCAAGGCTTTTTCTTTACAGTAATTAGAAAATTAAATAATTTTTCAAAAAACTGTTTTTACCTTTCAACAAAGTTTAGCCATCATAATTATTCCCTGACTGGGAATTTTAGTTCCATACTCAAAGTTGAGACATGATATTTTTCTACCAATCAGAAGCTATCTACCTTTGAAGCCATAAATCCCCTTGTTCATAAAGGAAGTAACCATGCACTCTGTGATTAGGGAGGTATAAAATATACGTGGGCTCAATATTTTCAAAAATAGTACTCCTATACTTCCAGTTTATGCTCCCAGATGTAAGGAGCTTGGAAGTTGCTGGTCTATGCTAATGACAAGTTAAAAACTGAACAGATTGAAAAATCAACAACTCTTCTTGGATCCATAAGACATGGAGGACACAGGGCAAACGGCTGCCCCCAAATTGGAGAGACAGGTAGACAAATATGGGGAGTCATGGCATACTGAGCAGAGACTCACAAGTAGAAACTGCCATGGGTACCAGTGCCAAAGTAGGAAAACCTGAACTGTAAGTGATAAATTGCCAGAGGCTCAGTGTGAACAGTTTTGAGAGTTAAAAACTCCAATCATAGGGGAGCTCTCACAGTCTTGTGAGATTTACTTCCATGAGCTCAACCAGGTTCCCACAGTAAATATTAGAGAAAAATCCACCGCCACTCCCCTGCCATGCTTCCAGCAGGGGAAGGAAAAAAAGGAACCATTTTGAAATACATCAAAGCACTCTTTTCCTCTTAATAAGGACCGCCCTCAGAAGAATCTCATTAATCAGAGCCTAACCTACTGGTGTATTACCAGAGTCTAATTGACCTGGGAACAGAAATTCTCAACTCTAGTCAGCTCTAGTCTTCCACCTGGAAGCAGGAAAATATCCAACTCCAGCTCATTCTAGCTATGTTGTTCCACATAAGAGGGAAAGCAAATGAATTAGAAACACTTGTGACGTTCACACAGTCCAGAGGCATAAGCTCACTAAAAGACTGAGACCTAATCACAGGACCATAAAACGCTTTCTCTCCCCCTACACCTCATCACCACATTACCAAAGGCCTATGTACAGCAGTTCTTTTTACCCAGTACATCATGTCCAGCTAACAAGAAAAAATTACAAGGTATATTAAAGGACAAAAAAGCCACAATTTGAAGAACTAGAGCAAGCATCAGAATAAGACATGGCAAAGATATTGGAATTATCATACTGGGAATTTAAAACAACTGTGATTAATATGTTAAAGGTTCTTACAGATTAAGTAGACAGTATGAAAGAACAGATGAGCAATGTAAGTAGAGAGATGGAAATTCCAGAAAGAACAAAAAAGAAATGCTAGAGACCAAATATACTGTAACAGAAATGAATAATTTCTTTGTTGGGCTTGCTAGAAGACTGGACATGGCTGAGGAAAGAATCTCTGGCCTTGAGCATATAACAGTAGAAACTTTGAAAACTGAAAAGCAAAGATAACAAAGACTGGAAAAAAAAAAAACAGAATATCCAACAACTGTGGGACAACTAAAATAGATGTAACACACATGTAATAGGAACACCAGAGGTAAAAGAAAAAGAAAAGAGAAAAAGAAATATTAAAACAATAATGACTGAGAATTTTCTAAACTTAATGTCAGACACCAACTACAGATCCAGGAAGCTCAGAGCCCACCAAGGAGAATAAATGCCAAAACAAACTAACAATGAAACAAAGAAACCCTACATCTAGGCCTGTTCCAAGACTGGGTAATTTATAAAGGAAAGAGGTTTAATTGACTCACAGTTCTGCATGGCTGGGGAGGCCTCAGGAAACTTATAGTCAAGGTGGAAGAGGAAGCAAACATGTCCTTCTGCACATAATGGCAGGAAGGAGAAGAATGAGTGCCCAGCAAAGGGGGAATCCCCTTATAAAACCATCAGATCTTATGAGAGCTAGCTCACTATCACAAGAACCAGATGGGGGAAATCGCCCCATCTTCATTATCTCCACCTGGTCCCTCCCACAAAACATAAGGATTATGGGAACTACAATTCAAGGTGAGATTTGGGTGGGGACACAGACAAACCATATCACATATCATTTTCAAACTACAGAAAGTCAAAGATCAAGAAAAAATCCTGAAAGAAGACAGGGAAAATTTAAAAAGCAATCTTGCCTATATAGAAACAAAGATAAGAATTACATCTGACTTTTCCTGAGAAACCATTTACTATGAGCTAAATATCCCCCAAATTTCATATTTTTGAAATGAGATTGTTGAAACTTAATCCCCATTCTTGTGGTACTAACAGGTAGAGCCTTTGGGGAAGGGATTAAGTCATGAGGGCAGAGCCATGGATTACAAGTGCCATGTAGTAGGGCACTTACAAACGGGCTTGAGGGAGTGAGTTGCCTCTCATTTTCTCTTCTGCCATGTGAAGACACAGTATTCATCCCCTTTTGCTTTTTTTCCCTTCTGCCATGCTGGGACACAGCATTCATGCTGCCATCTTGAAGACAGAAACTGGGGCCCTCACCAGACACTGAACTTGCTGGTACCTTGATCTTCAACTTCCCAGCCTCCCGAACTGTGAGAAGTAAATTTCTGTTCATAAATTACCCAATGTGTGGTATCTTATTGCAGCACAGACTGAGACACCATCCAAGCAAGTAGACACTGGAGTGAAATATTAAAAGTGTTGAGAGAAAATATCATCAACCTAGAATTCTGTAACATACAAAATTACCCTTCAATAGAGAAGGAGAAATAAAGATTCTCAGACAAACAAAAACTGAGGAAACTTTTTGCAGGTAGACCTGCCTTCCAAGAAATGTAAAAAGAAGTTCTTTAGAGAAATGGAAAATAATACAGCTCAGAAATTCATATCTATATTAGGGAAGACCATCAAAGAAGGAAAAGTGAAGGTAAAGTAAAACATCTTACTTTTTCTTATTCTTAGTTGATCGAACAGGTAACAGTTTGTTAAAAATATAATACCAACAATGTACTCAGTTATATATGCTTATATCTAATGTGTGTATATACATACACATAAGCATGCAGGTATGTGTATATATAAATGGGGGAGAGGGAGAAATTAGAATTATTTCACAATAAAGTATTTTCATAACTCATAAAGTGATAGAGTGTTATTTTAAAGTGGACTTATATTCATGGTAAATGTATACGACGTATATTGCAAACTCTATAGGAATCACTTTAAAAGTAAAAATATAGTATAAGTGGTGCTGGAACAACTGCACAACTACATGCAGAAAATTTAATCCAGACACAGACTTTATGCCATTCACAAAAGTTAGCTCAAAATAGATCATAAACCTAAATGTCAAATGCAGAAGTAAAACTCCTGGAATATAACATATGGGAAAACTGAGATGACCGTGGGTATGGTGATTAGTCCTTAGATACAGCACCAAAGGCATAGTCCATGAAAGAAATAATTGATAAACTGAATTTTATTAAAGTTAAAAACTTCTGCTCTGCAAAAGACAATGTCAAAAGAATGAGAAGACAAGCCAGAGACTGGGATAAAATATTTGCAAAGGACCTATCCAATAGATGAAAGTTATCCAAATTATATAAATAATTCAACAATAATAAAACAAATAACCCAATTTTTTTTTAAATGGGCCAAATACCTGACTAGACACCTCACCAAAGATATACAGATACAAATAAGCATATTAAAAGATGCCGCCCTACATCTTATGCCATCTGAGAAATACAAACGGAAAGGACAATGAGATACCACTACTCACCTATTAAAGTGGGTAAAATCCAGAATATTTACAACAGGAAATGTCCATTAGAATGTGCAGCAACAGGAATTCTCACTCTTGCTGATGAGAACGCAACAGTGTACACCCACTTCAGAAGACATTTTGGCGATTTCTTAGAAAACTAAATATGCTGTTACCATACAATCCAGGAATCATGCTCCTTGGTATTTAACCGAATAAGTTGAAAACTTATGTTCACACAAAACTCTGCATATGAATGTTTATAGTAGCTTGATTCAAAATTGTAGGTACATGAATAAATAAACTGTGGTAGAGCCTAACAATGGAATATCATTCAGAGCTAAAAGGAAATGAGCTCTCCAGCTTTGAAAAGACACTGAAGAACTTTAAATGCATATTAGTATGTTTTAAAAAAAAGCCAATGTAAAAAGCCTACGTATTATATTATTGCAACTATATGACATTGCAGAGAAGGCAAAACTATGGGGGCAGAAAAAGACCAGTGGTTGCCAAGGGTTAGAGTGAGGGAAAGGATGAATTGGTGGAGCACAGAGAATTTTTAGGGCAGTGAAAATATTCTGTGTGATACTATATTGGTAGATACACAAAATTATATATTTGTCTAAAACCGTAGAATGTAACACACCGAGAGAACCCTAATGTAAACTATAGATTCTGGGTGATGATATATCAATGTAGTTTCATCAGTTATAACAAACATACCCCTCTGGTAGAGAATGTTAACAATGGATGAGACTATGCATGCAGGGTGGACAGTGGCAAAGGGTATTCAGGAAATCGCTGCATCTTCTCTTTAATTTTGATATGAACTTAAAACTACTCTTAAAAAATAGCCTTAAAAATAGTATCCCCAATAGGAACCCATAAACAGTGTTATCAGCTACCAATTGTTAGATAAAGTTATTATAGTAAAATATAAAATATTTCCCTTCTCCTAAGAAACCTAGAGCCTGGATGATGTATTAAGGCCTACCTATAATAAAACAACTCTCCACAAAAGGCAATAAAGTATTAATTGTGTAATGTGGGAATGCAATCAGAGTTAGAGTGGAAAAAGATAATTTCAAGATGAAGTCCTCTGATAACAGGGGGAACTGATGGGGTCTTGAATGGTAGATGAAGCTGTAATAAATAGGAAGGAGGCATTCTGAGACAGGGTACTAAAGGAAAAGTTAGAAAACAGGCTTATCACTATTCACAATAGCAAAGACATGGAATCAACCTAAATGTCCATCAGTGAGAGACTGGATAAAGGAAATGTGATACATATACACCATGGAATACTATGCAGCCATGTAAAAGGAACAAGATCATGTCCCTTGCAGAAGCATGGATGGAGTTGGAAGATACTATCCTCAGCAAACTAATGCAGGAACAGAAAACCAAACACTGCATTTCTCACTTATAAGTGGGAGCTGAATGATAAGAACACATGGACACATGATGGGAAACAACGCACACTGGGGCCCGTCAAAGGGGGCATGGGAGGAAAGAGAGAGCATCAGGAGAATAGCTAATGGATTCTGGGCTTAATACCTAGGTGATGGGATGATCCATGCAGCAAACCGCCATGGCACACAGTTACCTATGTAACAAACCTGCACGTTCTGCACATGTACACCAGAACTTAGAATAAAAGGTGAAGAAAAAAACTAAGAAAGAGTATACTTTAGAGACTTAGGGAAATGTCTTTGTTTTAAAAAGTGTACTGTAAAAAAATTAAGAATTAAAAAACATTAAAAATAAATAATAATAAAAGAAAACAGGCTTATTGATAGGACAGAGTGGTTCCATGTAATGAAGCTGAGAATGTGGGTTTCTTTGTAAAGAAGTCAAGGGAGACACGCCTGAACAGGCAGGCTGTGGCAAAGCTGGCAATAGGGCAATAGGGGTGGAGGGACTCTAAATGTTTAAAATGTTCCGACTCTGATCTCTAGGCAATAAAAACCTGCTAAAGATTGTAGTGAGGGAAAATGCCATAGTTGAAGAACTTCTAGAAAACTCTTTGGAAAGAGCATACAGGTAGAAAAGAGGGTATTTTAAGTGGGAAGAAGGGCTGGTCATGTAAACAAATTATTTAATTTTGTCAGATGAGTCAACTGAGAGAGTCAATGATGTGCCTCAAGACTTGTGGATGATAGAGCAAGGAGTCAAAATCAAAGCTATTAACCTATCGCCTTGAACATATCTATTAATCTATGTCATTCCTTTCAGGAATTATTTCAGGTGAAATTAAAGTATGTGAAGTTTGTGTTCAAGTCCTACAGTTTACTTTTTCCTCCAAGCGTCACAGTACATTCTACTCCACCACAATTAACAACTCCAACCTCAGCCCTTTCATCTTATCGCAAATCACACACCTGGAACATTCTTCTCAACCTTCCAAAACCCCTTTCAGGAAAAGACTCTGAGAAATGGATTTTATATAAAGATACAAATGTCTAATAAAATTTTAATAAATAAACATCTCTCTAAGATGTCTGATTTTAAGATATAACACAGAGGAATGTTACCCTCATGGCAAACATCGAGACATATTTTGGTAAAGAAAAGTCTTTCTGACGAGCCTGAAAACATAGATATATAGGGGGCCTCCTATTGATAACCATCCTACTTGTGGAAAATTGCTCCAGAAACATATTTACACTCTCTTGTCCTATCATTGTGGCAGACAAAGGTGACACTGGAGAAAGTGAGAGGAAAGAGAATAAGGTTTGCAGCCCACAGGGAATGCTGGTGGGTCAAGCTGTGAAAATGACTTGTAAGCATCACAAGTTATTATTGCAGCAACACAGAATGGCAATGAATCACTGCACAACAAGCTTCCTGAGTCTCTGGAAATTGTCTCCCCATAAAATAAGGAAGTAATTCTTGTTTTTAAGAGGAAATAGATGCATACAATATTTGGCTTGAAGAAGAGGCCTGCCCTAGAAAAGACAGGGTTCAGTCTACATACAGATCCATTATTGTGATGGTCAGCAAAGAGAAGTGTCTGGAAGTGTGATTTAGCCATCAAGAAATTACATTTTTGGAACTGCTTTGACTATATATATATATACTACAGGTCAAATCCCATTATAGGAAAGATTATTACACTAACAGCCCACTTTTCTTCTGAGCATTCATAACTACGTTAGTGTATACTTCTCTTTCACCTTGGATACCTAAGGGAATATGATCCAGAAAAAGGAACACTCAGTGGAAAAAGGAGGAGTCACAGTTCTCTGCTTCTTGGAACATAAAGAAGTGCTGAGTGTTGAACTCTGTGGTCTGCCTCTTCTGGCACATGTCATGGCTATAAGAAAATGAGTCAAACTAAAGAATGGACAGAATTAGCATATGCTTGCTAATGCTAATTTCATGATTACCAACAGGCTTTCTGATTCCTGAGCATTTCTACCTTCATTAAGCTTCTAACTGAAATGCCAGTGAAACTTTACAGCTAACTCTACAGCTAACCCAACTGTCTCTCTCATTTGCTATAATGCCAGCACTGACCTCATCTCTTGCTTTCATCCACCACTCCCCACAGCATTTGTACCCCCTCTTTCCCATACACACCCATTTTATTTGGGGAGTCATGACCCCACACCCCTTAATTATGGGGGCCAGAGCAAGACAGACACCTCTTCCTACCCATACTCTTTCTGGGTCGGGAGGGGTATGGGAAGGTGAATGGCTGGAAAACTTCTTTGTATGGGGTTTTCTTTTTCTGAATTAAAAAAAAAAAGATTTTATTAACAACAAAAAAAAATTGTCAACTTTCTGGTCAGTGACCTTTAGAAAATTGTAAGGGATACTAATTTATAAAAATTGTCTATCTCCAGTTTAAAACCATAACAGTGTCCTTTAACCTAATTCAACAACCCAAGAAAGTAATAGAGTAACATTTCTTGGCTGAATCAATACTGCATTAAAGAAAGGTGCTATCATTGAAAAGTTATGAATACAAAACAGCTCAATGATGTATTAGTGTCATCGCTCGCTGTCTCTTTCAGTTCGCTTGCATTACCGAATATAAGCAGAAAAGAACCCTTCTTGTGTTTAGATTTGTCAGTGAGATCCTATTTGTATTCCACTCTGCCCTGTATTAAGGTTTTACATCTTCCATTCAAAGCACTGCAGGTACAAAAGATGCAACTCAAATATCAGAACAACTATTGAAGCCTATTTAGTGTTTGTTAGTGCATTCTTGAAGAGTTCATGTTTTAAAAATCATTTAGTAACTTGTCTCTAAAAGAAGGCAAATCATTACTGCCAAGATCTTCTTTCCTTTGTGATACAGGAAGTCTCAAAGCAATTTTTTCATGGTCATTTAGCACAAACTTCAATATAATTTTCAAAAAATATTAAGCTTTTTAAAGGGTTAATATCTTTGATAAATTAAAAAACACTTACAAATCAACAAGGACAAAACAAGCAGCCAAATAGAAATTATAATACCTTGTGGCAATGCAGGTTTGTTAGAACAGGCATTTTCATCCTTTGCTATTGGGCAGTAAATTAGAAAATTTACTTTCTGGAAAATAATTTGGTAACTTCATATCAAAATCCTTAAAAATATTTTACCCTATGTTGAAGCAATTTCACATCTAGGTGTTTACCCAAAGAAGGGGAAAAAATATCAGGCATGGATTTTTCAAAAATGCCGACATGTGATTTCCAAGGGTATTAATTATATCATCTTTAAATTCCTGATAAATTAGACATTACAATAGTAACCAACAATAAGGGACTTTCCAGAGCAGACACTATATCCAACATAATACCTAGCACAAAAGTAAAAACGTAAAAAAATTGTTAACTGATTTAATACATAAGTGAACATTTATTTGAAAAACCAGTGCTCGTAAAAATGAGGCCCACAGTCTGGCAACACCAATGTCACCTTGCTAGAAATACACATTTTGAAACCCTAGCCCAGATCTATTAATTGATAAATTCTGGGGGTGGAGCATAGGAAACTATATTTTAATAAGCCCTCCAGATGATTCTGATGTACACTAAGATTTGTGAAGCACTGAGCTAGAATATTATGCACCCTTCAAAAATTAAAATCTCCCAGCTTCATTCTATCTTTAACATTTTTTCTGCTGGGCGCAGTGGCTCACGCCTGTAATCCCAGCACTTTGGGAGGCCGAGGTGGGCAGATCACGAGGTCAGGAAATCGAGACCATCCTGGCTAACATGGTGAAACCCAGTCTCTACTAAAAATACAAAAAAAATTAGCCGGGCGCGGTGGCGGGCGCCTGTAGTCCCAGCTACTCGGGAGGCTGAGGCAGGAGAATGGCATGACCCCAGGAGGCAGAGCTTCCAGCCTGGGCGACTCCGTCTCAAAAACAAAAAAAACAAAAACAAAAAACATTTTTCCTACATTTATCTCTACCATCAGAGTAAGCTATTTAAAATTCTCCAAACAGCAGAGACTTAGTTCCCCTCTAAGCCCAGATGCCTCTGGAAACCAAACACGGAAAGAAGCTGAAAGGTAGCAAAACCTTTATTGGGTTGCCCTTGTCAAATTTTATTAAGATCCTTGCCTGGTGTTGTGATTGAAAATGTCCAGAATCTGGAAATAGAACTGTGTTGAAATTCTAGCTGTACTACTTACTAACTTGGAACCTTGAATAAACGAACTTCTTTGAGTTTCCATTTCTTCAACTATGGAATGAGGCTAAAGATACCAATATGTCAGTGTTTTAAAGTGTCAATATATTTAACTCCATGTATCACCATGCACACATTAGATCCTCCACAACTGTTAATCCCCTTTCCTTGGATCAGTGCTGGTTTCCTTAAGATCCCTCGTGTATGCTTAGTAAGCAGGGAGTTATGTGAAGACATTTCTCACCATCTTGGGTGTTTGTTACAGTGTTTGACACATGCAAGGTAATTCATAAATACTCGATGATTGATGGATTGACTGGTGTGATGAGTAAGACTGAGGCAGAGTTAGAGAATCCAGTCCTTTGGACCTCACTACACTGTATGGAACCACTTGAGAAAGATGAGAAAAGCTTAAGCCTGTTGCCACTAAAAGAAAAATGCCTGTGAATAGAGTAATCTTCCCACTCCTTACCATGCACAGTTATCCTCCATTATCTGTGCTTTCCTTCCTATAAATGAGATCAGATCTGTTCAAACAGCTGTCAGGCTGCCTTTAAGGCAGAACAGCCTTGGGTGATATTTACCAAGCTGTAATAAGAGATAACATACAACTTCCAGATGTCCCTTGTATTGGCAAACGGAAGTGTTGAACATACTCGAAAGATTAAAACTGAAGGAATTCAGTTATTTTCCCCAAAATTGGCAACAGAAATTGAAAAGATGACATCATGAGACCAATTTGAACATGGAATAGAAAAATCTATCAAAATATGGCACTTAATACTTCTTTGGGAATCTGTTATAAGCCAGAAGTCTTTGTCAAAAGAGACCCTCTCTTTCAACATAATGAACCCTTCACATGCAACCTAACTCCTACAAAAAGAAACACATGCACGCAGTCTTACGGACTGTATTACATGAAATGAGAACAGATGGACAAAGTTTACTTTATTTCCAATATTGCAGTAGTGCTTGAGGGGGAAAAAGTTAAGACATGTTTCTTGCCATGAAAGCACTTATAAGCAGGCACATAAACACATACATAAAATAAATAATTATAGGTATATTTATAGAGATTGGATTAGGGTACATCAGGTGCACAGAAAAAAAAAGGGCCCTTTTATTAGTGGTATCAGGGGAGGGAGAAGGCTTAAACAGCTTATCTTGAGATAAATCTCTAAAGATAAGCAGGTCCTCAGAAGCCTTGCTCCTCAAAGTGTGGTCCTTGGACTGCAGCTTGCTAGAATGCAAAACTCAGGCCTCATCCTAGAGCTACTGAATCAGAATTGAATCTTGTGTTTTAACGTGATCCCCAAAAGATTCATGGGCACATGAATCTTAAACCTTTAATCTGAAACCTCTAAGAAACACTGGTCTAAATAAGTTTTAGAAGAGCGTTAGAGGCAGAAAACTTTCTGCAGTAAGTTGATCAAATACCATGAGACATCAAGATAGCTAGTGTAGGCCAAGAATTAAAAACTGGAGGCCCATAATCCAAACTCAGCCCACATATGTCCTTTATTAGGATTGCACAGTGTTTTAAATATTGAGAAATTTAAAATAAAAATCCAGATTTTCTGATTTCCTTGGAAAAAAAATCAGAAGTTTTGGCCAAACTGGACCCATATTCACATATAAGAACAAAGAACAGGATAGACTGTCAGTTTCAGACAAAGGTGAGCCCACAATTACCTTTCGCTCAGCCCTCTTTGCCCATTGTCATTATTACCTTTCTAGTCTCAAACAGACATTTGAGACTGCTACCCTTGGAACTGACTCTGCTTTATGGAAATTTAACAAGGACTGAAGAGAGAGAAACAAGACAGCAGCTAAGGTGTGTTGGGAACAGGCTCCCCCAAAATCTGGCCATAAACTGGCCCCAAAACTGGCCATACACAAAATCTCTGCAGCACTGTGACATGTTCATGATGGCCACGATGCCCACACTGGAAGGTTGTGGGTTAACTGGAATGAGGGCAAGGAACACCTGGCCCACCTAGGGTGGAAAACTGCTTAAAGGCATTCTTAAGCCACAAACAATAGCATGAGCGATCTGTGCCTTAAGGACATGCTCCTGCTGCAGATAATTAGCCAAACCCATCCCTTTATTTCGGCCCATCCCTTTGTTTCCCATAAGGAATACTTTTAGTTAATCTATAATCTATAGAAACAACGCTTATCACTGGCTTGCTGTCAATAAATACGTGGGTAAATCTCTGTTCGAGGCTCTCAGCTCTGAAGGCTGTGAGACCCCTGATTTCCCACTCCACACCTCTATATTTCTGTGTGTGTGTCTTTAATTCCTCTAGCGCCGCTGGGTTAGGGTCTCCCCAGCCGAGCTGGTTGGCAAAGGTGGAATATGGAGTTGATGGGAAAACTCTGAATATGTCTTTGGCTGTGAAATAAATACTAACAAAAAGTAAGAGGGTGTTAATGTGGGAGAGAGAGGGGAAAAAGGGAACATAATTCTGGGGGAAAAAAGATGATATCAAGATCACAGAAGGACTTAGCCCACGTCTTGTTCTGAGGAAGGATACAATGGTGAGGTGTGCTCAGATATAGATAATTGTTCAGGTTCTCACAGGTAAACTAAAGAGTTTCTGTCTGAGAACCTCAATACTCTCCACACAGTTGCAGGCAAGATCATCTGCTGAGAGTAAAGTGGTAGTGACAGGAATTTCAGAAGAGTGGTGAACATTTAGAACAGCAACCCACAGTGGGTAACAGGAACAGGAACTGATCAAAGCTTTAGATGAATTTTCACATGATCTGGGGAGCCCCACTGAAGCTAGGGAGCAGAACAGAGAAATATCAAGCTTCATGAGTATGATGAACTCGGGTCCTTCCCTCCAAACGACCATCACATGAATGAGAAGTGAATGTTTGAACGGGCCAGAGTTTGCAGGCTGAATACAGAAAAAGGTCAGGATGCTAAGAGTGTTAATAAGAGTGGCTAAAGTGACCCACCATGAGGTCCTGGCTAAACTACAACTGAAGGAAAACTCTGAGAGTATTAATAAACTTAGAGAAAAAAGAGAAACTAAGGAGATAGAGGTGACAGTAACTCAAGAAGTAGATTTAAAGAGCCAATGAATAGTCACTGGTAGATCCAGGTTTTGAATTTAAGGCCATCTGATCCCAAAATCTATACTCTTTCTGCTATAACTCACCATTTCTATAAGTTACATAAAAATATAAGGACAAATCTCCATTTTTCTGAAATGGCACAAGTAGAATCTATTTGCCCTGGAATCACTAGGAGGTCATCCATATGTTGTTAAATAAGCAGAGTGCTTTCACTTCTGTTGACTCCTCTGCTTCCCCTTGATTTCGTATTTCCTCATGCCAGCTGTTTTCTATATTCTATGAAAGTCTTCAAATTAAGACAGAAGCAAGGATATTTATGTATTGTCATCTGTAAACCTGCCAGTTCAAAAGAGGACAAATAAACAATTGTTATACAAGTTCCACATGTTTTAAAAGAGGCAGAAGTGTCAACACTAATATTTCTGGCTTCAAATTACCACCTCTGTAATTGTAAAATGCTCTATTGTGCATCCTGCAGATTCATTAAGCTATCATGATGATAATAACCATTATTTTTATTCTTAACACTGAAACATTTGAGGCTTTGGCATGCAAATCCCAAAAATTACTACCTGATACTAGGTCCACTGAATGACAAAGAATAAATGACTTTAAGTATATACTTAGTCTCATCTTACCGGTAATTATTATTGTCACTAAAACCAATTTATGGTGTTTCTTTTCCAAACAACTCCTTGAAGCTTTATTTGACCTTATTTAGTTTACATAAGTGATTATCAAATGTTATTGTTATGTATATTATTCAGTCAATTACCCAACAATTTAAAACATAGTAAGTGCAGACTTGGGAAGAGTATAATTCACAATATTGCAATAGGTTTGAAACACTAACAGAGCACAACTTTCAGTAAGTGCTAAGTTTTTTTTTAACTCTGCTCTAACAGTTGAGGACAAATGCTTAATTGAAGAAGGCAAGAATGAGCCAAAAAGAAAGAAAGAGTTTAGCAATGGGCAAATACATTCTAGGCTCTATTCACCTCAGAAAGTACATTTCCCTACCTAAAATTGGAGAATGGGAAGATAAAAGTCATTTAGGAGTTCATAAACCCATCCTCACTACAATGGTAGAAAGTCTTTTGCCGAAGGCAGTCACAGGCAATAACAGGGTTTACAAGTTATTTTCCTTTAAGAAGTCTCAACCACATTAGACAATTGTGTACCGTAATAAAAAGAAATAAAAATAGTTAACATTAATGGAATCTATTTGGTTAGTTCTTATAGTAGAGTAACACTCATCACTGAACTTTAATTACAACTAGTTGCATAAAAACATACCAGGACACACTGCAGTTAGTATGTGTCAGTTTTGATGCAAAAAAAAAAAAAAAAAAAAAAAAAGCTTCATTCAATAAATACCAATATGGGATAATTGAAATATATTAACAAGGGGTATTAAACAAAATGGACAAAAGAGGGACCTATTCCACGCACATATTCTATCTGCCACCTGACAGCTTTGCATCCATAACCTAATGAGAAGGGGCTGCTAGTCAACACCAAACCAATACTCTACCTTGGACATGCTGGTCCATGAAAGGACTTCAGTGTACTTAAATGTCTTCCGGAATAAAAGTAGATTGAATGGATGAATGTATTGGTCTATGTGTAAGTGTTCTCAGTTTGACTGTTTAAAAAAAAATTGCAGTTTATTAGAATAGATTAAGTTCTTCTTAGCTAATTCTTTAACTGTTTTACTATGTGCTAAATTTTAAAGAGAACTTCTTCAAGTATTCATTAACAATAATTATAATATCTGGACAATATTTTTGTATTAGTCTCAGTTTTCTGTATTTTTTTAATTGAGCCAAATGACTCATATTGCCATTCCTAGACCCTTTGATTTGTATTCATCCAATAAGTAGATATCTTCATAGCATTGATAAGCAACCTGATTTTGATTTGGATGAGCCTCCTCCTGCTCAAGATGCTGTGTTTGCCATTGTAAAGTTAAAACAGTTATAAAATACAGTTCTTGCATTCAAAGAACTTATAATATCATACTGGTAATAAATTAATAAATTGATTCTATAAACAAAGACACAGATGGATGAGGCTTCCACCCATTGCTCCGACTCTATCTTTCACTGTAGCATTATATCTATGCTTTGTGAATACAGGAGTACTCATAATTAACCCAAAAAGTTGTGCTACTTCAAGTCTCTATGACACCATTTACACAGCCAATTCTTCAAGAATACCCTTCTAATTTTTTCCACCTATACCTTTACCCTATGCACTTTCAACACTTCTAACTAGAGAAGTTGCCTCATCAGTGAAGCCAATTTTTATTTACAATAAAAGAAATGACTATTTTATCTCGTCTTCCTCCATGATATCCTATACTGGCTTCTGTCACACACCCAAAGTTTACAGACTCACACATTCCAGGCAACTAATGGAGGTGAGGGACACAGCAAGGTTAAAAGAAATAAATAAGAGACTGTAACGAATTGGGGAAAGTGCCTAAATAAAGTACTGCCATTAATTTTATTTAATTGTCTGCATGTCAAACAAGGTACAGATAAAACTTAACCTATGATCCCTTCATTTTGGAATGTATATTCTATCTAACTTTGCTTCATTTACATGAGTATACCTTTCTCCTCCCCCAAAACATAACAGTTCTTGAAGGGCAAGACTGTGTCATAATCACCTCTATTTTCCCAACTTCTAACACAGTGCCTAATACATATTAAAAACTACCTGAATATCTGTCGAATGTAAGGATGCAGTATTAGTCACTAGAAAGTGCCAGAGCTTTGTCCATATTGTTTGAAGTTTTTATGTTTAATCTTGGGGAAAAGATTTTCTGAGGACACACCATACAATTGTTGATGACAGATACTTTTTACAACTAACTGTCTTAGCCTGTTTTGTATTGCTATAACAAAACATCTGAGACTGTGTAATTTATAATAAAATTAAATTTTTTTGGTTCATGGTTCTGGAGGCTGGGAAGTCCACAATCAAGGGGCCACAACTGGAGAAGGCCTTCTTACTGTGTCATTCCATGGCAGAAGGCAGAAGGGCAAAACAGAGCAAGAACAACAGAGAACAAGAGGGGATCACACTTACTTTTATAGGAAACTCACTGCCACAATAATGACATTAGTCCTTTTCATGAGGGTAGATCCCTCATGACCTAAACAGTTCCCACTAGGCCCCACTTCCCAAAATACTGCATTTGGAATTAAGTTTTCAAGTCATGAACTTTGGGGAACCCAATCAAACCATAACACTAACTAAGCTACGACTTTTGTTTTAGGATTCTAATAATAAGTATAGCAAAGTGACCAAAAAAGTGAAGCTGTATCCTTTGCCTTTGCAATTGTTTTTAAACTTCACATCCTCCAAATCAAATTTGTTTAAAACACAAAAAAATACAACAAATTAAGAGAAAATCAAGTTCTACATTGGTTCTGTTCATGTTTAGAAGAAATGTTAAAACAAAAGAATGAATAGTTGGATAGATAATTTTTGTAAAACAAAGACTTAAAATGTGCAGAGATTTCAGGATCACAGTTGTATATAAAACGGGGACTATATGCGGCTACTCATTCTTCTTTGTAATAGTGGAGATACTATATTCAACAAAACCAGTCCTTGGAATCCCAACAGAGGTAAATTATCCAGTTTCCTAGGAGGTACTTCCCAAAGCAAGTGACAGTGTGAATGTCAAAGTGATAAACACCACCCTAAAAATCCCATGAAAGGGAAAAGAAAATGTAGAAACTGCCTTTTCAAAAAGTATTATAACAGTGAGAAAATAATGGCAATGAGGAGATCTGATCTAGGGAACCCAAAACCTACCTCTTGCCTTTTGCCTTCATGCTGCCTTCATTATTCCTGGAATTAAGATAGTTTAAATGATAATAGCCCTTCCTCAAAACTCAACCACTTCTGTAAAGATAATGAGACATAACCAGGCTAGGAGGAGGAGAGGAGCCTGAATGGAGGTCTTGCCTGTATCCATGGCATAGACGAGGTTACTGACAGCAGAAAGGATAAGCCAGCATGTAGGTGAGTGCAGATAATTCCTACCCTCTAGGCCTCCCTGTTACACAGGTGAAAGCCTCATTGGCACCCATGGGAGGCACCCTGCTGAGGTCACTGGGACTCGGGGACATAAGGATGAAAGGAAAAGGGGGATACCGTTTTTCCTCTCCCTCTTGTACCCTGGGTATTTGCTGGGAAGAAAAGGGAACTAAGGGTTGCCTTTTTCCCCTCTTTCCAGATGGGTAACCAGTCATCTTCAGTCTACATATCTCTTGAATCCATCCTGAATCACTGAGACTCCTTTAAAAAAAAAAAAAAAAAAAAAAAGCCCTTCTTTTTCCTTTTTTCTCCTCTGTTATCTTTTCACAGATGAGTAATTGTGTCCCATTACCACAGAACACTCCCCTTGGATGCATCCCCCAAATTGGGAAAAGTTCAATTCTCCCAAACCTTAAACTACTTGGCTTAAAATTGAGCTTGGGGGAAGGGAACAGAGAAGCCTGACATGCCAGCAAAAGGGTAAAAGTTCTTGCCAGTCAGACTTCTAGCCACTCTCTCCCTGTGAAAACTGGTAAAAGAAATGGTAAAAATCACTATTTATATCCTCTGTAAAGTTTTAATTAATGGACAAAGGGATTTGTGAGGCTAGTCTTAAGCTGTAGTGAATCTGTTGTACTGTGTGCTAAGAACTTGTCTTTCTGTATCTTTCTATCAGAAAGAGGGGTACGTTAGGAGAGAATGCAGGCCTATGGCCCCATAAGCCCACTGTTTAAGCCAGCCTGGAAAACTGGTCAGTAAAAAACTCTGCCACAGGTCTCTGAAGAAAAAAAATTGGATGAGGTCTCCATCTTGTTTTATGTCCTTGGGAGCTTGCCCTTGTAACCATGTGGCAGTACTTTCTTCTGGTCTATGCCAATTTACAGTGGAGACCTGGGTTCAATCCTGGCTTAGGAAATGAGTACCTTCTGGTTAATATCTGTGTGACTTTCACCATGTGCTGATTCTCTTTCCCTCCATGAACAACCTCTAGCTTCCTTTCTTAAATCTTCCTTTCTCTGAGCTACCTTTAAAGATTCTAGATTTTGTAGAAACTCCTTACCACCTCTTTGAAAATACCTCCTACACTCACACTTAAGTCATAACCTTAGTTGAGACTTGTTGGTTTCACCTGTGAGGTTACTTTTGGTAAAGTCTAAAAGCCAGAAATATTGGCCACTTGGCATGGCTAAAGTCAGGTAATAATGGATTTTAAAGGATTTTTTAAGAGCACTATGGTTAAAAGTCAGCTTAACTAAAAGTGGATATCCAAGATATAGGTAGATCTAAAATTCCTTTATGTCTTTTCTCTCCTTGGATTTTTGTTTTGCTGGAAAAAAAAATGTTTTTTTTTTTCTTCTCGGTCAACTGAATTATTTTTCTCCATCTTGTTTTGCCACTCTTACTGCACACAAGTGGCCCTAAGATAACTTCTGAGAGCATGGGACTCCTTGGGAAAAACAAAGGAGGTGCCACTGACCCTGTTTTGGAAAAAACTTCTGTTTTTCTTATGGAATCCCAGGAATGAAAAATGGATATATCCCTCTCAAAATCTGTTTTTATCTTCCAGCTATACCTGCTTATTAGGCCCTAGAAACTGCATGCTTTCCTAGCCCTGCTGCTTGACGAGCTCTACCCTGAGGCCAGTAATCCAATTAGGAGATTGGCAAACAAAAAATTCTTACAACTACTGAATCTTCTTCTGTCTGTCTGTGTAGTTTTATATGTGTTATGTGTGTGATGTTTACATTAAAAAGAGCTCTAATGAATTGGTTTAAACAAAATAAGCACTAGATCAAATATTTTTAAAGAAAAAATAAAAGCTGTAATGCCTTTTAGTTCATGTGACTTTAATCTTTAAGAAATAAAAACACAGTTTGAAAGATTGGTAAAATACAAATGTCTTCGAAATGTAAATATGTGGTCTAAATTATGTTCAGATATTAGGTTTGCTAAATGCTTTAAGGTCATAAACTGCTTCCTTTGTCTTTTGAAAATTGTTCAACTGGCCGGCTTTACAGTCTGGTGAGGGCTGGGGACATATGGAATTAACCATTCCCCTAGCTATGCTGGAAAGAGCCAAACCTTATCTGCACCTAGTATTTAATTAAAATAACCTAAAAGGTTTTACATTAAAATTAAAAATTGCTGAGTCACCATTATAACACATAATTGAGACTAATGAAAACAGATTAACATGCAAGGTGTGTAAGGTAAGTAAAATGTGTTTTTAGTAAAATATTATAAGAAGGCATGGGAATATAAATTTGTGCCTAGCTTAGAAGGTTAAAGAATTGTTTTAAATTAGATAAGATAAAGCTAAAGGTTTAAACAAGTTGTGGAAGGTTTGTAAAATTAATCTTGCACAAGAAATTCTTTACGTGAACATACTGACTAAATTCAAAAGGGCATTATGTGGTTTTTCCATAAATTGAGCATGAAACAAAAGCACAACAAGGTTTTCTTAAGGTACTGATCTTCTCTAACAAAAATTTGAAAAGAGTTATAAAGGGTTTATAAGAATCTCACCTCATGGTCAAACTGGTTAAGATTAGACAGAATTATCTATAATGTTTTATTTTTTAAAAACTGAGGTTGACATTAATAGTTGACTAATGAAAGGGGGAAAATTGGCTTTCTCTCCTATGAACAAGATTTACGTGTACTAGTAAAGGATAATGAAAATTTTTCATTTGCCTTGTAAATACTGAAAAAAGAAGAAGAAGACAGAAGACAGATTGTTTGGAAAGCTAAGTCTTCCTCTTAATGAGTAAAGGATTTTGCCTTTTTAAAGTATCTTTGAGTCATCATTTTGGCTAAATAACTTATGGTAATCTGGAATTCTATTTCATAATGTCAAGTGTTTTAAACCTCTAATATGTTTAACAGCCTTCCCCAAATCAAATTTCAGCTTCAAAAATTGTCTTTTCTTACTCCTAATTTTGGATGCCACAGAGGGTCCCTGGAGCATCCAAAAGAGAGTTAAACAGGATTATTTGACATGTTTAGTTACATGGATTGCCAAAATAAAAATAATGTTTAATCTTCTTCAGGTTATATTTTAGTTAATAATACTAATATATGTTCCAAAATTTTATGGAATTTCTAAAATCCTAACATCTGAGTATATGCTATTAATCACAATTAATGTTATTATGTTGTTGTATGTTGTTATTGTAAACAACAGAAATAACCAAATTTCTTTGTCAATCATGTTTTTGACTGTAAATACCCTGGACATTTTTTCTTTCACAGACAATTGTTGTCTTGCTTTGATCCTTTTCAAAAGATGGTTTATAATCAGCTATAGGACTTTGAGAGGTGCTCTTAAATGTAGGTTCCTGATACCTTTGGGGATTGTGACATTGGAATAATGGAAAATCATTCAGGACCCATGAAGGGTTGAAATATTCATGAATATCAAGCAGAACAAGAGTTAATTGAGTGGACTGAACTAACAGAAAACTGAAGTAATCTTTTTTAGCTTTTTGCTTAAAACATTGCTGATCCTTTTTTTGTTTTTCAGAGTCAAAGAAAGTTTTCTCTTGAGCTATCCACCTTTTAGCAATTGAGTAAGGTATCATCCTGTGAACAAAATTTGGAACATATCTGTTTCTCTCTGCCTGGCTTCCCCAGAATTCAGAAACTATGTGAGTATTCTTAACTTATGGCAATATAGTTATTTGCATCAGTGCAATAAGAATGAATTTTCTTTTGCAACAGGACAGAATTGCAGAAACTGGTTGTTTTACTGAGGCTCTGACTGGAATGGCATGCTTTCTTTTAGGAAATCAAGCTTGACTTGCAGAGCCAATAAAAGTCCTTTTGGAAAACTGGCCTCACACCTTATCTACACAGTCCCCATACAGGGTTCCTAACCTGTGATGAGTAAAGAAAGTCACTTTCTAACAGGTCCAGGAGCCTCAAGCTATCTTGGAACCTTAAGAATAGAGGAATTTACCTAACTCATAGGTATTTGAGGGTACAAACCCACAGATGGGCTTAGCTTTAAAAGGTCTCACCTGAGATTTCTTGTGGCACAGAGTTCCATCAAAGCAATTTTAAAAGCCTATGTGAAAAATAGTTATTTTTGCTGCACTTTATGCAAATAATCAGGCCAAGTATAAGACTAAAGTTCATTGTGAAAACAACTCAGTCCTATCATGATTTGCTTCTGACAAAAATGAGGACTGGAGAGAGAAAAATTATGTTTCAAAACTTATCATGCACTTATTAAATTCTAGTTACATTAGTTGTTTTTAAGTTTTTGACATACATTTTAGACTAACCCTGATTATTCCTGTGAACCAACCAGTGATCTTTGACTATAGCTCAAAAGAAACAAAAGGTATGGATAATGTAAAAATCTGGATCATTATTCTAACTCTGAGCAATTATCCTACAAATCCTGCCAGGTAATAGTAAATAAGGTGTCATAACCTGGAGGTTTCCTTGCATGCGAAAATAAGACCAAGGGAGCTAACCAAAGCCAAGCCCCATGAGCCCAAATCTTAGCAGGCATAACTATCACCACCAGTTATCTGGGCATCCCAACAGCCTCAGGATTCTTAAGCTTACCCCCTTAAGTCCTTACCCTCTTGTTTCATTTTGATACATATCTTCTAATAACCTGGTTTGTCTCTTCTTGCCTTCAGGCCACCAAACTCCAAATGGTCATGAAACCAGAGTCTCAGACTACGACTCCCTTTTACTGTGGACCCTTAGATAGTCCTCTGAAGGAGATCTGACTACCATGTTCCCAAAACAGCACCCTGTCAGCAGGAAGCAGTCAAGATCGGTTTTTATCTCTATTCTAACAACAGTTAGATGTACCTCTTCAGAGGGGGAAAATGATAGCAATAGGAGGCAGACAAATACCTAGGCAGATAGGGTTGGGTCCCCAGTGAAACCCCACTTTCAAGCCAAACACAGTCCCAAGTAAATCCTTGCACCAGATTGAGAAACTGTCTTCCTGTTTGGTGCACTTTCCTCTGATTGATCCCCATACTTCACCTATTTCACATATATCTACCTTTCTCTGTTATTTTTTTTAACACTGTTATGACCTCCTTTGAGTGGTGCCTTTAACCTTTTTGCATACTTAACCAATCAGCATGCATTCCCCTATTCTGAGCCCATGAAATGCCCCAGACTCAGTCACACTGAGAGAGAAACCACCCAACTGCAGGGTGCAGTTGGTTGCAGAACAAGAGCTCAGGAACTACCAAATGCAAGTACAAGCTATAGCACAGGCCATCTGAGTGGACAAGGCACCTCCAGCAGCAGGCCCAGGGCCAAGTGAGGCCCAGGCAGGGGGGATGCATCACCAGCCATGGAGGTCCTCGGTTGGCAAAGTGGCAACAAAAAATCCTGCATCGTTTCCATGCATTTAAATTACCTGGTCCTTGAAGGCATTTAAGTTTGAAATTCCTGAGTGAAAGAATAAGAATGAGCATTATATTTATAAAAATAAAGATTTGAATTCTAAGTTCACATATTAGCTGTGTCCTAATTGGCAAAGGATTAAATTCTTTATGCCTCAGTTTCTGCAGGGCAAACTACATTATTTCACAGGATTTCTACAAAGACATAATGAGAAAACGTTTACAAAGGACCTGGAGCACAAGATATACTAAAAAGTCACTATTCATACATCATCTTAACTTGGATTCCCCGTAAAGCAGAGCCCAAGGCAAAGCTGTATAATATATTTGGGAAGTAATTCCAGAGAGCATGAGGAAGATAGGTGTGGGGGATAAGAAAGGAGAGAGAAAGCAAATACAAGAATGTGATGATGCTGAGCTGTCCATCATTACAGGCAACTGGTACTCAATTCTCTGGGATCTCCTAAGAACATTTCTAAAATGCATTTCAGAATACTCCACTTGGTGTACAAGGAGGAAAGCATTTAGCCATGGGTTCCTGTCCCTCATTATTCATTGGTGATCATATCAACAATGACTCAGCCATGCTTCCATGTTGCACACACGTGAATGCTGAGAAGATGTTCTTTTCCTTGATATCAAAGAATATACAGAGAAGGAAGCAAGAGGTATGTAGTATGGCCCTAAAGCAAGACACTGTCAGGTTGCACCAACATGTAACCAGACAAAGCCTGCTAGAGCTGGTTACCACAGTAGTGTCTGGAGTAAGACATAGGGCTGAGAATATGGCACAGAAAATTATAATAATAATGACGCATAATTTGCCATATGGTTCCCCAGCTTGTTGGATATTTCTTCATAAGAGCTTGGATGTAGATCATGGCAAAAAGTACCATAATATAAAAGAAAAAAAATACTCAGATCCAGAATACATATTCTACACCTATTAATTTTTTGCTACCTAAAATGTGCAATTTTTTAATATCACTTCATTTGTTTCATTACTTTAGTATCTTATTTTTAATTTTTGGAGATACAGTGAGGTATATATTTATGGAGTAGATGAGATATTTTGATACAGGCATGCAATGTGTAATAATCACATTATGGAAAACAGGGTATTCATCCCCTCAAGCATTTTATTATTCTCATGCTGCTATGAAGAAATACCTGAGACTGGGTAATTTATAAAGAAAAGAGGTTTAATTGGCTCACTGTTCTGCAGGGCTGAGGAGGCCTCAGGAAAATTACAATAATGGCAGATGGAGAAGCAAACACATCTTTTTTCACATGGTAGCAGGAAAGAGAAGAATGAGTGCCCAGTGAAGGGGGAAGCCCCTTATAAAACATCAGATCTCATGAAAACTAATTAACTATCACGGAAAAGGATGGAAAACCACCCCCATGACTTAATTATCTCCACCTGGTCCCTCCCACAACACGTGGGGATTATGGAAACTACAATTCAAGATGAGATTTGGGTGGGGACATGGCCAAACCATATCAAGCATTTATCCTTTATTACAAATAATATAATTTATCTATATAGTTATTTTTAAATTCACAATTAAATTAGTATTGACTATAGTCACCCTGTTGTGTTATCAAATAATAGGTTTTATTCATTCTAACTTTTTTTTGTATTAATTAACCATCTCCACCTCCCGTCACCCAAATACCCTTTCCAGTCTCTGGTAACCAACGTTCTATTCTTATCTCTATGAGTTCAATTGTTTTGATTTTTAGACCCTACAAATACGTGACAACATGTGATGCTTGTCTTTCTCTACTTGGCTTATTTCACTTAACATAATGACCTCCAGTTCCATCCACGTTGTTGCAAATGACAGGATCTCATTCTTTTTATGGCTGAATAGCACTCCATTGTGTTAATATACCACATTTTCTTTATCCATTCATCTGATGGACACTTGTTTCCAAATGTTGGCTGTTGTTAACAGTGCTGCAACAAACATGGGAATGCAGACATCTCTTTGATATGCTGATTCATTTTGGGTATATACCGAGCGGTGATATTGCTGGATTGTATGGTAGTTCTATTTTCAGTTTTTGGAGGAATCTCCAAACTGCTGTCTATGGTGGTTGTATATACATTTCTACCAACAGTGTACAAGGGTTCCCTTTTCTCCACATCCTTGAGAGCATATGTTGTTGCTTGGCTTTTGGATAAAAGTAATTTTTACTGGGGTGAGATGACATCTCATTGTAGTTTTGATTTGCATTTCTCTGATGACCAATGATGTTCACCACCTTTTCTTTCTTTTTTTTGAGACAAGGTTTTGCTCTGTTGCCCAGGCTGGAGTGCAATGGCACAAGCTCAGTTCACTGCAACTGCCTCCCAGGTTCAAGCAATCCTCTTGCCTCAGCCCCCTAAGTAGCTGGGACTACAGACACGTGCCACCATGCCCAACTAATTTTTTGTATTTTTAGTAGAGACAGAGTTTTACCATTTTGCCTAGGCTGATCTCCAACTCCTGAGCTCAAGTGATCCACCCACCTCAGCCTCCCAAAGTGCTGGGATTATAGGTGTGAGCCACTTTGCCTGGCCTGTTGACCACGTTTTCATGTGTCCGTTTGCCATTTCTATATCTTCTTTTGATAAATATCTACTTAAATCTTTTGCTCATTTTTAAATCAGATTATATTTTTTTCCTGTTTGAGTTCCTTATATATTCTAGTTATTAATCCTGTCAGTTGGGTAGTTTGCAAATATCTTGTCCCATTCTGTGGGTCATCTCTTCACTTTGTCAATTGTACCCTTTGCTGTGCAGAAACTTTTTATCTTGATGTGATTCCATTTCCCCATTTTTGCTCTGGTTGCCTGTACTTGTGGGGTGTTACTCAAAAAATTTTTGCCCAAACTGATGTCCTTGAGAGTTTCTCCATGTTTTCTTGTAGTAGTTTCATAGTTTGAGGTCTTAGATTTAAGTCTTCAATCCATTTTTATTTGATTTTTGTATATGGCAAGCAATAGGGGTCTAGTTTCATTCTTCCGCATATGGATATCCAGTTTTTCATTTATTTATCCAGCACCATTTATTGAAGGTATTGTCTTTTCCCCAGCGTATTTTCTTGGCACCCTTTTCAAAAATAAGTTCACTCCAGGTATGTGGATTTGTTTCTGGGTTCTCTTTTCTGTTCCATTGGTTTATGTGTCTGTTTTTATGCCAGTACCTTGCTGTTTCAGTTACTAATGCTCTGCAGTATGATTTGAAGTCAGGTAATGTGCTTCCTTCAGTTTTGTTCTTTTTGTTCAGGGTAGCTTTGACTATTCTGAGTACTTTGTGATTCCATATAAATTTTAGAATTGTTTTTTCCTATTTTTGTGAAGAATGTCATTGGGGATTACCATGAATCTGTAGACTGCTTCAGGTAATGTATTAATCAGGGTTCTCTAGAGGGACACAAATAATGGAATGAATATATATATATATATATGTGTATATATATATATATGTGTATATATATATATATATATATATATATATATATATATATATATGAGTTCATTAAGTATTAACTCACATGATCACAAGTTGCCACAACAGGCCATCTGCCTATTGACTGAGGAGCAAGGAGAGTCAGTCCAAGTTCCAAATGTATTAATCAGGGTTCTCTAGAGGGACACAAATAATGGAATGAATATATATATATATATATATATGAGTTCATTAAGTATTAACTCACATGCCATCTGCCTATTGGCTGAGGAGCAAGGAGAGTCAGTCCAAGTTCCAAAACTGAAGAACTTGGAGTCCGACATTGGAGGGCAGGAAGCATCCAGCATGGGAGAAATATGTAGGCTGGGAGGCTAGGTCAGTCTTTCTTTTCACATTTTTCTGCCTGCTTATATTCTAGCCACACTGGCAGCTGATTAGATTGTGCCCACCCAGATTAAGTGTAGGTCTGCCTTTCCCAGTCCACTGCCTCAAATGTTAATCTCCTTTGACAAACACCCTCATAGCCACACCCAGGATCAATACTTTGTATACTTCAATCCAATCAAGTTGGCACTCAGTATTAACCATCACAGGTAGTATGGACATTTAAATAATATTAATTCTTCACATCCACAAACATGAGATACCTTTCCATTTTGGGGTATCATCTTCAATTTCTTTCATCAGTATGTTATAGATTTCATTATAGAGATCTTTCACTTCTTTGGTTAATTCCTATATATTTACTTGTATTTGTGACTATTGCAAATTGGATTACTTTTTAAAATTTTTTTCAGATTGTTCACTGTTGGCATATAGAAATGCTACTGATTTTTGTATGTTTGTTTTGTATCTTGCAACTGTACTAAATTTGTTTTTCAGTTCTAATAGTTTTTTTATGGGTTCTTCATTTTAGGTTTTTCCAAATGTTAAGATTTTATCATCTGCAACCAATAATAATTTGACTTATTTTCCAATTTGGATGCCCTTTATTTATTTCTCTTTTCTGCTCTAGATAGGACTTACAGAACTATGTGGAATAGCAGTTGTGAAAGTCAGCATCCTTGTCTTCCAGATCTAAGAGAAAAGACTCAGATTTTCCCCATTTGAAATATTAGCTGTGGGTGTGTCACATATGGCTTTTATTATGTTGAAGTATGTTCCTCCTATATCCAGATTTTTTAGCAAACTTCAATTTTTAGAGCAATTGAATATGATCATACGGTTTTTGTTCCTAATGCTGTGATGTAATATGATGTATCACATTGATTGATTTGTGATGTTGAACCATCCTTACGTCCTTGTGAAAAATACTACATGGTCATGATGAATGATCTTTTTAATGTACTGTTGAATTTGGTTTGTTAGTATTTTGTTGAGAATTTTTACATCAATAGTCACCAGATATATTGGTCTGTAGTTTTATCTTTTGATATGTCTTTGCCCAATTGTAGTATCAGGATAATACTGGCTTCATAGATTAAATCTGAAACTACCCCCTCCTCCTCTAATTTTCAGAACAGTTTGAATGGGATGGGTATTAATTGTTCTTTAAATGTTCTGTAGAATTCAGCAGTGATATCATCAGGTCCTGGGCTCTTCTTTACCAGAAGACTTTTACTCCTTTGATAGTCTGTTGTTATTGGTCTGTTCAGGTTTTGAATTTCCTCACAGTTCAACCTGGGTAAGTTAGATGTGTTTAGGAAATTATCCATTTTTTTCTAGATTTCCAAATTTATTGGCATATAGTCATTCATAGTAACCACCACATTCATAGTAACCACAAATCCTTTGGATTTCTGTAGAATTCGTTTTAATGTTTCCTTTTTCATCTCTGATTTTACTTATTTGGGTCTCCTCTCTTTTTTTCTTAGTTCGTCTGGCTAAAAGTTGGTCAATTCTATCCATCTTTTTTAAAAAAACAACTTTTAGTTTGTTTTTTAATTTTCTTCATTTCAAATTCATTAATTTATGCTCTGACCCTTATTATTTCTTTCTTGTAATTTTGGTTTCTGTTTGCTCTTGCTTTCCTATTTCTTTAAGTTGAATCTTTAGGTTATTTGAAGTTTTTCTTCTATTTTGATGTAGGCACTTACAGCTATAAATTTCTCTTTTAGTACCACTTTCACTGTATCCCATAGGTTTTGTTATATTGTGTTTCCACTGTCATTTGTTTCAAGAAATTTTTCAATTTCCTTCTTAACTTCTTCATTGACCCACTCCTCATTTAGGAGTATATTGTTTAATTTCCATTTGTTTGTACATTTTCCAAAATTCCTCATTATTGATTTCCAGTTTTATTCAACTGTAGTCAAAGAAGGTATTTGACATTATTTCAATTTTTTTAATGTTTTAAGACTTGTTTTGTGACCAAACATATGGTCTACCCTTGAAAAGGATTCATTTTCTGAGGAGAAGAAAGTATATTCTGTAGCCATTGGATGAAATGTTCTGTAAATAGCTACTTGGTTCATTTGTTCTATAGTGCAGATTAAGTTTAACATTTCTTTATTGGTTTTCTGTCTGGGAGATCTGTTCAATACTGAAGTTTGAGGTGTTGAAGTCTCTAGCTATTATTGTATTGGGAAATATATCTCTCCTTAGCTCTAATAATATTTGCTTTATATAACTGAGGGCTCCAGTGTTGGGTGTGTATATATTTATCATCATTGTATCTCTTGCTGAATTGACCCCTTTATCATTATATAATGACCATCTTTGTCTCTTCTGACAGTTTTTGTCTTGAATTCTATTTTGTCTGATATAAATATAACTGCTCCTGCTCTTTTCTTTTCATTGATATGAAATACCTTCTTCTATCTCTTTAATTTTAGTCTATGTATTTTTGTAGGTGAAGTGTGTTTCTTGTAGGCAACAGGTAATTGTGTCTTGTTTTTTCATTCAGCTGCTCTGTGTTTTTTGACTGTAGAGTTTAATCCATCTACATTCAGTGTTATTATTGATAAATAGGGACTTACTCCTATCTTTTATTTGTTTTCTGATTGTTTTGCAGCCTTCTCTTTCTTCTTTCCTTCCTTCCTGTCTTCCTTCTTCCCTTCCTTCCTGTATTCCTTTTGGAAAAGGTGATTTTCTCTGGTGTTATGCTTTAATTTCTTGCCTTTTATTTTTTGTGGAACTTTTGTATGTTTTTTTATTTGACATTACCATGAGTCTTGCAAATACCATCTTATAACCCATTATTATAAACTGATGAAAACTTAACACTGATTGCATAAACACATGAACAAACACACAAAAATGAACTAATAAAAAACTCTACACTTTAACTTCATCCCCCACTTTTTAACTTTTGGTTATTTCTCTTTATGTCTTCTTATCTTATCTATGTCTTATCTATGTTTTGAAAAGCTGTGGTGGTCTTTATTTTTCATTGGTTTATCATGTACTCATTCTATTTAAAAGTGGTTTACACACTACAATTACAGTGTTATAATATTCTATATTTTTCTGTGTGCTTACTATTACCAAGGAGTTTTAAACCCTCAGATAATTTATTCTTGCTCATTAACATCCTTTTCTTTCAACCTGAAGAACTCCCTTTAGTATTTCGTGTAGGACAGGTTGAGAAATAAAATGCCTCACCATTTGTTTTTCTGAAAAGATATTTATTTTTCCTTCATGCTTAAAGAATATTTTCACCAGATATACTATACTCTGGTAAAAGATTTTTTTCCTTTAGCATTTTAAATATGTGATATGATTCTCTCCTGGCCTGTAAGGTTTCCACTGAAAAGTCTGCTGCCAGATGTATTGAAGCTCCACTGTATGTTGTTTCTTTTTTCTTGCTGCTTTTAGGATCCTTTCTTTATCCCTGTCCTTTGGGAGTTTATTAAATACCTTAATGCAGTCTTCTTTAGGTTAAATCTGGTTGATGTTCTATAACCTACTTTTATCTGAATGCTGATCTCTCTTTCTCTCTAGGTTTTAAAAGTTCTCTGATATTATCTCTTTGAATATACTTTACCCCATCTCTCTCACTACCCCCTTTTTAAGGCCAATAAATCTCACATTTGCCTTTTGAGGCTATTTTCTAGATCTCGTAGGTGTACTTCTTTCATTTTTTTTTCTTTTGTCTCTGCTATGTATTTTCAAATAGCCTGTTTTCAAGCCCATTAATTCTTCTGCTTGATCAATTCTGCTATTAAGAGACTCTGATGCATTCTTCAGCATGTCAATTGCATTTTTCAGCTCTAGAATTTCTGCTTGTTTTTTTTAAAATTATTTCAATCTCCTTATTAAATTTATCTAATAGAATTTTGAATTCCTTCTCTTTGTTATCTTGAATTTCTTTCTTTTTTTTTTTTTTTTTTTTTTTTTTTTTGAGACAGAGTCTTGCTCTGTCACCCAGGCTGGAGTGCAGTGGTGCATTCTCACTCACTGCAACCTCTGCCTCCCGGGTTCAAGCAATTCTCCTGCCTCAGCCTCCCGAGTAGCTGAGACTACAGGCACCCACCACCACGCCCAGGTAATTTTTGTATTTTTAGTAGAGACCGGGGTTTCACCATATTGGCCAGGCTGGTCTCGAACTCCTGACATTGTTATCTGTCCACCTCGGCCTCCCAAAGTGCTGGGATTACAGGCATGAGCCACCGCACCTGGCCATTATCTTGAATTTGAGTTTTTTCAATGCAGCTATTTTGAATTCTGTCTGAGGTAACATATCTCTCTTTCTCTGGGACTGGTCCCTGGTACCTGAAGTTGGGGGAAGGGTGGCACAAGCACTCCCTTAGCTGTGCCAGCTGGTATCTTCCTAGATCACATGCTACCCTAGTCCACTGGCTGTAAGTCCAGTCCTAGGAGTTTCCTAGGAATTGCAGTCCTTGTGTCCTAGATTGCCTTTCCAGTTTACCTAGGACCCCAGAGCACTTTGGCTCACAGTGGCAAGGTTTGCAAAAAATTCTAACTGCTGGAATGAACAATTCTCTTCTGGCTAGGACTGGTCCAAATGCTCCTTCTGTGCAAGGGCACTGGCTGAGCCCAGCATGGCTTTGCTCTCTGCTGTGACAGGGCAGCACTGAGTTCAATGCAAAGTCCCCCAGTCATTGTCCTCTCCTTCCCCCCAAATGAACAGATTCTCTCTCTGTACTGCATGGTTCCTGCCAGGGAATAGGGGAGAGGTGGTGTCAGCAATTCATGACTGTCTCTTCTACCCTATTCATTGCCTCTTTCAGTGATGTAAAGTTAAAACCAGGTACTGTGATAGCTCACCTAACTTTTGGTTCTTGTGACAGTGCTTCTGTCTGTGCAGATAGTTGTTAAAATTTGATGTTCCTGCAGGGGTACAAATGGTGTAGGCTTCTATTCTGCCATCTTGCTCCATCTGCCTCCTGCTATGTTTTGACTATGCCTAGTTTCTTTCGGGCTCCAGCTTTCCAAAATTTATTATGTTTATTCTGAGTAATATTTGATGAGGACCCATGTTCCTATCTCCTTTGTAAACACAATCAATAAATCCACTTTTATTATCTTTCTCTATCCTTCATAGAATACCAGAGTTTAAGGGCTAATTCAACCAAACCTAGAACACAGTTCAGCCCCAAAATAGAAATATTCATCTTGCCTTCAGGTCTCATATTCTCCCTCTGTCTTAATCTACTTCCCTCCCAACTTCCTCCTTTCTATCCCTGCAAAGTAGTTCATTTTCATATATTGACCTATTAATCCAATCCCTGGAAAATTTGGTTTGAGCAAGAAATGATAGCTTCCCAAGAAACAATTCTGTACCTTACAGTTAGTTCTTTAAACTAACTGTAAATAAAAATTACAATCTTATATGACCAGGGCACAAAGTAACAATTTGCAGACTTGTTTTCCATACTCATTAGCTCACTCTGAATGTAAGAAAGTATTAAATTATGCCTGGATTAAAGCTAAAAGGAGATCCTATGAAGGAATAAAATATGGACCAAAGTGTTCACATTTGGCTTCTGTCTCTTGAGAATGTCCACTCCTGCTGAGGAAATACAGGCAGTTCAAAACCAGGCTAAGAAGATTTATTGGATAATATTCTAAATCTTTGCTAGAAAATGACATTACCATATGTCTTCCTTCTTCTCCTGTATTCCCTAAATATATCAAAGCTTCAATATAAATAAAAAGAAAAAAGGTAGGAGGGAAGGAAATGTCTCTGAACCTTTCTGGGAAACAGGCCCATCAACAGTCTTGACAAAGTAAACCAGTGATTTCTCTTAATAAACTGACACCCAACCCTTCTAGAAACCATGAGAAGCAAGAAGGAAAGTCAGGTTCATTTTTTGTACAAAGGCTAATGATTCTTGTACCTGCATAAAATATTTTTAAGATTACAGTAGTTCTGTGAGAAAGTATTTTAATCCCGACTCTTTGAGACAGAACATTTTTAGTCACCTCGATAATACCTGGTACTATATAAGTCTAAACACACTAACTCTCATTTTTCACATTTGAGAAGTGCTTGGATTTCAGTAAAATTTCTGGCCTGGCTGAAAATTCTACCTTAGAATCAGCAGTTGCTTACTAAATGTTTGATTTGTCCCTAAGACCTCTTGAGAACTCTGGACTCAGGTTTGATGCTTAATCTCTTTGGCTCAAGTATGCACTGAAAGTGAAACATCCTGGCCAGGCGCAGTGGCTCACACCTGTAATCCCAGGACTTTGGGAGGCTGAGGCGGGCAGATCGCCAGGTCAGGAGATCGAGACCATCTTGGCTAACATGGTGAAACCCTGTCTCTACTAAAAAAAAAATGTAAAAAATTAGCCAGGCGTGGTGGCGGGCACCTGTAGTCCCAGCTACTCGGGAGGCTGAGGCAGGAGAATGGCGTGAACCCAGGAGGCAGAGGTTGCAGTGAGCCGAGATCCCACCACTGCACTCCAGCCTGGGCGACAGAGCAAGGCTCCGTCTCAAAAAAAAAAAAAAGAAAGAAAGTGAAATATCCTTAAAATCAACCTCTGCTGGGAAATACAATGCATCTTTGTTGCAATCACACAAAATAATATACTCTACACTTATTTTTTTAGTTCTTGCTTTCCTATAACACTTTTTTAAAAAGTCCTCCTTTCTTAGACATATATGGTTTCTACTCATTTATTCTAGTCCCCAGTATAGATTATGGTTTAGTTAAAGATACGATCATTTCTGAAAATGCAACATTCTCCTTCCATTTCAACTTTACCCTTTCCAGTTTAGCAACATAGAAAAATGATAGCTGAATCACTTTGCGATACTGGAAGAAATTATCCAAAATCCAGAAATAGGTTCTGATGGGCTTCCAGAACATATTAGCATAGTTCATCTATCTTTACCATTAAATATTTAACTTTAGCTGTTCAGATCTGACTATTAGGTTTGCTAACGTGCTTCTTACAACACAGTTTCTATTCTTTTTACTACAACAACTCTACTGAATTTTCTCTTTTGTTGTCTCTAAAAATAAAGCTGACATTTAAACAATTCAGTTCAAAGGTAGCAATCATATGCTGCTATGGAAATGCAGGTGTGCAAGTCCACATGCCCCTCAAACTTTTTCAAATACATCTTGAAGAACAAAGGAGAGGATTATTTAGAATTTGCTTTAAAAGATGACTTGTAATTAAAAGAATTACTTTTTATAAAAGCATGTCGAAGATACTGCAGTATGACAACTCTACAGCCATTCCCCATCACCACTACTGCTTTCTTTTCTCCATATGATCGGGAAAGGTGACTCATACTCCAGCTCCAAGAACTAAAAGATGATCAATCTAAGCTAATCATGTTGATTCAATCTCCTTTACTAACGAGTGGTTTAGACATGAGCATGTGACTCTACCTCGGTCAATGAGACAAAATAAAGTCCCTGAAAAGTTTACCTTTTTTAAAAAAAGAAATACAATTCAAACACTCTCTTCTTTCCACCTATCAATTCGTTCAAGTAGGGCTATGATGCTTGGAGTTGCTGCAGCCATCTACAGCATATGACTTAACAATCCTGACAACCTTGAGTTTCTGAATTTTCTAACCCTGAAACAGTCTTCCTATGGATTCACTATGAGAAATAATAAATATTCTTCATTGTAAAAGCTCATTTCATTAAAAAAAATTCTGTTGCATGCAGCTGAAACCAATTATAGAGACACATAGCTCCATAGAGAGAAGAATTAAAACAATTTTTTAACATCAACTATAAGACACTGTTTCAGATTCTTTGTGTACTTCAATTAATTTTCAACCAAAAACTGTAAGTTAGGTAGGTTTTATTATCATTCTCATTTTCTAGATATGAAAACTCAGAATGAAAGAGGTTAAGGCAATAAGCAAAATGTTATATTGCTTATAAAGGCAACATTAAAACTCAAACACTGTCCTTTGCCAAAAACAGTCCTCTTTGCAGACACAGCTTGACGTCCTACTCTTTAAAAGGCTTATTTTTAAAAAAAGATATTTTAACAAATTGAAGTAAGCTCTATTGGGCACCCAACATGGGGACCAAGGCTCTACAGCCAGCTTGTTTTCCCTTCCCTTAATTACCCTGGATGGTGCTGTTATTGCTCTCTAAGGCTTTGCGTTCTTTCTATTTTAGATTTCCTTTGACTTTAGGTTATAGTAAATAAAGCTGGAATTCTTTCTCTTGCTCATTACACTGTAGACACAGGAGACCCTGAGCAGAACTCCTAACACAAATGGGAGTTTAAAATGCTGATGGGACAGAACATGTCAAGGTCTCATGAGATGACTCGGTGCTTTGTTAATAACTCATCCACATTGGGGGTGGGAGGGTCCCCATTTTCAGGCTCATTTCTGGCATTTTGTTAAAGTTTTTCTCTTTGCACTGTTATCTAGGTCACATTGCCTACTCTCATGATGCCAGTGGGCATCAAGTTTAATAAAGTCTTCTAGTGGCTGCTCTCTCAACATTTCCCTGGTGATCCAGGAGAGACTACACATCTACAGATACTGATGTAGGTGAAAATATTGCTAGGGGTGATACTACTTTTAAGTCTAACTCTGACAATGAACGTAATTTAAATAGATAAAAAGTGTGTGAATGTAATATAGACAGACATAGGCATAGACATAGATATAGATAAATAGATATAAATATATTTTGTCAGGGTTCAAAACCCAGCTTACAGCTTCCAGGTCAGGTTATATGTACTACATAACCTTCCTAATTTGTAAAATGGAAACTATAATAACTATGATATTAAGAGGGCTTAAAATAGAGATACTTGGAGTTTAACCATAGGAGCACAGACTTCTCTTAGCTAACCCAAACCCGACCTACAAGTTTAGTCTGCACTATGTGTGACATCCTATATTCCCTTCTATCTCATGATGTTTTATAGATTTCTGAGCTTAGAATATGACTTGTGGTTCTGGTCCAAGTATTTGCTCTGTAGGATTAATGTGATTTTAGCATTAGCTTTATCTTTGCCGTATTGATACTGTAGATATTAGTGCTCTAATATCCCTGAATCCATAATATAAGTAGCACTTTGATAAAGACAGGAATGATTTCATGCATTGATTGTCTAGAGCAAATATGCTAATATCTCAAGAACCTAAAAATAAGATCCTAAATGAAACCCTTAAACTAATAATTAAACAATTAACCCTTTTCATTCACTTACTTATGGTTTCCACTGCTTGTTATGAGATATGGGATAATAAGATGATTGGAAAAAGCTTAATTAGGAGGATATATATATAAGGAAAGATTTTTCTACATAAATACAAAAAGAAAAAAAACACGTGACTTTTTCAATAGATGTAGAAAAGGCTTTCAACAAAATTGAAAACCGCTTCATGTTAAAAATCCTCAATAAACTAGGTATTGAAGGAACATACATAAAAATAATAAGAGCCAACTATGACAAACCTACAGTCAACATCATACTCAATGGGCAAAAGCTGGAAACATTCCTTTTGAAAACTGGCATAAGACAAGGATATCCTCTCTTACCACTCCTATTCAACATAATATTGAAAGTCCTGGCTAGAACAATCAGACTAGAGAAAGAAATAAAGAGCATCCAAATAGGAAGACAGGAAGTCAAACTATCCCTGCTTACAGACACAATCTTATATCTAGAAAACTCCATAGTCTCTGCCCAAAAGCTCTGTACGCAGATAAACAACTTCAACAAAGTTTCAGGATACTAAATCAATGTACAAAAATCACTGGCATTCCTATACACCAACAACAGTCAAGCCGAGAGCCAGTCAGGAACACAATCCCATTCTCAACTGCCACAAAAAGAATAGAGTACCTGGAACTACAGCTAACCAGGGAGGCGAAATATCTCCATAAGAACCACAAAACACTACTCAAAGAATCAGAGATGAATGACACAAAGAAATGGAAAAACATTCCTTGATCATGGATAGGAAGAATCAATATTCTTAAAATAACAATAATGCCCAAAGCAATTTATAGATTCAATGCTATTCCTATTAAACTACCAATGACATTCTTCCCAGAACTAGGAAAAAAACTATTTTTAAACTCATACGGAACCAAAAAAGCCCATATAGCCAAAGCAATCCCAAGCAAAAAGAACAAAGCTGGGGATTCCTGGGCAAGATGGCCAAATAGGAACAGCTCCGGTCTGCAGCTCCCAGCAAGATCAATGAAGAAGGTCGGTGATTTCTGCATTTCCAACTGAGGTACCCGGCTCATCTCACTGGGACAGGTTAGACAGTGGGTACAGCCCGCAGAGGACGAGCAGAAGCAGGGTGGGGCATCACCTCACCCGGGAAGCACAAGGGGTCGGGGAACTCCCTCCCCTAGCCAAAGGAAGTCATAAGGGACTGTGCCATGAGGAACAGTGCATTCCAGCCCAGATACCATGCTTTTCCCATGGTCTTCACAACCTGCATTCCAGGAGATTCCCTCGGGTGACTACACCACCAGGGCCCTGGGTTTCAAGCACAAAACTGGGGGGCCATATGGGCAGACACCAAGCTAGCTGCAGGAGCTTTTTTCCATATCCCAGTGGCACCTGGAATGCCAGCAAGACAGAACCGTTCACTCTCCTGGAAAGGGGGCTGAAGCAAGGGAGCCAAGTGGTCTAGCTCAGTGGATCCCACCCCCATGGAGCCGTTCAAGCTAAGATCCACTGGCTTGAAATTCTCGCTGCCAGCACAGCAGCCTGAAGTCGACCTGGGACGCTTCAGCTTGGCATCTGCCATTACTGAGGCTTGAATAGGTGGTTTTCCCCTCACAGTGTAAACAAAGCCTCTGGGAAGTTCGAACTGGCCAGAACCCACCACAGTTCAGCAAAGCCACTGTAGCCAGCCTGCCTCTCTAGATTCCTCCTCTCTGGGCAGGATATGCCTGAAAGAAAGGCAGCAGCCTCAGTCAGGGGCTTACAAATCAAATTCCCATCTCCCTGGGACAGAGCACCAGGGGGAAGGGGCAGCTGTGGGAGCAGCTTCAGCAGACTTAAATGTTCCTGCCTGCTGGCTCTGAAGAGAGCAGTGGATCTCCCAGCACAGCACTCAAGCTCTGCTAAGGGTCAGACTGCCTCCTCAAGTGGGTCCCTGACCCCCATGCCTGCTGACTGGCAGACACCTCCCAGCAGGGGTAGACAGACACCTCATATAGGAGAGTTCCAGCTGGCATCTGGCAGGTGCCCCTCTGGGACAAAGCTTCCAGAGGAAGGAACAGGCAGCAATCTTTGCTGCTGTTCTGCAGCCTCCACTGGTGATACCCAGGCAAATGGGGCCTGGAGTGGACCTCCAGCAAACTTGAGCAGACCTGCAGCAGAGGGGCCTGACTGTTAGAAGGAAAACTAACAAACAGAAAGAAATAGCATCAACATCAACAAAAAGGATGTCCACACATAAACCACATCGGAAGGTTACCAACATCAAAGACCAAAGGTAGATAAATCCATGAAAATAAGAAAAAAACAGCGCAACAAAGTTGAAAATTCCAAACACCAGAATGCCTCTTCTCCTCCAAAGGATCACAACTCCTTGCCAGCAAGGGAACAAAACTGGACAGAGAATGAGTTTGATGAATTGACAGAAGTAGGTTTCAGAAGGTGGGTAATAACAAACTCCTCCAAGCTAAAGGAACATGTTCTAACCCAATGCAAGGAAGCTAAGAAACTTGAAAAAAGTTAGAGGAATTGCTAACTAGAATAACCAGTTTAGAGAAGAACATAAATGCCCTGATGGAGCTGAAAAACACACCACAAGAACTTTGTGAAGCATACACAAGTATCAATAGCCGAATCGATCAAGCAGAAGAAAAGATATCACAGATTGAAGATAAACTTAATGAAATAAAGCATGAAGACAAGATTAGAGAAAAAAGAATGAAAAGGAACAAAGAAAGCCTCCAAGAAATATGGAACTATGTGAAAAAATCAAACCTACATTTGATTGGTGTACCTGAAAGTGACGGGGAGAATGGAACCAACTTGGTTCCATTCTCTTCAGGATATTATTGAGGGGAACTTCCTGAACCTAGCAAGATAGGCCAACATTCAATTTCAGGAAATACAGAGAACACCACAAAGATACTCCTCAAGAAGAACAACCCCAAGACACATAATCATCAGATTCACCAAGGCTGAAATGAAGGAAAAAATGTAAAAGGGCAGCCAGAGAGAAAGGTCGGGTTACCCCCAAAGAAAAGGCCATCAGAGTAACAGTGGATCTCTCGGCAGAAACCCTACAAGCCAGAAGAGAGTGGAGGCCAATAGTCAACATTCTTAAAGAAAAGAATTTTCAACCCAGAATTTCATATCCAGCCAAACTAAGCTTCATAAGCGAAGGAGAAATAAAATCCTTTACAGAGATGCAAATGCTGAGAGATTTTTGTCACCACGAGGCCTGCCTTACAAGAGCTCCTGAAGGAAGCACTAAATACGGAAGAGAAAAACCACTACCAGCCACAGCAAAAAAAATGCCAAATTGTAAAGACCATCAACACTGTGAAGAAACTGCATCAATTAACGGGCAAAATAACCAGCTAGCATCATAAAGACAGGATCAAATTCACACATAACAATATTAACCTTAAATGTAAATGGGCTAAATGCCCCAATTAAAAGGCACAGACTGGCAAACTGGATAAAGAGTGAAGACTCAGCAGTGTGCTGTATTCAGGAGACACATCTCACAGGGAAAGACACACATAGGTTAAAATAAAGGGATGGAGGAATATTTACCAAGCAAATGGAAAGAAAGAAAAAAAGAGCAGGGGTTGCAATCCTAGTCTCTGATAAAACAGACTTTAAACCAACAAAGATCAAAAAAGGCAAAGAAGGGCATTACATAACGGTAAAGGGATCAATGCAACAAGAAGAGCTAACTATCCTAAATATATATGCACCCAATACAAGAGCACCCAGATTGATAAAGCAAGTTCTTAGAGACCTACAAAGAGACTTAGACTCCCACACAATAATAGTGTGAGACTTTGACACCCCACTGTCAACATTAGACAGATCAATGAAACAGAAAATTCACAAGGATATTCAGGACTTGAACACAGCTCTGGAACAAGTTGACCGAATAGACATCTACAGCACTCTCCACCCCAAATCAACAGAATATACATGCTTCCCAGCACAACATTGCACTTATTCTAAAATTGACCACATAATAGGAAGTAAAATACTCCTCAGCAAATGCAAAAGATGGAAATCATAACAGTCTCTCAGACCACAGTACAATCAAATTAGAACTCAGGATTAAGAAACTTACTCAAAACCACACAACTACATGGAAACTGAACCTGCTCCTGAATGACTACTGGGTAAATAACAAAATTAAGGCAGAAATAAATAATTTCTTTGACACCAATAAGAACAAAGACAAAATGTACCAGAATCTCTGGGACATAGCTAAAGCAGTGTTTAGAGGGAAATTTAAGCCCTAAATGCCCACAGGAGAAAGCGGGAAAGATTTAAAATCGACACCCTAACATCACAATTAAAAGGACTAGAGAAGCAAGAGCAAACAAATTCAAAAGCCAGCAGAAGACAAATAACTAAGATCAGAGCAGAACTAAAGGAGACAGAGATATGAAAAACCCTTCAAAAAAATCAATGAACCCAAGAGCTGGTTTTTTAAAAAGATTAACAAAATAGAGAGGCCACTAGCCAGATTAATAAAGAAGAAAAGAGAGAAGAATCAAATAGACACAATAAAAAATGGTAAAGGGGATGTCACCACTGATCCCACAGAAATACAAAGTTACCATCAGAGAATGCTATAAACACCTCTAGGCAAATAAACTAGAAAATCTACAAGAAATGGATAAATTCCTGGACACATACACCCTGCAAAGACTAAACCAGGAAGAAGTCAAATCCCTGAATAGAGCAATAACAAGTTCTGAAATTGAGGCAGTAATTAATAGCCTGCAAACCAAAAAAGCCCAGAACCAGATGGATTCACAGCCAAATTCTACCAGAGGTACAAAGAGAAGCTGTACCATTCCTTCTGAAACTATTCCAAACAATAGAAAAAGACAAACTCCTCCCTAACTCATTTTATGAGGCCAGCATCATCCTGATGCAAAAACCTGGCAGAGACACAACGAAAAAAGAAAATTTCAGGCCAATGTCCCTGATGAACAACAATGCAAAAATCCTCAATAAAATACTGGCAAACCGAATCCAGCAGCACATCAAAAAGCTTATCCACCACGATCAAGTTGGCTTCATCCCTGGGATGCAAGGCTGGTTCAACATACACAAATCAATAAATGTAATCCATCACATAAACAGAACCAATGACAAAAACCACACGATTATCTCTATGGATGCAGAAAAGGCCTTTGATAAAATTCAACAGCGCTTCATGCTAAAAACTCTCAAGAAACTAGGTATTGATGGAATGTACCTCAAAATAATAAGGGCTATTTATGATAAACCCATAGCCAATATCATCCTGAATGGGCAAAAACTGGAAGCATCCCTTTGAAAACCGGCACAAGACAAGGATGCCCACTCCTATTCAACATAGTATTGGCAGTTCTGGTCAGGGAAATCAGGCAAGAGAGAGAAATAAAGCGTATTCAAATGGGAAGAAAGGAAGTCAAATTGTCTCTGTTTGTGGATGACATGATTGTATATTTATAAAACCCCATTGTCTCAACCCAAAATCTCCTTAAGCTGATACAGCAACTTCAGCAAAGTCTCAGGATACAAAACCAACGTGCAAAAATCACAAGCATTCCTATGTACCAGTAACAGACAAACAGCCAAATCATGAGTGAACTCCCATTCACAATTGCTACAAAGAGAATAAAATACCTAGGAATACAACTTACAAGGGATGTGAAGGACCTCTTCAAGGAGAACTACGAACTACTGCTCAAGGAAATAAGAGAGGACACAAATGGAAAAACATTCTATGTTCATGGATAGGAAGAATCAATATCATGAAAATGGCCATACTGCCCAAAGTAATTTACAGATTCAGTGCTATCCCCATCAAGCTATCATTGACTTTCTTCACAGAATTTGAAAAAACTACTTTAAATTTCATATGGAACCAAAAAAGAACCTGTCTAGCCAAGACAATCCTAAGCAAAAAGAACAAAGCTGGAGGTATCATGCTACCTGACTTCAAACTATACTACAAGGCTACAGTAACCAAAACAGCATGGTACTGGTACCAAAACAGAGATATAAAACAATGGAACAGAACAGAGCCCTCAGAAATAACGCCCCACATCTACAACCATCTGATCTTTGACAAACCTGACAAAAACAAGCAGTGGGGAAACGATCCCCTATTTAATAAATGGTGTTGGGAAAACTGGCTAGCCATATGCAGAAAACTGAAACTGAACTCCTCCCTTACACCATATACAAAAATTAACTCAAGATGGATTAAAGGTTTAAACTAAGGCCTAAAACCATAAAAACCCTAGAAGAAAACCTAGGCAATACGATTCAGGACATAGGCATGGGCAAAGACTTCATGACTAAAACACCAAAAGCAATGGCAACAAAAGCCAAAATTGACAAATGGGATCTAATTAAACTAAAGAGCTTCTGCACAGCAAAAGAAACTATCATCAGAGTGAACAGGCAACCTACAGAATGGGAGAAAATTTTTGCAATCTATCCATCTGACAAAGGGCTAATATCCAGAATCTACAAAGAACATAAACAAATTTACAAGAAAAAAACAACCCCACCAAAAAGTGGGCAAAGGATATGAACAGACACTTCTCAAAAGAACACTTTCATGCAGCCAACAAACATGAAAAAAAAGCTCACCATCACTGGTCATTAGAGAAATGCAAATCAAAACCACAATGAGACACCATCTCATGCCTGTTAGAATGGCGATCATTAAAAGTCAGAAAACAACAGATGCTGGAGAGGATGTGGAGAAATAGAAATGCTTTTACACTGTTGCTGGGAGTGCAAATTAGTTCAACCATTGTGGAAGACAGTGTGGCAATTCCTCAAGGATCTAGAACTAGAAATACCTTTTTACCCAGCAATCCCATTACTGGGTATACACCCAAAGGATTATAAATCATTCTATTGTAAAGACACATGCACACGTATGTTTCTTGCAGCACTATTCACAATATCAAAGACTTGGAACCAACCCAAATGCTCATCAATGATAGACTGGATGAAGAAAATGTGGCACATATACATCATGGAATACTATGCAGCCATAAAAAAGGACAAGTTCATGTTATTTGCAGGGACAGGATGAAGCTGGAAACCATCATTCTCAACAAACTAACACAGGAACAGAAAACCAAACACCACATGTTCTCACTCATAAGTGGGAGTTGAACAATGTGAACACATGAACACAGGGAGGGGAACATCACACACTGGGGCCTGTTGGTGGGGTCGGGGGCTAAGGGAGGGATAATATTAGGAGAAATACCTAATGTAGATGATGGGTTGATGGGTGCACCAAACCACCATGGCAAGTGTATACCTGTGTAACAAACCTGCATGTTCTGCACATGTATCCCAGAACTTAAAGTATTAAAAAATAAATAAATAAAAGCTTAAGGCATCACACTACCCAATTTCAAACTATACTACAGGGCTACAGTAACCAAAACAGCATGGTAATGGTATAATAACAGACACATAGATCAATGGAAAAGAACACAGAGCCCAGAAATATGGCCACCACACCTACAAACAGCTGATCTTCAAGAAAGCTGACAAAAACAAGCCATGGGGAAAGGACTCCCTGTTCAATTAATGGTGCTGGTATAACTGGCTAGCCATATGCTGAAGATTGAAACTGGACCCTTTCCTTACACCATATTGAAAAATTAACTCAAGATAGAATAAAGACATAAATGTAAACCCAAAACTATAAAAATTTTGGAAGACAACCTAGGCAATACCATCTTAGACGCAGGAACAGGCAAAGATTTCATGACAAAGACCCCAAAAGCAATTGCAACAAAAGCAAAACTTGACAAATGGGAACTAATTAAACTAAAGATCTTCTGCATAGCAAAATAAACTATCAACAGAGTAAACAGACAACCTACAGAATGGGAGGAAATTTTTTCAAATTATACATGTGACCAGGGTCTAATATCCAGCATCTTTAAAGAACTTAAACAAATTTACAAAAAAAAAGCAAACAATCCCATTAAAAAGTGGGCAAAGGACATGAACAGACACTTTCCAAAGGAAGACATACATGTGGCCAACAAGCATATGAAAAAAAGTTCAATATCACAATCTTTAAAACAGTACAAATCAATACCGCAATGAGATACCATCTCACAGCAGTCAGAATGGCTTCTACTAAAAAGTCAAAAAATAACAGATGCTTATGAGGTTGTGGATAAAAAAGAAATTCTTATACACTATTGGTTGAAGTGTAAATTAGTTCAACCATTGTGGAAGACAGTGTGGCAATTCTTCAAAGACCTAAAAATAGAAATATCATTTAATCTAACAATCTCATTACTGGGTATATACCCAAAGGAATATAAATTGTTCTATCATAAAATACATGCACATGTATGTTCATTGCAGCACTATTCACAATAGCAAAGACATGGAATCAACCAAAATGCCCATCAATGGCAGACTGGATAAAGAAAGTGTGGTACATATACATCATGGAATGTTATGCATCCATAAAAAAGAATGAGATCACGTTCTTTGCAGGAACATGGATGGAGATGGAGGCCATTATCCTCAGCAAACTAACGCAGGAACAGAAAACCAAATACCACATGTCCTCCTTACAAATGGGAGGTAAATGATGAAAACACATGGACACATAGAAGGAAACAACACATGATGGAGCCTATCAGAGGATGGAGGTTGAGAGGAGGAAGGGGATCAGGAAAAATAATTAATGGGAACTAGGCTTAAGACCTGGATGATGAAATAATCTGTATAACAAACCCCCATGACATGAGTGTACCTACATAACAAACCTGCATGTGTAGCCCTGAACTTAAAAGTTAAAAAAAAAATGACAATTTTTTAAAAATAGGGAGTTCCAATGCTAATGCTATGTAGAAGACACTTGGGCTATCAAATGAAATAGCTGGTATTCAACTCCAGTTATTGGTGACCTAAAGGAATATAAACCTGACATTATAGGATCATCCACTTTTTAACAGGACGAATCAAAATTTATGTGGGAAATCTTCAAGTTATTAAATACAGGAAGCCATCTAAAATAATTTTTTTTTAATTCTGTGAGAACCAAACACTTATGCCAGCAAGTCAAACTCAGCCTGGTACCACTGTTTCTACCTCTCATATTAATTGTAAAGATTTACTCTCCTGAGCTGGATATGAGGAAATGTCAGTATGCATTGTAAGGGCCATAAATCTCTCATATGCTTAGAGCAGAATTGCCTCCTTCTCTCCAGGGAAACTGGAGAAATCTTGACTACTGAAAAGGTTCCTGGTACTAATTTCAAACAATATCTATTTTTCTAATTCTGCTGAGGATCAAGAGAGATCTCCCCACAAAACATCTAAAAATACTCAGCACAAAGACTGGATTCTATAAACAATTAATTAGTTCATTATTTCAACTATTATGATCACTTTCAAATCTACCTTTAAAAGAGTCACTCATCAATGTCTCCCAAAACTATTTAAATTTCCTTCTGGAAAAAGAATGTGTGGGTTCACCAGTAAACCATTTTATGATAGCAGCTTTGAGATTATAGTTCTATATGTGAATAGAAAATTAGTAAAGTGATTTTTTACTAAACCAATAAGCACTAGAACACAGCCAAAGATAGCATACAGCCTGCAAATCAAAACATTTTGTCAGCAACATAAAGAGGGCTATTCCCAGAACACCTAGATTTCCTTTTCTGTATTTTAAAGGAGGTAAAACCTCCCTTTAAAGTGCCAATCATCTCATGCAGAAAATGTGAACAGCATTTTTCCCAAGGATAGATATTAATTATACTTCATCTGTATCAAACCCCTTCACTGTACTAGGTGACTTAGCATCTGAGCAAAAACATCTGTAATGTTCTGGGTCATTAGCAACAAACGCTGAACCAGCAACGGGAGCAACCTAAGACAGGGACATTTTTAAAACATTTAAAAATAAATACTTAATAGATAGGAATTGGTTAAGTAAGTCCTCTTCAGACATATGATATATTTTGAAATCATTAGAAAATATGTTGTTAGTACAAACAAGTACCCAAAGTCTGAAATATTTTCTGTGAAGAATAAGATTCTAAAATGAGAGAGAGAAGAATCCATTTTAATTATTTTTCCAAACATGAAATGGTTCTGGTTGGTTTCTTTTCTGTTTGCGGTTAAATCAGATTCTCTAAACTTATAAAAACCGGTATGCCTGCCATAGTTTTGTGTCATTTGGGAAAATCTGCACTTTTCAGTGAGCTCTCATTTCCATTTAGGGTTGAATGGGCTTGTCCTGCCAGAATTTTCAGCAAAAACATCAGAAAGAAACTCATCTCTGTGACTGTCAGAGCAATAATAAAACCAAAGGCAAAACAGGATGGAAAGATAATCCCAACAAATAACTTTTTAAACAGGCTCATAGAATGGAAAGACTGGTTGGATTTAACTTTATTTTAATTGCAGGTGAACTCACTCTAGAAGGAGCATGTGCGGTAGGCACCTAACAGCTAAATGTCATCAGCTCTTTGTAAATGTGCTGAACCCAACCTATGCCTGCTGATTTCATTCTGTTTTCCTATAAGCAGCTGAAATGTAGCCAAAGAAAGGAAAATTACCTGCTGCTAAATCTGAAGTTGACATATAAGCCAGCCTATAAAGGCTACAACCAGTAGCACATCTCAGCTTCATACGATCCACAGAAGTCACCTTTTGGTGTATGTAGGACAAGAAAGCACATGTGAAATCCAAGTTCATAGATAATCCAAAGATAGCATAACCTATCTTTGGCAACACACCTTAGCTGTTTTAAGTTCAATGGGTCCCAAGAAGCATTTCTCACTGTTAATGTGCTATAATGTGATTTCTGCCAAATTTTTCTAGCAAACAACATTCTCTTGGAAGTGATAGGAGACATAGTGCTCATCAAATTCGAAGGCCTTTTCTGATCTTGACATTCCTTGGCTTCTGTGTCATATTTGCTCATTTCTTCCTTCCTAAGATTTTCTCTTTTCCTGGCTTCCTGGACTAGCTTAGTTTTCCTTTTCTCTACCTCTGACCATTTATTCTTTATGTTTTCTGCTGACTTTTCCTATGACTACCTACAAATGTTTTTCCCTCTGTCGGTTATAACAATAGGTGATAATTATTGATTCTTAATAAGTTGCATTATCTCATTCAATTCTCACATCCACTCTACAACGTAGATGTTAGAACCTCCGTTACATAGATATGGAAACTGAGGCTTGAAAATTAAATAACATGCCCAAGGACTCAGAGTAAGAAGTAGAATTCAGATTTTAACCCACATTATTCTGAACTCTGAGCTTACATTCTTAAGATCTATACTATAATATCTATTTTCTCTCTTTTATTAGGGATCACAGTACTTATACTACCAACTCTCTTCGAAGTACAAATTCCATTTTTTTTTTCACAGCTTTCTAGGATAGCAAGCCATCTTTGGGATATCCTCCTAGCACTTCAAATTGAATAACAAAATTAAGCTCATTTTTTCTCCCTAATTTCTCTACATTCCAACTTTCATTAATAGTATTTACCTAATGAGGTAGTTGTGTAAAATATGCTTGAAAAACTACTGTGTTATTTTATTACAAAAATAGGGTCTCATCAAAACTAATTAATTAATATGAAAGAAATAATCAGAATAGTGCTGTAGCCAGAAAGCTAGTTGTTGGCTGTTTATTGACTTCAAGACTACCCTAGGAAGCTTCAAACTAATTCCAACTCAAATAACACAGGGACTCAAAAATATGTCCAAAATGAAGGAAGACAAATAAGTATATAAATTGAGCTAGCCTTCCCGCAATCTTTACAAATCAGGAAGCCCAGGAAGTAAAAGTCCAGGCCAAAACTTACAGTGGTCAGCTAACATCCAGCCAAATCTGGGAGTAGAACTGGCTAAACAGCCATTCATCCTGCAGCATTCCTTCTAAGACGAGAAAAATGGCAAAGTCACCTGAACAAATAGGCTGTGAGCAAACTCTCTACAAGGCTGGCAGCCATGTCTCCCCAGGCAAAAGCTACAGTTGACTTGGACTAAAACAAGTTAGGGAGGATGTTTAATTAAATATGGCAGGATACTTGACTGGGAGGCTAAAATTTAAAAATAATTTTGCAAGCAAGTTTAGCCAAATGGTTTTTAAATGTGATTTCAGAAGTGAAAAAAGCAAAATACAAAATTGTATTTATGACATAAAACTACATAAAAAGCACACTTCATGTAAAAGTGTTTTTAAAACAATTTTATTTGTAGTGCAATAACTTTTTTATTTTAAACTGTATGTTTAATTTTTATTTTCATTCTTACTGCTATTAAGTTGTTTGTGCAACAAATTGTCTTTTGCAAACAAGTGGTGTTCACCCTATAGATATGCAGCCCCAAAACAACTGCAGGGAGCTTTGTAGATGTGGCCTGAACTCTTCTCATTCCCCTCCTCTCAGTTTTCCCACTGCCATTTGAAACTGTTACTTGGTACAAGACTGATTTAGTTCTAATGATATAGACTAGCTTCTAGGGTCATCAGAATAAAGCAACCAGAAAATGTGAGAGTGACAGTTGGTAATGGGACTGTAAGATGACTGAAATAATATTCCCACTCCCACATAGACATTTCATACCTCATTCATTGCTTATTGTTAACCAATATCACTGACTATTTTTCATATGATGCCAAAAAAAGCTCCAGATCAGAAATCAGGATATTTGGATTTCACCATTAATTTGCTTTATGCCCTTGGACAAGATATCCACCTTCTGTTTTCTTGTCTGTAGTGCACGAGAACAAGTCCACTCCCAGACGCTCACGCTTATCTTTAAGGTCCTGTCCTAATCTAGCCTTTTATAATTGCTCTGTCATCTTTGGGAAATTCTGGAGACAGAATAAATTGCCATAAACTTTCCAAATAAAAGTGTGGTAATATATACCAAGAGCCTTAAAAATGACCATACTGTTGGGCATAGCAATGACATCTCCGGGTTTTTTTCTAAGGAAATAATTCAGATGCCCAAAAAGACTTGTGAGCAAGGAAATTTATCTTATGTATAATGACCAAAAAGTAAAAATAAATACTTAACAGATAGGAATTGGTTAAGTAAGTCCTCTTCAGACATATGATATATTTTGAAATCATTAGAAAATGTTGTAAAACAATGTTTAATGGAATAAATATAATGCAAAGCATAAAATATTAAGAGCGGTTACAATCATGATTGACATATAGATTTATATATATATTATATAAATGTATACACATAGAAATAAACCTATATATGCATATAAGTTTACATACACATATACAAAGAGAGAGGAAAAGTAAGAGAAGAAGAGAGGATAAGAAAAGACACTAGGTTCAAATCTTAACTTTGTTACCACTTTCTAGCTGTGTGAACTTAGCTTCTCTGTGCCTCCATTTTCTCACTGTAAAACTGAGAAATAGTACTTACCTAATAGAACTATTTTGAGGATTGAGTTAATTGAAAGCTCTTTCATTTTCTCTAAGCCTATAAGAAGCACATAGTAGGTGTTAGTTGGGCAATCAACTGAGATGAGGGGAAACTATAACGAAAGCATTTTATTATCTATACACTTAAGGAATTTTTACATACCAGATTTATTAGAGTCTCACAACAATCCTCTAGTGTTATTAGGCAAGGATTCCCACTTCTTGGTGTCTGGTAAAGAACTCAAGATGCAGAAAGATGCCGTAATTTGCCCAACGGTACCAAAACAGTCAGTAGCAGAACTGGGAATAAAATTGTTCTTTTATTCTTCCTTTCTAGGGTCCTTGCCACTATTTAAGAAATGTTAAAGAATAAATTATACTATTTAAATTTTTTACCATGTGCATATATTACCAGATCAAAATATATTAATGTTGACGCATTTTAAAATAAAAAATGAAAAGATGTTAAGGGAATATGTAGTCTCATTAAAAGGGAAGGAATAGACTGTCCTGCCAGTTCTCTGCCAACTTGCCAATGACCCAGCAGCAAAAGCTTCAAAGCCATCTACTACCTGACAGTCTTTTCAGGTATAAGCAGGAGCTATTAAATTCTAAGCACATCGTTCCTATATAAATGATTATTTCCCGCTAAGACACAGGGAAGATAATGCTGGGATATATTGTAGAAATTCCCTCCTATCTCATGGATATCTGATAGATCATTTTGGAGAAAATGAGATGGGGCAGGATCCTCAACTGTTGATGACTGTCTAGGGATACATGAAGACAACTGAAGCATCCACTTACTTCTAGTGTTGCAAGTTACCTAAAAGCCCTATTAAGTTTACCACATCATAGCATAATGAGAATTTGCTCAAACTAATGAGAATTTACACAATTTATTTGGTGAGAAATAAATGCCTGAGTGTGGAAAAGGAAAATAGGCATGACCTTTGACCATTTGTTCAGACACAGTATGGATCCTAAGTTTGGTGAGATAATTTTTAAAACATTCTGCAGAGGAGACATTTGGGAAGCACTTCTCTAGTAAATTCAGCATGTTATGCAAGACCATGCTGTAGATTCACCTTGCCCATAAGTGCACTGAACAGTGTTCAGTTAATTCATTCACCTTTCCATGTCACAACCCCACCATCCAAGAAACCTGGTTCACTTCTATTCCAATGGCCCTAAAAACAAATCAACAGACAATATAGAAGGCCCCTACAAATTTAGAAGTTCTAATGGAGAGATACCTAAAATCACCGCTACAAAAAATACCATTTAAACTTGAAGACAATATATAGAAACCTCACTTTCTTAGCTCATGCATATTTGCTGCTGATGTCAAAGCTGCTGAATAGAATGATAGCATGTCTGACTCACCGTCACAAAATGTAAAATGCAGAAGGGAAAAGCAGAGGCAGAAAAGGCAAAAATCATTATCTTCAAACTTGAAAAGAATCGGACTCATAAATTTTTCTTCTGCTGTCCATCAAGGATTAAAAACTTTCAGCTCATTGCTTCAACCATATCAATGTATTTAATACTATACAGAGAAAGCGTCTGAAATCTAGCAGCTAATGCCCACGGTTCATCTTAGGGTATAAATGGGAAGAAAAAAGGGTTACTTATTTGGTTTAAGAAAAAAATCTGTTGTCTTTACCCCAAATAATTTCTTCCAGAATTATGGAACAGATAGTAGAAAGCAAGTATAAACTACATATAAAGAGCAAATGTAAAATAGATAAAAAGCAAAATAGAATCACTACCTAGTAGACACATGACAATAGCTCCTTTCATTTTCTTCCTATAGTTAACAGTCTCCCAACCTCCTTGGTGTCATCTTTGGTGGCCGTCACATCCTCACCCCCACATCTAGCGGTCACAAAGTGCTTCAAGGCTCTCACCTCCACTTAGGCTTCTCCTTCCCCCCTGCAACTGCCTGAGGTCAAGCCTTCATCATCTTTCTGACTCCAGCTGTCCATCTTGCCTCAAGTGTCATCTTCCTTCTCCCAATCTGCTCCCAGAATTGGCTCTCTAAAAAGCACACAGGATTGAGTTGCTGCTTAAGTATAAATATTTGTGGTTTCCATTAGTTTCCAGTTGCAGTTACAAGCCACTGGAATATGGACAGACACGAATTTTAAAATGGCTTTGTTTTTGGCCCCCAGGTGTTTCAAAAAAAATTTCTTATTAGTTACCAGGATTTAATTATCATGAGAGTTCACATAAAAAAATAAGCCTCATTTCCAGGCTTCTCTTGGGAAATTGGTATTATTTGGAAATACAGTGTTCACACACTAGAAAAACCACCATCTGTGGGGATGGAGTCCCAGCTGCCTTTCTTAGAAGGCACCTTACTAACCAAGTGACCACAGTCACTACATGGCCACTCATTTATATTATTTTCCTAGCCCCTCTAGACAATTAAGTCTGTGACATGACCTACAGCATTGAGTCCAAATTCTTTATTATGGCATTCCTAGCCCTTCAAAATATTGTTCCAGCTTAAATTTGCCAGGTACAATTTTTGGACACACCTGTCCCATAAATACCTGCCATATGTCCTCACCACCATGTGTCACGCCTCTATGCTCATTGCTATACTGGCTTTTACACCCACAGTACCCTCCCGATCCCGTGGCTTACCCTGTACACTCTTCATTCAATCTTCATGGATAAGCCCTAATAATATCACCTCTTTATAGTCTTTCCTAATCACATCTCCTGGAAATTTCATCATTTGCATTTTTATAATATTTTATAGCAGTTATCAAGATATATTACTATTTTAAGGGTCAGTATCTCAGAACTTTAGTAGGGATGGTGTGTCATCTTACTTTTCTCCATGCAACCTAGCAGAAGTATGGCCAATTGTGAATATTCTGTAAATATTTGTTCAAGTAAAACTAGATACTAAGAACCATGACTGAGATGTTACTGCTATTCCATACTTCCCTTCATGCCTTTTCTTTCTACTACAGAGCTTCAGCAATGGGAAAACAGTTATAGTATCTGGCTCCAAAATCTCCCTAAACCATGAGGCTGGTTCCACTAATACCGTTGACTCATGTCTTCTTTTTAAATATAATAGTTAGAAGGAATTTCATCTTAAATTCCTACTTATCTGAGAATGACTTGGTTACAACACATGTCCTCCCTGCCCAACAGGAAAACTGAATAATTCATGGAGGTAGCAGAATGCTGGATGAAGGTTCCTACATGGTCAGCCCATGGAGGAACAACAGGAGCACATTTTGGGTAATTCTCTGTCAAACCCAGACACTAGGAAGCCATTCTCCAGTCCTCTGCAATCAGAATTGATTCAACTCTTGTAATATTATTCTGCTGAGACAAGAATCAGGATCATCACAGCCATAGCGTTAAAAGTGTTATAGCCTTCATAAAAACAATCACATCAGCTATAAAACGGTAGGTGATCAAGGTTGCTGCTCCACTTTCATCATAACTCACTTAGTTTGACGTGCCTGGATGGAGAAACAAATTATAGGTAATTCCTAGCCCGCCTTCCACTATTGTGGAAAATGATACATTGCATCTATTTCCAGGCAGACTGCCACAGTGGTAAAGAGAGAATAAATGTTTTTCAAATGATGGGAAATAAGGCTGAAAAAGATCTTGCTAGACAGATTTAGATAATAGTTTCTGAGAATTGGAGCCATCCCAAAACTGTTCTAGGGGATATGGAGTTCAAAAGGATAGCTAAAAAATTCCTAATACCCACATCCCTGATTTGTTATGCAAATAGCAGATAGCCTAGAATCTGACACATCTGAAGTTGTCCAAGGTCATATCACTGGTCTGCTGATTGTATATGTGAACTTGATCAAGGTCCAATCTCTGTCTATAAAAAATGTTTACATTTTTATCTATAGAAAACAATGGGAACCCTGCTACTTACCCTACTCCTAGTTAATCTCATGGAGTTATCTTAACGGATCATTATCCTAACACCTGAAAGATAACAGATTCTAAATAAATTGTCAGTAACTTTCTGCTATCCACATCCCTGAGGCTTTCTGCCATTCAACATGAACTACCTTCCAAGTCTCTGACTCCCTCCCTCCCTCCCTCTCTCTCTCTTTCTCACACAGACACACACACACACACACACACACACAGAGAGAGAGAGAGAGAGAGAGAGAGAGAACAACATGTCCATTCCCACTCTCACTACATACCCTATTTCTCACCCTAACTCTTCTCTTGCTTTGTCCCACCTATATGGACAATCTGCTGGATATATGGAAGTACATGTATTAGGGTTTTATACAGTATGCTTCTATATGTCTGTCATACCAAATTAAAGTGATACATAAAAATTTTTGCTTCAGGGTATTAAAAAAAACCCCTCTTTTAGAATATTAGAGAACTCACAAGAGTGACTCAAGGTGGAATGACTTCAAATGTCCCCTGGCTTCAACTTTTTCCTTCCTGGGCCTCCCTAAGAAATTGCTTGAAAATGCCCTGTCATGTCTCATTAAACTGCCTTGATCACTGCTTACAGATCATGGAACCATTTGGAAGCTGATGAAGTATTATGGTTCAAAACTTGATGACACAGGTATTACAATGACAGATGGCACCACTACGTAAAAGAGATAGAATGCACAGGGATGCCTGACTAGTGCAAGTCGTATTAATGCAGAGTGACTATTAATTTGGAAACTGTCTGGAAAAGTTCAGCCAATTTAGTAAATCAGCACTTGACATGTGGGAGATCTAGTATAATGACAACAATGAGCAGAGAAATATGGAAAATGTGGGGTAGTGGTGATCCCTTCTCTTTTCCAATCTCTAGGTAACCTGGGCATTGGTCTCTTTTTCTCTAAGGACTGTTACTGAGTTTTTTTGTTTGTTTGAATTTGGCGGTGAGAAAAGGATAGCCCACAGAATAAACCTATTTCCCTTGCTGGGTGCTCTCCCTAGGTGGATCCATGTGAGAAAATTTCTAACTGGTGCTTTTGCCTGTAGAAAAGTCTGAGGTCTCACTGCACAGAATTGTTTTGTCTAGCCAGACATTCCATGGGCCACAAGAGAATGTCCCATACAGATGCCCGCTCTCCTTCGCCTCGGATTCTTTAACAGGCAGCTCCTATCTTCCTGCCTTCCATCCCTAAGTCCCCACCTCTCCTGTCTTTCCCAGCTGCTCACCCTTGCCCCAGAGGTTAATAAAGTCATCTTTCTCTGGGTCATGGAAATCTTCAGGCTTTAAGTGTGGGCTTTTAGCTCCCAGATGATTTTTTCTCTTAATATATTCATTTCGGTTTCTGGGTAGTTACTGGGATGGGTTTTGCAAGGACAGAAGAGCAATGCGGAGTACAGTTTGCCTTTTGACTGGTTTACCTTTGGTTCGTATTATCTAAAAACAGCAGACATCTTGTTTTTCAGACGATAATTACTTACCAATAACCACTGATGTCTACATATAAGATTCATATGTCCCCAGCTACCACTTCTTTCTGGACTTCATTTTGGTAAACACAAACACCCATACACAAACACATACACATACGCAGCCATGCACTGCTTAACAACAGGGACACATTCTGAAAAATACATCATTGGGTGATTTTGTGGTTGTATAAGCATAATGGAGTATACTTCCACAAACCTAGATAGTACAGCCTGCCACACACCAAGACTCTGTGGTATATAGCCTATTGCTCCTAGGCTACAAACCTCCACAGCATGTTATGGGACTAGATACTATAGACAATTGTAACACAGTAGTATTTGTATTAAATATGGTATTATAATCTCATGGGACCACCATCATATATGTGGTCTGTCATTGACCAAAATATGATTATGTGGTCCCTGACTGTACATGTGTGCCCTTCCTGTGTTTGAAGATCCATGGGTTTGGATCTTCCTATTTGGGACAAGTCCAAGCCTAATGGGGAATACTGTCAAATGAGGGCATAGGCAGGCTGTTAGATGGGTTGGTGCAGATAGCAGCTGTTAGCACAGCCCTCCATCTGAAGCAAAGACTGAACATGGGGATCAGAGAGACAAAGGACCCGCAGTGAAGTAGATAAAGCCACCCCAGGTCAGTAGGCTTAGAAGAGGGAGACTGAGCTCCTCATAATGGCAAGCTTCAGTTGGTCCCTTGGCCAAATCATCCTTCTTAGAATCATCTAGCAGCTTCCCTTTGGCATAAGACAGGGGGGGAAAAAACTACTTCCAACCAACAGTTGATGGTCATTTCAGTGAAATTCTAAAATTTTTACTACGCTAAAATTCCCTTGGTTTCAAGTCCATTTGTGACTAAAAGGGCCTGGAATAAAAGCATAGGCCACTCAGGAGGGGAGTAGGAAAATGAAAGAAACCATTCTGTGTTTTCTCTAAAGTCAATTCCTGATAATTAATAGTTAATCCTAGAGTAATTAATATCAATTACTGTAAGCTGGTAGAGTTGTCAAATAAAGAAAGGACAAAATAGATATACTTCGTGGATATATTTTTAATCTCATTTTTTAAAAAATTGTAGCAGGATTGCTCATCTGTGACATATACAGAAACCACTAAAAAGAGACAACAAGCTACCCAGGACAGGTTAATGGATTGACTGTTTAGCTGAATGATTACTGAGTGTCCCTCAGTCTTGTAGCAAGATTGAGGCATGTCAGAAACGTGTTCTAAACCTGACTCTGTTATTCTTCTGTGTCCAAGAGGAAGACACATTTTAGAATTATTCCCTAAATGGATTCTTCATAAAAATGAATATAGCTTACCTGCTATTCTTGTTAAGAATGAAAGTATATAAATAAGGATTTTTGGTGGAAAATTTTTGCATATAAGTAGTCAAGTCTCCATCTGAATATGATCTTTTCCTCATTATAATCTAGACATGACTTCCAGAGACATTTGTGCCTGATTTATAACAGCTGTCGGGAAGAAGGGCATGTTACCAAGTTCCTCAAAGCCAAAGGGCCAAGGTAATCATCTTCAACACTAAAAGCTACTGATTTCATACAACGAATCAACCCATTCAGTTACTAACAGGTACAGTTTGCAAACTACTTTATCTTGGGAAATTCAACTGAGAAATTCACTGCTAAAATTTAAACATTCTATGAGAACTTTAACATTTTTTTAATGGCTAGAGTAAGCATGTAAAAACATTTTCTGGATTAAAAATTAGAATGGCCACACTCTATGACATCAAATTAAGAGGTCCCAGGTAGCCATTTTTTCATAAGTTAGAGTAGATTTCATTTTCTTTTCCAAGGAAAATCATGTCATTGACCTTGGGTACTTTGTCAACCCACCTTCGTGAGGAGGAGTTCTCTCCTATCAAGTCCTCAAATTTCATGAGAGGATGTCACTATTATTCTCAGAGCAGCAGAAAACTATAGCTATAAGTATGAGAGAATATCTTCAGTCCAGGTGCTTATCAGACAGAAAAATTTCAAACTCACTGACACTCAGGACTTACCAAATTTTAGTCAAAAGAAATAATATTTCTGGAAAATTCCTAAAGTACAAGTAGTCCAGCCACTCCTCTAACATCCAAAACAATTTAACCTCAGTTTGAACCACACCACTACGAAGTTGTTTACATGGGGCACCTTTATCTATGCACCATCTTTCCCCAAAGAAAAATTTGAAAACTGCTTTTACTGACTCATGCTGGCATTATACCATCCACACACATTGAGGAATATTCTATGAGGATATTGTTGAGAACATCATTGAAGACATTATCCTATGTCCTCATAAGTATGACCTACAGGTAAAATTATTCTCAACAATTAATAATAGATTACTTCCTTTGAACAATTGGTTTGTTTAATCTTACAGACATCTGCTGGGCTGTGTATCTTGATTGCTTTCCTCTTTTATTGATTGCCAGAAAGTTCAGAGGCAAATAGTGGGAACATTCCCTCAGGATTTTACAGTATATATTCTACAGTCTAATTTTACCATTAGCTTTACTTTATGTTTATACCTTTATTTTATCAATGTTCTGCTTTGTTTGATTAGTCACTTTCATCTATTATACAGTATTTTGTCAATCCTTTTTCATAAAGATGATAGTTATAAATAATTTAATTCACTTAACTAAGCATCTACTATTTGCATGGCCTCTTCTTAGGCACCATGACACTTTGTCTATAACTTATCCTTTGATCCGAATACTTTAACTGGGATCTGAACATTTAACTCAAGCCCAGGAAAACACTCAACAATAGTAAAAACAGATAAGAAACCCTCTAAGGATTCTCAAGATTATAAGAGGTCTATATTGTGAATGTTTAAACTTATTATTTTTCCCTAAAAAAAAGCCAGTAAAAGCCTATCTTCCTAATAAATTAAGTAAATTATATTTGATTACATATTTATACAACTAGTTAATAATAATTTATATAAATAAAGTCAAATCTTATTCCACAATGACTCAGGGAACATTTTAGAGACAAGAGTCTCAAGCTTTAATAAAATGTTCTCAAGATTGAATTGGGACTACAGTAAGGAGAAAATTACTGAGTTATTTTCTTGATAGTACCTGGTCTTTAAAGAGAACCACATTCTTCTTTGTGGATAACAAATATGTTAAGTCTCTTTTCCCATCCTCAAGAAGCTTTGAAGACTCACTCTATTTCCTTTATCCTACCACAGAAAAGGTATAATTGTATAAAGCTGCCTTTCAGCTTTCTTCATCTCTACTTTTCTTTTCACTGCACTTAAAATAAGATAATAACTTACGGAACTACCTCTTCTCATGCAGTGCCTACCTTCCCATGAGTGCATTAGTATAGATCATCCTTGAGGATGCCTCCTTTTGTGCTCCCAGAGATCTTAATCTCCTTGTTATGAGGGCAGTAATAACTTGTCATGAGGGCAGTAATAATGTAGAGTGCTGCAAGGGTACCACCCGATGTCTGTCAAAGGCCAAAGGTGATCAAAAAAGTCCATTATTTTATTGTTCATGGCTAGCTTCACTAGCAGTGACTGATGGAGGTCATTTTCATCAACAAACTCATGATGCCAGGAATTCAAGAGCCTCCTTCAGCAAGACACTGGGATTAAGAGCAGCCTGGTAGCTGGTTTTGCTGTTTGACATTGTGTGAGAAACACATGCCTGGAGAACCACTTGACAGCCAAAGCTATTTGTGAGCAAATTTCTCCTCTTCAACTTCTCTGAAGCGTTCAGCATATATAGCCTCATTAGTCCCTCTCTACCAAAGCAGCTCCTTCTTTCTGCTGAAATTCAAAGAATAATGAATACCAGAGTTTGCTAGATTGGAAGTTTCAGCTGAGACTCCAAGATACCATAGATATTAAAGACTAAAGGGTGCTGTCAAACGGAATAAAAAGCTTCTTTTCAAAATAGGTGGGGCTGGGCAAGGAGGTTTACGCCTGTAATCCCAGCACTTTGGGAGGCCGAGGTGGGAGGATTGCTTGAGGCCAGTTTGAGACCAGCCTGGGCAACAGAGTGAAACCCCATCTCTAAAAACAAAAAACAAACAAAGTAGGTAGCATAGAATCAGTTTGATGACTGTCCCTCATTGAAGATATAGAAGAATCAAGAAAATTAGAGATTATAGAGAATTTGTGAAGAAATTTTCTTGGAGTGGACTGTTTCCTTACTACAATTCTCAAACCTCACTTTACCCTCCCAAAAGGAGCCCTTCTTTTCATCTCAAACCAAGACAGTGGCTTCACGTTATCCATATTAGTCAAAAACTAAAAATAGTCTAGTTGCCCATCAGTTGAATGAATTTTTAAAACTGTTATCAGAAGAGAGCACTACTCAGCAATTAAAAAGGAAGGAACTACTGATGCATACAACAATGTAGAATAGTCTCAAAAAACATAGAATAAGTCAGAGAAACCATATACAAAGGAGTACACACTGGATGACCTCATTTTTGTGAAGTTCTAGAATAGGCAAATCTAATCCACCATGGTGGAAAAATAAAACAATGTTTGCTTCTGGTGGGGAAGGGTGTGGAAATTAACTTGAAAGAAGTATGAAAGAACTTGCTGGGGTGATGGCTATATCTTTTTATTTTTCCACACTACCTTCATATGGACAAAGTGATGTCTGTATATTGATAGGACTTTGGGTTACATAGGTGAGTACATTTCTCAAAACTCAGCAAATGTACACTTGATGTGTACATTTCACTGTATGTAAATTTTATATCTAAAGAAAAATATAAACATATATTGAACTCTAGTTCAATATATGATATGCATGCTGAGGTATTTACAGGAGAGTATATAGGTGCCTGTAATTTATTTTGAAATATATCAAAAATAAGATGGATTGGTGGATGGATAAACAGATAGATAAATATATACCTTAAAAGATAAGCATAGTAAAATGTAATGGTAGGTGGTGGGTATACCAATGTTCACAGGGAATTATTTCAACTTTACTGCATGTTTGAAAATTGTCATGATGAACTAGTGAGGAAAAGCATAATAAGACAGTGGCTTCAACAGGACTATATGTAGAACTTGGTATCAGTCTCCTGCAATTAGATAAACACAGTGGACTGGTGCTTGCTTCTGGTCTGAGAAATCAAAGGGCAAGAGAGAAAGGCTTAGCAGACTCTTTGGCAGTGGAAAAAAGCTTGCTGCTGAGATGAGTTTGCCTCCCCCCTCACCTGCTCAGCCTGCAAGAACAAAGGATGTGTATTGCTTGTGGAGCAGATATGGGCTCTAAAGAAAAGAGACTAGCCTAGCACTACTGTGACTTCTGCCCAAGAAGATCATATAGATGGGCAAAGCTAGGGGAACAGAAGGCATTATCCACAACAGGAGGATAATGCCATGAGGAGTCACAAGGAGCCAGTAAGAGATCCTCTGAAACTCCACATAAGTATCCATGACAGAAAGAACCACCTGCCAGGCCCAGGGGATGCAAAGTCATCTTATACTCCTACTGGTCAAGGAAGACCATATGCTACATTTTCCCTTATTTCTGACACACTGTAATCCCAGAAAGGTCAATAACAGCAGCTTGCTCTGAGGAAGTGATGAACAAGTAATAAGTCATCCCACCTTTTTGCTCCTGAAGCCATATGGCCAGCCTTACTATGCCATACCTGAGAAAGTTGGCATGAGTGGTAGGGAAGGAGGAGCGATAAGACATCTTAGAATAAAATGATAAGTATTGTTTAATAGATTAGATTGAACACTCTAACTTCTTAATCAAAACACTGTTTTTCAACTTAAAAGACCGTAGGATTATCAGTTGTCCAAGAGTAACCACAAAAGCTATGAACCATGACAGCAGGGAAAAAAAATTCCACACTAAATAAATTTTAAATAGAAAATAGATGCAGTGGACACTGTTAATACCTCACCCAGATCCCTTCAGCAGGCCACTCTACCCATTAGTGTTCACAGCTCACTGCGGCCTCCTTCACCAGAGAGTTACCTTAAGCAGAACAGAAGCCACCTCACCCAAATTACGTAAATATCCACCAATGCCCCCCAAACACACAGTGGCCAGTGACCGACTCTAGGTACAAAAGGTAGAACTTCAGGTTGGACCCAAATTTGGGGCAATTTGTGCAGCACAGGTCCCCACAGGACAAGGCTGCAGATAGACTTCAGTCAAGACCACATTCTTACTTTGTCTTCTTTCTCTGGCCTGTCTTGCTTCCTTCACTCCCCTTCTCCTAAGAATAGCCTTTCAGTACATCACTTATACGAGAATTCCAACTCAAGACACTCTTCTAGAGAACCTACCTAAAAGTAGGAGACAAAAATAAAGTTGAATTTTTATTATATCATACGGTACACATCCTAGAACAAACAGCCTGACATGAATACAAAGACAAACTGTCCCATCTGTTGGCTGATCTTATATTGTCTCTGGTGCGCTATTTGTTATTGTTTCCATAGCCTTTTTCCATCTATCAGATAACTGTTCACAAGCTTCTCCCCAGGTCCAGGAAAGAACTAGCCCTTTTTCACTGTCTCTACACAGCCACTTGTTATTAGACTGTTAAAATGACTTCACTTTTTCATTCTTCATAGAAAGTTTAATTACACAATTTTAACATGTTTATCTCTTTAGGTGAAGAAACTTCTTATATCCCTCATATATGACAATCTTAAGTAAATATTGCACTGAAGGATGAATATGAGTCCCAGGCCTCTTTGGGTGTAATAACCAAATGCTGTTTGCAATACATTTCTCAGATGATCCTGGAGAAAAAAAAAACATTTATTACATTAAATAAAAGCAAGAAATCATATTGAGGTAACACAGCCACTTAGGAATCATGCCATTTGAAAATGTAACACTTGATGAGTGCTTTGACCACCAACACGGAAGGCAAATTCCATGGAAGTTACAAAACAAAGCCAAAGTATGGTATTAGTTTTACATTAACTTGGATAATTTTTTCATCATATGTTCAATGATTGTGTTTAAAAGCCAAAAGTTAATAAAGTAGCTATCCTGTAAATGTCACAATCCTTTAGCTCAGAAATCTATTTATATCCTCTAGAATGGGGTCAAAATTGCAGAAACCACAGTCATATCTTTCTGGTGATAAATTTCCCTTGAAAATTGTCAGGTAGGACTTAACACATAAAGCAGACATAAGATTGTGAAGAAATATAAGACGGAGGCTAGAAATTTGGAGAGGGGCACAGGGAAATAATTACACAAGACTAGAGGTAATGCAACGGAGAACTGGAAGATAAATACTGAGCAATCAAGAAAGGAAATGTACCCAGGATCCATCCTTTGTTCCCACTGCAAACATCATCAAAAGACTGGATTCAACCAAAACTAGATTTAAATCCTAAATACAACCCAGAAATGTCAGTTATTCATAGTAATTTCTAAAATGATCTTTAACATACTCACATCTAGAAATTCAAAAATCAAGTTTCTGTCTACAGTTTCGTAATTGAGTCAAGTGCCTTACAGAGTTTCTGGGGCACAATTTCCACAAGTATCCTGGAGGGGAATTTTATTCTTCAGTTTACCATGTTTTGTTTTATTTTGTTTCAAAGTATGGCCCTTGGATCTTCTTTATCTGAGTCAACTAGATAATTTATTAAAAATTCACATTCCAAGCTTATCCAACATCCAGTGCTTCAGAATTCTGAACCCTGCGGCCTGGGGATCTGCATTCATGACAAAATTTCCCTATGCATGAGGCACACTAAATTTATGAACTATTGAGATAACAGAGAACTGAAGACTAAGTCTTCCCTTCCATCTGACCCTAGCATTAAGAAAACAACAGTGAGAAATAAAATCTCCCTTATCTACTAACCTATCTGAGGTTTCCAGTTCCCAGTGATGCTCTCTTATCAGACACCCAGTATTTCTGAAGTCCACTAAGAGTTGAACAGATTATTGCCCCTCTAGATCACAATGATTACTCTTTTATGTCCTATAAAGCCCGCTAAAGTTTTACACACTTTCTAAGAAGGAAAACTTCTCTTTAAGACATCGTCAAAAATTACCTAGTTTCACATAGACATATAATTTCATGTATCCCACTTCTGGAAACCCTTTTTCCTCTCATTGTTGTCTGAGTCAAGGCCTGGGTAGATTAAGTTCTAATTGACCAATTCTATAGTGAGAGTTTATTAAGCACCTCCCATGTGCCAGAAATAATGCTAGCATGATAAATGGAAAAATGAGGAGGAAGGGCTCATGCTGCATTGGACTCACAGGCTAGTAGGAACAAAAGGCAAGTATATCAACATGATAGCACATTGTGATCACTGTTGACAGATTTGCTGAGAGAGTCCAGAAAAATGGCATCTAAATCAACCCAGGAGTTTCAGGAAAAGTTTCTTGAAAAGGCCCTGTCTGCAAAGCATAAAAAGGAATTACATCCTAGACATGTAGCGATCAGGTAGCCAGAAGACTTGTCAGCATACGCAGCCCATATGAAGAGGGACGTTTATGCAAGTCAGGTCAGGAGTAATTCACAGGTCTCCAAGGTGGAATACAAACAAAAAAAGCCTCAACAAAGCTCTGGTGCTTCAGCTACTATGCTGCATAACAAATCACCTCCAAAACACAGTGGCTTCAAACAACAAGAATCACTTACTCTGTCATGTTTTCTGTGGGTCAGAAATTTGAATGGAGTACAGCAAGGAAGGTGTCTTTGCTTCACAATGCCTGGGGTCTCAGTCAAAAGACTTAAAGGCTGAGGCTGGAATCATCTGAAGGCTCATTCACTCAGCTGTGGAAGTTGATGCTGGCTGACAGCCCAGGGCATTAGCTCCTCTCCCTACAGACTCTCTATGTGGTCTCTCTGCCTGGGCGACTTTGAGTTTTCTCACCGTGTGATGGCTAGGTTGCAAGAGCAAGCATCCCAAGAGAGAAAGCCAGGAAGACAGTGCATTATTTTTATGACCTAGCATTGGAAGTCACATAGTATCACTTCTAACACACACTGTTTGTCAGAGCAGTCACAAGCTCCTCACCCAGATACAATGAAAGGTAACATAGACCTCCTTGTGGGGGAGAGGAGTGTTAGTCATATTTAAAGAATGACATGTGGATGGGAAATATATGTGAGATACACACACAGCATCTTTGGAAAGCATAATATGCCACTTCTAGATTACTAATATAAAGAAAATTCTGTATTATCCAGCTTAAGTGCCATTCAACATATAAAAATAATACAATAGAAGATGTCAGCAAACAAATTACATCTAGGTAGTAATAAGATTTGTTATTTATGAGACTCATAGCCAACTCTCCTCTATCTTTTTTCCATGTCTTCAAACACTTATGCCATATCTATATGTATAAATACAATTTTTTAAGACCCCATCATACAATATCTTTCAGAGACTTGAGTTTTAAAAAATTAGAAGAAAATGTGCCCAGCATGTTCTAAAACGTGTTGCAATAAAACAAAGCAATGATAACCCAGGGTCCAATTTTATAGATCTTATGACCAGAAAAGTATTGTTATCTCAGAGACTAGATGATCAGCCTTCTGGTCCCTTGCCTGATTAACTTGTTGACAAATTACCCTCCTTTAGTGTACTCCATAGTCATTAACTGAACTGATCTGAGTTTCATCATCAAATGTTCTGGGATCGTTTTGCAACCAGAGACCAAAAGCCATAATCAGAAGAGCAGCCACAGTTCACATTGCCACAGTGTTCTGCGCTGAACAGGATGATTCATATGTGGCCAGCCTGGATTCTTTTACAACAAAACAGAGACTTGCAAGAAAAGAGCATTATAGCTTTTGTTGCCACTGTACTGCACTGTTCCCCTCCATTCTCCCTGAAGGTTTAAATTTAATGCCTGCCTGACAGCCTTTCGTCTGCCACGCTGCTGTTACATTGATACACACTTTATACCTGACTCAGTGAGGGAGAAAGGGCAGGTACCACTGAGCAGATGGAGAGGTCCTGTGGTTTACCCTTCCTTTAAAGTCGCCAGATTCCTATTGCACCTCAGTGATCACTGATGTGACCCTGTGAAGTGTGACCCAGCCCTGGATGATCAGGGGCTGTGCACTAAACTTCAGCTCTAATCCTAAAGTATATGTTGGGGATTTAAAACCAGACGTTTCTAATCTAAAGGGCGTGAAAGCATCATATTGATCCACTAGATAATGTTAAGAAAAAAACTATATGGCCCATAGATGTTTGCAACCAATTAAGGATTAAGGGAAAAAAATGTTTCAAAGTCCAATCTCTTTAACTCTTTGAAACTTCCCAAGGTAGCTGAGGCAATAACCCTTGTTCTCGATAGTTATAATAAAACAAGGATGTCATTAGACATAAAGCTCATGTATTTTGGTAGTTCTGTGGTTATTTTTTATTAAGATCATTAGCATATTGGAAACTGCACCCCAAAGTGACAGACTTAGATATAAAGAAGGCCTGTTTAAGAAAAATTGTGGCGTTTATACAGGTCAGATGCCAAAAATATCCATTTGTCTCAGCTCTAGTGAATACTTTAAGCTTAAACATTTTAAAAATGGTGAATAAACAGATATAGAATGGCCCAGGGAAATAGTCATGATATATAATTTATAAATCTCTTTGACCTTTACATGTACTGATTCTAAGCTAGCCCAGAAGTCATCTTGCTGATGGTTAAAAATGATTACTATATGACAGAATGAACACCTTTCATGTGAAAAGAGTTTGCCAGCCTCTGGGATGGGAAACACATGCCTTCTACAGTCTCACTGCCAAAACCCAGACATCTCAGTGAGATTCAACAGTGAAAACTGCTTGTCTGTATGTAGCCCCAGCTTAGAAAATCCAAGTAAATGCATAAATATTTAAAGTTGTATTCCTCTCCCTTTATTGTTCTCCAAGCAGCATCTGGATATATTCAAAGTATGGCTTATATGATTCTGTGGCAGTGTGAGTGGAGAAAGACGAAGTCCTCAAATATTTAGGGATCTCTTAAGACTGTCTCCTATAGGGAGCTGGTCTGAGCTTTTCTCTGGACTATGACCACTGAGCCACCATGAGACTGGCATTTGAATAGGGGAGGGGCTAATACTCAGGCATCCCTAGATAGAGTCCATGGCTCTGACCATTAACCTCCGGTCAGCCTCTCCTCCTGGAAGTCTCTTAGCTTCCTTGATCCTTTTGCATCCTCTTCCCAGGGCATTCAGAAATATTCCTGTTCTTCGGTTTTCAAGCATAGCACATGGGACTGGAGCTCTATTCAGGCTCAGCCACTTTTTTGCCTTCTGCTGTCACCACTGTACCATTGCTTCCCAGCCTTACTGCAGTAACACTAGTAACACTGAGCTGAAGGCTAATGTTCTCACAGGGGCTAAGAGCCTCCTGCTGACTTTTCTCAGGAAAGTGGCCCACTTTATCCTATGCCTTCAGGGGTTTGCTACTTCTCTGAATGTTTCTAAAGCCATTCACTCCCTTATGCATTCATACTCTTTGATCCCATCTCAAAGGGTGTGTCAGGGAATACATAGTGCATTTGCCTTTTCATTCTCAATAAGCTACTGTTTCTCTCCCCATAACCTACTTGAATGATCAAGTCCATTAGGCCTGAATTTTGACATATTACAAAATTCTTCTCTCAATGCACCTAGCTTTAAAAACTGTTCTTTTGCTACAAAGGTTTTAAAAGGAATATAAGCATTGAAATTCAAGACCAATTCAGCTTGGAGGCTTTTGAAATCTCCAAATAAAGTGCCTTGACATAAGTATTAATTTTTTAAAGCTCTGAGGTGATTCCAGCACTGAGCCAGTGCTGATCCATCACTGAGCTCAGCCCCTCCTTCCCTGGAAACCTGAACTTCCTGGATCTAGAGGTAGAGAGTTACATGGAAGCATTTTAGGAGGGCAGTTAGAATTAATATTCACACAATAGCGTCTCCATTGATCTCTACATTGGCCTAGAAGAATATCTGGAATAATATTCAGCTAATATTAATGATTGCTCTATGACAGTGTAATTTGGAAGGGACATTTTAACTCTCATCTTCTTACTTTTCAACATTACTTATCTTTTTCTAATTAATGTTTATTATTTTTTATAAAACCAATAATATCTTTAGAAAATAAAAACAAAACATAAAGAACAGTATATTCATAAAAATAGCTAAAACAGTAATGAAAATTTGAAGGCAACAAATATCAAGGGAATAGTTACATCAATCATGCTGTATCTATTCAATGGACTATTATGTATGCATCAAAAAATTATCACCATTAAGTTTTTTGGTTTTTGTTTTTTTTTTTTCCCGAGATGGAGTTTCACTCTTGTCACCCAGGCTGGAGTGCAACAGCGCGATCTCGGCTCATTGCAACCTCTGCCTCCCAGGTTCAAGCTATTCTCCTGCCTCAGCTTCCCAAATAGCTGGGATTACAGATGCGCGATACCACACTTAGCTAATTTGTGTATTTTTTTAGTAGAGACAGGGTTTCACCATGTTGGCCAGGCTGGTCTCGAACTCCTGACCTCAGGTGATCTGCCTGCCTTGGCTTCCCAAAGTGCTGGGTTTACAGGCATGAGCTACCGCACCTGGCCATCACTATGAAGTTCTATGTAGCAGCATCTTTATATTTACAATGTTAAGTAAAACAATACAAACAAAAATTGTGTGTAAAGTATATTAGAGAAGCATAAAATGTAAATATTGTTTATAATGCTCCAGTGCTTCATATCCTCATTATTACTTTCCCTTCCCCCTCAATTTTAATTCAACGGTGACTTCCTAAAGATTTCAAAGTCATGAATCCTTAAGGGTGCAATATGAATGCCCTGTGAAATAAGAAAGACCTATTTGGGGGTAGATTATCTGTCCACAGAACCACTCAGATCACATTATGGCTGCAGTCACCTTTTCAACAAATACAGATGCAGTAAATTTGAAATCATTCCAAGAAACTAAGAGGAATGTAAAATCTACTTTACAAGTGGGGAGGACAGAAAAATGAGAGAAAACCAGGAGAGCTACAAACACTTTCTTTTGTACAGCGGGTAAAAATTTTCCAGGATAGCAGTGTAGACAAGTTTTGGTTCCCTGGTGGCACTGCATCTATCCCAAACTTGCATCCACTAGAAAAGCTGGTTGTATCACTAACATGAAATTAAATGCCAAGCAGGAGAAACTCATTTTACAAAATTCCTAGGTGTCTTGGATAGAGAAAATAAAGAATAAGTATTTCCCTTAGAATTAGTGGGTGCAAGCTGGGCCTTGAACAGTTAGGAGTAGAAAGAAGGTGTAATCCTCGGTGTGAGATCTCTCCTTTTCAACAGATGAATAGAAGAGTCAGGAATGTGACCTGGGGCCAAAAGAGGAGAACATTTGGATAAATGGGTAAAAGTAAATCAAAAGATCTGAGAGATAACATGAATGACTATAGTGTGAAGGCTAGAAAGGCTTGAAGTAAGAAGAATGATCACCTAGTTCCAGTGAGGAGTAGAGGCAAATTGTGAATAAAATTCAAAGAAAAACATCTTACTTCTGCCATCTTGGTTTAGAGCTACTAAATCTAGCTTCCGTTACACTGATTTAGAGTTATTACCACAAGCCTCTTTTTCCATAAATTTTTGTGTTACTATGGGAGGTCCCTATAACCCGAATCTTACGGGAATTCCCCAGCCTGTTGAGTGGCCACTCACAGATGCTACGGACTCCAGTACCCAAAGAAGTCCTAACAGTCACCTCTTACTTCACAGGGGATCTAGTAATTTGCCTGTACCAGTGACCTGGTCAGGACAAGAGCTGCAGCCATGTCACTTCCTGGAGCTCTTACCTGGCAGGCAACCAGGACAAAGGAAGCTATGACTTTTTGCTTATTCATTAAAATTTATTCAACATATGCTAAAGTCTTATGTCTAAGAACTACGCAAGCACAGTGGCTACAGCAGAGAATAAGACAAACCGGTTCCAGTTCTTGAGGTGCTCACGTACTAGTAAGGAAGAGAAACAATAAGCAAACAAATCAGACAAGGGCTATTTTTACAATGTTCATGAGGAGACTTGGAAGATGTCACCTTTAAAGTTCATTTGGGAAGGACACAGTTGACCGTACTGATCGTGTTATTCCCCCCCGCCTTTTTTTATGAGACAGAGTCTCACTCTGTTGCCAGATTGGAGTGCAGTGGCGCAATCTCCAAGCATTAAGGCCCAGAGTGGTCAAATGATTTCATCAATGTCACATAACTTATTAGTGAGTTACAGGAAGGGAAAGTACTTTTCCCATTGAGTCCCAGAAAATGTCACATGACACAGAATCAGCATCTTTCAACAGCCCAAAATACAATCATTCTCCCTTATAGAGTTGCCTGTAGATTCAAGTTTAATGGAGTCAATAGTTTGAACAGCAAATTGGAAATTAACAGGACTAGATTCTGCTGGGAAATTTGGTAAATCCTTCACTTTTGCTTCTATTTCTCTATCTGCAAAATGAGGCAACAAGTTTGAAGCCAGTCTGCCATTCTGTGGAGAGAAAAGTATAAAAAAAAAAATAATGGTTTCTGACCTCTTATTTCACACAAGGCCCCATGTTAGACACCATATTATATGTGTCACTTAATCCTCACAACATCTCAGCGTGGTAGAAATTACTCCCATTTTGTAGCTAAGTATGTAAGTTAAAAGAGGTTAAGAACCCTGCCCAAGGTCAAATAGCTATGCAAGAGTCAGAATTCAAATGCCATCTGTCTTCACCTCTGGGCTGCTAAGCAACCACCCACTGGAATAATTTGAGGTACTATTAAAAAGGCACTATGTGGGCCCAAGCCATTAGAAGCAAGATCAGCCATGTGATAAACTGTGATATAATTGTGAATAAAAAGTCTTCACTGGAATTTTAATTTTAGGACTTAATCACTAAGATAATATGTGTTCTATAAATATACAAGTTAAAATAATTTTTCTTCTAGTAAATTGTGTTTTCAAGTTTTCTGTAATTGTATCTATAAAAAGAACACAGACAGAATTATATAATCCCTGAGGTGAAGGAAGGACATGAAGAGAAATTTTTTCTGCCTGGAGAAGGCAGAGTGTGCAAAATATTTATATATACCAAAGACATTGCACAAGCCACCTCCTGTCCCTCTTTTTCCACCTACTGCCTTCCTCCCGGTGTGCTGTATCAATACTAGTTCAGCCAGCTCTTCTTACTTCATTGTATAACCCAGCCATCCTACCATTTTCCTCCCACACTTCTGCCTGAGGGCCTAGGGTGTCAGAGGATAAAAAACAACGGAAGGCTGATATGATCCCAATAAGCACAACCAATTACAAGCTGTGTAACTACAAAAAAAATATTCCAACCCTCTAAGACTCAGTTTCCTCACTTGTAAATGGAGAACTTTATATCTATCACTTTGTTAGGAGATAATAAAGGGAGAAAAAAACACTTCTGTGGTGCTGACAGCTCAGGAAGTAGTTTCCCCTTTCAAAATCAAAATTTGTAGTGGAGAACAAAGAATATTGGGAATGCTATATGTTTCCTGTCACTTATCCTGCTCACTCTACCCACTGTAGAAGGGGGAAAAGTGGCAATGTTTGCAAGAGGAACACTTGTTTGCTGCTCCAGAAATCATCAGGGGAAACAGTAGAAAGTTGTCTACTTGAGAAAACTTTAGTTTGGTGAATAAGGTTAGTTGGCTTTGAGCACAGAAGCTGAGTCCTTGCTCCAATACTTGGTAGCTGTGTGACCTTGGACAAGTGGCTTAGTCTGCTTGGATGTCAATTTATAGCTTGGAAATAAAATCACTGCTTGCCTAGCCTTCTGCACAGGAAGGGTGTGAATGCCAGAGGACATCAGGGATGTGAAGGCACCACCCGTACAATACTTATAACCTAAAAATGATCTCAACTGCCTGGAAGACAAAATTTAGGAGAGCAGAGAAAAGTGGATCTGTTACCACTCCTGGAAAGCAAATTACTTGTGTTCCCAAAGGCAAAAAGTAAGTCAGAACTCAACTTCTTAATGAAACAGATGACTTCCAACCTTTAACTTTCTCAGAACTACCTCAGTATTGGTTCTTCAAAGACAGTTTGAAACGCTTCATAATTCACACCCTCTACTTGTCTTTTATATGACTCTGATCAATGCAGCTAATTTCAAAATTTATATAACATAAAAATTACCACTCCAATTACATTTTACTAGATATAAGAATCCTAAAGATGGGGAATATCCCATTCATCTTTCATCCCCACTGTTTATAACAGTTCAAAAATAGAAGCTGATAAATAATTGCTGAACTAGTGACTAAATGAATATATATAAAGTATGGGTGCAAGTGTGGCATGCAACCAAATATACATCCTTGGCAATATTTCATAATCATTAGACATTTAAGTTCTGCCCAAGACTGAACTCTCACTCCTTCTAGAACTTGCATGAGCATCCTTATTACAAACGTGAAATATTTTAACAGAGTCAAGAATTTTCATTGGACATATTTGATACACAGAGAGGAAAATAAACACTAATCATGTTGATTACTTCAGCATGCTTCAACTTTTCATGCTTGAATTTTACTCTTTGTAAACTGGATCTTACTCTATATCAAACACACAGACCTTGGCTGTGGCACTGATACCAATATGGCCACTAACTATGGGGTATTATAACACCAACTATTCATCAGGTCAGCTCAGAACCCAAGTCCCTAAAGAGGATCTCATGCTGGAAATTTTAACATTTCTTATGATAGCATAATGAATAATGATTACAGCATGCCAGAAAATCAGATAGTACACAATTTTTACAGTGTTCAAACCCAGCATCTGTTCCATGGAATGCTACAGTATATGCTGTATATTAATACAGATGTGGCCCTCATTAGACCCACCTGGAATAAAAACGTCTTGTATATGTAGTGCAGGATGATGTCAGAATAGATCTGGCCACCTTTGCATTAGAAAATCCTCCCTGCAAGTCTTTTTCAGAATAGGGCCTCTACCAGGACCACTGAATACTGCATCACCAAATTTAAAGGAGGTATCCAGGCCAGGCACAGTGGTCCATGCCTGTAATCCCAGTACTTTAAGAGGCTGAGGTGGGATGACCACTTTAGCCCAGGAGTTCGAGACCAGCCTGGACAACACAGTGAGACCCCACTTCTGCAAAAAATAAAAATAAAATCAAGGAGGTATCCAGCTTCAACCAGATATGTGCCACTCAGTGACACCCACTAATTCAATCCACTAGTGTGTCGCAATCTGCTTAGTTCAAGTACTGCTTGGTCCTGTCTACCAAGGATGGAACCATGAACTGGAAAACCAATCCCATTTCCCTTAATTTTTAACTTTACTTTTTTACTTTTAATTTTTGGTGTGTCAGTAAAATTGAGTAGTGGCGTACTCAATTCATTCTCTTGATATCTATTTTCTTCTCTTTTATTCCTCTATGGAAAGAGTAAACTGAATAGCTCATTTTGTCTCAGAGGGATGAGGCCGGCTCCCAAATCTCACTTATGAAATATAACATATGAGTAGCACATCCTGCTTTTAAGAGAATGTGAGCACAGAAGAATGAAGAGAATACACATTGTATATTTCCCTGAGTGGAGTAGACTTCTGGTTCTGTAAATGTAACAGAGTCCAAAATCCTTTAGTGCAACATTGAGGTCTGCAAAGAAAATGTAGCTTATTTGTTTTTATAATTGATCAGATCTTCCTCTTAAGCTTACTGCTTGATGGTAATGCTAGAGGTGTAAGGAAGGAGGCAAGGATCCTTTATCACAGCACAAACAATTGATTAGAAACACTTCATGTACATTGGTGGTAGAGTTTATCTTTGTCAGTAGAACTTTTACTAGTAATTATTTTTCTATTAAGATACTGTGATTCTACCTCTGAAAATCCAACCTCCTTTTTCTTATACTCTTATAATATTCATTTGTCCCATTTCATAAGAATTGCTTCTTACTGGTAGATATATCATACTAGTATTATATTGATTATAAAGTCAATGCTTTCTCCTCACCATACTGCAGACAGGACACTACAAAAATCAAATAAACAAGAAAAATATAGACTGTTTGTTTTTTTCCGTAGATTTGTGGTGGTCAAGTAAAAGATACCTGAGTATCTTAAGATAAACAACTTCATTTGCCACAATAATAATTTCATCTTTTCAAATGATTAAAGACCTACATATAGATAGATACTTTTCTTCAGTCTAGCCTACCAGTATTGAAATAGGTAATATCAGCCCTGTCCCAACTACCAGTGCTCTCACACTGACATAAACTACATACACCTCTCCTCCCCAGAATTACCCTTTCCAAGCCCCATTCCCTCATACTCCTGCTTTCTGTCAGATAATATAATTAGCTAATTCATACAGTATTAATATACTGTTCCAACAATAACAAAAAGCTGAATTATAACAAATTTACTTGGGCTTCTGCTCTGGCAAATACGGAGTGTCAGAGATCAGATTTATACTCTTGTCTGAAAAAATAACAACATAAAATATATAAAACAGTGGGTTTCAACACAGTGGGCATTAGACAACAAAGTACAGTAATCCCTGAAAGATGGAAAACAAGAGAAGTATGTTCTGTAATAACAACAGCTCACTGCCTACAGTAATGTTCCAGGCCAGGTGCAGTGGGAGTAAGGGAGCACTGGTCTCCCTGAGTTGAAGAATAAAGGTGAGAAAGATCAAGGTAGCTGGAGTTACAGAACAGAATACCAGAGAGGAGAGAAATACAAGGAGAGATAACTATGGAGATGTGCAGAGGTTTCTTCCTTCAGTTTTTTTTTGTTTTGTTTTTCTTTTCCTTTTGAGACAGGGTCTCACTCACTCTGTCACCCAGGCTGAAGTGCAGTAGCGTGATCTCAGCTCACTGCAACCTCCACTTCCTGGGCTCAAGTGATCTCCACCTTCAACCTCCCAAGTAGCTGGGACCACAGGGACGTACCACCATGCCTGGCAAATTTTTGTATTTTTTGTAGAAACAGGGTTTTGCCATGTTGCCCAGGCTGCTCTCAAACTCCTGAGCTCAAAGCCATCTGCCGCCTCAGCTTCCCAGTGTGCTAAGATTACAGGCATGAGCCACCACGCCCAGCTTTCTCCAGTCTTTAGCTGAGTACTAATCAGCATATGCATGTGAGGAAACTAACCAAGGCTGGGCAAAGAACCACCCAAGTAACAGTGCCTGGTACTCACACAGCATCAGGAACAGTGCCTGATCCCTCCATCTGTACTGGAAAAGCTCATAACTTACTGAGCATTAAATAGGGTACTCAGGATTTTTTTGCCTCACCAGTGGAAAAAACTAACCCCACACAAAATGTTCTTCAGGTATCATCTAACAAACCTTAAAAGTTAGACTTGATAAGCTCAAACTGTTTGAAAGTAACTTAATCATGTTTCAGAACAAAACTCAAGGACATTTACAAGAATAGAAAAATGTCCAGCACCAAACAAAGTAAAAGTCACAGCATCTAGCATATAATCAAAACTTATCAGACATTCAAAAATCAGAAAATATGACACATACTGAAGAGAAAAGTCAATCAATCCAAACCGATTCAGAAATGGCACAAATGATGGAATTAGAAGGCAAGGACATTAAAACACTTGTTTTAACTGTATTCCACATGTTCAATAAACTAGAATATATGCTAGTGAAGCAGGATATTTCCCTGACCCCTTTATGGGTGGGAACTGGAGTGCACAGGCACTAGAACTAGCCAGCCACTTCGGCCCAGCAAGGGTGAACTCCACTCATTCGCTGCTCCACCCTCACCAGAGGGTGAGGGCAGGTGGGCAGATGCCGGAGCTGGGGTGAGTGCTTTTGGGCTCTGGCAGGAGTGAACTCCATACCAGCCCCACAGCAGCATCTAAAGGGGGCTGTGCCCGCAACCCCTCAACCCAGGAGGAAATGTTACAGTATTCTTTTATCTCTACTGTTTGCAGATGGCTGTTTGCAGATGGCTCAAGCTCAGTGGAGGGTCAGTGTGACAGCCTTTTGCACCCGCACTTGTGGCAGCTGAGTTCTTGTCCAGCATCCAGGAGGAATGAGATCACATAAACAAATTGAAATGGTAAATGCAGGAGATCTGATTGCTGCTGAAAGTGGCTTTTAGTGGGAAGAAGAGCTGAAAAGGGGATGGAGTGGAAAGATAATCTTCCCCTGAAGTCTCCTCTGTAAAGCTATGCCATCAAGCTGTCCCTCTGAAGTCAAGCCACTTCTCTACAATGTCCAACTGTAGTCTTGGATGTCCAGCTGCTTCTCTGTCTGCCAGCTGAGCCTGGGGTGTTTAGGGGCATGGGATGTGGGGGCAGAGCAGGCAACATTTGAGGGGGGAAACAGGGATGTAAGTTCTCACTTTGGGCCATGGTATCAGGCTTTTTGGCTTGAGGGTGGGGCCCTCACCAGGGACCTGCCCTCTTCTTCCCAGAATTTCCCTGCCTCTTGTCTCTATCACTAGAAGATATAAAAATGATTCCAATCAAAATTGGAGAGATGAAAACTGTGATGTGAGAGATGCAAAGTAAACTGGATGGGATTAATGGCAGATTATACATTGCAGAAAAAGATTAGTGAACTTGAAGACATAATAATAGAAACTACACAAAAGGAGAACAGAAAGAAATAAGACCAAGGGAAAAAAAGATGGAAAACAGAGATCAGTAGGCTGTGGGAAAACATTAAGAGGCCTAATACACATGTAAAAGGAGTGGAAGATGATGGGAAAAGAAAAAACATTTGGCCAAATACTCTGTAAACTGAATTTCAAAAACTACAAACACACAAATTCAAGAAGCTCCCAAAACCCCAAGAACAAAGCAAAATTAAGAAACCAAAAAAAAGCAGATCATAATTATTTGCTAAAAGATTATTTTAGAAACTTGCCTCTCCCCTGAAGAAATTCTCTTCCCACAGTCCACTTTACTGTGCCTGAAGGTGACGCAGGATATTTTCTTGACCCCTTTGTGGGATTCATGACAGCGGTGCCCCATGTACTCAGCCTGCCCTGCTCAATCCTTCACAAAAGGGAACGAGTGCAAGAACTACAGTGAGGAAGTGCAGAAACCTGCTGTCAGGAGCAAACACTGTTTGCTTAGGTCCACCATGCTCCACCCCTCATGGGAGGGAGCACAGGGGGTGGTGAGTGCAGCAACCAGCTGGCCGCTTCAGTGCCAGCAGGAGCAAATTCTGTGTGGTTCCCGTGGCAGTGTCCAGGTAAGGGTGCCTGTGACCCCAAGGCCCCAGAGGGTGTGTTACAATACTCTCTTAGCTCTGCCATCCACAGACAGCAGTGTGTTATCAGCTCAGTGGGCCCTCTGCCTTGTCATGTAGGGTGGCTGCCCTCGTCCAATGATGGCAAAGGGCCAATGTGACAGTCTTTTTGAGTACCTGCACTTGGTGCATCCCAAATTCTTGTCCAGTGCCCAAGAAGAATGAGGTTATGCAGATGAATTGAAGGATGGTGAATGCAGAGAATTTTATGGAGTGGTGAAAGCAGCTTTCAGTGGAGAGGGGAGCTAAAACAGGGACAGAAAGAGGTCACTCTCCCCTGAAGTCAAGCACACATTAAAATATTATCTTTAAAAAATATTTTCCATAATTGGAATTATTATACAAACTTAATTTTTATTTATTATTTTATTTATTTATTTATTTTTTTTTTTCTGGAGATGGAGTCTTGCTCTGTCACCCAGGCTGGAGTGCAGTGGCACAATCTCAGCTCACTGCAACCTCCACCTCCAGGGTCCAAGCAATTATTCTGCCTCAGCCTCCTGAATAGCTGGAAATACAGGCATACACTGCCATGCCCAGCTAATTTTTTGTATTTTAGTAGAGACAGGGCTTCATCACGTTGCCCAGGCTGGTCTTGTGCGTCACTGCACTCCAGCGTAGGTGACAAGAGCAAAATTCCATCTCAAAAAAAAAATAAAAAATAAAAATCACATTGGGGTAAATGGGGTACCTGTCACCTCAAGCATATCTCATTTCTTCGTGTTATAAACAATCCATTGTTATTGGTTATTTTAAAATGTACAATACATTACTATTGACAGCCGTCACCCTATTGTGCTATCAAATACTTATGCATTCTATCTAATTATATTTTTGTACCCATTAACCGTCCCCACTGGCTCCCTACCCCACACCCTACTACACTTCCCAGCCTCTGGTAACCATCATTGTACTTTCTATCTCCATAAGTTCAATTGTTTTAATTTTTAGCTCCCACATATAAGTGAGAACACATGAAGTTTATTTTTATGTGCCTGTCTTATTTTATTTAATATAATCTCCTCCAGTTCCAACCATGTTGGTGCAAATGAAAGGATGTCATTCTTTTTTATGGCTGAATAGTACTCCATTGTGTATAGGTACCACATTTTCTTTACCCATTCATCTGTTGATGGATACAGGTTGCTTCCAAATCTTGGCTATTGTTAATAGTGCTGCAATAAACATGGGCGTACGGAGGTCTCTTTGATATACTGATTTCTTTTTTTTCTAATTATAGACCTAGCAATGGGATTAATGGGTCATATGGTAGTTTTGTTTATAGTTTTTTAAGGAACCTCCAAACCGTTCTGCATAGTGGCTGTACTAATTTACATTTCCACCAACAATATGCAAGGATCTCTTTTTCTCCACATCTTTGCCAGCATCTGTTACTGCCTGTCTTTTGGATAAAAAACATTTTTACTGGGGTGAGTTGATATCTCATTGCAGTTTTGATTTACATTTCTTTGATGATCAATTATGTTGACCACTTTTCCATATATCTGTTTGCCATTTGTATGTCTTCTTTTGAGAAATGTCTATTCAGATCTTTTGTCCATTTTTTAATTGAATTGTTAGTTTTTTTTCCTTTTGAGTTGTTTCAGCTACTTCTATATTCTAGTTATCAATCTCTTGTCAGATGGGTAGCTTGCAGATATTCACTCCCACTCTGTGGGTTGTCTCCTCACTTTCTTGATTGTATCCTTTGCTGTGCAGAAACTTTTTAACTTGATATAATCCTATTTGACCATTTTTGCTTTGGTTGCCTGTGCTTCTAGGATATTATGCAAGAAATCTTTGCCCAGACCAATGTCCTGGAGAGTTTCCAACTTCTTATTTTGATAATTAGTAATTAAAGGGAAAATTATCCTTTTAAGAGCAAGTACAGTTCAACCCCAGTTGATGGGGGAAAAAAAGCTCTCCTTTTCCAAAAGAAACTGCTAAGAATTTTTAAAAATAAATATTAAAATTTGGAAATCATCATTTAAAGTCTCCCAATTATATAATTGATTTAGGCACTAAATCAAACAGAATATCTCTATACAGCACTAGAATATCACTACACAGATTTGCTAAATGCAAAAGAGAAAATATACCTTTTTGTTGAAAAGATCTGTTGGACAAACCCTAAACAAATAATATAGATACACAGAAACGTAGAATCACTAAGACAACCTGATAGTCATGCCCCGCAATGAAATACAATATGAACTACACAATATCACTCACAAAGTGTTACTGCCAAAAGTATTTAACCTAAATCTAATCAAGCCTTTAGACTTGTATGTACAGAACATACATACATATATATAGATATAAACACACATGTATGTTACAGGTAGTTACATAGGCATGAGAGGGGCAGCAGAGGGGTCTGCCCCCACCCATTAAGAATATGAGGTGTTGGTTCAATGACTATCACACTGCCTCTCTAAACATGGTAATTCAACAGCAGCAGGGAGAGACAATCTCCTGATGATCCACAGCTATTAACATTAAAAGAATTCATTGAATGCAGATGCCAGGGAGAAGAAACCTCCTAGACATGCGCATTAAGAGACAAAATGGTGAAATATGACCTTTCAGGTACACGCCACCAGAAAATGGGAAGAAGCCTCAGATAAGCATGCATGTCACTCCCTAAACACATTACGTGTGCTCACTGCCTAAGGGTAAGGAGGGCATTGTGCATGCAGAAAGCCCATCCTATGGGAAGAAGCATGGGAAAGAGGCAAGCCTATAAAGCCCTAGGATCAAAGTTAAATGTTCTTTTTAACCTTTGGGTACTATCTTGGATCTCTTTCAAGTGAATTTTCCATTCTTTCCTGTTCTAAAGCCTTTTAAATAAACCCACTCCTGCTCTGAAACTTGCCTTGGTCTCTTTTTCTGCTCTGTCAAATTCTTTCTTCCGAGGAGACAAGGACTGAAGTTGCTGCAGTCCCACATGGATATGCCACCAGTAACTCAGGGTAACTTGGATCTCTTCTACTGCTAACACGAACACACACACACACACACACACACACACACACACACACACATCTACATATATCATATATACATATTAATATGTGTGTATATACATATATGTGTTTATATATATCTGTATAATATATATACAGATATATATATAGTCTTAAAATTTTTTTGAAAAGCTTTTCTGGACCCCACCTCCTCTTCCAGTTGGTTCATTGTTTTCCTTTGTAACAAAATTCCCTGAAAGCCCCATGTGTAATTGCTGATTTCAATTACTCCCTACTAAGCTTCCCTTAAACAATTTTGAGTCAGACTTTTACCCCCAACATGCCACCAAACCTTATTTCAAAGTCATAGATGTCTTAAGTATTGCTAAAACCTACAATTGATTTTCAGTCTCCAGCACATTTGACATATTAATAGCATTGATATGTGGCCATACCTCCTCCTTTGATATTCTTTCTTCACTTGGTTTCAGACATCATACTCCTTGGTTCTCCTCCCCTCTCACTGTTAATTCATTCTTAGTCACTTTTACAGACTTCCTTAGTTATCCCGGACCTGTTAGTTGGAACACCCCAAGCCTCAATCTTTGAACCTCTTCTGTTTGTACTCAGTAATTTGGTGATATCATTCCACCTCCTGGCTTTTACTATCATCTCTATGCTATGTTAACCATAACTGCATCTCTCTGCTAACCTCTAGAATCATATTTCTGACTTAATCAAGAGCTGCAAGCATATTGCCTATCAAATATTATCCTGTTGGATGTCTAATACTAATCTCAGGCCTTACATTGTCCAAAAGTTAACTCTTTATCTTCCCTCTCAAAATCTGCTTCATCTATGTACATTTTCCCATCTCAACTAATGGTAATTCCTTCCTTTTAAGTGCACAAGCCAAAAATACTGGTTTCAACTTTCACTCCTCTCTCTCGCTCTCACCCCATATCTAATTGGTCCTCTTGGCTCTACTTTCAAAATACATCCAAAATCCAACCACTTCTCACTTTCGTCCAAGGAACCATGCTTCTCATCTTGATCACTTCAGTAAATCAATCAAGATAGGTCTCTCTACTTCCACTCTTGCTCAGCCCCCATCTATTTTCCTTGTAGGTTTTAAAAGGATCACTTTGTCTGCTCTGATCAGGTCACTCGGGATTTCTTAACTGTCCTACAAGGCTATATATGATCTTACCCCCACCTCATTAACTCTTTGACCTCAATTCCTAATATTTTCCCCTTAATCATTCTGCTCAGGCACACATGCCTCCTTACTATTCCCAGTATATTCCAGAGAATAAGATAAAACAAGGCCACAGATGATTTGCAGGTCTCTATGTCTATGGTTCCCTTGCATCCTACTCACAAATATCAGCTTTTCTTCACCCTATTCTAACAGAACACTTTTTTCTTAAAATGCATCATGGATTGGTAGAGATTTTTAGAGTTAAAGGATCTTCAATAATTTATTCTTTCATTCTGCAAGCATTCACTGGTCACTTTGGGTTAAATCCTTAGTGGATGCTCATATATGAGACAAGGACCTTTCTTTTTTCTTGAACTCAAGTGGAGAGAAATAAACACATAAGAAGATAATTACAACACAAAGTGGTGGATATAGATATATTTCAAGATATCACGAGAACACAGAGAAAGAGTACTTATTTGTCTGAGGAGGATCAGATGTGACTCTCCAGAGGCAATCATATCTGAGGAATTTAAATCTCCAATTCCACCACTGCAAGACAGTGACTTTTGGCATACTGCATAGAACCTGTGGTATCAATTTGCTTGTTTATAAATTTGGGATGATAGTGCCTGCCTCACAAGTTTCTTTTGAGTGCCAATAGAGAGGATAGATGCTCGTTAAAGTGCCATAAGAGTGTTACCTATAGTTACCATCCTTCTCTGGCCTCTTACCCACCACCATCCACACAGAAGTAGCTGCTTTAGAAAGTATAGTATCTGTTCATACAGCATCAAGCATCTATAAAAATGAACTTATTAACTCAGTGCCTAGAGTTCAATATCTTGAAAAACTTAAGTGCTTCTTATTTTTATTCTAAGCTTTACACACTGTTCTGAAGAAATGAACCATATTTTGTTGAGGGCAATGCTATCACATTCATCTACACAAGCCCAGTCAATATGCATTGATTTGTGTTCTAATATTCATGAAACAATGGCTCAGTTCAAATACAGTCCTCTGTATTTGGATCTATTTCATGCCACAAATGAACAGCTAATAGAGCTGTAGTTAATGACTGTTACATCAGAGAAAACACTAATGCAACATCCATCCTGATTGACTGCAAGGAGCCTTGGAAGAAACATAATTCATGTGAAATTCTCATAGCAATCAATTTTTCCCCTTAACATTTTTCTGGAACCTACTGTGTACCAACGAATGAACTGGGTAATATTGGGAAATATAAAGGAATTGGTTAGTATTCCTGCACCTGACTTTATAGTAAAACACAGGACTTGCCTCTGGTTTCCTCCTATAAAGTGCCAGATATCTTCTTTTTTGTAAGATAATTAGGAAAAGAAAAAAAAAACTCTAAAAAAAAAAAAACCTATGAATTGGGTGCTATGGTGCTTTTAAAAAATGACTACAAATTTTTTATACCACTCCTATAAAGAGGTGAGACCTGGGATAAAAGAAAAACTTCAGCCAAATTAAATTTAAAGGAGTTTAATTGAGCAATGAATGATTCATGAATTGGGCAGCCCCCAGAATCACAGCAGATTCATAGAGACTCCAGGGGTATCTTGTGGAAAGAACAATTTTATAGGCAAAAATGATAAAGTGATATACAGGAATCTGAAGTGAGGTACAGAAACAGTAAGAATGGTTACAGCTCAACATTTCTGAACACAGTTTGAACATTCAGCAGTCTATGAGTGGTTGAAGTATGGCTACTGGGATTGGCCAACACTCAGTCATTGTTACAGGTACATACTATTAAGTTAGGTTTTCAGTTTTGTCTGACTATTAAGCTAGGTTACAGTTCATCCACAAGGATGCAAATATAGAAGGATGGAGGCTTTCTCAGGACATATTTAGTTTGCCTTAACAATTCCCCCCTTTTGGACATTTACTCAATTTTGAGAGATTGACCAAAACCTTAGTCATTGATGTTGCTATCACTATTGTATTTATATGGTTTTGAAACCCACTGGGAAACAGTATAACAGTGGGTTTTGCAAGGAGAGAATAAGGACTAAGTAGAGGGTACCTCCTTATGCTGGAATATCCTGTTTACAGGACAAAAACAAAACCTGATCTGTTCTAGGATCTATGTGTTTTCTTAAAGCCTTAGTTTGATTATGTCACATTTAGCACAAGTGACTCTATTTTAGTTTGGTTTGGTTTATTGGGGCCTAATGTATGAGCTCAGTCCAAAATAATGGCCTCACATAATTTTGTTTTAAAAAAAATTCCCCGTTTTTGGCCAGGTTCTCACTTAGGTGAGAATATGACCAACACATAAGGCCTTAGCACCAGTCTCATTTACCATCATTTTGGGTTTCCCATCTCAGCATGTCATTCATAGGTTACGATGTCCTCATGGTCACACATTTCTTTCAGCTTTTGTCATTCCAGTTGAAGAGACACAATTTCACATTCTAGAGATGGCTGCATGCAAATATTTAAAACTTTTGAGAGCATAGGCCAGGCTTGGTGGCTCACGCCTGTAATCCCAGCACTTTGGGAGGCCAAGGCGGGCGGATCACTTGAGGTCAGGAGCTCAAGATCAGCCTGGCCAACATGGTGAAACCCCATCTCTACTAAAAATACAAAAAGTAGCCAGGCATGGCGGGCACCTGTAATTCCAGTTACTCTGGAGGCCGAGGCACAAGAATCACTTGAACCCAGGAGGCAGAGGTTGCAGTGAGCCAAGATCATGCCACTGCACTCTAACCTGTGTGACAGAGTGAGACTCCATCTCAAAAAAATAAATAAATAAATAAAATAAAAAATAAAACTTTTGAGAGAATACAGAGCACCAGGGAGACTATTATTATGACTATTGGGAGGATGAGACCAAGAGTTTTGAGTATGCTCCTTACCTGGGGTCCCTATAAACCAAACCATGTAAAATTAAATAGATTCAAGAATGAGCTAAATGAAGAGTCTACTCACTTGACTAAGTGGTCTTTTCATTAATCCCCTACAACTCAATTTTTATAATATACATTTGATGTATTTCTCATAGGCCACAAGTGTCAGCAGCTGCACAGGTACTTTTCTGTTTAGCCAATTCTATTATTTAGCATAACTTTCACAAGAGAATTTAAAGTCTGTTCTGTAATGATAGCCTTTGAAGTATCATTTGCTATAGAGGCTATTATGAGGGAGACATTCATAATTTTTGCCTCTTTTATTCTAAACCATGGAAAAAGGACCTAACAAATGATGTCCTTCTAGAAGAGTGAAGGCCTCCTGGCAATGTTCTCTTTAATCCAAGATGTGGGTTAAGAAGAGTTTTGACTGATTATGAGGCAACTTATGTACCACTAAAGTTTCTCACATACATTGGCCTTTATCTTTTATCTACTAAAGTATAAGATTATTCATGTATAAGGCTGGCTGCAAAATCCTTCACAAATAAAAGTATACCCTATAAGTGCACATAATGGACCCCCTTTCCATTTCTATTGTTCATAGAGTCATAAACAAGGAAAAAGTATTCAAAGATAAGACTCTTGTGATAGTAGAAGTATTGATCCGTGACCTTGGGAAAAGCCATTCACATCAAGGATGCCATCTTCTTCTGGGGAGAAATTTTCCTGGTTAGTTTCATCTTAAGGGTTCCAATGGGTGTAGAGTTCCAAGAGTGTGAAGGGACCCCTCTCAGTTGTGAGATTACAAACCCAAGGTTCAAGCCTCCAAAGTTTTGCTGTAGTGTGGATGGCAAGGACACTCTTTCTCTGATATTCTCAGAAAATTCAACCTTCGGGTTCTAGATTGTGAAGCTGTTGTCCTCAGTGAGCCATGAAAAGCTTTCTTTGGCCTGGGCATGGTGGCTTACACCTGTAATCCCAGCACTTTGGGAGGCCAAGGCGGGTGGATCACAAGGTCAGGAGTTCAAAACCAGCCTGACCAACATGGTGAAACCCCTCTTTACTAAAAATACAAAAATTAGCTGTGCGTGATGGTACACACCTGTAATCCCAGCTACTCAGGAGGCTGAGGCAGGAGCTTGAACCCAGGAAGTGGAGGTTACAGTGAGCCAAGATCACACCACTGCACTGCAGCCTGGGCGACAGAGTGAGACTCTGTCTCAAAAAAAAAAAAAAAAAAAAAAAAAAAAAACCTTTCTTTACCTGGTGAAAATACACTGTAGCATAACAGTCTACTGTTATAACATCAACCCTCTTGCACGGAAAAGCTTTTATACAACCATAAAACATGCGTTGAAAATGACAATTGAATGGAATCCCTTTATAAATGTTTAAATGGCCCATTAGGTAGCCAAATGTACCTGAAGCTTTGCTTGTTTTCCCAGGAATATGGAACCAAACATTGGTTTTAAACTATTTCCACAATTTATAAGTTACTACATCAACATATTCAATTTGGATTATTTTATCTGTTCCATGATGAGTCATGGAATGCAAAACCTTTAATAACAAAAGCTTAAGGACTCAGGAAGGACAAGGCAGCTGTCCTGGTTCTTCATGAGTCCATGCTTAACAGTGGACTTATGTTCTCTTCAATACCAGTTGTTTCTCCAGTTTAGGTACATAGCACTGATAACTAATGGGTTATCATAGGTAATGTGACTTAGACCATGGAGTTCATTCAAATTCTATATTTAAACAATTTTAGTATTGGCTGATTTAGCATGATAATCCAGAGCTTGATTTTGAAAGGTTTGCTAAATGCCAAAGGTTTAAAACATTGGATATTATAAAATAGAATCTTAGGTTACCGTAAGTCATTCATTTAGCCAAAATGATAACTCAAAAATTTTAAAAAGGAAAAAACATTAGTCTGATAGAGAGGAGACTCAGTTTTCCAAACAAGACCCAACGAAGGTAGCATGAGGCCAACTGACTCTGTCTCCTTTACTTCCCTTCCACCTACACTTTCTTTCATAGTTTACTTAAAAGAAAAACAAAAACCTTTCATTATCTTTTAACATTACATAAAAATCCTTTTTAAAAGAGAAAACCAAATTTTATGTTTCCATCAGTGTGTTTTTAATGTTAAAGCTAGTTTTTTAAATAACATTTTATAAATCTATTCAGTTTTAATTAGTTTGACCATAAGGTCAGATTTTTATAAACCTTTCATAACCCTTTACAATTTTTTTCTCAGAGCAGAACAATGTTCTAAGAAAACTCTGTTGTGCTTCTATTCCAATATCCAATTTATGGGAAAAAAACCTGAATAATGCCATTTTAACTTTAGCCAATATGTTCACACATAGAATATCTCATAATTAATTTTTATAAACCTTCTACAAACTGTTCAAACTTTATTTGATTTAAAACAATCCTTTAACCCTCTAACCTAGGCAAAAATTTACATTCCCATACTTTCATATAATCTCTTACAAAAAACACATTTCATTCTCCTTACACACCTTGCATGTAAACCTATTTTTTCCAGTAGTCTCAATTACATATTACAATGTTAACTCTTAGTGACTTTTATTTTTGGTGAAACCTTGGTAAATAAGGGATTTTAATTATGTACTAGGTGTGGAGCCTAAGGCCTAGACAGAAAAGCAAATAAGGTGTCTTTCCAGTGTCTAACTCCACATCTCCCAGGCCTTGCCTAGCTGTAAAACAGACAAGCTGTACAGTTAAGAGTCATAGTGGCATTTTATGAAGCATTTAGGAGACCTAATCACTTTTAAATTATACAATATTTCTGGCATAAATTTCTTTTCATAAATTATTTCACAACTTACACAGACCATGTATAACATGTTTAGACTTTCTGACTTGCCCTAAACATCCCTCTTTTTATTTTTTATTTATTTTTTTTTTTTGAGACGGAGTCTCAGTCTGTCACCCAGGCTGGAGTGCAGTGGCACAATCTCGGCTCACCGCAGCCTCTGCCTCCCAAGTTCAAACGATTCTCCTGCCTCAGCCTCCCAAGTAGCTGGGATTAAAGGCACGTGCCACCACACCCAGCTAATTTTTTGTAAACATCCCTCTTTCAAAACAACCAGTCATTTTATTTTAGAACAAGAATTTACCATACAGCATCCTTTTTTATGTAAAATACTTTTTCTTTGTTACCTTGTTTGCATAGCTAGGAGGCACGGCTAACTCCATATATCCCCAGGCCTTATTTAGAATTTAATGTCTCCAAAACAAATTGAATGATTTTCAAAAGTCAAAGTAGTTTATGACCTTAAAGCATTTAGCAAACCTAGTATCTAACCTGCATAATTTAGACAAAATGTCTTTATTTTATCAATAATCTTTTTCTTTCTTTCTTTCTTTCTTTTTTTTTTTTGAGATGGAGTCTCACTCTGTCACCCAGGCTGGAGTGCAGTGGTGCAATCTTGGCTCACTGCAAGCTCTGCCTCCTGGGTTCATGCCATTCTCCTGCCTCAGTCTCCCGTGTAGCTGGGACTATAGGTGCCCACCACCACGCCCAGCTAATTTTTTTGTATTTTTAGTAGAGACAGGGTTTCACCATGTTGGCCAGGATGGTCTCAATCACCTGACCTCATGACCGCCTGTCTCAGCCTCCCAAAGTGCTGGGATTAGAGGCATGAGCCACCGTGCCCAACCTATCAATAATCTTTAAAGCTATTTTTATTTCCCAAAGATTACTAAATTTACATGAACTAAAAGGCATTACAGTTTTTATTTTGCTTTCAAAATATTTGATTTAAATGCTTATTTTTGTTTAAGCCAATTAGTTAGAGCTCTTTTATATAAACATTACACACAACACATATACAATTACATAGGCAGACAGAAGATTACTACAGTAGTCATAAGATTTTTCATTTGCCAGTTTTTAAGTTACTTAATTGGTTATTGGCTTTAGGGTGGAGACCTTGGAAGAACAGAGCCAGAAAAGGGGTTTCTGGTGCCTCCGTTATTCCCAAGGAGTCCAGGCTGTTAAAGCTTGAACATCCACTTTTAATTACACGGATTTTTAACCACAGCACTCTTTAATAAAGTCCTTTTAAAATTTTCTTATTAACCTGATTGTAGCCAGGCCAACCAGCCGATATTTCTGGCTTTTTAACTTTACCAAAGGTAACCTCCCAGGTGCTAAGAGAAAGGAAAATTTAAGATAATCCATGGAGGAGAAGAGACTACACAAGATTATGCAGATATTAAACCAAAAGGACTTACTTCCTAAGCAGGGACTCAAACCCAGACAGCCAGTGTGAAAGGCCAAAATCGTAGCTACTGAGTAACAGCACAGTGCAGTCTCTACTGTCCTTCCCAGAAGGAGTCTAGAGTAGTTCATTTTGAGCTTGCAAAGCCTTTTAACTATTCAAGATAATTTTTAGAGCTAACTATGACATAAACCCTAAAATTCCTGTTCCCTGGAAGTCGGAGACCAAGAGAACATACTGCCATGTGGTTACAAGGTCAAGTTCCCAAGGACATAAAACAAGATGGAGACTCCACCCAGTTTTTTTGTTTGTTTCAGGGACCTACAGGAAAGTTTGTTATTGACCAGCTTGCTGGGTCATCTTGAGCAGAGAGCTTATGGGGTCCTAAGCCCATGTTTTACCCTAAGTTACCCCTCGACCCAGAAAAATGAATTCATAGCACAAATACAACAGTTTAAGGCTAGCTTCAGAATTCTTTTTTGCATTAATCAAAATTTTACAGAAGAGATAAACAGTGATTTTTACCATTCATTCAACCATTTGCCCAAAGAGAGAGATGCCAGAAATATGACTGGTAAAAAATTACCCTTTTGCCAGCATCCCAGGCTTCTGGCTTCCCTTTCCCTGAGCAGCCCTAGTGACCTAGCTTGCCGCACCATCGTGCTGGGGCCAAGCCACATCATAAAGGAAAATTATCTCTTTTTGTTCTGGCCAGAGTAAAATATGTGCAATAAAACATAAACATTAGCCACTCTGCTTAGCACCCAATATCAAACTGGCAGTGCTTATATTTGCCCCTGGTTGGGCCCCGTCATCATTAATCCAACCTCTGACCAGGAGTTTCAACATGTGGTCTCTGGGCAAGATGGTTGCCCTGAGTAACAGAAAAGATAGGAAAGGGAAAGGAGAGAGAGAAAAGCACTGTCTGCGGCAGGGTGGGGAAGGTGAAGTGGTCAGGGAGGCCAGAGAGAGACCCACCCATTGCAGCAACACTGAAAAGTTGAGGTGGCTGCTTCTCAGTAGCAAAGGGATCTTTTCCAGCCATCCCATCAGCTCTCAAGATTCCCCTTTTGGGGAGGAAAAAGCTCCCCATGTCCCACAATCCTGTACATGCCGAATCATGTCACCCACAGCCATCAGCAAAGAGTGCAAGGCAGATTATTCCAAAAGGAATAGCAGTTAACATCCTGTAGTGCCAAACCTGTTCTTAGCCAAAAGGGACTTTACCAAGAACCCTCCTTTTTAAATGTACTTCAATGCATTGCTGTTCATTCAGAACGTGCCACTGTAAGTTAAATCTTTAGTAAGGTTTTGCCATTTCTATAAGACTTCGCTGCCTCCAAGGCCTAATGTATGAACCAAAAGGAACTCAGTTTTCCAGAAATTAAGGATCCCATTCTTACCTAAAATATTGGCTTTACTCTCAGGTTCTCTTGATTAACTTAGCCAATAATTTTGTTTCTACCTAAGCACACAAGAAAAATGAAACAAAGCAGTAGAACACAAAAATCCCTGTGAATTTTCAAAAGCCAAAATTATAACCAGTGCAATATTACTGCTTACTACTAGTTCCTTTCTGACCCAGTCAGATGTAAGAGGCCTCTACCTGGATCCAAACCAGTTAATTCCCAGATCAAATCTGTTCCTGGACCCAGTCCAGTTTGTTTCGTGACTCCAAACCCAGTTTGGATTAGAAATTTGCTCAAAGAAACTCAGAGAGCTCAAAACGCAAATCCATGGAGCTCCAAAATCTGAGAGTGAGCTTACCCACCATCCGGAGCCGCTCTGAGAGATCCATGGACACAAGTGGGTCCTCGAGTGCTGGTACCTCGAGTGTTCACTCAGCGCTCCTGGAGGTCACTAGAAGCTCTGCTTGGGATCCTGCTTCTGACACCATCTGATACAAGAAAAACGTCAGCTGCATTAAATTTAAAGGAGTTTAATTGAGCAACAAACGATTCTCGAATCAGGCAGTCCCCAGAATGACAGCTGATTCACAGAGACTGCAGGAGTACCTCGTGGTAAGAACAAATTCATAGACAAAAAAGGTAAAGTGACGTACAGGAATCAGAAATGAGGTACAGAAACAGTGAGATAGGAAACCTGAGGTGTAACCATATTTGAATGCAGTTTGAACATTCAACAGTCCATGAGTGGTTGAAGTATGGCCGCTGGGATTGGCCAACACTCAGCCATTGTTACAGGTGCATACTGTTAAGATAGGTTTTCAATTTTGTCTGACTATTAAGCTAGGTTACAATTCATCCACAAGGACTCAAATACAGAAGTACGGAGTCCTTCTCAGGACATATTTAGTTTGCTTTAATACCTGTATCATCTTCCCTTGAATGTGGGCAGGCCTATACTTGTTTTAATCAATGGAATAGAATAGAAGTAACATTCTGTGATTTCCAAGGCTGGGTCACAAAAACTCATGCAGCTTCACCTGTCTCTCTAAGAGCTCTCACTCTCCTGGTGCCCTGTCTTGGGCTTCTTCCTTTCAGAACCCAGCCATTACACTATGAGAATGAGAAGCCCAGTCCACATGGAAAAGCAATGTGTATGCATTCTTATCAGCAGCTCCAGCTGAGCCCAGCCTTTGCACCATCCTGGCCGACATGCCAGACATGTGAGCAAAGAGGTTGCCAAATAATTCAAGCCCCCATTCATTTGAGCCACAGACCAGCCCTTTGAGTCTCCCCAGTTGAAGCCCCAGACTTCATGCAGTAGAGATAAACCTTTTCTGTAGAATTCTGTCTGAATTCCACAGTTGTTATTTTATACTACACTTTGGAGTGCTTTTTTTTTTTTTAGAAATGGCAGTTCATACATGCTATAAATGGTAACAACAAAAATATCCTACTTTTAGTTAACCAAAAGGGATGAAAATGTTTTTTCAGACCTCATATGAACAGGAAGGTTTCTAGAGATGGAAGGCGGGAATCGATACCCAGAAGTTTTCAGTGAGAGGCTGTGACTGTTCTTTTTTTCCCCCCACATTCCACATAGTGTTTTAACTACATTTGCTAATTTACCAATCAAGTTAAGAAGACAAAATAGGCCGGGCGCAGTGGCTCACGCCCGTAATCCCAACATTTTGGGAGGCTGAGGCGGGCGGATCATGAGGTCAGGATATCGAGACCACCCTGGCTAACACGGTGAAACCCCGTCTCTACTAAAAAAATATAAAAAATTAGCCGGGCGTGGTGGTGGGCACCTGTAGTCCCAGCTACTCGGGAGGCTGAGGCAGGAGAATGGTGTGAATCCAGGAGGCGGATCTTGCAGTGAGCCGAGATTGCACCACTGCACTCCAGCCTGGGCGACAGAGCAAGACTCTGTCTCAAAAAAAAAAAAAAAAAAAAGAAGACAAAATAATCAACTGTTTTCAGTTGTCTTGGTCACAGTCTCATTCTCTAAATATGAGAGAGATGCATTAGAAAGTGAAAATGCAGATGAATGCCCTTTACCTCTGTTAACTATAAAATCAATCCTAGCCTTACAAAATTACTTGACAGCAATAAGATCATGAGATGTTCTCAATGTTGTAGAGAAGATGCTAACTTGTTTTAAATTTTTTGTTTAATACTTGTTAAAGGACAAGGAACACACAAAAAAATGTAAAAATAAATAATTTTCATAACTGCTGGCCGGGCATGGTAGCTCACGCCTGTAATCCCAGCACTTTAGGAGGCCGAGGCAGGCGGATCACGAGATCAGAGGTTTGAGACCAGAAACCCCATCTCCACTAAAAACAGAAAAAAATTAGCCAGGCGTGGTGGTGGGCACCTGTAATCCCAACTACTCAGGAGGCTGAGGCAGGAAAATCACTTGAACCTGGGAGGCAGAGGTTACAGTGAGCTGAGATCGCACCATTGCACTCTAGCCTGGGTGACAGAGTGAGACTCTATCTCAAAAAATAATAAAATAAAATAAAATAAAATAGTAACTGCTAAAATCTTAGTCTTCTTAACATTCAGAATATCTTTTAATTGTTAAGACTTTTAAGACTTGTTCATAATCTCAGTTTAACTCAGCATTTTTTCTAAAAGATTTTTCGTTACTAATTGACTTTCAAAAAAGCAGAAGATATATCCTTTTGCACTGAAGGTTGTAATTTTCCAAAGCTTTGACTTTTGTTTAATACTCCATAAAGCACATTGTATATTTTTGCTGAATTTTAAAATGTTGTCATTCTGTGAGGTAAAGAACTAAGTGCTAAGTGAAATGTGAAACCAAAGTCTTCCTTGGAAATGTGTTCCTCTGAGAAAAAATAAAAATGTGCTAAATATATCTCTACAAAGAAAGGAAGGGCATTTGTCCTGATGTCTACTCCAGGAATAACTTCCCTCAGGAGAATTTTGAAAGGATTTGAGCATTTTAAATGTCCTGAACTAAATTAGTTAATTAAAAATATGGGTGAGCAAAGTCCACTGAGGTTAAAAGGAGAACAATAGTCAGCAATCATTTATCACTGTGCCCTGGTTCAAGGATTTCAAGATACCTGATTAACAGTGGCAATTCTCATTTAGATTCGTTATCTGAGGGAGGAGAGTTGTTATTGATCCAACAGCTGACCTCACTGCAGGCTTTGAGTGTGACAATAATAATCTCTGCATATAGTAGGCCTGTAGTCATTGACAGTTTGAGTAACGATTAGATGAAACAGATGAATAAACAGCTAATTCCAAAAAACTCTCATTCCATCTCTATTGATGCTTTAGACTTTCAACATGCTTCATATCTCTCTTTTTATCTTTCCTTCCTTCCTTCTCTATTTCTTCCTTTCCTCTTTTCAAATGAGTTATTAAATTTTTTTAAAGGAAGTACTAGCAGAGTACAAACTGTGGAAGAAGAAAAAGTTTTCCTCTACCCTCAGTTTCAATATCCGAGACTCTGCAAATTTAACTGACAAAAGACTGATTCACAGGAGAAAACTGTATAGATTTATTACCATTTTACAAGCATGGGAGTTCGTAGACAAGAAGTGAAACTCAAAGAAGCAGTTAGACTTGGGGACTTACATGCCATTTCAACAATGGAAAGAGGCTTGGGCTTCAAGGAACAAGTTGAGAGAAAGTAACCGGAAAATATATAGGAGAAACTAATGGAAGATAGGGGTTATTTTAGTAAGGTTTCTTAGTGCAGACTCATCTCCATGCAAACTCTGTCTCCGGTAATAACAGTTGCTCCTTTCTTCCTGGTTTAGGAGGTAGGGAGCACCTTCACAAAGGGAAACTTGTGCCTTTTGGGTCGTAGCTAAGGAAGGGGAACAGAGACCTCTTCCTGCATTTGTTGATTCTCAATTGACTTCAGTCTAAAATAATCCTTATGCCAAAATGGCATATTTGGGGGCATATTTGGGGGTGGCATATTCTGAACACTTTCAAAATCCTTTTTATTTCATCACATCCTAATGACAGTGACTAAGAATGTCTTCTAAATTCACTATATAAATGGTAATTTAACTCAAGGTGGAAAAACTTGACCAAATATTAGTTTTAAACACTATAATTTTCGTGAGGAATGGAATGTCCACATGAAATCAATGCTTTTGAACTTTTTCTACTAAAAATTCATGAATGTCTGAGAGCAATGAGCTTGAGCTACATCAACACAATGCTAAACATCTGGAGGGGAAGTGGAAAATGCAAGCAATTGTCCAGATATTTTGTCTACACAAAATTCAGCCATACAGATGTGCTTTCCCGAGACCAAACAACTAGACAATTGGCAAAATTCATTCCATTTCTATCTGTATGTGAAACATCCCTCATCTACGCTTATTTTAACAATGAGCTACATCCTTCTTGAGTGGGATTTTAACCAGACCGTCTCTCCTACTCAACTCTTCTCTTCTTTCAATGTATCTGCATATGTTTTTAAAGTACAAAGGAATGAAAAAATAGCAAATTGTCTGTATCTTCTTATTTTAGAGTAAAGTAAGTGCAGAACAATGACTGGTTGGTTTGTATTTTCCTTGCAGTACCTAGCACACCAGGTGCAGTCAATAAACATTAAGCCATCAAATAAATCAGAATTTCAAATTGTGGTCTGCATTGAAGAATACATTACAGTCAGCTGCTTTTGCAGCAGGGTGAATTTCAGAAAAAGACTCAATTGATTGGCTTGTCTCAAACATTAATGTGCATACAAATCTTCTGGGGATATTTTTTTAAATGCAGATTCTGATGCAGTAGGTCTGGGCTGGGGCCCAAGACACTACATTTCTATCAAATTCTCAGGTTACACTGATGATGGTTGGTCTACAGCTGAGTAGCAAGCAGATGGGTTATTGGCAAGGGGAAAAGATTAAATCTGTCCCTTCACCAATTCTAAAGCATATCTATTATAAACAATATCCCTAATGTATTTAAGGAAAAAAATTTTAATAAAATAATTTTAATGTAAAATAATTGAATAACTCTAAATCATCAAAACATAAAAAACTGACAAAATAGAATCTGTAACCTGAAACTAAAAGGGCTATTTGGGGAAAAAAAACAATGGTTTACTAAATGCTAATAAAGTCCATGTTAATAGTAGAAAACAGCCAAAAAGATATGTCTCCAGCTAACAGTACAAATACAAACTAATAGGTACTTAACTTTAGTACAGGTTTTAAAAGTACCCTCTCCCTCAAGAAGTCAGTCTTTCAGGTGTACTTATAGCAAGAAAAAATAAATAAATTACATCTTCAAGTGTAGAATAGTTAACATCATAAATGGATCCATGATTTCAGTAGATTGATACACTGGATGGTCTGTTCTAAATTACATCTTCAAGTGTAGAATAGTTAACATCATAAATGGATCCATGATTTCAGTAGATTGATACACTGGATGGTCTGTTCTAAGAAAATCTTTATGATTCAGAATATTATGTGTTTTATTAAATTATTTTCTTCACTATTCTATCTAAATCATCACATAGTGTCTGAAACAGAAAAAAAAAAGTTATTCATTTAATCAACATTGAACTCAATCACTGAAAAAGCACTGTGCCAGACACTCTCTGGGGTTGTAGTACTGAATAGCACGGATTCTATCATGGATCTTGTAGTCTAACAGGAAGGAAATATGCATACATAAATAACTAGAACATGAATTCAAAGTGTAATAATTGTCATCACAAACATGCAAATAATGGGTTTTGGAAATTAAGAAGCATGAGCAGAATTGTGGTTAGAAAATAACCCTACCCAAAGGTTCTTTTAAAAAATGCCTGAAGTACTAAATTTTCTGAAAAACTCCCAGATCCAATAATTTAATAATCATGAGAATTCTCATTTGTATCTCCTCTTCCAATTCAAGCCAAAAGGGATCTTCATCTGATAAAGATATTAATAAAACACATAAACAGTACCAACAATTCCCCAAGTGAATACCTCCAATACTCAGTCAAACAGCTTTCCAAATGTGTATACAGCCAGTGATGTGCTGGTAACTGTTTCACAATCAGCCCTGGGGGGTGGTGACAGGAGCTCTAATTTGTAGACTCTACTAATTTCCATGGTGTAAGTACCCATGACTGATTTCGGGGTATTAATGTGAGATCACTAAGCTGTGAGGGGGGAAGATATGTTCACAATCAGCCCTCTCATATGTCTGATGACATTTGTGTTTAGTGGCAAAGAAGGATGAACGCTCTGAAGAAAAACTGAGTTTAAAACTTAGTTCTGAGATTAATCAGCAATTAAAACTTTGATAAATTACTCAGCATCTCTAGGTTTCAGTTTCTTCTTTTGTAAATGGGGAAATATTAATACAATCTGGTTGTTATAAGAAATAAACTAATATGTAAAAAAAATTATGTATCATTAAGTGCTATCATTGTTAACCAAAACAATTCTACTAGAAAATTAATCCAGCCAGGTGCGGTGGCTCACACCTGTAATCGCAGCACTTTGGGAGGCCAAGGTGGGTGGATCACAAGGTCAGGAGTTCAAGACCATCCTGGCCAACATGGTGAAACCCCATCTCTACTAAAAACACAAAAATTAGCCGGGCATGATGGCGCGCCTGTAATCCCAGCTACTCAGGAGGCTGAGGCAAGAGAATTGCTTGAACCCAGGAGGCAGAGGTTGCAGTGAGCTGAGATCACTCCACTGCACTCTAGCCTGGGTGACAGAGTGAGACTCCATCTCAAAAAGAAAAAGAATCTTTGAGTAAATTTCTAATCACAATCTCCACCTATAGCAAAGTAATATTTTTAATATCTTTTTAGAAATAACATTACCAGTCATCTCCTCTTGGGAACTGTTAAGACTAAATTTTAAAATAAGATGGTCTTGCATAGTCATGAAAATATTGGTTCTGTGGGCCATTGTATGAATATTCTGGAAGATTTATCAAGCATTTTCATTCAGTATTGAGTCTAAGAAAACTTTGCTTGACCTAGTGCTAACAAATTATACTACTCATTTGGGCTTTGGACTTACTGTGCCTTATCTTGGACTCTAATTACATAGTATCATAGCACAATATGAAAGCTAGAATGTGACCTTGAGTTGCAACTCTTTATGTACTGTCAATCCCCACTGCCATTCACCTCACTTATGGATCAGATTATAAGTGATTTTGTGGCAGATTGGATTGCCACTGTATCTTTTCATTGCCTCTTTCAGGGCTTGGCACATAGTACTTTCATAAGTATTTGCTGAATTCAGATGATTTCGTACTCTTTCTGAAAGAAGTTCCATTAACTAATTCCCCTAAGAAGCAAAAAAGAATTCCAAAGCCAAAAGTTCCATTAACTAATTCCCCTAAGAAGCAAAATAAGAATTCCAAAGCCAAAATGCTAGAAAGCGTACCCCCTCTTTTGGAGAATCATACGGCACATTAGCATAATAAAGGATTTGCAAAGTTTAGCAGTCAAGAAACCTGTTTAAAATTATTTAACCTAAAATTTTCTATTCAAGGAAGGAACTCCTATTAATAAGGTAACTATAAATGTTATTATCCAGATCTGGATATTTTCAACAGTAAAATGAGACACTGTTAATAACTATACCAAAAACAAACATAAACTGGGACTATACCAGATGAACCTGAACATATAGCCATCCTGTCTATGAACATCCTTTACAAGTGGATAGAAAAATCAAAATTCCCACAACTACTGTTAGATGGATCAAAGTTTAGGAAACAATGATTGATCTAAATCCCTCATTCTACTGGTGAGGAACATGAGGTCAAAGAAAAGTTAAATATTTTCCATTGGCAAGTCTCTTAGAACCCAGTTAGAGGTAGACCTCTGAATAAAATCTAGTTCATTGGAATGCCATTTTCAAATCAGTTTCTAATTTATTCAAAGGTCATTAATCCTGAAATTAATACAACTAATTGTTCGGCTATGTCTTCACAAAGAAAAGAAACTGAACTTACATGCCCCTTTTGGATATCATTTCATCATACACAAAGTATTGACTTTGGGGTATCATCAAATGTAAATTAGATGTCAGCTTGGGGCCCCTTGTCTCTTCAGAGATGTAGGAATAATTGCCTTGAGCCCGCAACAATTCCATGGCCTAGTAAAAGGCCAAGGTTTTACGCCAAAATTTCTGCAAATTCCCGCAGGCCTGTTTCTCATAGCCTCCTTTGCCATCTGGGCTCATGATTCCTCTGTGACATACTGCACTAACCCACACACAAACATAGCACTCTTTAGTTTCCACAAAACAGGTGTAGTCTCGAAAAGTTGCTAAAATATTTTGAAAATTTGTATAAGGGAGAAGAATGATTATTTCATAGCAATGCAAATAATAGTAACAATTAAGCTGAAGCATTCTTAAAAATATTTGTTGGCTCTCCATCCCTTGAATTTTTACTGGCCCCCATCTTCTTACCATTTTCTGGCTCTTTGCCCTTGCTCCTCTTCCCTTCTCTTTCCTCCTATCCAAGTGGGTATTTAACCTCCTCTTCCTCACTGGGTATTTAATCACAGAATTCTTTCCCCTATACTCATAAAACGAAAACAAAAACCTTTCCCTCCACCCTGAAGTCTCAATATTACCTAGTATTCCCAACGGTTATACAACTTCAGTGTTGGGTCTGTGTTGGAGGGAGGGTTCTCTATTTCAATCATTCTTCCAATTAAGATAGAGCGTGCTTTGAAAGGAATCCAGGTGCAAATAATATTCTGTGCCTCATTAAGCAATTATATAACTCACTTGGAGGATAATTGAGTTACTCTAAATGATGGTGACTTGGACTAGGGTGGTAGCAGTGAAAGTGTAGTGAAATGGACAGATATGAGACCCTTAGGAGTTAGAAGGAACAGGTATTGTGGTAGATTGAGTAGGTGAGGATGAAGAGGAATAATCGAGCACAACCCCAAGTTCTCTAGCTTGGGCAGCTACAGCGTGTAGCACCCCATTTACAAAGATAGTGAGCCCTGGGAGGGAGCAGATTCAGAAGGGGATACGATGATATCAGTTTTGGAAATGTTGAATATAAAGTATCCATGAAAGAACCTGTAGGAGGTGCTCTCTGGACAGTTGGATGTGTGTGTTTGGCAGTCAGGAAAGTGGAAGCAAGAGATATTCACAAATATCTGGCTCCGAGTCCTAGTTCTCCCACTTCCTAGGTATGTGCTTTTAGCAACTACTTAAACTCTCCATGCCTCAGTCTCTTAATCTGTACAGTAAGGATTACTATTATACTTCTATAGTGTAAAGATAGCTCAGGATTCCTAAGATAACACATATGAAGCTCTTAGCCTATCTCAATAAAAATAAGTAACTAAAAAAAAAAAGTAGCACCTCCTATGTGCCAGACACTCCTCTGAACACTTTATATATATTTACCCACTTTATAACAACCCTATATCATAGATACTATTATTGTTTCCATTTTCCAGATGAGGGAACAAATGCAGAAAAGGTAAGCAGCTTGCAAAGGCAGGAAGTAACAGATTTGAACCCATGCAGTCTGGCTCGAGTCTGCATACTTAACCACTGCACAAGACTTTCTCTTAATAATATCAGCTGAAATTGTTACAATCATAGATTTGGAAGTCACTAGAACATTAGAACATGTGCTCCCACATTATGTTCTGGTGACTTCCAAGTCTATTATTATAAGAAATTGGGAAGTTACCAAACAATAATGCTAATAATACCTCAATTTCATTGCATACTTATTCTTTGAAAGGCAATATTCTGAACGCTTTATATGAATATCTCATTTAAATTTCTCAACAGTTCTATGAAGTAGGTACTATTATTTCTCTCATTTTGAAGAGGAAGAAACTGAGACATGGAGAGGTTAAGTAGCCTGTTAATTTCACAAGGATATAAAATAATGAAGTAAAATTCAAACCCAGAGAACACCTGACTCCCACACTCTAAAATGAAATATTGGAGTGGATAAGAAGGCTATGTAGAGATGAAAAGAATGCATAAAATGAAGTCATGAGGAACACCTGGTTCCATTATCCTCCTAAGAAATCCTTTTAAATGTAAGCAATCACCTCCTCCTTCCCTTTGCCAAAGATGACTAGAAAGAATTCCTTCTTCTAGCCTTTTAGAGCACATTGTCTATATATCTCATGTACAGCACCTGGTCATGCTGTCATTACCAGACATTCATTTGTCCCACCAGGATTTAAACCCAGCCACACAAGGAGTAAGGGAGGAGACCACCCTTCATATTGTCTTATGCCCAATTTCTGCCTCCAAAGAAAGAAAAAGTAAAAACTAAAAGGCAGAAATGAAATCCACAAGCAGACAGCCCAGCGCCACACCTTAGGCCTGGTAGTTAAAGACCGACCCCTGATCTAATTGGTTATGTTATCTATAAAGTACAGACATTGTATAGAAAAGCACTGTGAAAATCCCTATCCTGTTTTGTTACGATCTATCTAATTATCAGTGCATGCAGCCCCCAGTCACATACCCCCGCTTGCTCAATCGATCACGACCCTCTCACGCACACCCCCTTAGAGTTGTGAGCCCTTAAAAGGGACAGGAATTGCTCACTTGGGGAGCTCGGCTCTTGAGACAGGAGTCTTGCTGATGCCCCCAGCCGAATAAACCCCTTCCTTCAACTCGGTGTCTGAGGAGTTTTGTCTGCAGCTCATCCTGCTACATTTCTTGGTTCCCTGACAGGGAAGCGAGGTGATTGGCAGATGGTCGAGGCAGCTCCTTAGGCGGCTTAAGCCTGCCCTGTGGAACATCCCTGCAGGGAACTCCCAACAGCCCGAGTGACGCGGATCCTGAGAGCGCCCCCGGGTAGGCACTTGCCCCGGTGGGATGCCTCGCCAGAGCAGTGTGTGGCAGGCCCCCGTGGAGGATCAACGCAGTGGCTGAACACCGGGAAGGAACAGGCACTTGGAGTCTGGACATCTAAAACTTGGTAAGACTAGTCTTTGAAACTTGCCCACTCCGTTTGAGTGGAAGCGTGACCTGATCACCCATGGCATGCCTTTATCAGCACTTCAGTTTTGGTTTTGGTTTTGACTTGGTTTGAACTGCTTGACAGGACCGGTCTTGGGAACTTGCCTACTCCATTTGAGTGGAAGCGTGGCCTCATCACCCACGGCATGCCTGTACTGGCACTTTGGTTTTTATTTTTGACTTGACTTGGATTGCTTGATACTTTGGTTTTGGTTTTGACCTGGCTTGGATTTCTGGATACTCTGATTTGGGTTTTGATTTCGGTTTGGTGCAAACTGCAAAAGTGTGTGTGTGCCCTTTTCACCCGTTCTTTGTTTTGTGGTGTGCGTGCAGTGTGAGCATGGTGTTTTGTCTGGAAGAAGCATAGGTCAGGCACAAATAAGCCCACCCTACTAGGAACTATGTTGAAAATTTTCAAAACAGAATTTAAGAGAGACTATGGAGTACTATGACATCAGGAAAACTTAAAACTTCGTGTAAGACTGGCCAGCATTAGAGGTAGGTTGGTCATTAGAAGGAAGCCTGGACAGGTCCCTTGTTTCAAAAGTATAGCACAAGGTAACCTGTAAGCCAGGGAACCCAGACCAATTCCCATATATAGACACTTGGTTACAGCTGGTTTTAGACCCCCCGCCCCCAACACACAGTGGTTGAGAGAACAGCAGCATAAGCAGCTGGCAGAGGCAAGGAAAGATTAGCAGAGAGAGAGAAAGAAAGAGAGAGGCAGAGAGAGAGAGGAAGAGACAGAGGCAAAAGGAAAGTCAAAGAGAGAGAGACAAAGTCAAAGAGACAAAGAGAGAGATATACAAGCAGTTAAGAAAAAAAAGTATACCCTATTCCTTTAAAACCTATAGGTTTTAAAGAAATTTAAAGGAATTTAAGGTAAATTTAAAACCTATAATTGATAATTGAAGGTATTCTCCGTAACCCTGTAACATTCCAATACCACTTTGTTGTCAGTGTAAACAAGGGCTTATCCCGAAAGCACTGAGGCCTTCCTATCAAAAATCCTTAACCCAGTAACCTGCAGATGGCCCAAATGCATTCAATCTGTAGCAGCAACTGCTTTGCTAACAACAACAAAAATAACTTTTAGAGGAAACCTCAATGTGAGCAGACCTCACCAGTTCAGAAGTATCCTAAGGAAAAAAAAGGAGAGGCAGAATTTATATAAAAGGAGTATTATATGGTAAATTCTTGTCCTGAAATAAATTAACTGGTTGGTTAAAGTAAGAAACATTTGTAGTAAGTCAGAAAGTTGAGGTATGTCGAAGAATTGTCTGTGAAAGTCATGAAAGAGAAAAATGTTATAAAAAAGAATTTATGCAAAAAATGTTGTATAATTTAAAAGTAACTAGGCCTCCTGAATGTAAAACTACTGAAAAAAAAAAAAAAACCAGTTTATGTGCAAGGTGTATAAGAAAAGTAAAAAATACCTTTGGTAAAAAGATTATAAGGAGGCATAAGAATGTACATTTTTACCTACATTAAAAAATTTAAAAAAATTATTGTTTTGAAGGTTTAAGCAAATTTTAAAATATTAATTGTAAAGAAAATTCTGTGTGTAACATATTAGCTAAAGTTAAAGAAGTATCATCCAGTTTTTCTGTGAACTGGACATTAAAGTAAAAACATAACAGGTTTTTCTTAAAGCACCAACCTGCTCTTTAGCAAAAATTACAAAAGGTTGAAAAGAGTCTATAAAATCTTACCTTATGGTCAAACATTAAAAATTAGATAAATATGTCTACAAGGTTTTATTAAAATTAGGTTTAACATTAATAACACACTAATATAGATAAAATTTAGCTTATCTGGTATAAAAATCATATGAGAAGCATTGTTAAATGTAAAATGGTATTTAGCTTTCTTTGGTTTAAAAACTAATAAAAATAGGTGCTAAAGGAAATTTCTCAGTAAAAAGGCACGAAGGACTATAAAGTCCACTGCCAAGGTCCCCACATTTAAAACAAAAGGTAAATTTCTTCAAAATTATATACTTGGTTTATCTTCCACTTTCCTTTCTCTCAAAAACTAAAAGTCTTTTAGCACATGTACCACCCCTAGAATTTCCGGTAAACCAGCACCAGCCTGAAGATCACATTCTCACCAAAGGGTGGAAAGAAGAAAAACTCTTGCCAGCCTGGGAAGGACCCTACCTTGTGCTGCTAATCACCAAGACTGCTGTTTGTACAGAAAAAAAAAAAAAAAAAAAAGGATGGACTCATCACACCCAAGTCAAGAAAGCGCCACCCCCTCCAGAGTTGTAGGCCATAGTCCCAGGGGAAAACCCTATCAAACTAAAGCTAAGAAAAATTTAACTCTTTTCATCTATTCTATTACTCTTTCTTCTTTCCTCATTCTATTGCTGACCATCTAGTTATTAACATAACCAAGTCAATTTCCCCTCAAACTATTGCACTTAATGCTTGCCTTGTTATACCCTGTGGGGACTTGCCAAGTCAAACACAGCTTTCTACTTCAGAAAAGTACTTCTGTCCCTCCTGACTCTCCTCAGACTGGGTGTTAGTAAATTAGGACCATTTAATCCGGGGAGATTTCGATAAAGACCCCAGAGCCAACCAGGAGTCTTGCCCCCCGATGTAGAGCTTTCATGCTATAGTTGGTCCAACGTTCTGTGGACCACTACAGAGCAAGGATAGACTGCCCCAACCGGTTTTTGTAATTTCCTGAAACCATACATTCATTTTACTAGAGGATCATAGAAGTTAAATACTTAAAACAAACTTTAGCAATTAAGACAGGATACCAAGATGCAAATGCCTGGTTAAAATGGATCAAATATTCCATCTGCATGTTAAACAAAAGCAATTGTTATGCTTGTGCACATGGCAGGCCAGAGGCCCAGACTGTCCCCTTTCTACTAAGGTGGTCCTCCAGTCGACCAGGTGTGGGCTGCGTGGGAGCTCTTTTCCAGGATTCTACAACCTGGAGTAATAAGTCATGCCAAGCTCTCTCTGCTATATCCCAAAGTCCGGCACCCTGCAGGTCAACCCCCAAGGGCCATCCAGCCTCCATCTCCCAACACTAAGTTCACTTCATGTCTCTCATGACAAGGAGGAAACTTAGCATTCCTTGGAGACCTGAAAGGATGCAGTGAGCATAAAAATTTTCAACAGCTTATTGATTGGTCAGCCCTCGTTCATCCTCGAGCAGACGTGCGGTGGTATTGTGGTGGACCTTTACTGGGCACTCTGCCGAATAACTGGAGTGACACTTGTACTTTAGTCCAATTGGCTATCCCTTTCACCCTGGCATTTCATCAACCAGAAGGGAAAAAAATAAGACATCATAAAGCGAGAGAAGCCCCTTATGGGTCTTTCGACTCTCATCTCTATTTAGACACAACTGGAGTCCGATGAGGAATACCAGATCAATTTAAAGCTTGAAATCAAATAGCTGCAGGATTTGAGTCAATATTTTGGTAGGTGACAGTTAATAAAAATGTAGATTAGATAAACTACATCTATTACAACCAACAGCAACGAGCTTTTCATGAGTTAAAAGAAAAACTCATGTTGGCCCCAGCCCTGAGGCTACCTGACTTGACAAAACTCTTTACACTCTATGTGTCAGAAAGAGAAAAAATGACAGTTGGAGTTTTAACCCAGACTGTGGGGCCCTGGCCAAGGCCAATGGCCTATCTCTCAAAACAACTAGACAGGGTTTCCAAAGGCTGGCCCCCAGGTCTAAGGGCCCTAGCAGCAATGGCCCTGTTAGCATAAGAAGCAAATAAACTAACCCTTAGGCAAAACCTGAATATAAAGGTCCCCCATACTGTGGTAACTTTGATGACTACCAAAAGACATCATTAGTTAACCAATGCTAGATTAACCAAGTACCAAAGCTTGCTATGTGAAAATCCCCACATAACCAATGAGGTTTGCAACACCCTAAACCCCACCACCTTGCTGCTGGTATCAGAGAGCCCAGTGGAACATAACTGTGTAGAGGTGTTGGACTCAGTTTATTCTAGCAGGCCCAACCTCTGAGACCATCCTTAAACATCAGTAGACTGTGAGCGGTATGTGGACAGGAGCAGGTTCGCCAACCCCTGCAAAGTGACTGAAGAAGATGACAAGCCCTGCTCCAGTCACACCCGGAAGCAGACTGGTCAACACACGGCCAAAGCATGAGAAAACTCATCGAGGGACTCATTTTCCTTAAAATGTAGATGTTTACAGTAAGGACTTCAACTGACCTTCCTCAGACTGAGGACTGCTCCCAGTGTATACATCAAGTCACTGAGGTGGGACAAAAGGTTGCTACGGTCCTATTATTTTATGGTTATTATAAGTGTACTGGAACTCTAAAAAGAACTTGGTGGTATAATGTTATTCTATACAAGGTATGTAGCCCAGAAAATGACCAGCCTGATGTGTGTTATGACCCACCTGAGCCTCCCATGACCACAGTTTTTAAAATAAGATTAAGGACTGAGGACTGGTGGGGGCTCATAAACGATATGAGTAAAGTGTTAGCCAAAACAGAAGAAAAAGGGGTGCCCAAACAAGTCACCTTAAAAGTTGATGCCTGTGCTGTTATTAACAGTAATAAGTTAGGAATAAGGTGTGGTTCTCTTAATTAGAAAAGAGGCTATATGGCAGAAAATAAGTATATCTGTCATAAATTAAGACTGTGTGGAAATAAATGTAAACACTGGTCTTGCGTTGTTTAGGCCACTTGGATTAAAAAAAAAAAATGAAAAGGATCCAGTCCACCTTCAGAAAGGAAAAAATGGCCCCTCCTGTACTAAAGGACAATGTAATCCCTTAGAGCTAGTAATTAACCAATCCCCTTGATCCTCGCTGGAAAAAAGAGGAGCGTGTGACCTTAGGAATCAATGGGGCCAGACTGGATCCTCGAGTAAATATCTTGGTTCGAGAAGAAGTTTACAAACGCTCTCCTGAGCCAGTGTTTCAAACTTTCTATGATGAACTAAATGTGCCAGTACCGGAAATTCCAGGAAAAACAAGAAATTTGTATTTGCAGTTAGCCAAGCATGTAGCCCAGTCTCTCAATGTCACTTCATGTTATGTATGTGGAGGAACTGTAATAGGAGATCAGTGGCCATGGGAAGCCCAAGAATTAGTAACTACAGACCCAGTTCCTAATGAATTCCCAGCTCAAAAGAATCACCCTGATAATTTCTGGGTCCTAAAAGCCTCAATTATTGGACAATATTGCATAGCTAGGGAAGGAAAAGAATTCACTCACCCCATAGGACAACTTAGTTGTCTGAGACAGAAACTGTATAATGGTACCACAAAGACAGTCACTTTAGTGGAGTTCAAATCACACGAGAGAAATCCATTTAGTAAATTCCCAAAGTTGCAAACCGTGTGGACCCAACTGAAGTCCCACCGGGACTGGACAGCCCCCACTGGATTATACTGGATATGTGGGCATAGAGCTTATGCCAAATTACCTGACCAGTGGGCAGGTAGTTGTGTTATTGGCACTATTAAACCATCTTTCTTCCTACTGCCCATAAAAACAGGTGAACTCCTGGGCTTCCCTGTCTATGCTTCCTGCGAAAAGAGAAGCATAGCTATAGGAAATTGAAAAAATTATAAATGGCCCCCTGAGAGAATCATACAATATTATGGGCCTGCTACTTGGGCACAAGATGGCTCATGGGGATACCAGACCCCCAATTACATGATCAACCAAATCATACGGTTACAAGTTGTCTTAAAAATAATCCCTAATAAATCCAGCAGAGCCTTGACTATTCTGGCCTGGCAAGAAACTCAGATGAGGAATGCTATCTATCAAAATAGATCAGCTCTCGACTACTTGCTAGCAGCTGAAGGAGAGGTCTGTAGGAAATTTAACCTTGCTAATTGCTGCCTACACATAGATAGTCAAGGGCAAGTAGTTGAAGACACAGTTAGAGATATGACAAAACTGGCACATGTGCCTGTGCAAGTGTGGCATGGATTTGATCCTGAGGCCATGTTTGGAAAATAGTTCCCAGCGCTAGGAGGATTTAAAACTCTTATAATAAGAGTTATAATAGTAATAGGAACCTGCTTACTGATCCATTGTTTGCTATCTGTACTTCTTCAAATGGTAAAAAGCTTCATCGCTACCTTAGTTCACCAAAATGCTTTGGCAAAAGTGTACTATGTGAATCACTATTGATCTGTCTTGCAAGAAGACATGGGTAGTAAAAATGAAAGTGAGAACTCCCACTATTGAGTGAGAGTCTCAAAGTGAGGGGAATAAGGGAGGCGACCACCCCTCATATTGTCTTATGCCCAATTTCTGCCGCCAAAGAAAGAAAAAGTAAAAACTAAAAGGCAGAAGTGAAATTCTCAGGCAGACAGCCCGGCACCACACCCTGGGCTTGGTAGTTAAAGATCGACCCCTGACCTAACCGGTTATGTTATCTATAGATTACAGACATTGTATAGAAAAGCACTGTGAAAATCCCTATCTTGTTTTGTTCCGATCTATCTAATTACCAGTGCATGCGGCCCCCAGTCACATACCCCCTGCTTGCTCAATCAATCATGACCCTCTCATGGCCACCCCCTTAGAGTTGTGAGCCCTTAAAAGGGACAGGAATTGCTCACTTGGGGAGCTCGGCTCTTGAGACAGGAGTCTTGCTGATGCCCCCGGCCAAATAAACCCCTTCCTTCTTTAACTAGGTGTCTGAGGAGTTTTGTCTATGGCTTGTCCTGCTACAGGAGCCCTTCACTCTTCACTAATTCCCCTCCAGCATCCAGTGCCTTTATCAGCCCCTCTTTATGAGTTTGCTGAATTAAACTGAAAAGGAAGGATTAGGAAGATGGAAAGCAGAGAAGGGAGCCTGACAAAAAGGGGCAGTTGATGAAGCAAGAAGGGGAAACACTGAAAAGCAGCAAGCAAAAGTTTCTTGGCCTACCCTCCTAGCCTGGGGAGGGAAAGACTAGTTGTAGAATAGAGTGAGAAGTGGAATTGTTTTCTAGATCCTTCTGCTACCTGGAAGGCTTGGGAAGTCAGGAAGGCCTTCATAAAGGAGGTGACACTGCAGTAAAGTCTTCAAGGAAAACAAAAAAAGAGATTCCACTAGACGTGAAGGTCATGAGGCACAGAGAGAGGAGCATTCCAAGGCACATTTGAAGAGCCACTCTCTGTCTCTTGATTAATAGGAGAATAAGGCTAAAGAACTCAGCAAGGTCTCTGATAAGAATCTTGTGTGCCATGCAGAACAGATTTGGGGGGCTCTTTGCCAAATTGCCAGCACTTGCCCTTTCTGCAGGAACAGCCTCTACTCATCTTTACCCTTCTGTTGCCATCCTGGAATGCAGGCACACTGCAGCCAGATTTTTAATTCCTTGAGAAACCAGAAATCTACATGTTCGTGTAAAATAACCCTAGTTTTAAGTACTGACAACCTCTTCACAGACAAAGGAAAACCACTGAAAGTTTTTAAGCAGAGAATAGGATCAAATTTTAATTTAAAAACAAATTATTGGGCATCCATCCGAAAAACCGACCATAAAGACTGCCTACTAGTAGTAGCCAGAATTAGCCTATTGCAATTGGACTAGTGAGCCTCAGGAAGCCCGATCCAGTGACAAAGTTGGAAAAAAGAGTTTATAATTATAAAAATATTTAGGCAGTAGAAGGACTAGACTTATAGACTTATAGGGATAGTAAACGAAAGAAAGACAGGTTGAAGACTTTTTCCACCTAAAGTTGTGTAGTGTTAAATGGTAAGCTGAGTTCACTTTAAAACATGTTAATTTTAAAATGCGTATGAAATACCTAAGAGGTGATGAGAAACACCATTAAAAATAAAATCATGAAAATTATGTAGCAACTTTACAAGGTGATCACGCATTAATGTCAAGTGGGGAAATGACTACAAATATATATCTATGCCATGATTACAAAAATCTCCAATGCTATACAAATTATATATGCATACAAAGGTGAGATGTAATTTTGAAAAATGAAACTGGTTTCATATGTTGAAATGACAGGGTTTTATGTATTTGTTTCATTCACTTGTAAAAATTGTTTTGTGGTGAAAGTAATAAAAAGGTGACCAATAGTTTCTGTGAGAGGTAAGAAAAGGTTGCCATAAACTAAAGAATTTAGGGAAGGCTTGCTGGAGGAGGTGAGGCTTGAACAAGGCCCTGAAGGAATAGAAGGCAACTGTTACACAAAGATGAATGTTTCCCTTGCTTCTACACAAAAAACTGCAACCACTTCACAGAACGTACAATATAATTCTACTATGTATAGTGGCAAAGGGGGAACAAAGCTATTTGCTACCTTGAAACTAATCTGATTTGCATCTAGAAATCTACTCAATTTTCAACAGATAAACCCATGTTTTTGGTTTAAAAAGTGGCTTGATATAATGATATTTTCAGGGATCTAGAAAGAAAGCCTGGATCTAGCACAGATTCAGTCATTAATTAGCTATCAAGTCGCTCTTTCTCTCTGGGCCTCTATTTTTCTTTTGTAAAATGGGGCAGTTGAATTTGTTGGTTTCTTATATTTCTATTCAAATGTAAATATTTTTATCTGCTAAGAATATCATATTCAGACTCTCCACATGAATCTCAAGGCTTATGAAATTATTGACACACCCTGTTTGTGTTATTTTATTGTTGATTAAAGGAGTACATTTTTAAAATCGACCATGCCTTTTTAACAAATGAGTTTGTCACTTAGAAGCAGCCAACCTAAAAGAACAAAGGAATGATGTGTTAAAGGCTAAGCTATGGTGCCAGCTCAGAAACAACACACTTGAGATTTAAGACACCGACTTCGAGGATTTCGTGTATGTATATATGTGCTAAACTAATATTTGGCATATGGCACTGCTATGGTCTGAATGTTTGTGTCCCCTCACCCCCTAAAATTCATATGTTGAAATCCTAACCCCTAAGGTGATGGTATTAGGAGGTGGGGCCTTTGAGAAGTGATCAGGACATGAGGGTAGAGTCCTCATGAATGGGATTAGTGTCCTTATAAAAGAGGTCTGAGAGATACCCCTTGTCCCTTCTACCATGTTGAGACAGAGAAATAAGGCCCCATCTACAAGGAAGCAGGCCCTCACCAGACACTAAACCTATCAGCACCTTGATCTTGGACTTAGCCGTCAGAACTGCGAGAAATACATATCTGTTGTTTACAAGCCACCTAGTCTAGGGTACTTCTTTTATAGCAGCCTAGATAGAGTAAGACATTAGACTAAGGTACTATGTCTCCAATAATTGAATACAAAAGCCAAGAACAAAGAGGCAGAAATAGAAATGCCCCCTCTCATTATTACACTCAATAACCCACTTGTAGTATTTGCGCTTTCTGTACCACAACCCTAGGTTTCTGCTGAGTTGCAGGTCCTGATTCTCAGAGAAGGAACACTTTTGCCAGGGACACAGTGGTGGTTCCACTGAACTAGAAGCTGTATCTACCATATGGCTAATTTAAACTCTGCCTGACAGCAGTAGTGAAAGAAAGGAGTTACTGTACTGGCTGAGATAATCAACCTTGAGAAGTTAGATAACAAATCCTGAGAAGAAAGAAGTATATCTACACAATGTGCGCAGGGAGAAACATGTCTATGAATGCAGGAGATTCACTAAGGCATCTCTTAGTATTTTCAAGACTCATAATAACTGTCACTGGCGAATTATAAGAACCACAACCCAATAACAGCAGGGAAACAGAAGGCTTAGAATCCTCAGAATGAGGCTCTGGATTACCCTCGAAAGCAAGCATATCGGTGGAAGTATTGACAGTGGGTAAGTGAAACCTGTAATGGATGGAGGAGGAAATAAGTGATATCAGTTATAGCCTCAAGACCACCTGTAGCAACACCTTAGTTGTTTTTCACTGATTCTCTTGCCTTCACTCTTCAAGAAAAATGCAATTTGAAGGTAACTCTGTGACTGTTTTGCTGTTGCTCTAACAGAATACCACAGAATGGATAATTTATAAACAACGTAAGTTTATTTGACTCACTGTTCTGGAGGTTGAGAAGTCCAAGACAGAGGGCCCGCACCTAAAGGTCTTTTTGCTGCATCGTAACATGGCAGAAGGCATCCCATGGTGAGGAAGTGCAAGTACAAGACAGAAAAAAGAGACTAAACTCCTGTGATAACTAAGGCACTCCCCAATAATAGTATTAGCCCATTCATGAGGTTGAAGCACTCATAACCTAATCACCTCTTGAAGGTCCCACCTCTTAATACCACCATAATGACAGTTACATTTCAACCTGAGTTTTGAAGGAATTTCAAACCATGTACCATTGAACTTGTATCTCCACTTTCCAAGAGAATGTGACATCTCTTGTTCTAACAAAAAAAAGTTGCTCCATATTTTAGATTAAGAAACATATATAATTGGAGGGCACAGATGGATCCGAATGTTGCAAGGGGTGGACTATATAAGGTAAGGCTTTTTGCCAAATTTTCAGATTGTATTGTTTTCAGTTGTCTTTGAGACAGTTGCCACCATGACCATCATATGCAGTGTAGACTCATGAAGTTTTGCTGTCTGAGGGTAACCAGCCACACTCCAGAGTCTCTATCTTCTGCCATTTTCCATCTGACTCAGATTCAGGTGAAATACACCAGACAGTATTGGTGTAAATTTCTGAGAAGCTGCTAAAGATGTTTGATGATACAAACACGTAGTGTTGAGGAGTTAACTCCCTGTAGGACAAACTTCGATCATTAGGAATCAAGAAGTGGGGGAGGGCCAGGTAGATAAATTCTTCTTACTTCCCTCACTCCAATGGAATGTTCTAACTACTGATTTTGCCATACAGCCTGAGTGGTTGACCTGCTGCATGACCTGCTATTTCTTCCAGATTGTTGTGAAGTAACAACCAATATGGTACCTTGTATGGCTTACCATCCTTACCTGCCTCACTTCGCCTTCCTCTCACTCTGGACGTATACCTCTCAAAGCATTAGCACTTAGTCCTTGCCTCAGATTCTATTTTCTAGGAAACCCATGCTAAACAACTACTTTACCTAGACTCTTTTGAAATTAGATAGGAACATGCAATAGGATTCCAACCAATCGAATATAAAGAGAAATTCTACATACCACTTCCAAACTTGGCACATGAAAATTTCTGTGCATTCTCAGCTCTCCTTCTTTCCCCTATGGAATATCTAAAAGGAAAAAAAAAAAACAAGGCCTTCTTGTAAGCCTATATGTAGTAGAACTTCTATTAACCTAGGTCTCTGAGTAGATGAGAGCTGTCTGCTGACTTGTTCACATTCCCACTACCATTACATGAACATGAAATGAGGTTCTATTACCAATATATATGTGAGGTCTATTTATCACAGTAATCATCATACCCTGGTTAATACAACTATGTTGTCATTAAGGCAAATAACTATAATTAGCAAAGATCAGGGCCTTTAAAAAGGTACAGTGCTGCAGCTGGAGATCTGAGAATGGGCAGACTGCCTCCTCAAGTGGGTCCCTGACCCCTGACCCCTGAGCAGCCTAAGTGGGAGGCACCCCCCGGTAGGGGCAGACTGACACCTCACACGGCCGGGTACTCCTCTGAGACAAAACTTCCAGAGGAACGATCAGACAGCAGCATTCGCGGTTCGTGAAAAACCACTGTTCTGCAGACACCGCTGCTGATACCCAGGCAAACAGGGTCTGGAGTGGACCTCTAGCAAACTCCAACAGACCTGCAGCTGAGGGTCCTGTCTGTTAGAAGGAAAACTAACTAACAGAAAGGACATCCACACCAAAAACCCATCTGTACATCACCATCATCAAAGACCAAAAGTAGATAAAACCACAAAGATCGGGAAAAAACAGAAGAAAAACTGGAAACTCTAAAAAGCAGAGCACCTTTCCTCCTCCAAAGGATTGCAGTTCCTCACCAGCAATAGAACAAAGCTGGATGGAGAATGACTTTGACGAGTTGAGAGAAGAATGCTTCAGACGATCAAACTACGAGCTACAGGAGGAAATTCAAACCAAAGGCAAAGAAGTTGAAAACTTGGAAAAAAATTTAGACAAATGTATAACTAGAATAACCAATACAGAGAAGTGCTTAAAGGAGCTGATGGAGCTGAAAGCCAAGGCTCAAGAACTACGTGAAGAATGCAGAAGCCTCAGGAGCCGACGAGATCAACTGGAAGAAAGGGTATCAGTGATGGAAGATGAAATGAATGAAATGAAGCAAGAAGGGAAGTTTAGAGAAAAAAGAATAAAAAGAAACGAGCAAAGCCTCCAAGAAATATGGCACTATGTGAAAAGACCAAATCTACATCTGATTGGTGTACCTGAAAGTGACGGGGAGAATGGAACCAAGTTGGAAAATGCTCTGCAGGATATTATGCAGGAGAACTTCCCCAATCTAGCAAGGCAGGCCAACATTCAGATTCAGGAAATACAGAGAATACCACAAAGATACTCCTCGAGAAGAGCAACTCCAAGACACATAATTGTCAGATTCACCGAAGTTGAAATGAAGCAAAAAATGTTAAGGGCAGTCAGAGACAAAGGTCGGGTTACCCACAAAGGGAAGCCCATCAGACTAACAGCGGATCTCTCGGCAGAAACTCTACAAGCCAGAAGAGAGTGGGGGCCAATATTCAACATTCTTAAAGAAAAGAATTTTCAACCCAGAATTTCATATCCAGCCAAACTAAGCTTCATAAGTGAAGGAGAAATAAAATACTTTACAGACAAGCAAATGCTGAGAGATTTTGTCACCACCAGGCCTGCCCTAAAAGAGCTCCTGAAGGAAGCACTAAACATGGAAAGGAACAACTAGTACCAGCTGCTGCAAAATTATGCCAAAATGTAAAGACCATCGAGACTAGGAAGAAACTGCATCAACTAACGAGCAAAATAACCAGCTAACATCATAATGACAGGATCAAATTCACACATAACAATATTAACTTTAAATGTAAATGGACTAAATGCTCCAATTAAAAGACACAGACTGGCAAACTGGATGAAGAGTCAAGACCCATCAGTGTGTTGTATTCAGGAAACCCATCTCACACGAAGAGACACATATAGGCTCAAAATAAAAGGATGGAGGAAGATCTACCAAGCAAATGGAAAACAAAAAAAGGCAGGGGTTGCAATCCTAGTCTCTGATAAACAGACTTTAAACCCACAAAGATCAAAAGAGACAAAGAAGGCCATTACATAATGGTAAAGGGATCAATTCAACAAGAAGAGCTAACTATCCTAAATATATATGCACCCAATACAGGAGCACGCAGATTCATAAAGCAAGTCCTGAGTGACCTACAAAGAGACTTAAACTCCCACACATTAATAATGGGAGACTTTAACACCCCACTGTCAACATTAGATAGATCAACGAGACAGAAAGTCAACAAGGATACCCAGGAATTGAACTCAGCTCTGCACCAAGCGGACCTAATAGACATCTACAGAACTCTCCACCCCAAATCAACAGAATATACATTTTTTTCAGCACCACACCACACCTATTCCAAAATTGACCACATAGTTGGAAGTAAAGTTCTCCTCAGCAAATGTAAAAGAACAGAAATTATAACAAACTATCTCTCAGACCACAGTGCAATCAAACTAGAACTCAGGATTAAGAAATTCACTCAAAACTGCCCAACTACATGGAAACTGAACAACCTGCTCCTGAATGACTACTGGGTACATAACGAAATGAAGGCAGAAATAAAGATGTTCTTTGAAACCAACGAGAACAAAGACACAACATATCAGAATCTCTGGGACACATTCAAAGCAGTGTGTAGAGGGAAATTTATAGCACTAAATGCCCACAAGAGAAAGCAGGAAAGATCCAAAATTGACACCCTAACTTCACAATTAAAAGAACTAGAAAAGCAAGAGCAAACACATTCAAATGCTAGCAGAAGGCAAGAAATAACTAAAATCAGAGCAGAACTGAAGGAAATAGAGACATAAAAAACCCTTCAAAAAATTAATGAATCCAGGAGCTGGTTTTTTGAAAGGATCAACAAAATTGATAGACCGCTAGCAAGACTAATAAAGAAAAAAAGACAGAAGAATCAAGTAGATGCAAAAAAAAATTATGAAGCGGATATCACCACCAATCCCACAGAAATACAAACTACCATCAGAGAATACTACAAACAACTCTACGCAGATAAACTAGAAAATCTAGAAGAAATGGATAAATTCCTTGACACATACACTCTCCCAAGACTAAACCAGGAAGAAGTTGAATCTCTGAATAGATCAATAACAGGTTCTGAAATTGAGGCAATAATTAATAGCTTACCAACCAAAAAAAGTCCAGGAACAGACGGATTCACAGCCAAATTCTACCAGAGGTACAAGGAGGAACTGGTACCATTCCTTCTGAAACTATTCCAATCAATAGAAAAAGAGGGAATCCTCCCTAACTCATTTTATGAGGCCAGCATCATTCTGATACCAAAGCCAGGCAGAGACACAACCAAAAAAGAGAATTTTAGACCAATATCCTTGATGAACATTGATGCAAAAATCCTCAATAAAATACTGGCAAACCGAATCCAGCAGCACATCAAAAAGCTTATCCACCACGATCAAGTGGGCTTCATCCCTGGGATGCAAGGCTGGTTCAATATACGCAAATCAATAAATGTAATCCAGCATATAAACAGAACCAAAGACAAAAACTACATGATTATCTCAACAGATGCAGAAAAGGCCTTTGACAAAATTCAACAACGCTTCATGCTAAAAACTCTCAATAAATTAGGTATTGATGGGACGTATCTCAAAATACTAAGAGCTATCTCTGACAAACCCACAGCCAATATCATACTGAATGGGCAAAAACTGGAAGCATTCCCTTTGAAAACTGGAACAAGACAGGGATGCCCTCTCTCACCACTCCTATTCAACATAGTGTTGGAAGTTCTGGCCAGGGCAATTAGGCAGGAGAAGGAAATAAAGGGTATTCAATTAGGAAAAGAGGAAGTCAAATTGTCCCTGTTTGCAGATGACATGATTGTATATCTGGAAAACCCCATTGTCTCAGCCCAAAATCTCCTTAAGCTGATAAGCAACTTCAGCAAAGTCTCAGGATACAAAATCAATGTACAAAAATCACAAGCATTCTTATACACCAATAACAGACAAACAGAGAGCCAAATCATGAGTGAACTCCCATTCACAATTGCTTCAAAGAGAAGAAAATACCTAGGAATCCACCTTACAAGGGACGTGAAGGACCTCTTCAAGGAGAACTACAAACCACTGCTCAATAAAATAAAAGAGGATACAAACAAATGGAAGAACATTCCATGCTCATGGGTAGGAAGAATCAATATCGTGAAAATGGCCATACTGCCCAAGGTAATTTATAGATTCAATGCCATCCCCATCAAGCTACCAATGACTTTCTTCACAGAATTGGAAAAAACTACTTTAAAGTTCATCTGGAACCAAAAAAGAGCCCGCATCACCAAGTCAATCTTAAGCCAAAAGAACAAAGCTGGAGGCATCACGCTACCTGACTTCAAACTATACTACAAGGCTACAGTAACCAAAACAGCATGGTACTGGCACCAAAACAGATAGTGATCAATGGAACAGAACAGAGCCCTCAGAAATAACGCCACATACTACACCTATCTGATCTTTGGCGAACCTGAGAAAAACAAGAAATGGGGAAAGGATTCCCTATTTAATAAATGGTGCTGGGAAAACTGGCTAGCCATACGGAGAAAGCTGAAACTGGATCCCTTCCTTACACCTTATACAAAAATTAATTCAAGATGGATTAAAGACTTAAATGTTAGACCTAAAACCATAAAAACCCTAGAAGAAAACCTAGGCATTACCATTCAGGACATAGGCATGGGCAAGGACTTCACAACTAAAACACCAAAAGCAATGGCAACAAAAGCCAAAATTGACAAATGGGATCTAATTAAACTAAAGAGCTTCTGCACAGCAAAAGAAACTACCATCAGAGTGAACAGGCAACCCACAAAATGGGAGAAAATTTTCACAACCTACTCATCTGACAAAGGGCTAATATCCAGAATCTACAATGAACTCAAACAAATTTACAAGAAAAAAACAAACAACCCCATCAAAAAGTGGGTGAAGGACATGAACAGACACTTCTCAAAAGAAGACATTTATGCAGCCAAAAAACATGAAAAAATGCTCACCATCACTGGCCATCAGAGAAATGCAAATCAAAACCACAATGAGATATCATGTCACACCAGTTAGAATGGCAATCATTAAAAAGTCAGGAAACAACAGGTGCTGGAGAAGATGTGGAGAAATAGGAACACTTTTACACTGTTGGTGGGACTGTAAACTAGTTCAACCATTGTGGAAGTCAGTGTGGCGATTCCTCAGGGATCTAGAACTAGAAATACCATTTGACCCAGCCATCCCATTACTGGGTATATACCCAAAGGATTATAAATCATGCTGCTATAAAGACACATGCACACGTATGTTTATTGCGGCACTATTCACAATAGCAAAGACTTGGAACCAACCCAAATGTCCAACAATGATAGACTGGATTAAGAAAATGTGGCACATATACACCATGGAATACTATGCAGCCATAAAAAATGATGAGTTCATGTCCTTTGTAGGGACATGGATGAAATTGGAAATCATCATTCTCAGTAAACTATCGCAAGAACAAAAAACCAAACACCGCATATTCTCACTCATAGGTGGGAATTGAACAATGAGAACACATGGACACAGGAAGGGGAATATCACACTCTGGGGACTATTGTGGGGTTGGGGGAGGGGGGAGGGATAGCATTGGGAGATATACCTAATGCTAGATGACGAGTTAGTGGGTGCAGCGCACCAGCATGTCACATGTATACATATGTAACTAACCTGCACATTGTACACATGTACCCTAAAACTTAAAGTATAATAATAAAAAAAAAGGTGTAGTGCTAATTTTGAAAGTCATGGTTTTTTTTCTGCTTACTTGAAACCATATTTTATTTGTAAATTTGTATACATTAAATGAAACAACAAAATCATTATATGTTTTTCCAAAATCTATAGTTAATAGGTCCTCTTTAAAAGCCACTTCCACCCCCTTACCCTCCAACCATCACACAGCCCCAGAAAAAATCCAAATGATCTGAAGTGTCAGATGCTCATCAGTATAGACATTTTTGTGCTGGTTTTACTAAGACTATAATCTTAGGAATGCAAAAGAAACTAATCCAGATTCAACCATCGAAACTAACAGACTTCTGCATTTGTATACTACATGTTACTCATGAGTAAGAACAACTATTCTCTAAAAATTAGAAACATCACCTGGGGAGGGATACTTGATTTTTTAAAATTTTATAGTAGATGGTGCTCTCTATTCTTCAGGAGAACTGTATACATAACCATTTCTCTCATTTGCAATCACTGCTCAATGGGCTCAATCTTTTATACAAACAACTCAAAAACCTCCACTAAATTCATTCTCTTTCTCCCTCTTGATATCTACACAATCACTCCCTAAAGATAAGCCTGTTATATAGTGGAAATAGTAAATACCTACCCTTCTCTCCCAGCACTTCATCTATTAGGAAAAGAACAGATGCTGGGTCAGTCATGTGCTAAGAATGAATGACATTAACACATCAGAAAAGTTGCTAGGGAGGAACACAACCCAAATGAAAGATCAGGGAAGGGGTGAGTCAGCAACGCTGGAGGAAGTCAACATCTGTGGCTTCTTGCTGGAGGGAAAGAAACAGTCCATTATCAGTAAACGGTGCTGGGAAAACTGATATCCATGTGCAGAAGAATGAAACTAGACCCCTATCTCTTGCCATATGCAAAAATAAAATAAAAATGGATGAAGGACCTAAATCTAAAACCTCAAACTATTAAACTACTACAAGATAATATTGGGGAAAGTCTCTAGGCCATTGGTCTGAGCAAAAATTTATTGAGCAATACCCCACAAGCACAAGCAACCAAAGCAAAAATGTACAAACGGGATCACAGCAAGTTAAATAGCTTCTTCCCAGAAAAGGATACAATCAACAAAGTGAAGAGACAACCCATATAATGGGAGAATGTGTTTGCAAACTACCCATCTGACAAGAGGGTAATAACCAGAATATGTAAGGAGCTCAAACAACTCTATAGAAAAAAATGTAATAATTTGATCAAAGAATAGGCAAAAGATTTCAATAGACATTTCTCAAAAGAAGACATACAAATGGCAAACAGACATATGAAAAGGTGCTCAATATCAAATCACCATTTGATTTGCATTCGAAATGCAAATCAAAACCACAATAAGATATCATCACACCCTAGTAAAAATGCCTTATATCCAAAAGACAGGCAACGACAAATGCTGGAAAGGAGGTGAAGGAAAGGGAACCCTCATACACTGTTGGTGGGAAGATAAATTAGTAAAAACATTATGGGGAACAGTTTGGAGGTTCCTCAAAAAAACTAAAAATTGAGCTACCATGTGATCCAGCAATCCCACTACTGCATATATACCCCAAAGAAGGGAAATCAGTATATTGAAGCGATATCTGCACTCCTATATTTGTTGCAGCACTGTTTACAACAGCTAAGAATTGGAAACAACCTGTGTTAATCAAGATATGAATATATAAAGAAAACGTGGTACATATACACAGTGGAGTACTACTCAGCCAAAAAAAGAATGATATCCTTTCATTTGCAATAACGTGGATGGAACTGGAGATCATTATGTTAGCTAAAATAAGCCAGACACAGAAAGACAAACACCACATGTTCTCACTTATTTGTGGGGTCTAAAAACCAAAACAATTGAACTCATGGACAAAGAGAGTAGAGGATAGTTACCAGAGGCTGGGAAGGGTAGTTGGGGGCTGGTGGGGTGGTGGAGATAGTTAGTGGGTACAAACAAAATAGAAAGGATGAATAAGACCTACTATTTGATAGCACAATAAGGTGACTATAGTCAATAATAACTTAACTGTACATTTCAAAATTACTTAAAGAGTGTAATTGGACTTTTTGTAACTCAAAGGATAAATGCTTGATGGGGTGAATACCCTATTCTCCATGATGTACTTATTTCACATTGAATGCCTGTATCAAAATATCTCATGTACTCCATAAATACATCCACCTACTATATACCCACAAAAATGTTTAAAAATTGAAATTAGAGGAAAGAAACAGTTCATAGATCTTGCTAGGTCTCAGCTTCACTATTGGGACACCTTAAATGGAGGAAAAACTTTACATTTTCTTTGTTTATTCATTCAACATATATTTATTGAGAACCTATTATACAACAGGTGCAGTCACTAGGAACTTACAAGATAATTAGGTACCTCTTTGTATGGAGCTTGTGTTCTAGTCTGGAAACTCCATATTACACTTTCTACAAGTCAAAGATGCCAAGGGAGCCCCACATGCTTTTCTTAGAAAAATAAATTGAAAATAAGTTATTTTTATGATCTTAGACTTCAATTATAAAGCTTCTAAAAGTATCCTTCCATGGTTTAAGATAGAAATCTCAGGACTTCGGTTTCTGAACTAAAAATCAGAACATAACTTCTGACAAGTAGTAGTTCAGCCATTTATCCAAAGACCTTAGGAGAGAGGTTTTTTTCCCTCCTAAGGTCTTTAAATACATTATTTGATTTGCTCCTGTGAGTTAGGTATTGGATCCCCATCTTCAGCTGAAAAATACAGAGCTTCAGAGAGATTAAATAGAGTCCCAGAGAAGCTAAGTAAGGTCACATATCCGTTCTTTCATTTTTGTTTATTTATTGAGTATTCATACTTACACATATTTATTGGGCATCCATATATTTTGGAATGCATTTATTGGGCATCCACTATCAATCATGGTGTGTGTGTATATTAGCCAAGGTTCTCCAGAGAGACAGAGAGACTTACAGAAATTGGCTCATGAGATTATGGAGGCCAAGAAGTTCCATGATCTGTTGTCTGCAAGCTGGAAAACAAGGAAAGCCAGTGGTGTGATTCAGTCTGAGTCAAAAGGCCCAAGAACCAGGTGCACCAATGTCCAAGGGCAAGAAAGGATGAGTGTCCCAACTAAACAGAAGCAAATTTGCCCTTCCTCTGCCCTTTTGTTCTATTCATGGCCTCAACAGACTGGATAATACCCATCCACATTGGTAAGGGTGATTTTCTTTACACAGACTCCCAATTCAAATGCTGATCTCTTCCAGATACACTGTCACAAACACAGACAGAAATTGTGTTTTACCAGCTATCTGGACGTCCCTTACCCCAATCAAATTGACACCTAAAATTAGCCGTCATGGTGTATACATGCTATTCTGGACAGGAAAGAGAACAATGAACAATAGAGACACCTCCCCTCTCCCGATCCCACCAAAAGAAAACACACCTGCCCTCATGGAGATTGCCTCCTGGAAGGAAGAAAAAAATGTACATGAATAAAATACATGCTTATTAGATAGTAAAACATACTAAAGGGAAGAATAAAGCAGGGGAAAAGGAAAGGATATGTTCACGTAGGTGCTTCAATTTCAGATAGGTAAGCCAAGGAAGGACTGTCTTAAAAATATGACAGGTAAGCAAACAGCCCAGGAGGTGAGGGAGTGAGCTATGTGGTTATGGGAGATGAGAGGAGCCCTCCAGTGTGAGATTACATAAGTGCAAAGAGTTGGGAGAACACTGACCCGAGTTGGGAGAATGCTGGCCTGGGTGGGGAGGACGCTGGCCTGTTGGAGTTTAGTCATGAGACCCACGGGCTGCAGTGGAATAATCAAGGGGATAAGCAGTAATAAAAAGGGTCAAGGAAGGAAAGAGATGAAAGACCAAGCCAAAACTTCAGCATTTACTCAGTCATTGTAAGAACGTTGGCTTTTACTCAAAGCTGAATCAAAGGAGGGTGCAGGGTATTGGAAAGGTGTGGTGTGACTTATATTTTAAGAGAATCACTTTGCCCGTTTTGTTGGGAATAGATGGTAGGGACCTAAGGGCAGGAGCAGTGAAACTAAACAGATTGCTCTTGCAACAGTCCCAGTGAAAGACAACTGTGGCCTAACCGGAGCTGTAGTAGTGAAGATACTGAGAAATGGCCATCCAGCTTCTGCATGTATTGTGAAGGTGGATCCAACAGGATTTTCTGACAGATCAGAAGTGGGTTGCAAGAATAAGAAAATAATCAGAGATTACCCCCCAATATTTTTGTCCTGAATAACAGGAAGAATAGATTGTCATTTACTGCAATAAGGAAAGATAATGGGACAGAATCCTTAAACTCAGAATCCATAAGGACTGTAAACTATAGGACAAGCCTAGTTCCATGTGAATTGTAATCTAAAAGTATTGTTTTCGTTTTCACTTTTCTAAATAACAGCAAGAAAAAAGCAAGCAGAAAGCAAATAGGGAAATAGACTTTTTTTTTTAATTAGTAAGAAAGTCTTTTTATAAACCTGTCATTCTGGATTTGTTTTTCACTGTTTCCCTGGCATATTTTCTCATTTCTACCAAAATCGATGTCTTAGTTTGGGTTCTCACAATTCTCAGCAAGCAGAAGCGTGGGTCACAGAAGTGGAACAGGGGAAGAGGGTCAGCCAATGCAAGGATGCATGGTGGAGCTAGTAACAACTGTGGGCAATGAGACTCAGTCCCAGTGGGTCTCTCTGAGAAGCCATGTAAAATGCATGTCAGAATTGTCCCTGTGACAACTCTGGGACATTTTCCACTGTCTTCCACCTCCGTTAGTTGAAGGCTGTCACCACAAACATGGACTCTGCCATTCTTATGGACAGTCTTTGTGGTGCTAAGCAGCCTTTGTAGGCATCAGAGGAAGCCCTGAGGCCAAAAATCAGAGCAATATCATAGTCAACACTTGAGTTGGGACACTGTCAATGTGCATGGAATTGTCTAAGTCACCTGACCTTAAATTAGGTGGGAAGGGGGTGATATGCCATGCAAGTCATCGCAAATGACTGCTACACTATGTTATCCGTGCTTCCCTACACCTGCCTTGTGCTTTCACCTCTCTATGCTTTGCTTGCTCTGTTTTTCTTCCCATCGCACTCCCAAACCCCTTATTATCTATGAGTTGTGACCAGCAGTCAAAGTTCTGGTGAAATTTCACTTCCTTTCAAGAACCTAGGACTATTTCCAGTTAGAAGTGCCTTCCACTCTTCTTAATGCCTACAGCATGAACACCCTTAACTTTGGACACTTAACTTCAATGCCTTATGGACAGTTAAATCTTTACATACATGCTTTAGCTTGCCAAGTAGATCTGGCCATCCTGGCCACATGATGGCCAGAATTCTTTGTATCCACTCTGTTGATTTATCCTACCCCATATAAGTGGATTTGACCTTCTCTGGTAGCAAAGAGGGGCAAAGAGAACAATCAAAATGGTCACCAGCATCTTGGGTTGCATCAGAAAGCCACTAGGAGAATGAACTTCCTTTATTCTCCCCAAAACTGACAGGCAGAACAGGCAATTCCACAACTATAAACACTTGGCATATTTACTCTGCTTGAAAGTCTCTGAAAACTCTAAAAAAAGTTAAGATTTTTTTTTTTTAATGAACCCTTTTGGCCAGGTGCAGTGGCTCACATCTATAATCCCAGCAGTTTGGGAGGCTGAGGAGGGAAGATCATTTGAAGCCAGGACTTCAAGACCAGTCTGATCAATATGGTGAGACTTCATCTTTATAAAAAGAAAAAAAAAAGTTAGCCAAGCGCGGTAACATGTGCCTGTAGTCCTAACTACTGAGGAGGCTGAGAAGGGAGGGTCCCTTGAGCCCAAGAGTTTGAAGCTGCTGTGAGCTATGATCGTACCACTGCACTGCAGCCTGTGTGACAGAGCAAGATCCTGGCTCAAAGAAAAAGGTCAGGAGCACCCTTTTTACATGGCAGGGAGGGGTATGGCTTGAAATAGCCTGATTAGGTTACAAATTGAATACATCTTTCTGCTGATTCAGATATCAGGTATAGGCTAGACAAAGGTAATAGCCAGAAAACTTCATTCCTCATATATTATATTTTGCAAATGGAAGATGAGTCTACAAACACAAGAAAAATGGGTGTAGTGGCAGACTCTTCTCTCAGAAAGGCAATGACATAGGCATAACCAATAATAGTACATACGGCCTGATAGAGGGAAGACAGGTGGGAGAAGCAGGGTCCTTGAGCATATTAAGAGCAACCCTAGATGTGGTAATATCTTGGTGGTTATATTATTTTTAATATCCTTATCAGTTAGAGATCCATACTGATATATTGATGTACAGCATAAAATGAGTCTAAAATTTGCTTTTAAAAATGCCAGAAAAAAAGATCACAAAATGTTTATATTTGTTAAAGCTAGGTCATGGGTACATGAGCAAAATCTATTTTGTATATCTGAGAATTTTCATTATAAAATATTTTTTCAAAAGAGCAACACACTAGGTCAGAAACTTGTGTACAGCTGAGGTATCAAGCTGTGAGCCTCTAACTGTAGCAGCTGCTATAGCACCAATAAATAGAAAATTCATGAACCTTTATTGCTCATCATCACTCAGGCATTGCTGCATGGAGTGGGAAGGTTTCCCCACACTAGGGAACGGGGAGTCCTGGTGTAGTAAAAAATGTGATCGCAGTCTTGGTTGCCTGCACAAACTCTTCCCAGATCCCACCCTGTCTCCCTTTCCCTCTCAGTATAGTTAACAGAATGTCACAGCCACAGAGTCCCTTGCTCTTCACCATATCTGCAGCTTCAAGCACCTTGTTGACCATAACATTTGTTTTCTTGCTGACCAATTCATATTCCTCTAATCCTGCTATTTCAATACATTTAATTCTTACCCAAAAACAAGAGCATGACCTCCTCTAATAGAGTAATTTCCCGTTCATATTACTTAACTGAACAATGTTTTTTGATACTAACATGAATATCTCCCCTATTCAGTAATAACTACCATTCTGCCATTCAGCTTGTTTTCTAAATTTAATCTCTCTCAAAAATGGATTCAGGTCTGCATTGACCCAAACTCTCCTTTCCAACCAATATTTCCTTCACTTTCCAACTACCATAGCTCAGAACTAAGCAAAGGCTGATATCTAGTAAACAGTCCTTAGTTTTACTCATTGAGCTACTAACTAAATCCAGAGATTTAGGCATGAAACCTTCATTCGTTCATTCATTCATTCATTCATCCAAAAAGCAATTAACAAGCACCTATTATATGCCATGTCCTGGATCTATGAAAATAAATTAGGTGTCAACTTTGAAGAAAGTCATAATCTAACAGGAGATAAGTATATAAGCAGCTGCAATTAGGTTATTTTTCAAAATGTAGTTAGAAATATATATTTAATATGTATAATATATAGTAGACATATATATATTTCTAACTACATTTTGAAAAATAACCTAATTGCAGCTGCTTATATACTTATCTCCTGTTAGATTATGACTAACATATATATATGTCTAACTACTGTATATTTATTAAATATGTATTTCTAACTACTATATATTAGAAATATATATAGAAATATATTTCTCTGTGTGTGTGTGCATATATATATATACACACACACACAAATACACACATATATACTAGATTAAGTGGCAACATCAATGATATACTCACTTTGACTTCTTGGAGTTAGAAGGTGGAGGTATGTAGAGGAGGCTTCCCAAAAATGAAAAAAAATTTGATTTTAGCCCTACAAGATGGAATAGCAGTTCGTCAGGCATATGTAAAGAATTGGAGATACAGGCCAGGCGCAGTAGCCCATGCCTGTAATCCCAGCACTTTGGGAGGCCAAGGCAGGTGGATCACCTGAGGTCAGGAGTTCGAGACTAGCCTCACCAACATAGAGAAACCCCATCTCCACTAAAAATACAAAATTAGCCGGGCGTGGTGGTGCATGCCTGTAATCCCAGCTACTCAGGAGGCTGAGGCAGGAGAATCGCTTGAATGAACCCAGGAGGCAGAGGTTTCAGTGAGCCGAGATCATGCCATTGTACTCCAGCCTGGGCAACAAGAGTGAAACTCTGTTTCAAAAAAAAAAAAAAAAGATTTGGAGATATAAATTAGTAAAACTGTGTGAAGCTAAAATTAACAATGGGAAATCGTAAGACATAAGGTAGGAGGGGTAGAATATAAAGGTTCTAATGCTGTGTACTTTGAGACTTACTCCACAGAAAATAGAAAGTCACTAAAAGCTTTTAAGTAGAGCTGCCAAACAACAGTATTTGCATTTTAGAAAAATTACCCTGGAGTAGAGTAGGAGATGACTTTGAAAGCTTGGGGTGAGGCAATGGAGCAGAGCAATGAGGCAGCATCAGCAGTTACAGGATGATCATAGCTATTCAAAGGAGAGAAGATGCAGACCTGAATAAGGTGAATTGGACTGATCCATAAATGAATGTACCAGCCTGATTTAAACTTTTATTTTTCCCTAAAAGGGCATTTCTTCTAATAAGTTATCCTGAGCATTTTTAAGGGAAAAATCTAGGAGCAGAGGACAGATTATATGGTTTGGTTGGCTCTGTGTTCCCACCGAAATCTCATCTCAAATTGTAATCCCCATAATCCCCACGTGTCAAGGGAGGGAGCTGGTGGGAGGTGATTGGATCATGGGGGCAGTTTCCTCCATGCTGTTCTCATGATAGTGAGTTCTCACAAGATCTGATGGTTTTATAAGTGTTTGACAGTTCCTCCTTCACACTCACTCTCTCTCTCCACGTGCCATGTAAGACATGCCTGCTTCCCTTTCTGCCATGATTGTAAGTTTCCTGAGGCCTCCCCAACCATGAAGAATGGTGAGTCAATTAAACCTCTTTTCTTTATAAATTACCCAGTCTCAGGAAGTTATTTATAGTGGTGTCAGAAGGAACCATACAACAGATAACTAAGAAATCTACAAATATGGTATATACACCATGCTATTCTCTATTACTCATTCAAAGTTTCCCTTTTCTCTCCCTCCCCAAGTGCTTTCAGCATGATCAGGTTTCATGTCTGTGCCAACCTCCTATCAGCCATTTCTTGTCTTTTTTCTTTCTAATTTTGAGCTCTGACCTTTACTGTTATTCAAATCTTGGTTTTATACTGCAAAGGCTCTTAATTCCAGAATGATGGCCAAGTGAGCCAAACACATTTACCTAAGTGGACAAGAATGTGACATTGTCATGCAGCCATTGTGATGTACCAAAGTCAAGATTGATTTTGACAAGAATAAAAGCTTTCTGTCCTGCTGCCCCTGCTTTATGGGATTTTTAGGGTTTGGAGAAATATCCATTGTCTCTCCTAAAATTCTTGAATGCCCATGTAAGATTGAATGCTATTTCGATAAATAAGCCATTTAATAGTGACAGTTTATATACCAGAATTACTCAGTTGGCTGTTCTTGAATTGTTCATTTTATTTGTCAAGTTCAGGGGAAGTTAGTTTTGGCCAAGTATTTTTTGAATTTTGTTGCAAAATCAAGTTCCAGGTGGTGAGGTCCCAAATAACAGAAGATATGGCAAAAGTCTCAAAAGCATTACAGGTTTAATTAAATTAGTGTTTATTGACCACCAACATAGGTATATTCTATTATAGATAAGCTAGAGTCCATTCTTTGAGAGAAACAAGCCAGGCAATTCTTCGAGGCAGACAGTTACAGAACTGACCTGTACAGACAGGTACAGATGGTATACCAAGCAGGGTTCCTGACGTCATTGTTGCATGGTCGACATCCAATTTGACTGCTACATCCTCCTTTTCATGGAGCCTTGACCACTTCTGCCCTTCTCTCTACATCTTTTTCCTGGCTTCCAAGAACTAAAAGACTGTTCCCAGCTGTCCTAATGATCCTACTTTTCCACCATTCCAACATATCCCTTGATCTGAAATTGCCCTTTCCTTTTCCTTCTTCAATTCCCTCCAAACAAGACCTCTATTTCACCTTCTAAGTTAGGTGTTAGGAGAAAAGCAATCAAAATGCCTCCAGACTAAATCAATTCACACAGAAGTATAGGTGGTAGGAGGCTTAACTTCTATGGCAGCTTTTAGAAGACCTGTTATTCCAAATGGATCTTTGATTGGTGGGATGTGTGAAGGAGTCATTTTTGAGACGTAGGGAATCATACTTTTTTCTTATCTGTTTATGCTGGCCAGAGGCCCTACTTTCAATTTATTTTCTGCACAAAAATCCCCTTCTGAACTAAAGCCAATGCATGCTATTTGGTTTACTTATACCTTAGTGCTGTGATTCTCTAGCTTAGGTCACCAGGTCATAATAAAGGACCACAACAGGAACCTGGCTTGGTTTTACATTTCTTATAGTCTGTAGTTGAGTTCCTTCTCTAAAGCCATGTTCACACATCTGAAATTTTCCTAGATAGACTTTTATGGCTTCTGGTAAAGATAAAAGTTATATTGATTTTCTGTTGCATTGTTAACTTATCAAATAGCAAAATATTTAATTTGGAAGATAAAAAATAGTTTTAAATTTTTTCTTAAAAATGGTGGTAGAATAGTGACCACACTGCATACCCTCTTATGAGAGTGAATTAACATGGAGACCACAAACAGAGGAGTTAATTACATCTTTGTGGTATTACATCCTAACATCAACTCTGCATATGGATAAACCTGCCCTTAGAAAATCCCTAACATCCCCCATTAAAAAAAAAAAAATGAGCAATTAAGAGCCACAAACACTGTTTCTCACTAATCCTGTTACAGTGAGGTCTGCCTCCCATATCAGTTCAGATTGCTGTTTCTTCAGTTGCCCACCAGATAAAACCATGATTTGCATTCAGGGACTACATTGTAAGAAAAGTACGTTTCTTTTAATAGTAGACACACTTGGCCCTGGAATTCCTTTCAGTTAAATACCTACATAGATAGAGGTCACTGTATATTTGCCCCCCTTTGTTTAAAGAGCTAAAATTCTGTCCTCACAGTGTCTATAAGCTCGAGAATCACAGCACTAAGGTATAAATAAACTGAAGAGACTGTCCCTCATGCATGCTGTGACAGAAATCAGCTTTCAGACTAGGTGTGCTGAGTCCCAAACCTGTGCTACATCCCTGCTACAAAAACTGAAAAGCAAGCCTAAAATTCACTATAGGTTCCTAGAAAATCAAACCTTAGATATAAGACCAAGTTATACTATCTTATTCTCTCAGCAAATCCTTAATATGTTTCTTCTCTGTGCCAGGTGTTAGTTAAGCTCAGGTGATACAAAGTTGAATGAGATAGCACCCCTGCCTTCTTTGTCCCAGCTCATAGTTTAATGACATAATCAGGTGGTCACAATACAGTGTAATACAGTGCTGTGACAGAGAGAGAAGCTACAGACTGAGGGCACACAGGGCCAGGGCTCCTAACCCACCTAAGGCAAAGGGTAAGGCAGGGGACATCAGGGAAAACTATTAAAGAAGGAGGCATCCTGAGAGCTGGGATTGTATTTTTTATTTATGGTTTTATTTTTTACCTTTGTATTTTGATGTAATTTCAGGCTAACAAAAGTTGCAAGAACACTACAAAGAATTCTCATATGCCCTTTAACCAGATGTACTAAATGCTATTATATCAAATATGCTTACATACAGATATGCACATACACGCACAAACACACACACACAAATATACATTTCTTTTTTCAAAAAAAATTTGGGGCTGGGCGCGGTGGCTCATGCCTGTAATCCCAGCACTTTGGGAGGCTGAGGTGGGTGGATCACTTGAAGTCCTGACTAGGAGTTCCAGCCAGCCTAGTCAAATGGTGAAACCCCGTTTCTATCAAAAATACAAAAATTAGCTGGGAATGGCGGTGCACGCCTGTAATCCCAGCTACTTGGGTGGCTGAGACAGGAGAATCCCTTGAACCCAGGGTGTGGAGGCTACAGTGAGCCAAGATCGTACCACTGCACTCCAGCCTGGGCAACAGAGACTCTGTCTAAAAAAAAAAAAAAAAAAAAAAAAAAAAAAAATTGAGAGTAACTTACAGAAATTATGATGCCCCATTTACTCTTGAAGATTCTGGTGTATATTTCCTAAAAGCAAGGACATTCTCTTCTGTAGCCTACAAGTAACAAAATCAGGTAATCAATACTGATACAATACTACGATCTTATCTACAGACCTTATTCAAATTTCACCAATTGTCCCAATGTGTACTCTACAGCAGAAGAAATCCCCAGCTCATATGCTGCATTCAGCTTTCATGTGTCTTTAGTATCCTACAATCTGGAACAGTTTCAGATTCTTTCTTTGTCTTTCATGACCTTGTAATTTTTAAAGTGCAGAGTCTAGTTATTTAGTAGAATGTCCCTGAATTTACGCTGGGCACAGTGGCTCACGCCTGTAATCCCAGCACTTTGGGAGGCCGAGACGAGCGGACGACCTAAGGTCGGGAGTTCGAGACCAGCCTGACCAACATGGAGAAACCCCGTCTCTACTAAAAATACAAAATAAGCCGGGCGTGGTGGCACACACCTGTAATCCCAGCTACTCGGGAGGCTGAGGCAGGAGAATCACTTGAACCCAGGAGGTGGAGGTTGTGGTGAGCCGAGATTGTGCCATTGCACTCCAGCCTGGGCAACAAGAGCAAAACTCTGTCTCTCAAAAAAAAAAAAAAAAAAAAAATGTCCCTGAATTTAGTAGAATGTCTCTGGTTTGGAACTACTCTAAACTGTTTCTCGCGGTTAGATTTGGCATAAGCATTTTTGGCAGAAATATCACGAAGGTATGTTGCGCTTTTTGAGATGAGTTTCAAAGAGTGAAGAGGAATCAGCCCACATAACCTATTGCCATATTAATTTATTTTTGCATTCAGACTTGGGAGGATGGAAGACAGAAGGCAAAGGGATAGCCTATAATACTATTAAATAATATTTATCAAGTAGTTACCAAGCACTGTTTGGAATGTGTTACATAAGTTAACTTCATCATCTTCGCAACACCCTTATGACATCCTCACCATGACTATGCTTTTCCCATTTTTCCAATGAGAAATAATCAGGCACAAAAAGATGATGAAGCTAGCGCATGGTGCAGCCAGTATTCAATTCCGGGCAGATTGACTCTTGCCCATTCTGTCAGAAGGGACTTAGTGAAAGCAAAACGCTTACCAAAAAAAAGGCTTGTGTCTTCAGAACGAGTTGGCTTGGAGGTGTGTAACTGGTCCAAGCAACTGGGTGTGGCTCTCCCGCCCTCTGCTGGCTGAATCCCTTATTGCATCCTTTTAACTGCTTTTTGCTCAATTGGATGGTGACTGCAGGGTAAAACCTCCATGTGAGCAACAATCACTGAAATTTCTGCAAAACTCCTGAGTTATGCCTGACCTATGAGAATGCATAAGAATTGGGCATTCCTTCCATTTTTCTTTTTTGTGTGCCTCAGTCCCCTACCACATTCTAAAGATTGGTCAGCAGAATAAATCCTAAGCCCTCTCTTCACCAACTTCTTTTATAAAACTTCCCAGGAGAATTTTTTTTTAACTATGACAAATTTGGAATCCACTGAAGCAGTGAGAAAGCTAACGTTGAATTAATCAGAATACAATCCCCAGACAAGACAATCATTACAGATGAGAAAACCTGTAGGAAGGATGTTTGTCCTTGAAAAATATTTGAAAAAGATCCAGTGTGAAGCAGTCATCTCACAGTAGGCTCCAAAGTGTCATATAAGACAAAATCACTAGGCAAATAAGATGAAGGAGAGGAAAAACTCCTTTGAATGAGTCATAAGTAGCCTCTATTTTCAATCAAAAATCCTTTCTCTTTCCAGGTAAAACCCTGTCCCTCTGAAATTCACAAACCCCTGGGGCTTCCACAAAATTCAATTGTTTTCTCTAGTAAGAGGAAGAAATGGACGTAAAATAAAACCAGAAGACAATGAATGGGCCTTAAAAGGATGGCACACTGATTCATTCCATACATGCCAGAAATGGACCTGGCAAAAGAAAAAGAGTGTGTTTAAATTCCCAAATGATAACCTGGGAGCAATTCTGTTCATTGTGCCTGATTGCAAATACAAATATACTAGTGGCCATTATTAAGCCACATCTAATGTCCCAGGGGAAAGAACTCTTTACTGAAATTTTGAGAACACTCACACTGAACACAAGAATCCCATCTAAGTATTTACTTGATAACTTCTAGATGCCTGTCTGTTTATCTGTCAGGTTGGGAGAGACACAAATACATTTGCATATGGCTACTACCAGGCTGAAGGCTGAAACCTTTGCCCCCAGATCAAATCAAATCAGTAGATAAATGTCCCATGGTAGGTGATTGAGCTAAGCAACGACTTCTTATTTATTTTAATGAAGTATCAAGATTTCCATGAAAAATTATCAGAACTTTATATGTATAATCCATCTGGAAACTAATCCCCTAAGCTATATTGTGGCATTATTGTCACAATAACACTGCATAACAACCAACCACGAAACATCAGCAGCATTCGACATTAAGCATTTATTGCTTACATGTCTGGAGTTGTCAACTACATGGCTCCGCTGATACTACTCTGGGGCTGATGAGACTGTGTCTTTCATCATGCAGAAGCTAGGCCAGTAACGTTCTCATAGCAGTGTTCTCAGCCAGACGACAGAAACATGCAATGCCTTCTTAGACCTAGGCTCAGAAATGTCATGCTGTCATTTCTGCTGCATTCTGTTGGGCAAAGCAATTCACAAGTAAGCCCAAATTCAAGGGAAAGAGACTCTATCTTTTCATTGAGAGAAAATGCAGCCACAGAGCAAAACATGTGCATACAGTGATGGGTAAAGAACTGAGGCCACAACTGTAATTTACTACAGGCCCAGAAAATCATTGAAATCCAATGGGTAACTCTCCACTTTCTCACATTTCACATATACCCTTCTCAATGGATGATCTACTAACAGTGGTCTCTAGGTTGTCCTGGAAATATTTAAGAAAGAAGAAATTCTTAAACCTTAAGGACTTTTGTTTCTGTGAGACCTGGAGCCCCCCAGCTAACTGAAGATGTTATACCAGAGCCTTTGGATAAGACATAAATTTCCATCTAGTGCTATCAGTTTCTCATTGCTCTCTTGTACAAAATTCATTCAAGAGCAGTCTAGAGTTTAAGAAAAAGCAGGAAATTTTCCCTAATATTTTCTCCTACTATATCACAATTTTTGGTCAAGAAATATATACAGTTCTCATCTATATTTTTAAGAACTTTTCTAGTAATGTGTGCTGAAATAAGATTAAAACTTAGGGTACTCTAGGTTAATTTCTTGATCAATAAAATAAGATTAAATATTAGGCCACTATAGGTTAATTTTTTGTTCAATTGCAATAGGCATCTTTCTAGGTGAAAATTAAAACACACATACTATGTGGACATTTTTTTAATTGTAAGAAGGAACTAACAAACACTTTTTTTTTGGCTTGGAAATGCCCATGCTGAAACCTTGGCCTATATCATGACTATATAGTTCTCCAATGACAAGGTTCTAACCACCTGTCATTATTTCCTTCCTTCTCAGATTTTTAAATAATTTTTTCATTCCATAACTGTTCAGTTACTTTTCTAGAAATAATACACAAATTGAAAATATTATAAGGCCCCTCTTCCCTCAGTTTGTAAATAAATAAATGTAACTTCATGGAAGAACCTAATATTTTCAATAATTATATTTTCTTTACTATATTCCAAGAGATTTTGCAAACAGCAAGGGCAAAAAATTAATCTTGTTTCTTTCTTCTTTTTTTCTTTTCCTAGTCTAAGTCAAGACTAGAAGCAACAACATGATGAAACATATGCTTCTGGCATTTCCATCTTCCTGGATTGATGATATACCAGGCAGCCCAATTTTCCCCCAAAGGATAGGTGTGCATTCAAAATATTAAACCCTTAACAAAGACAAATATAAATGCAATTTGAGAAACCCCATTTCTTTCCAAGTCCACTGCATCTATTAATGTAGCCCCTTGACCAAGGACCAGCTCATCTCACTATTAGTACAAATTCTTTTACTCTACCTGACAGTCTGCCTACCTTTTTGTATGTTGGAATATAAAAAACAATTTCGAGAAATAAAAATCAACTCCTGTAACCTATCTCTGCTGATGCCAACCATATTGATTGCTTGACCTTTACGAAGTCTACTGACTAGATGATGCGTAATGTTTGGGGATTAAAGATGCTGATTTACTTTTTTTCTAAGTCAAATTTAAACTCTGACTACCCAAAATCAAACCCTACAGACTGTCTCAGCCTGTCCCCACTTTGCAGTGCTCCCCCTGACATTTGGATACCAGTTACTGATTGAATTTTTAGCAGCTGTCATTCAAGGACATCCAGCTTCAGCTGGACAAGCATTCGAATGGCAGACTCCCAAGGGCCTGAAAATGACCTGGTTTGACACAAATGTGGATAATCTTTCTGCAGAAACAAATGGGTTCAACTAAGTCATCAGTTTAACTGATAACTCTCATCCAGTTATGATTGTCACAATTAAGAAACAGTTTTAGTAACAGAGGCATTCAGAGTTAGGGGTTTTCCTTTTCAGGAAAGGAAATAGGATAAGAATTATTTAGTTTTCTCATTTCCAAGTATTTGGGGAGTAAAATCTATGGACTAAAATCTATTTTTATCTAACAGATGAGTTGTTAGCTTAATGATGTAGGATCTTTATTCATGACCATAAACCCCCATCATCACCCAAAAAAAAGCAAAACAAAAAAAATAGATAATGCGCTGGTGAAAAAAGAAAAAAAGTCTGCCAAGTCTAATTGTGATTCTAAAAAAACTAGCCCTGGCTGCATATCAATTGAGTTTTGTTTAGCTTGCAATTAAAATAAAATTTTCCATCTTTCAAAAAGAATTTCAAAGCACTTTCAAATGGCAAATATTTTTAAAGTTAAGTACATGCTTATCTTTGATAGTATATTTGCAAGTCATTCATGACTTCATAGATAAAAGCCAACTCTTCCATTTTCAACTGGGAACAGGTCACTCTTATCAGCCTACTCTGCACAACCCATATAGACTATAAACACCTCCACTAATAGAACTAATCACTAGAGCACCACCATTGACTCAATATAGAATTCAGACTAGAACATGTATATCTTAACACCTTGTATGGTTTAGTTTCATGTGCACAGGCACTGTAGGACACTAGCCCCAATTCACTTGAGCAGTTTTCCAACTGCCACAGAAAAGGCTTTTTAAGTTGTAGATTGTATATTCCTACTTTACACCCAAAATATAATTAAGGTGATTGACTTATTGGCCACTTTTAGTAGGCTGTTAATGTTGTTTTTGGAAAGCCAATCTTATTGTAAAGTGATATTTGAATGTAAAGAACAGAACCAGCACTTTCTGCCATCAAGGAAGAATTCCTCTCACAAAACCAGTGGTGACCTGGAACCACTTAATACTGGCTCTCAAGAGTTGATTGTGTACATCTCCTCCCAACTCCACATTCAGTGGCATCAGGTTAGTAGCATGAAATTGGCCATGATAGGAGTATTTACTCCAAAGAAATTGGGAAACACTAAAAATTATCAGATAGGATTACAAGTTTAGTATCAGTGATAGGAGAGGAATTCTACAGCAGTTCTGTCCAGTAAAACTTTCTGCAATGGGGCTGGGCATGGTGGCTCAGGCCTATAATCCCAGCACTTTGGGAGGCAAAGGTGGGAGGAACTGCTTGAGGCCAGGAGTTTGAGACCAGTCTGAGCAACATAGCAAGATTCTGTCTCTACAAAAATAAATAAAAATAAAGGAACTTTCTGCAATGGTAGAAGTATCTTATATTTGTACTGTCCAACACAGTAGCCACTATACACATGTGACCACTGAGTAGTTGAAATGTGGCTAGTATGGCCAAAGAACTAAATTTTTTATTTTATTTTTAATCTTAATAGCCATATGTGACTAGTGGCTACCGTTTGGGACATTGCAGTTCCACCATAATATAACAAGTGATGGCATCTTCCAAGAGTCAGGGGACTGAGGTAGATAAGGCTTTAAAAGAAAGAGGAGCACCCAAGAAAGGGGTCACTTCATGTCTTGGAATAATGAAATGTAACAGCAAAGCTTTGCCAAGTTTTTCCATCATATTTTGAATCTGCTATCCACACATTTATTAATTCACAGACCTGGAACAATCAGTTGTAGGAACAGACAGATGAAGGTAGCTCCTCAATAAGGTAGCTTAGTAAGGAAAAGTGGCTCTAATGCCCTAAAATAGTGGTTCTCAAATTTTAGCATGCATCAGAATCACCTGGAGAACTTGTTAAAACACATACTCCTGGGCCCTGCTCTCAGAGTTTCTGATTTCATAGCTTTGAGCTGGAGACCAAGAATTTGCATATCTTATAATTTCCTAGGTAATGCTGATGATGACAGTCTGGGAATCACTTAGAGAACCACTGCTTTCAAGCTAATTTACGGCAATCTCCAATTCCTGCTTCTATCACAGTCTACATGCTTTTCACTCAGGCTAAAGTCCTATTGACCATGTTTCCTAAGATGCTAGAACACATTTCATTACTCCTTGTTGGTAATTCTGTTCTTAAGGTCTGGGATTAAAACTACAAGACACCTAACAAGCTCTGCTACTTTATCTCTTTCGTAGTCACTGGAGCTTTGTTGTTTCCACTATGCCAGATGCTACTTCCAGATGTGCAGTTTAGAGAGTTTCTGCTCATAGCCCCACCTGTTTATGAAAACTGCAGACACCAACTAATCTTTTTCTCTTTTTAACTCTCTTTCTCCCCACGCCTTATAATACCTTCCAATAGAGTACTCTCAACACAAGCAAAAAGAACCAAAATAAGTTCCACTCTGCAAGTTCCTTGACAATATGGATTCAGCAGGAGTTAAATGACTATCTCTCCTAGAAGGAGAATGGTATCAAGGGACTCTTTCCCAAATGGAAATGCATTTACTTGAATAGACTGGAGACCCTGGAATTCAGATCACAAGAGTAAATGGCTTCTCCGAGGCTTCTTCAAGCCTACTTTAATTCTAGTTGAACAAAGAACAATAAAGGCTTTCTGCTTTCTCCTGTTCTTTTTCTACCCCTGCTCATTCAGAGGCGTAAGATGGTGTTAAGGAGGCTATTTCAGCAACTGATCCTGAGGGAGCTAGGGTAAAGAAAACTGATAAATACAAAGTTAGTCATCAATAAATGACAGCTAAAAGTGAGTGTGAGCAATAAAAATGGAAGTTATAAATAAAGAGAAATACAAAAGGGTCAATTTCTGAGGCACCAACTATTCCATTGATTGCTTTAAGTTTTATGTCTGATTAAATGTTTCCTCATTTTCTAATACAAACTTCCATTATGTGTAATCAGCACATTGTTAGGAAATTAAGGTAGACTTTAAAAGTGAGAGCAGAGGTACCAAATTCTGTTCTTTCAGCAACATGAAGCTATTTTTTATCTCTAGGCTAAATCACTTCTAGACTAGGGAATAATTCCTTAGCTTTTCACTATAAACAAGAGATTAAATCTAAACTTAAAGCAAAATATTGAATAAATAAAAGTGGTATTATTTCTCTTTGCATATAGATTATTTATAGTATGAATTATTTGCATACTTTTAAATCTATCTAAAATGGCCTTAAATAATCTTCTTTATGGCAGAAACAATTGATGTGTGTTCAAAATGCAAATTAATTTTAAGGTTAGTCTGAATAAAATACCTCCAAGATAGTAAACCAAACTGTTCCCCTAGTGTACATACACACTAAAATTTCTAGTGCAGTCCTAAATCAGGTTTTCACAAACTTCCAAATTTCCTCTGCTCAGAAAATCAAAAGTTATTTGTCTAAAGAATATTATTTATACTTTCCAGCCTAAAAAATGGTAAAAATTGAGGTTAATAATATGCTTATAAAACAGAAATGATGTATATAATTTTACCCCATGAACATTCCATATCAAAAAGCTACTAATCTTTATCCATCTCCTTTCTCTTTTTCTCTAATATCTTTTTACACCGTATACATTCACCAGGCCTTGTAGTCACTTCTTTTTCCATTTTACACTTTCTTCACCTTTAATGATATATACTTAAAAACACCAAGAAGAAGAGATGAGTTGACATTCACATTAACTGATTTTAATTGTTCACTGAAACTAAGGTGTTCTTGTTCAAGAAGTTTTGTACACTGTGCCCCCAAGATAAGACGCCCTTTATAAAGAAGAATTCTGAAAGCATCACACATATAACACAGAAGTGTATGGTACCAGAACTTGAAAATCTCTATTTAGAGTGTTTTATTGATAATAGAGCAGGTATCTATTAACTATATGCTAAATTTTCTAGCAATTGATAAGTTAATTATAAAGAGGAATTGATCTTCATTTTTCTAGTACTCTTTCTTTTTCATTTTAGAGCTTCTTATTCACAATGAATCCTACCTGTTATTGCATGCTCACCATATGCTGGACACTGTTACATCCTTTATAGCCATAAACTTAGCTCTTTATATTAGCTCATTCACGCATTATAACAACCGATCAAAACAATAATTTTACAACCGCAAAAACTGAGTTTAAAACAAAATTAAGAATTGACCTGGTTCACACAGCTAGGAATGGCAGAGCTGAGTTCCAAACCCTGAAGCTTCAAAGCTCATCATTAAATTCCATGCACTGAAGACTATCTTGAACACTGTAATCCCAGCAAAAGAGCTCTAAAAGAATAAGATGGCAGAAGTTTTTCAAAGTCTAATGAGATCCAAATGTCAATTAAAGCTTCCCAGAAGAACTATTCATTACAATTATCAGCTCTTGCTGGCTTACAAATAGGTTAAAGAGGAAATTAGTTGAAGTAGATTTTAATCACTTAAATGGCTTTTTTTTTCTTCAACAGGTGATTTGTTTCACCAAAAGCAAATCCTGCCAAGAGAATTAGATAAATAAGCAACCTGTAATTGAATGGTTCTTATCTAGTCTTCCCTGGAAGTTAGCAGAATTGAATTAATGGTTTCTGTCCCTTTACCTATGGAAAAAGTTAATATTTCAATTAATATCTTATAACGAAAAAAGGAGCTAGCAGTGGCATTTTTCTTTCCTCTATATTTACTATGCTCAGCTTTCTGCTACTGAATCAGTAATATCAAAAGCATAGAGACTGCCCAAAAACATGGATGACTCTGCAAGTTATTTCATGATTCAAAAAAAAAAAAAAAAACAATGTGACATAGTTCTTTGGGTATCTGTATACTGTTCATTTCTTTACCCATGACACAGAGAGATTTCATCAACCCAACATTTGTTCAACCATTACAAATGAAACAACTTTCTTCTTAGAGAAATTCAGATGATGGGTGTTTTTTTAACTTAGAGGAAAGAATAGGTTAAACAAAAAATTCAGGGAGGAAATAAAATTTACACTAAATTTAATTTAGAAAAACCCTGCAACTGGCCAGGCGGTGGCTCATGCCTGTAATCCCAGCACTTTGGGAGGCCAAGGCGGGCGGACCACGAGGTCAGGAGATGGAGACCATCTTGGCTAACACAGTGAAACCCCATCTCTACTAAAAAATATATATAAATTATCCAGGCGTGGTGGCAGGCGCCTGTAGTCCCAGCTATTCGGGAGGCTGAGGCAGGAGAATGGCGTGAACCTGGGAGGCGGAGCTTGCAGTAAGCTGAGATGGCGCCACTGCACCACTGCACTCCCGCCTGGGCGACGGAGTGAGACTCTGTCTCAAAAAAAAAAAAAAAAAAAAAAAAAAAACAGAAAAACCCTGCAACCTATAACTATAATCACGGATCTGAAATGAAAACCCCTTACTGGTATAGTATAAAAAGAAACCCACCAAACACTCTGTAGCATTGGACTTTTCCTCATTTGTTTGTCCTTCTAATTATTGAACGCTTATTATAATTAGATAATTACCAAATGCTTCCTAGGGGCCAGACACTATGTTAGGCACCAGGGACACAACAGGGAATGAAACAAGCATGGTTCCTGCTCTTTAGAGAGTTTACGGTGCAGTAGGCTTTAAGACTCCTGTAGTCTTAAAGACACACAAATAAGAGAATAATCTCCTACCAACCTGTAGAATTGTGTTTCACAGGGAAAGTTCCATGAAACACTATCTGTCCAGAGATCTCCAGCTTTTCCAGATTGGGGCTGATCTCATTTTCTCCTCAGACGTTTCATTTTCTTGGAAGGCAACAAGAAGTCTGTCAAAAATTATACCTCTAACTGCTGGGTCTGGAAAAGGTGAAAAGCTCCTAAAATTGAATAGTTTCTAAGAGCTCCCAGGGGGGATTAGTGAACATAATCCCAGCTATTCCCCAAGGATGAGACTCAAGCCAGGGTCATGTTCTAAAATCCCCTCTGCACAGTTACTAGAGCCCCATATAATGAGTAGGAAGCAATTGGGACTACAGAAAAATCCAACGTTTGGTGGTAAGAAGCCTGCCTCCGTTGCAAGTGACAGAAAACCCAAATCAACTTGATTCAGACAGTAAGAGGAATTTACAGGTTCAAGTTACTGAAAAATCTAGAGGTTGAATGGGCCTTCAGAGCAATTTCATTACAGCTCCAATTTCTTTTCTCTGTGATTCTTTGAGGCAGTCCTCTCTGGATCCACTTGATCTTCAAGATGGCTTTTCTTATGGACATAAGAGCACTGCCAGCAGAAAGTGGGGCTACAGTTCTTTTTCAAACATACCCAACATACAAGAAGATAGGGTTTTCCATAATTAATGAACAAAAACTCTAAGCTTTACTCTAATTAGTCCACCCCCAAACAACCACTGTAACCAAAGGGAGTATCATCTGCACACTAAAATCTGCCCAGGTCAGAAATCTCCATCCTTTGTGGCAAAGGAAACCGGGTAACCCCAAGGAGCTTTGCCTGTTCACAATCCAGTGCAGGAGACATGAATCATAGTGGCCACAAAAATGGGATGAAGTAGAATGGATGACAGAAAGACAAATAGAATAACCACTTTGTATAGTTTCCTTTTTTTTTTTTTTTTTTTTTTGAGACGGAGTCTTGCTCTGTCGCCCAGGCTGGAATGCAATGGCAGGATCTCACTGCAAGCTCCGCCTCCCAAGTTCACGCCATTCTCCTGCCTCAGCCTCCCAAGTAGCTGGGACTACAGGCGCCCGCCACTATGCCTGGCTAATTTTTTTTTCTTTTGTATTTTTAGTAGAGACGGGGTTTCATCATGTTAGCCAGGATGGTCTCGATCTCCTGACCTCGTGATCCACCCACCTCGGCTTCCCAGAGTGCTGGGATTACAGGCGTGAGCCACCGCGCCCAGCCGTATAGTTTCCTTTTAACCGATTGTCTGTATATAGTAATGTGTTTCCTCCCAACAGGAGCAATGTCTAGCAAGCAAAATCTAGATTAGTTGACTCACGACCCATAAAAGAAGTGCAAATGTGTTTCTAACTTCTTTCCTCAGCTAAATCAACAATAATGTAGAAACTCATGTGCTTCTCTCAGAAAGTTTTATCAGCTACAGTGAAGGAACCTGGATAACATCCCAGCTAATCTTTCAGCAGCAGCTGGGGAAAGCATCAAAAAATTACTTTTTCAATTGTCTGTCCAAGTATTGTCTGCGCTTAATCTGCAGATATCCAACTGTTAACACTAGGGGACTTCGTTCAAACAAAGCAACTGCTAAGGCACCCTGGGCACAGAGCCCCATGTGACCACCCTCTCAGAATGTTAATTAAGAATTCCATAATCAGAGTTAGCTTTGGGAATGTCCTTAAGCCCAGAAGAGCAGCCTAATTTCTCTGCTAATTGCTTTGATTCCCAAATGCTAGTAGAGGCTTTTTGGCAGAACCTACTCTAGGTGAAATGTAGGTTTTCAGCTTTTTCTAAATGAACTTATTTATTCATTTTTATTTTCAATTGGAGTTCCTCATAGTAAACAATGGCTTTAACTATTCGCACATTGGTCCTAATAGGCAACATGCTTCTGCTTCTCTATTTTAACTTTTTGCTTCCAAGTATAACATGGCAAGCAAGAGCATTTGATTTGTGGCCCAAGAGTCCTGTATCTGAGACAATTCTCCACTACCTCTGTAGCCCAAGGTATACCAACTTCTCTATATGTTAAAGAATTTTTTTAAAAAAGGTAGAATCATGATGCTTATACAAATGAATACAAAAATAAATATGTATCAAAGATTTTATTTAATGCATTAATTAATGAGAGAACCAGTAAGATGTTATAACCAGTTCAAAAGATAATTCAAAGAACCATACACATCTAGGCAATAAAGAATACTAAATTGAATTTTACAAGTGGAAGCACACGGGTCTATCTATCCTTGGGCAATAATCAATTACATTTTGGATGCAGTTTATTTGCATTTCTAAGGAGAAGAACCATGATTATTGGTATTCTAAAGCTTACAACATGGCAAATTAGCTCAAAGACAATGAAAAAAAGATAATTCTGAAAAGTGCACTAGCAAGACAATCTTTTTTGTTTTGCCATTTCAAAGTTTTTTACAATTTTTTTCTAAAAAATCTATCAAGTGAAAAACAAATTCATCAAGAAAATGCAAAGACAAGCCACAGGCTGGAATTAAATAGTTGCAAAAGACATATCTGATAAAAGACTGTTGTCCAAAATATACAAATAACTCTTAAAACTCAACAAAGAACTCAAACAATCTGATTTTTTAAATGGCCAAATACCTTAACAGGCACCTCATCAAAGATTTACAGGTGGTAAATAAGCATATGAAAAAATGCTCCACATCATATGTTATCAGGAAAATGCAAATTAAAACAATATAAGTTACTACTATACACCTATTAGAATGTCCATAATCCAGAACACTGGCAACATCAAATGCTGACGAGGATGTGGAGCAACAGAAACTCTCAGTGATGGTGGAAATGCAAAATGGTATAACCATTTTGGAAGACAGTTTGGTGGTTTCTTACAAAACTAAACATACTCTTATCATACAATTCAGCAATTATGCTTCTTGGTATTTACCCAAAGGAATTGAAAACTTATGTTCACAGAAAAACCTGCACATGGATGTTTATAGCAGCTTTATTCATAATTGTCAAAACTTGGAAATAGCCAAGATGCCCTTCAGTAAGTGAATGGATGAATAAACTCTACTACACCCAGACAATGGAATATTATTCAGCACTAAAGAGAAATGAGTTATCAAGCCATGAAAATATATGGATGAAACTTAAATGCATATTACTCATGAAAGAAGCAAATGGGAAAAAACTACATACTGTATGATTCCAAATATATTATATACTGGAAAAGGTAAAACTATGGACTTATTTGGTCACTATACATTTTTTCAAACACATAGAATGTACAACACCAACAGTGAACCCTAATATAAACTATGGACTTTGGGTGAAGATGTGTAAATGTGGGTTCATCAAGTGGTATAAATGTACCACTCTGGTGGGGGATGTGGATAATGTGAGAAGCTTCTATACCTGTGTGGGGACAGGAACTATACTAGAAATCTCTGTACTTTCCATTCAATTTTGCCATGAACCCAAAACTGCTCTAGAGAAAGTATATTAAAAATAAAAATCCAGACTTAGGTAAGAAAAGACCTTATTTAAAGATTATTGCAATAAGGGGAGAAGGACTATTGCATAAGGAGGGAGAACTATTGCAATAGGAAGAATGCTCTGATTATGAGATCTGCAAGAATCCCAAAGGTCTGGCAGAAAGGGGTGTTTCTTTTCTAAGGAGGAGTAAATAACACTAGAAAGAACCAGTTGTGGAGACATGGGATCGATGCATGGCCTGATTCAACAGTTGATCAGGGAATGAGTTTTCCTGAAGTAAGCTGATTCTCAGGAAGGTCAATTAAGCAGGGGTTGTTTCATGTTCCAGTGCTCAAGGGTAGGCCAAAGTTCAGGGTCTGGGGGAAGGAGAGAACCCTGATCAAAATTTGGTCAAGTCAAATTAATGGGCATGTTCTCAGTTTGGTCAATAGGGAAAAATATTTTAGCTAATCATTTGTGAGATAAAGAATGAAAATTTGGAGGTTCTGTACATGACCTTGTCCTGGGTAAACAAGGGGTTCATCTCTGAGTCTTATCTAAGTCACCTGGGGAAAGGTAGTTGTGATACTGTGAAACACAATCATCCTCTGTCTAATGACATTTTGGTGATGAACTGCATATTTAATGGTGGTCCCATAAGACTGTAATAAAGCAAAAATTTCCTGTTGCCTAGTGATATCATAGCTGTCATAAAATGATAGCACAACACACTCCTCACATATTTGTAGTGATACTGGTGTAAACAAATCTGTGCTGCCAGTCATATAAAAGTCTAGTGCATACAATTATGTACAGTAATTAATAATAAGTGACTATGTTACTGGTTTATGTATTTGCTACAGTATACTTTTTATTGTTATCTTACAGTATACTCCTTCTACTTATGGTTTTTAAAAAGTTAGATGTAAAACAGCCTCAAGCAGGTCCTTCAGGAGGTATTACAGAAGAAGGCACTGTTATCATAGGAAATGACAGCTCCATATATGCTATTATACCAAAAGACCTTCCAGTGAGACAAGGTGTGGAGGTGGAAGACAGTGATATTGGTGATCCTGACCCTGTGTAGGCCTAGGATAGTGTGTATGTTTATGGCTTAGTTTCTAACAAAAAATGTTAAAAAGTTTTCTAAAAATTAAAAAATTTAAAAAAAGCTTATAGAATACAAATATAAAGAAAAATTTCTGTACAGCTGTACAATGTATTTGTGTTTTAAGCTAAGTGTTATAACAAAAGAAACAAAAAGTTTTTTAAAAACTTAAAAGTTTATAAAGTAAAAATGTTTCAGAAAGCTAAGTTTAATATTAAAAAAGAAAATTTTAAAAAATACATTTAGTGTAGCCTAAGTGGACAGTGTTTATAAAGTCCACAGTAGTGTACAGTAATGTCCTAGGCCTTCACATTCACTCACCACTCCCTCACTGACTCACTCAGAATAACTTCCAGTCCTGCAAGCTTCATTCATAGTAAATGCCCTAGACAAGTGTACCATTTTTTGTATCTTCTACAGCATATTTTTACTGTACCTTTTCTATGTTGAGATATATTTAGATACACAAATACTTATCATCGTGTTAAAGTTGCCTGTAGAATTTAGTATAGTAACATGCTATACAGGTTTGTAGCCTAGGAGCAATAGTCCATACCATAGAACCTAGCTGTGAAGTAGGCTATACCATTGAGGTTTGTGTGAGTACACTCTATGATGTTTGCACAATGAAGAATCACCTAACAACACATTTCTCGGAATGTATCCCCATCCTTAAGGAACACATGACTGTATGTATTTTTTCTTTGTCCAGTTTCCTGACTTATAGAACCTAAAACTCTTGGAATCTTCAGTGTCATAAGAGTATGTTGTGTATGTTAATGAGATGATTGGTAGCTGGGGCTTCCTAGATAGCCTCAGAAGGGAGGCTGGTCACTAGATAGACCAAGGTATAATTAGAGGGTTGGGGCTTTCAGTGCATGCTCCCCCAAACCTAGGGTGGAAGGACTGGGTAGAGGGGCTGAAGTTTAAGTTGATAATAGCATAGATTTCATAGTGTGGTCTTTGGAGAACTAAGCAGCCCAAATCTAAAACACATTAGACTCTTAACACGATGCTGGTACAATGCTAAATAGATGAGAAATATCACTGTTTCCATTATTCATTGATGCTTCTATAGCCAAAATATCTTTCTTATACCAGGCTTTTTTTGGCTTTTCTTAATTAACTACAGAGATCATCTTTGCCCATTAACCCATTATCCAAGATAAATTCAGTTATGGTTTGCATGTTTATCCCCTCCAAAACTCATGTTAAAATTTAGTTGCCATTGTAATAGTATTAAAAAGTGAGACCTTTAAGAAGTGTGTAGGTCATAAAGGCTCCGCCCTTACAAATGGACTAATGTCATCATCATGGAAATGAGTTCATTATTACAGGAGTAGTTTCATCCTCCACTTGCTGTTTCTCACCCACTTTGCCCTTTGGCCATGTAATGCCTTCTGCCACATTAGGACACAGCAAGTAGGCCCTCACCAGATGCCAGCACCTTGATATTGGACTTCCCAGCCTCCAGAACTGTGAACCAATAAATTTATGTTCTTTATTAATTACCCAGTCTGCAGTATTCTCTTACAGCAGCACAAAACAGACTAAGACAGAAAATTGGTGCAGGAGAAGTGGGCTGTTGCTTTAACAAATACCTGAAAATGTGTTAAGCAACTTTGGAACTAGGTAATAGGCAGAGGCTGGAAGAATTTGGAGGAGCAGGCTAGAAAAAGCCTATTTTGTCATAAACAGAGCTTTAAGTATCATTCTAGTGAGGGCTCAGAAGAAAACAGGCAATGTAGGGAAAGTCTGAAACTTCTTAGACATTACTAAGTCATTGTGACCAGGAAGCTGGCCAAAGTATGAATGGTAAAGGCAATTCTGATAAGGTCTCACACAAAAATGAGGAACAGAAACAAGGTATTGGAAACTGGAGTACAGGCCATTCTTGTTAAAAAAAAAAAAAAATAGCCAAGAACTTGGCTGAATTGTTCATGCCCAAGGGCTTTATGGAAAGCAGAACTTTAGAGCAATGAACTAGGATATCTGGCAGAAGAAATTTCTGAGCAAAATATTGAAAGTGCTGCATGGCTTCTTTTAATTATATACAGTGAAATGAGAGAAAAGAGAAAGTATTTAAAGATGGAATTTATAATTAAAAGGGAAACAGAATATAAATATTTGAAAAATTTGTAGCCTGTCCACAAAAAGAATGTAAAGCATGCAATGGTGTGGCCAAGCAACCTTTCGATGAGGGGATTAGTATAACTGGAGAGAAGCCAGATGTCATTCATCAAGACAATGGGAGAATAACCTCAAAGGTATTGTGGAGATCTTCAAGGCTGCTCCTCTCATAATGGGCCTAGAGCTCCAAAAGGGCAGAATGGTTTCAGGATATGGCTGAGGGCACCTTCTACTGACCAGGGCCACCTTGCTCTCTGCATTTCAGCACAGTGCTCCTCAGCCACCCCAGCTGTGGCCCAAGTAGACCTGTGTGCAGCTCAGAAAATGGACTAAGACAAACTTTGTTAATAATTTCTTTCTTTTATCTCTGCTTATATGAATAAAATGCACAAACCCAAATGTCTAAAAATAGAAGAATAAAGAACCAAGTTGTGGTCATCCACCAAATGGTGCAAGGATGACAGTCAAGGCAGCCTAAATGTGTTGTCTATGAAGAGTTTTAATAATGTAGAAATATATCAGAATATATTAATTTTAAAAAATATAGAATTTTATAGCCAAATAAATAAGATAGATGATTGATAGACTGATTTATATATGAAAAATAACAAACACAACTCTTGCTTTATCATTAGACATTGTGCATCCTCTCTCTTTTCTGTATAATATGTTCTGAGCATCTCCCCATTTGCACAAATAGTCCTTGAGAATATACACTCTTAAAATTATAGCATAAGATATATTCCTTTCTATGTTATTTTTCTATTAACCTCTGACTCTCTCATTAAGAATTATGTGGCAGAGGATGGAACATTAAATTGGCAAGCTCATGCAGCAAGGCCTCAAATAAATCTTCATTTGAGACAAAGAAGAGTTCAAACCACAAATGCCATGGTCAAAAGAGGACTAGATGAGAGATCTAATAGAGAGAAAATTGGTTACTGGAAATAGGAGGGAAACATTTATATTATAGTCTGGGGTTTGGAACGAGCCAATTTGAAGGAATTGAGACCATTTTCCCACCCCAAATGGGAACTAGAAAACCAGAGTTGCCCTTCTCCCATCCCTTCTGTTCAAGAATCAATGTTACATTAGTTCCCTGAATACCCATATTTCCCCATGCTGCTTTGGTTTTGCATAAGCTGTTCTTCTGCCTTGGATACCCTCCTCCACTTGTCCACCTGGCAGACGCCTCCTTATCATTAAGTGTCACTTGAAAGCTATCTTTTGCATGAGGCTTTCCCTGATTCCCCCAGAGACAATTAGGTTTTCATTTCCCCGGGCTTTGTAGGGACCTTTGTTACAGCCATTGTTAGCCCAAGCTGCGCCATTTTGTCAACCTCCCACCGTTTTGTACACCCTGGCCAGAGTGGAAATTTCCCAGCAGTGGGAAACACATTGTCGGGCAGGTCTCAGGCCCAACTGCCTGGCCATAGGAAATTCTTCCCTTATCAGCAGCTAACCACACCGCCCATCCCATTTTGCAACAATTCCACCTCTCCCAGCTAGACCTGTAACTGCCCCAGTCTGTAAAAGGAGCTCGAGCTCCAGCCACATAGCTGGTGTCCCCCTCCACAGGTTTCTTCGTCCAATAAACCTGTGTTGCTTTTGACCTGCATCCCCTTGTTTCTGTCTCTTTTCTCCATCCTAACAGCCATCATTTTATTGTAACATAACCATTTGCATGTTGGTCTCCTCTAGTAGACAGTAAATGCCTCAAAAATAAGGTTTACATCTCTTTATGTCCTGTACTTAGCATATTATAGATACTGAATGATTAATGAGTAAATAAATGGACAAATAAATGAAATTGTGTAATGAGATGAAGTAGAATTCATTCACTTACTTGGGACCAAAAATAAAGTCCTGAGGCCACAGCAGTTTGAACTGCCTAACTCCTAAAAATTACCAATATTCTCATTTTACAAATAAAGAAACTGGAATTCTAGAAAAATTAGGAAACTTACTCCAGAAAGTAAATTTCAAAAAACAAATACAAATAATTCTCCATTACATGAAAAGGTAAATGCAAATTAAAACCATTTTTTATCTATTAGACTGGCAGATATAGTTTTTATAATAAGCTTTTTTGGTATGGTATAATAGGCACTTTTATATATTGTTGGTAGAAGTGTACATTGGAATCACCACCAATTTGACACTATAGTGGAAATTTGTATCAAGATTACAAATATATGTAACACTTGGACCAGAAAATCCACTTTTAGAAATTTATCCTACAAAAACTCCTATACTAGTTTGAAAGGTTATATGAATAAGAATATTCATTCCTTCATAGTTTGTAGTAGCAAAAGGTTGGAGAAATCTCTGTTGTCTATCATCAGGCTAAACATATTATAATATATCTAGAGCAGTGGTTCTCAAAGTATGGTCCTCAGACTAACAGCATCAGCATCTCCCGGGAATTTATCAGAAATGCAAATTCTCACACTTGAGGGTAGAGCTCAGCAATCTGTATTTTAACAAGCCCTCTATGTAACTTTGATATATATTAAAATTTGAAAAACATTCACCTATAAAATGAAGTACCATGAAGCTAGGTAAAAAAGAGGAAGCTGTCTATGTGCTGCTAAGGCAAGATCACCATTACACAGCACTTTGTTAGGTGAAGAAACTGCAAAAGAGTGTCTGTAATATGTTACCTTTTTGTAAAAGAAAGAAGGAAAGAAGCCATATTTTAATTGGCTTTTAAATAAATTTTTTAAACTGAAAATCTGGACGCAAGAAATTAAGAAGAATCATTATGTATGACTGCAGTGTCTTGGCAGAGGGGTAACAAGAAATAGGAGAGAGACTTGTAACTATGAACTTTATTTTATACTTTGTGAGTTTTTTTTGTTTTTGTTTTTTGTTTTTTTTTAGACAGAGTCTCTCTCTGTTGCCCAGGCTGGAGTGCAGTGGCGCCACTTTAGCTCACTACAACCTCCACCTCCTGGGCTCAAGAGATTCTCGTGCCTCAGCCTCCTGAATAGCTGGGACTACAGGCACGCACCACCATGCCCAGCTGAGTTTTGTAACTTTAGTAGCGATGCCGGGCGGGGGCGGTTGACCATGTTGGCTGGCTGGTCTCAAACTGCTGACCTCAAGTGATCCACCCGTCTCAGCCTCCCAAAGTGCTGAGATTACAGGCATGAACCACTACACCTGGCCTTGCTTTGTGATTTTTGAACCACATGAATATATTAACTCCTTGATTGACAGATAGATTATAGATAGATGGATAGATAGATAGACAGGTAGGTGACAGATAGACAGACAGACTTGTTTTAATTATGTATATCTCCAAAGTGTAGTGAAAGAGAATTACTAACTGAGCTAACTCCTTCCTACTGCATTTTTCTTATCAAGACCCTGCAGAATTATAAACAGTTCTGTTTTTTTTTTCTTTTTTAAGAGTTACTGATGATCTGTAATAAAATCAGGTAGATAACACACAGACAGACAGACACTCAGATGCATGTAAACACACACTTAAGGAAGGACTGGCTGCCTTGTTAACAAGATAACTAATTTTCCAATTGCTTATTTCCAAATTTAAGACATTTCTTACCCATGTGCAGGAGTTTATCCAATTGCAGAAAGGCGTATCTACTCACAAATTGTCTGTCTAAATTGGAGCAACCAGACAGATCTAAACATAAAGGCTATTAATAATGCAAATACCAGGTCACACTGATTGAAGATAATTAAATTAAATTAAACAGCACACCTACTATACGGCTTGTAATCCTAGAATCTGAGCGAAGTCCAACAATTTAGATAGTTTCAAACATGCACAACCCATTGATACCAAGAAATGTTTTGTGGTGGTCACATTAGATGTCTATGTGAGTATATTGCTGTTAATTTGATGTGTGAACCTTAATAGTTACTTAAAAAATCCAATTGTCCTTTCTATAAAAAAAGAAAAACTAGCGTAACCCTCATCTTCTCCCTGGAATGTGATAGGAATTAATTAGGGATTTTTTAAATTTAGTAATATTTTTAGCTTTTCAATTCCATACATTATGCAAAAAGCAAATAGCCTTGTCATAAATGTCTTATTATTCTGTCCTATTTTCAGTGTAGTGACACTCGGACAGAGTTAAATCCCAAGATCACTTCCTGCTGCCAAACTTCAAAATGGAATCCACAGCAATGACCTCACCTAAATCTCCAGAAGGACTGGAAAATTACAACTCCAGGTGGCTGTTTCTGGCTTACGTCCTCAGGAGACCTTTATAGGCCCTGTGCTGTAGAACATGAGCCCCACACTAGGTGTATTTACCGTGCTATTTGCTTTGATCTGAATTTCCTCTGATAAGTACCTTTGAAGTCCACATATTTTTCTGAGTCTGCTGCCCTGCAGATGCCCAAAATGAGCCATGAGAACTATTAAACTGTGTCTTGACCTTCTGTGGAAGCTCAAATGAACCATCAGTAATAGGATATAAGAGAACCAAGAGAGACCATAGCCAGTGATAGGTACAATTGCTATCACTGTACTTCTTACCTATTTCAGAGACAGGCTATAAAGATTTCAGAAAATGTTAGCCAAGTGCTTTGAGTCCTGGAGAAAAAATATTAGTGGAATTATTTGAGACAAAGAAGGGAAAAGAGAGTTTCTTTTTTAAAAGGTAGAAGAACAAAGGGAACAACAGAAATTCAATTCAATAAATAGTTATCAAGTGCCTGCCAAGTACTAGGCCCTGGACTCAGAACCGAGATGTGTGAGTACTTACAGGACAGTGCTCTGGAAGACGAATGGGAAGAGACATTTAATAACAACAAGGTAGATTAAAATAAATTTCATGAGAGATGAATTTTTTGTTCATTTGTTTTCATTTCCAGCAACAAGCACTGAATTTCACACAGAGGGTATACTCACAACACTGAAGATATGAATGAACAAATTACTGGATACAGAACACTGGGAAAAAAGCTTGTTTCTAGCCTCTTGTCTCTTAGTCTGCTTTCCTTTATGCACATTCCCCAGCTTGTGACTTTAAAACTCTATTCATCACCTAAGTATTATATGCCTTTCAGAAGCACCATTTGTAGGGTTTAAAGTTTATTAGTAGCAACTTTTCTTACCACTTGGCTGCCATCATCATAGGGGGCAGTTTGGAAGCTATACTGAAATAACACAGACTGCATGTTAGGAGTAAGGAAGAAACTGATTCATCCTGTTTTGCTCAGGACTTTCCCCAATTTAATAGAGGAAGTCCTGCTTTCTGAGAAATTTCTTAGTGCCAGGCAAACTTGGATGGCTGGTCACCATAATTAGGGACTTCCTATGAACTTTTCTTCAAGTATTATCTCTGTATTTTAGTGTCAGAAAATTGAAAATGTTAGACTGCAACTTTCTGGAATACAGGTTAGCAATTTCCCTTTTACAACAATTGAAGCTCTTCCCATCTCTTACTTTCCTCTAAAATATTCACACTTTTTTAAAGTTATCTGACTCCTATTGCTCCTACCCGCAAGAATCTTTACTTGTTTCAGAAAGTTTTAGAGCTAAAATGCACATAGAATTAGCTAAACTAGTCCTCTTTTTACTGTTGAGAAAACTTGAGTTCCCATGAGACAATTGGCCAAAGTCATACAGCTCTTTAGTCAGCAGAACAAGGCAAGTGCTCTAGTCTCCCAGTTTCCAGGTTAGTAATGTTCCTCTTACACTGAGCTTTTAAAAATTAGTCTATCTCCAATAGGTTAAAAATTATATTTTATGTTCCATAAACCCAGACTTATACATGTCGTTTCCCCCTTCACTGTATTTGACAATTCCTAATAAAATCCGTCACAGTGCTTTGGATATCAGTTTATAATTTGATCAACAGTAGTCTAGTTTTAAGTGCAGTATTCGGCTAATGAAAAAATAACACAACCTCTTTTATTCATGATTACAAAAGTCCTTTAACTCTTCAATGAAAAAAAATGTTTAAGAATACTTTTCTATTTCATTGGTTATAAAACTCTTTTCTTCTACTTACCAGAGCCCATTACTGCCTACTGGAGTCCATGATCTAATAATGTCAAGAGTAACTCACAGTATTTATCAGTTTAACAATGTCCTTTAATCTCTACAATAACCCTGTCAGGCAGTATAGTGGATGAGTTGTCCCCTGAAGAGTTTGGTTAAAAAAAAAAAAGAGAAAAAAGAAAAAAAACCCTTTCCCTCTGAGAGTTGCACTGCAAAATCAATACAATGCATAGTGATAGAGACATGCAAAGTTGATTTATAAGTCAGTTGAATCCCAGACACGCATAAGACAAGTTTGAAGATATTTGCCAATACCTCAGTCATTATAATGACTTTATAATAAATAATTACTTTATAAAAAAAATCACTGGACAAGTCAGAGAAGCTGATGCCTATTCAAGGGAGAGGAATATTCCTGTAATAGAAAACGATACATCAGGCTACCCTTACCCTGGTGCTCCAAAATTCAACCACATAACTAATTATCTTTATTTGGATCCTATTCTCACTTAATAACTTTCTGACTTTGAACTTCCAAAATTCCTTGCCTTCAAAGACAGTATGGCCTAGCCAAAGAATAGCACTGTTCATGCTCAGTGACTTTCACATTTATCATTCTAAAGTAATAAACTTTTATGCTGATTTATAGGTCAATCTTTACAAATTTGGTTACAAGCCTTGTCTTGAAAGAAGATGCCACTCTGAGAATACAGAAAACCCTAGTCGCCATAGGTTATGGCAAATGCCCCATGGTAACACCTCCTCCGGAGGCCCCTTGACAGCCAGCCAGTTCACCTCTCCTTGTGACTCACTGTCCCTGGCTTTGTATCTTCCACAAAAATGTCACCTAATAATGTTATCCTCATTTTATATATGAGAGAATTAAATCTGCAAGCTAAGTGCCTTGGCCATGGTTGCTTAGTATAATTATGGTCTGGAACTCAGACCTTTAACTCCAATTTTAGTAAATTTTCCTATCCTGACTTTGTGGCAGATACCTCGGTGTTTCATAGCACATCACCCTGGACACCTTGAATTTCAGCCTTAGCAAAAATCCACATGAGCTCAGACTACCCTCAGGTTGAGGGCATCAAGGGCATGTCACCCATCTTTCTGCTTTCTGCCAAAAGGCCTTTTCTGATGCAATGCCATAGAAGCCTGCTCAGACCAAGGACAAGCATAGTTCAAAGGTTGCTCTCAGAGATAGCCTTCAACCTACGGGGAAATGAGGGGGGCCAGATAAATGTCTCTGACTCGTATCCTACAGGTGGATGCTTCTGCAAAGTATGCTTCTCAGAAGACCCCAGGAGAATCAAGTCTTTGTTTCACTCCCTTACATTGGGTTTTCCTCCATCCTTGTCTAACTCTTCTCATACCCTCACTACTGCTTTCTGGGATCCTCCCCAAATAAATTATAAGCACCCAAATTCATTTCTCAAGCTTTACATTGAGGTGAACCCAAACTAAGACAGAAACCTTTACTCTTGAGAGTGAGCTAAGACAGACCTTCTTTCTCTGACATCCAGGAAGCTCCTCTCTCACTGCTGTCCCATGAAGACCTACAGAAAGCCCATCCTCGGGGCTTCACAAGAGCCGCAGTTTGGGCCAGGCTTTAGGGCCCATGTGATGACTTAGTAAATCATATCCAGGGAAGAACTCTAACTCAGGGACCCAGAAGGGTCCTAGAAGCTGACAGGGATATTACATTCTCTCTATGTCTAGAAGAGCACAACAGACTCTTCATCTTGTGAGTTTCTACAACTACCAACAGTCAGAAAGCTCCAATTATCTATTGATACATAATACACTACTCAAAGTGATGGCTTAAAATGATGCCAATATTTATTTTGCTCACTGCATTATAGATTTATAAATGCTGTCTTAGCCCAGTTTTGAGGCTCAGGCTACAGGCTGGTCAGTTCCCCTTCTTGAGCAGTCAATTATATCCATCTTCAAGCATCTCCCTTATTAGGCTCTCTCGTTCTGGGCCACTGTACACCCATCCTAACCACCTCAGAACCACATACCAGAAAACTGAGGACAGTCTTTATGCCTCAGAGGCCCCTGATTCCTCAATTCAATCAGCCCACTTATTCCTAATATTCAACTGGCCTATCCAAAGCCTACTTGCCCTATCTCACCTTTTTTTCTCCCACAGAAACCCCACAGTGCAATAAAAGCACTTTCCCAGAGTTCCCCTCTCTCTCTGTGCACCACCAATCCCAGTGCTTCTGCTGCTGAGTGGCCCTGCATGGCATACTGTGTTCTCAGGGAACAATGAATGTAACAAAATTGTAAAACTCTTTCCAGCTTCTCTTTCTTGATCTCTGCCTGGCCTCACCATACCTCACCTAAGGTAAAATGGTTAAAACACAGAACAATCCTGCAATTTTGGCAGGGCTTGATAGTGCCATCTTGTCTCTGCTCCAAATGGCCCCAGCTGGAGTGGCTCAAAGGCTGGATAATAGAACCATTTAAAGGCTCACTTACTCATTCACATGCCAGGCAGTTGATGCTGGCTCTCAGCTGAGACCTTAGCTGGAGACGTGGCTGGAAATACCAACATGTGATCTTGCCATGTGACTGCTAAATTTGAGAGAATTAAATGCCTTAGGCAAAGTCACTCAGTAAATATAATTCTGGACATGAACACAGGCTGGGTTCCAAAGGAGAGTGTTCCAAGAAAAAGTCAGATGAAAGCTATTTCACCTTCTCTAACCTTCTCTAGCCTCACAAATCATGGAGCACGCTGCATTCCACCTGTTAGACATGAGTCCCTAAGGCTGGCCTCTATTTTGAGAGGAATGTCAAAGAATTTGTGGACAGAGTATTTATCCTTTGAGGAATCTGCCATTATTGACTTTGACATATCATCTTGTCTTAAGGATCTGATCCATGGATTCCCTAAGATCTTGGAAAATGGTCCCTAGATTTCCTAAACTACAAGAACTCAGAGACCTGTAAAGGTCTTTAAAAAGCATGGAGTTCGGCCGGGTGCCGTGGCTCACGCCTGTAATCCCAGCGCTTTAGGAGGCCAAAGTGGGCAGATCACAAGGTCAGGAGATCGAGACCATCCTGGCTAACACAGTGAAACCCCGTCTCTAGTAAAATACAAAAAAATTAGCCGGACGTGGTGGCGGGCGCCTGTAGTCCCAGCTACACGGGAGGCTGAGGCAGGAGAATGGCGTGAAACCGAGAGGCAGAGCTTGCAGTGAGCCGAGATGGAGCCACTGCACTCCAGCCTGGGCGACAGAGCAAGGCTCAAAAAAAAAAACAAGCATGGAGTTCATCTTTCCATCAGTATACCTAGCAAATGGTTACCTAGATAAGGTTTAAATGCATTATATGGCAACAAAATAGGTCAGTACCTTCTCACACTCCCCATTTTACTGTGAACAGCTCTGCCAGAATATTCTTCCTTATCAAAGTCTATCTTTCCTCAAAAGTTCCAAGTCTTTGTTTTATTAGTATCTGTAGAATTACACAAAATAAATCCAATCTCTCTTCCACTTGATAGCTTTTAAATATAAATTATCGTATCTACCTAAATCTTCTCTTTTTTAAATTTAATAACTCCAGTTTCCTTAGCCATTTTTACAGAATTGGGACTTATAAGATTTTTCCTCAACTTTATTTTTTTATTATTTTATTATTGTTATTATTTTTTGAGATGCAGTTTCTCTCTTGTCACCCAGGTTGGAGTGCAATTGTGCAATCTCGGCTCACTGCAACCTCCACCTCTCGAGTTCAAGAGATTCTCCTGCCTCAGCCTCCCACGTAGCTGGGACTACAGGCGCCCGCCACCATGCGCGGCTAATTTTTTGTATTTTTAGTAGAGACGGGGTTTCATGATGTTGGCCAGGCTGGTCTTGAACTCCTGACCTCAGGTGATCCACCCACCTTGGCCTCTCAAAGTACTGGGATTACAGGTGTGAGCCACCGCCCCCAGCCAACTTTATTTTTTAAATTGAATGTGATAATTTAAATTTATCCTAATTCAATTTTATGTTTAATAGTCTCTGTTCCTTTGTTCTACCTGTTCTGACCCTTTCAAGTGTTGTTTTCTTTTATCTAAAAATTTGATGTACATATCTTTCTACCAACTCATTAATTAAAATGCTAGAGAAACTCTTAAGGTAAGCCACCAAGTGAAAATTGATTCATTTATCAATTCTCTACCAGCTATGCTTAAGTCCAAGTATATTGAGAGGTGGTTTGTTTACATCTTTTAATATAAAATACACTATGGCTTCTAATAGTTTCTTGACCTGACAGCTTATTTACTCTGCTTTTTCAAAAGGAAATGCATTTTGTGACTCTTTTAACAAATATTTAATGAATGCCCAATGCATGCTAGTGGCTGTTCTAAGCACTTGGACACAACAATGAACAAAATAGTCAAGGATTTTGCCTTCTATGGGACTTACTGGAAGAAGTGATAATTTTAATTAATACCTTAATAAAACAATCAGTCCCGTAAATATCTGAAGCCAGAGAGATGCAACAGAAGAAACTACGTACCAAGACACTTGCGGACATGTTTGAAAACCAAACGGAGGAACAATGGGATCGGAGGTAATGAGGGAGAATGAATGTGGTACAAAATAACGTCAGACAGGTGGATAAAGACTACTGCTTTGGATCCCAAAGGCCACTGTAAGGTGTTCAGGTTTTCTTAAAAGTGCAATTGGATGATCAGTTGCAGGGGTTAGGGAAGTCGCCAAGACCACCCTCACTTCTGACACCAACCACAAGTTCAGGGTTCCCAAAACAACCCTCAGATTCAATAATTCACTAGAAGGACGTACCAGACTCACTGAAAGCTGTTATACTAAGGTTGTATTTTATTAGAGTTAAAAGATGCAGATTAAAATCAACCAAGAGAAGAGACACATGGAGAAGAATCCAGGCAAGTCCCACTCACGGACTCTCCAGTTGTAGCCTTGCAGTGGAGTCAAGGGCAACACCACATTCTCTTGGCAACTATCTGTGACAATATGCATGAAGCATTGCCAATGAGGGAACTCACCTAAGCCTTGGTCCGTAGTTTTTATTTGGGCTTGGGACTGTCCATGTTGCTGACCTTTAGTCTCAAGCCCCTCTAGTGGCCAAGCCACCTTGGGGGATTCCTAAACACCCCATCATAAATCACATTGCTAAACCGGGGGAAGAAGCAGGATGGAGGAGATAAATATAGAAAAGTTGTTAGGGAAAACAAAACAGGCAATTCAGGACAAGGTTGGCTCGCCAGTAGACCAAATGCTCACTGTTTTCTAGGAGCAGCTAAATCACTCATTTATCAATCAGCTCTTTGCAGACAAAGTTAGCTGTCTTCAGAATCCATATTTTTCCTTTTTATGGAAAAGTAGGATGTTTCTCTTTTTTTCATTATTTTTGAAAATTTGTAAGTTTTCTTAATTATGCAATGACTTGAACAAAATTTCCACAATTGCAAAGTGGAGAGTAAAATAGTCTTTGAGCACCTAATATTTGTCAGACACTACTAGCCACATTTGTACATGCCATTTCATCTAGTTTTAAGCAGATTGCTTTTCCAAATGTGCTGCAATATAATTCCACTAAGTCTGAAGTCTTGAGTTTATCTAAAAGACCAACTCTGGGGATCAAAATAAATATCTCAGGTAGTAATTTCAGTATATACAGACATTAATTAATTTCACATATTCAACAAATATCTATAAGTTGCCTATTATGTGCATGCAAGGTGCTCTGTATTCACCAGTGAAGGTGGCGGGCACTGGCGCCCACCCACCTGGAGTGTACTGCCCATTACTGTATGATGTAATAAGAAACTCACAAACTTTAGCACCAAAGCCACCAGGATTTGAATGAGGGCTCAACTACGTAGTACCTGTGTGGCGATTAGAAAATTACTAAACTTCTCTGGAACATAATTTTTGAATCTGCAAGTGGGACTAATACCACTCACCTCCGAGGGCTGTTGTGAGGTGTGACAGAATTCATGTAAAGTGCCTGACCAGTGGTAGAGTGTTAGTTCCTTTCTGACCCTTATGTGATTTGACCTAAAAATTATAGACCTGTCCTCAATCCCCTTCTCTTTTTTAAGCCAAGAGAAGAGTGCAAAATTCTAAACATGATACTTAAAATAATTAGATTGCATGTTTCCTAAAATAGAGAAAATCTACTTTTATAGTCTTTTGGAAGATTCCAGACCCACAGCCCTAGTCTCATTTTCCTTCATGACTTTTGGACATTTATGTGGTGGTGGTAACCAGCCTCCATGATGGCTCTTAACAATCCCCATCTCCTGACATTCACACCTTTTGTCATATAATAAATGTGTCTGATCTGTGTAACCAGAGAATGTTGTGAAAATGACTGTGTGACTTCCTACATTAGGTCATGAACATTGTGGGTTTTACTTTGCTCTCTCCTGGATCACTCGCTCTGGGGGGCAGCCAGCTGCCATGTTATGAGGACACTCTATCAGCCCTATGGAGAGTCCCCATGGCAAGGACTGAGGCCTCCTTTCCAAAACCAGCACTAACCTGTCATCCACACAGAAGCAGATCCGTTAGTCCCAGAATGTCCTTCAGCCCAGCAGACAACTTGACAGCAACCTTATGAGAGACCAAGTCAGAACCACCCAGCTAAGTCACTTCCTGTGTGAGATGAGAAATGTTTATTGTTTTAAGCTAAGTTCCAGGGTAACTTGTTTGTTATTCATCAATAGATATGTAGTACATATGTAATAGTCCAGGTGAAAAGCCAAAAATGGAAAAAAGCCAAGTGTTTTTCACAGGCTGAAATACGTGATGCAAAGACATGTCTCCTGTTTTCCAACACAATTCAGGAGTCGACATTCTTTTTTTTTTTTTTTTTTTTTTGGAGACGGAGTCTCGCACTTTCGCCCAGGCCGGACTGCAGTGGCGCTATCTCGACTCACTGCAAGCTCCGCCTCCCGAGTTCACGCCAGTCTCCTGCCTCAGCCTCCCGAGTAGCTGGGACTACAGGCGCCCGCCACTGCGCCCGGCGAATTTTTTGTATTTTTAGTAGAGACGGGGTTTCACCGTGTTAGCCAAGATGGTCTCAATCTCCTGACCTCGTGATCCGCCCGCCTCGGCCTCCCAAAGTGCTGGGTTACAGGCGTGAGCCACCGCACCTGGCCCAGGAGTTTATTTCATAGAAGTTTGTTGTTGTTATTTTTTCTTTTTGGCTTTGGTTTATGCGTTACTGACACAAAACTAGTGGCATAATAAAAAGGGACACACTGATCATGAAAAACTAGGACCTAAAAATGTTAGAAATGTTTGCAAGGAACTAGCCCCAGCCTTGTAAATGTAATCTATTATCTCACCAGGAAATAGGGCAGAAATGCAGTTTTTGGTTTTAGGAAGTTCAAAAGATACAATATAGACTCTTTCTGAAGTAAAAATACAAAATAGCCCACCAAAAAACACTGCTTTCTTTCTGCAAGCGAAACTCCATGCATTTGGTAGCTGAGTCTTTTCATATGCCGTAATATTATCTGATAAACATATGGGCACAAAAAATTTAAAAGGCACAGACTTTATCTTCATGAAAGACAGAGATTAAAAGTTGAAATTAAAGAATCTGAAAACGGGTGGAATCGTGTGAAATAAACACAGTTTTCCATAAACATATATCTGTTTAGCTAAATTTAGCTTTCCATTAAATTCTAAGAGATTAAAGTCATAATTCTCAAGTTCTTCCGTTATTCTCTTCTTTTTTTTGTACTTTATTTTCAAGCCCTCTGCATATTCCATCTACCTACATATCCATACACACCTTATGTGTGCACATACCCTTTTCCTTCTTTGCAATACCTATAAATTTCCATATCTCAACAAAGAAAGCGGGAAAATCCAAATTCTTTGGTCAAAGTCAGCATGTCAGTCAGCAAAAGTTAAGTCTAAAGTTAAATTTAAGCAAAAATCTGTATCACCCAATACAAACACTGTAAGTGGCCTTATTTTAGTTCTCACAAGAGAACACGCATCCCTTTGGTTCTTTTTAAACTGGTTTCCATGTTTACAGAATGAGGCTGCTTAGTTGTGCACATCCCAAGAGACTTAGCTAATCCTGTACTTGCTGTTCACACAGCCACATTCCCATCACTGTGTCAAAGCCCAGAGCCACCCTGGAGAATTCTCCCATAGGCCCTCCAAAAGTTGCAGCTGGCGCAGCTTATCTTAGAGCCTCACTTACAGAGAAGGTATTGCGAAGTTGCTACAAAGTGCTTATTAGTTTCTATGACAACTGCAGCCCACAATTTAGTTTGGAAAATATCCTTTCAGTGTAAGAAATGAATAGAAACTTTCACCAACAAAGATTTTCTTCTGACTCATAGACACCAAGCCTAAATTCAGTTCTACTACCACCAACTTTTTTAAATATTCAATTCTATTTCTTAACCCCAGCTGCCATCCCAAACCCAAATTATTCTAACAAAGTAGTCTAATTGTTATTTCCCCTATTTACCTAAAGGTAATATTCAGATTAAACTATTTAGGACATGGGGATTTAAATTTTACACATTAACCTTTCAGGATCTTTTTTAAAAGTTTCATAGTAACAGTTCAAAATCTTAATCTCCTTGTAATCATCAGCTCATTCACTGAAGTTTCTTATTTAAATCATTATTCCCAAATTATTGTTATTGATCTACAAACAAGCAGATTGGATTGAGATGAAATGCAAAAAAAAAAAAAGCATAAGATTATGTTAGGGCAATTCAAACCTCAAGTTCAAATATTTAGGTGGCAAACAGCATGGTGGCTGGTACTACTTTGAAAAATGTTTTACTGCTTCATCCTTCTATTTAGATATTTGAAATATTAAAATATTTGAGTGGAGAGAAAGAGGTAAAGTATGATTCTGTTTAGAATTTGCAGGTCTTCCATTGTTGGAGAAAGAATTCAAGTGTCAGATATTACTGGAGATACTAAAATTTTTTATCTTCACTTCGGGTTTTATTTATTAAGAGTTTTTAGTCGATTTTACTTTTTATGCCTGTTTACAACAAACCATAAGATAGCTCCATTTCAAAGTTATCTGTTTCCACTGCCACCCTGTACCATAGACTTTAAGTGATTGGATACATGTCTTATCCAGCCTATATGAAGAAAAAAACATCCTTCATATAGCACTGTTTTCTAAGATGCACGTGTTTAGGTCTTTCTAAATCAGTATAAAATGCAGTTGAAGAAAATTATCTTTTTAAACATTTTATGAAGTCTTGTCACAACAAAACCTAAAATCTGAGCAATACTAAAAGAGAGGACACTGTGATAAAGAATCACTGAAGTCTCTGGACTTTCTATTATAAAAGTGGTTCTCTTTCAAGATGAGCTTTCACTTTAAAAAAAAAAAAAAACAAAATCAAAGGAGATCTAACAAAGAAAGACCTGCAGATTCTAAAACAGAATCACAGAGAACTGGGCCATATTAATAGCAATGCAGTGTAATTGAGTGCATCTAAAAGATACTATTGTTTGCATTTTCCCTGGTTTGTTAAAATAACTCTACATGAATGGGATGGCCATTCTTAGAGCTCCACAACATTCATGCCACTTCAGCACAGGAGCAATCAAATATGTCAAAACAATATTAAAATAATTCTCCAGTATCTTTGACCTGGGTTTCAGATGCTAGAATGGCCAAATCCACACAGGAGCCTCCCTCAGGTTCTAGCAGTGAGAGTCCAATTCTGCCATCAATAACTAAAAAATGGCCACCAAATCTCCCCAAGCAGTGCTTCTCAAACTGTACTGTATATCAGATGAAGGTGGAGAGCTTGAAACACAAATATTTCTCGGCCCCACCTTCTGAGTTTTTCATTCAGTAAGTCTGGGGTGAGATTTGAGAATATATTTCCAGGTAACACTGATGCTATTAGTCTGGGGACCAATGGAAGTGGCAGGGGAGCAGCAAATTCTACATAGCTTTAGAAGGTACACTGTATAGACCAGTAGTTCCCAACTTTGGTTGCATAGCAGAAATACCTGGGGAGCTTTTTAAACTCTCAGCACTCAGGCCCCCAACCCAGGCAGCACAAATCCTAATTTGGGGAGGGTCAGCCCATATATCAATAGCTTTTAAAGGCCCCTTAGTCCTTAGGTGATTCCAACATACAGCCAAAATTGAAAACAAGAAAAGACCCTATAGCAATAGTTCTCAACCTTGACTATTTCCCTAGAATCACCAGGGAAGCATCAGGGAAACATTTTTAAATCCTAATGCCAGGTTTCCACTCCCAAACATTCCAGGAAGAAAGATTTTAAAAGTTCTTGACTGATTCTAATGTGCATCAAAATTTGGAAACCACTGAATCCTAGCTAACTTAATTTTTTTTTCTTTTTTTTTTTAATTTTGAGATGGAGTCTTGTTCTGTCACCCAGGCTGGAATGCAGTGGCGTGATCTTGCCTCACTGCAACCTCCACCTCCAGGGTTTAAGTGATTCTCCTGCCTCAGCCTCCTGAGTAACTGGCATTATAGGCACTTGCCACCGCACCCAGCTAATTTTTGTATTTTTAGTAGAGACAGGGTTTTGTCATGTTGGCCAGGCTGGTCTTGAACTCCTGACCTCAAGTGATCCACCCACCTCGGCCTCCCAGAGTGCTAGGATTATAGGCGTGAGCCACAGTGCCCGGCCTAACTTAAATTTTCACATTATATGTTTTTTAAAAGCAATTTACCTGAAGTCATAAAGTCATCATAATCAAGTTAAAGTTATTAATGTATTTTTTCAAATTCAAACATTTTAAAAATAATTTTTAATTAAGCATTACAAATAAATTGAAAATAGGAAAAAATATGTATTACACTAGATGCATTGTTAAAGTCAAGTAATAATTGTGGTTTTCTTTTAGGTATAATTTACATAGGTATAATTTTCTTTTAGGTGTAATTCGTCTTTTTAAATGTACAGTTCTATAAGTTTTGACAAATACAGACAACACTAAAACCAAGGTGTAAGAAAGTTTCAGCTGAGTATGGTGGCTCACGCGTCTAATCCCAGCACTTTGGGAAGTGAAGCAGATAGACTGCTTGACCTCAGGGAGTTCAAGACCAGCCTGGGCAACATTGTGAAACCGCATTTCTACAAGAAATAGAAAAATTAGCCTGACATAATAGCATGTGCCCATGGGCCCAGCTGCTTGGGTGGCTAAGGTGGGAGGATTGTTTGACCCTAGGAGGTCAAGGCTGCTGTGAGCTGTGAGCATGCCACTGCACTCCAGCCTGGGTGACAGAGCAAGACCCTGTCTCAAAAAAAAAAAAAAAGAGTTTCATCACCCTAAGAAAATTCTCTTATGACCCTTTGAAAGCAGTTTTGATCAGAATTTTCTGCCAACTTCCTCTACCCTATACCCAGTTGGTTGCACAATTGTTTTCCTTGTCCCAGCAAAGGGAGATGCATGAAACAATGGTTACAGAAGAGGATGTTGGTGTCCCTCTGTGTTGTACTGGGCAAGCTTAGCCACTATGAGGACATAGAAATAGATTTGAATCAAAACATAAATTATTATATATGTGTCTAATATTAAAATGGAATTAGATCAAGCATAATTAAATTTAAATCTAGAGCATTATGTTTAAAAAGATGTGAACTGGTCACCTTTTGTGGATGCTAGAGAAAGTTACTATTTTGAAAACTGATGAGAAAAAGAAATGAGAATTCATCCTCCTCTCTTTTATTAACTCTGCCATTTGATAACCAAATAGTAGATGCGAGGAGTTTCTCTTTATTGAGGCATTGAAATATCATTCTGTTGCAACTCTTAATGAACTGAGGATCAATTAATGATGTTCAAAGATGGCTAATATCACAAAACGAAGAGAAAATCATGCATTATGTTCCTGCAGATGGGAAAACAACACACCATATAAAATTTTTAAATGAAACTTGAATCTGATCAAACCTCTAGGTCCAACTACCATTTCATAGGAAATACGGGGGACATGGAAACATGTTAAACTGCACCACAGGAACGCAGTCAGGGAACGTGAAACTGCAGGAAACTCTAAGAGATAAATGATCCAGTTTCTTTGACAAATAAATTCTGAGAAAGAGACAGAGATGAAGGGGGAACTTATGGATTTTAAAAAGATGTAGAATACTTATCCTAATCACCTATAGTATGTGAATCTTATTTGGATACTAACTCAAGCAATCATCAAACTTAATAATATTTATGTGAAAACTGGAAATGTGGATACAGATGACATCTAATAAGGAAATTTTTAAAATCTGTGTAATTTTTTCAATATGCTGATGGTCTACAGTAATGTTTTTAGAAGAGGGGCTTATCTTTTAGAGACAGGTACTGTAATATTTATGAATAGAGTGATATTACGTCAGAGATTTGTTTGAAAATAATACTGATGTAGGGAAAGTGAGTGGGGTAGAAAAGAAACAAGATTGGCCATAAATGCATAATTGTTAAACCTGGATCATGGGCTCAGGAGAATTTATTACATTGTTTTGCTTACTTTGGTTTATGTATATATGAAATTTGCCACAGTAAAAATTCAGAATGAAAATAAAAGGCAAAAAAGACTTCTATCCAAATGGCAATGAAGCCATCTCATTGTCTGGGGTGCCACCCAAAGTTCTTTGTCTTGTGGCCAAGGAAATCAAGGATGCAGACACTCCAAGGGTGAGGTTAGAGCAGACGTTTAATAAGTGAGAGAAAGAGAGAAAGCCCTCTGCCACAGAGAGGGGTCCCAAAAAATGGTTGCCATTTCACAGTGAAATACAAGGGTTTTTATAAACAAGCTAGTGGGGAGGGGGTATCTCATCTACATAAGGCACGAAAAACCAGTTAGAACTAGGTGTGTCATTTGCATAGGGTGAGAGTCTCTGGCAGCCCCTACCCCAACCTTTTATTGCACAGGCAGGTTCTTGGCCTAAGTAACTTCATGTTGCTTATGTTTTTTACTGTGCATGTGTTAAGGGGGCAGAATCCTCCACGGTGGACATGCCTGGCCAAAAGTAGTTCCTCTTACAGGTGCAGATGCAGGCACCCCTGCCTCATGCAAGCTTCCTTATCTGAGAATGTCCAAAAAGGAAAGGAAAGTGCTCACTAGGGCCCACTGTGCTTACTGGGGCCCACCAAATGGATGTGAAGATTGCTGATTACACAGGAGGGTCCCTCTCTGTGTTGGAACTTGCTCCTTATCTACGTTTGCAGCCCCATCTTCCAGGCTGCTCTTTGTTAGAGAAGGAATTCTGCCAAGGACTCTTTGCCCTAACTATCTGCCTAGCTAGTTCCTTTCTTCCTTCTCTCTCAGCAATAACAGGATTATTAATAAGAGCCCAAAACTGGGGGGAAAAAACATCAATCAGTAATGGATAAACAAAATGTGGTGCATCCTCTCTGCCTACGGTGGTCTAATCTATATGGTTTTACAACCTAGAATAGCACTGTCCATGAGCCTCTATCCAAAGGCTGAAATGTGACGATTCTAGACAGAGCTGCCTGCTCAATAAAACAGTTCCCATTGTACTCAACACAGTATCCATCAAACATTTTTCTCACTGAATGGTGAAAAAAGAGTACAAGAACTCTGAAATATAGAAGGTCTAAGGTCTTCCAACATCCTACATTTAAAGGTAAATAATGTGATGCTGATTTATAGTATTTTTTTTTGTAACACTGTGATATGGTTTGGCTGTGTCCCCACCCAAATCTCAACTTGAATTCCCAGCTGTTGTAGGAGAGACCTGGTGGGAGGTAATTGAATCATGGGGGCAAGTCTTTCCCTGCTGTTCTCATGATAGTGAGTAAGTCTCAAAAGATCTGATGGTTTTATAAAGAGGAATTCCCCTACACAAGCTCTCTTTCTTTGCCTGCTGCCATCCATGTGAGACATGACTGGCTCTTCCTTGCCTTCTGCCATGATTGTGAGGCTTTCTCAGACACGTGGAACTGTGAGTCCAGTCAAACCTCTCTCTTTTGTAAATTGTCCAGTCTCGGGTAGTCTTTATCAGCAGCATGAAAATGGACTAATAAACACTAAAAGTAGATCTATTTTAAATCTTGTTTCCTTAAATCTCTGGGCAATCCTGGATTAATCAAATACACTGAAAAACTCTAGTGCATTGCCTGAATATCTAAATGCCCTAAACAGTGACACAATAAGAGATCCTTTAGTGAGAAGTTATTTGGGGGGATTTCAGAGAGCATTAAAAGAGACATGTTTTAGTATGAGGGTAGTGGTTCTTAGAACCTCTCAAGAAACAGAAGGTAGCATCAGACATGTTAATACACAAGGCTCTCAGAAAATAATATGGTTAAGAAATATGTTTCCATTTCACATGTTCTTGGGGATCATCATCTCTCTAATATCATTAACAAGGACAATAAGAAGATACAAAATCAACTGTCAGGGACAAATCTAATTAAATTCATATCTAAATTAGGACATAAATAAAGGTGGAAGCTGGGCACATTGGCACATACTTGTAAGCCCACCTACTCAGGAAACTGAGGCAGAAGGATCACTTGAGTCCAGGAGTTCAGTGCCAGCCTAGGACACAGCAAGACCCTGTCTCTAATAAATAAAAGGTGGAGGCCAGGTGCAGTCACTTACACCTGTAATCCCAGCACTTTGGTAGGCCGAGGCAGGTGGATCACTTGAGGTCAGGAGTTCCAGACCAGCCAGGCCAATGTGGCAAAGCCCCATATCTACTAAAAATACAAAAATTCACCAGGCATGGTTGCGGACACCTGTAATCCTAGCTACTCAGGAGGCTGAGGCAGGAGAATCACTTGAATCCAGGAGGTGGAAGTTGCAATGAGCTGAGATTGCATCACTGCACTCCAGCCTGGGCAACACAGCAAGACTCCATCTCAAAAATAAAATAAAATAAAAGGTGGAGAGTAAGCTCCTTATATTTGAAATACATAGTAACAAATACATTTTTAAATGTATTTAAAAATCAAAATTTCTTTTAAATCAAATCCCTCCATCACTACCTATTTATAAAACTGTAAGGCACATTTAATATTACATCTCAGTAAGAGTGCTTGCTTGTGAGTACACAGACAGGGAGTTCAGCTTGAATTCTATCATGCAGTTGCCCGCTTTTTACACATGAAATCAGAAGGACATTTCAACGTAATTTCCACTGTGCTGCAGAATTAAATCAATCAACATTATACCTGATTCATAAACCAACATTAAGCAAAGCTATTAAACAAAGTTTATTGCTCAAATTTTAATAGTGACCATATAGAACTATTTCTTTTTGTTTTTTTTGTTTTGTTTTGTTTTGTTTTTGTTTTTGAGATGGAGTCTCTCTCTGTCACCCAGGCTGGAGTGCAATGGTACGATCTCGGCTCACGGCAACCTCCACCTCCCAGGTTCAATAGATTCTCCTGCCTCAGCCTCCCGAGTAGCTGGGACTATAGGCGCGTGCCACCGGGCCCAGCTAATTTTTCTGTACTTTTAGTAGAGACAAGGTTTCACCGTGTTGGTCAGGATGGTCTTGATCTCCTGACCTCGTGATCTACCCACCTCAGCCTCCCAAAGTGCTGGGATTACAGGTGTGAGCCACTGTGCTCGGCCATATAGAACTATTTCTAACTTCCTGGTCAGGTTAGAGAAGTTAGCACTTTCCAGAATATAACACAAAAGGCATGTCAGAGACCAAGACAAGCAAGGTCTGAGATCTGAATACTTTCAAAAAAGACTACTTGTCTCTCTGCTTCTCAGGCCCTGATTCTCAAGTTTTAGAATTGACCAGCTACTCTTTCTTCAATTTCTGAACAGCTACTCCCTCTATCATCCTTCTTCTCTGAAATCAATTACTGGTTTCACAAATTTTAATAAAGATGAATTAAAATTGATGTTAGTTTTAGAAACTAGACTGAGAATTTTCCCGTATCCCTTCAGATAATTAGAGGTACCCGAGAGTGTTAGAATTCACTGCTTGAGGGATTTTCTCAGCCAAAAATAAACATATGGTATAGGGGGCTGTTTCTTGGCAGGAAACTGCTGTCAACAAGCTCATAGGGACCTGTCATCAGGGCCCCGCACAGCCAGTGGGACGACGTGTAATATTGGCTGGCTACCTGCTCCCTCGAGCAAGTGGAAAGTAACTCTTCTGCCTTTTTGCCACAACCCTGTATATTAAACAGATGCAACTTATTTCCAAAGAGTACTTTGCTTGTGAAATTAACATTGAAAACATCGAAAGTGAAAACGCACAGGGTCAGCAGGTAGTTGGTTAAGATTCAAGCATTAACATTTACGCAAAATGGAAGCCAGTTAGGCAAAATCCAGGAACGAATATCTAGATGTAGGTATGTTCATTTTATTAACTTACAGGAATATATACTACAAGTCATATGCCAGCAATATTTTTAGTATAAAATAAAAAAGACAAATCTGTGGATTTGATGGATTCTCTGAGAGTTTCGCATGTGAAGGTGGATGAGTGCAGTTGGAAATCTCCAGTGCACTCTAAATTGAAGCTTGATGCCAATAAACCTGTCACTTGCGTAAATTTTAAAAGGGTGGCCTCTTCCTATGCACTGATGTATATAAACACAATATGGATATTGCTCTATGTGGGTACAGTAATAAAACTCAGCTTGTAACTGTGTCAACCCCAGTGGTCATGTAGTGGGGAGCAATTTTAAAATATTCATTCCTTGCTCCAATTAGAATTAATCAAAAAGTGTGGGTGTGCACGGTTTTGATACAACTATGGTAATATAAATAACTGGTAAAGATGAGTTACAGTTACTCATACACATGGTGGATTTAAAATTTGTTAGTAATTTCATTGAAACTCCTTTCTTGAAAAGGAGCCTATGCCAAGCACAGTGGCTCATGCCTGTAATCCCAGGACTTTGAGAGACCAACACAGGAGAATCACTTGAGGCCAGGAGTTTGAGTCAAGCCTGGGCAACATAGTAAAACCCCATCTGAAAAAAAAAAATAAAAGTTTGATTCTCCACCACTTGCATGAGGACCAGATTTCATGACTTTCTTCTAGTAAATAGAATGTGATAGAAGTGATGTCATGTTATTTCTGAGGCTGGGTCATAAAAAAAAATTTAAAAATTACTCTCACCTGGCTCTTTCTATTTCAATTGCTCCACTGGGGGGAAGTTAGCTGCCATGTCACAAGGACACTCAAGCAGCTGTGTGGGAAAGCCCATATGGAGAGAAACAGCCCTCATACCAACAATTTGTCAGCCTAATAAGTGAGGCACTCTGGAAAGCCTGACCAGAAGTGTATCCTTCAGCTCCAGTCAAGCTTTAGATAACTGCAGACACAGGGAACATCTTGACTAAAACTTCATGAGAGACTCCAAGCCGGAAGATTCAAACTAAATTATTTCTGAATTCCTGACCCACAGAAAGAGCAAGATAATAAATATTTATTGCCATTTTAAGCCACTAAGTTTGGGGGTGATTCGCTATACAGTAGCACAGTGGTCCCCAACCTTTTTGGCACTAGGGGACTGGCTTAGCAATCCTCCTGCCTCAGCCTCAGGAGTAGCTGGGACCACAGGTGCCTGTGCCACACCCAGCTTTATTTTCCTTTTCTTTTTTTTTTTTTTTTTTTTTTTTTTTTAAGTAGAGACAGGGTTTTGCTATGTTGCCCAGGCTGGTCTTAAACTCCTGAGCTTAAGCGATCCTCCTGCCTCAACCTCCCAAAGTGCTGGGATTATAGGCATGAGCCACCATGCTCGGCCCTTTTCTTATTATTGTATTAAATGGATTCTTCTTTACTAAAAAATTACTTTAAAAGGAAACCTTGGCCAGGTGTGGTGGCTCACGCCTGTAATCCCAGCACTTTGGGAGGCCAAGGAGGGCAGATCACCTGAGGTCAGGAGTTCAAGACCAGCCTGGCCTGTTAACATGGTGAAACCCCATCTCTCGTAAAAATACAAAAATTAGCCGGGCGTGGTGGCGGACACCTGTAATCTCAGCTACTCAAGAGGCTGAGGTAGGAGAATTGCTTGAACTCAGGAGGCACAGGTTGCAGTGAGCCAAGATCATGCCACTGCACTTCTGCCTGGGCTAACAGAGCAAGGTTCCTTCTCAAAAAAATATAAAATAAAAAATAAATATGTTATTCACTCCAGGAGTAACTCCTAGAGGGAAGTTATCTCTAAAATAGAATCAAAGCATTTGAATTACTGGCCCAATGTCACTCATGCTAGGTAAGAAGTAGCAAACCTAAGATTTAAATCCAGTTCTATTCATGTTCTAAGTTCATGCTTTTACTAACCCCAACACTCTACTGCTTCAGTGACCTTTGATTTCACAAAGATTCTTATAGCAACTCCTTCTGAGTTTTTTAAATCATATAATACATGTCAGTCAATATTTTATAGATCTGCCAATATTTCCCTTTGTTTTTAATTTTCAAGTCACACTCAGACCTTTATATTTCTGTTAAACTGAGCACAACATTCTTATACTTCTGCCTTTTGTCTTTCCAGGGAGATAGACGATATACTGAGATATAGACAAATATTATGATCACTCTGTTGCTTATATATATTCAACTTTACACTATTGTATAGGCTACATTCTTCTATTTTGTTGTGACTTACGTTGCCACTTTACTTCATACAAAAAGCCTCTTCACAGTTCAACTGTATAAGCTTATGTGTCTTCATAATAACTGCTGCTTTCTTCCTCTCCTCCCCACCTAAAAACATTAGCGTCCAATGATGCTTAGCTTACATTTTCATAAAATACCCCATATTCCAGTCTACTGAGCTATCCCCTGCCTGACGTGCTTTTATAAGGACACAAAGTTGCCGTTACAAAATACTAAAATCTAAATTACATTTTGACTTTTATGTCTATCTTCTGACTTTTTAATACTAACTTCCCTTTCACTGCTATCAGAAAACTTTGGCACATAATCCCTAAATCCTTGTAATTGTCAGGACTCTTCTAATATTTACTCTGTATTTGCTATTGCCTGTCCCCTTCTCTTAGGTCCTCTACTATTTTTCCCTCTTTTGATTCATTCTTCTGTTCTCCTCTCATTACTTTCTTAGCTTTTATATAGAATAAATAGAGTAACCTTTTTTATACTCAAATATGACATGATTTCAGATGAGATGTCAGGTTTCCTGCTCACTAAATAACAAAGTATCTCTACAAATGTTTTCATTTTCACTTTTATTTATGATTTATTCTCTGCAAGAGTTTATCTGTCACATGTACATTTGGACCAGGTTAGAGGAGCTAAGTTGGAAAATTAAATCAAATAACAGCCTGTGAATTTCCTTTTGATATAATAAAAAAATTTTATTTGTAAGCCTATCTAAATAGTCAAGCTTTTCACAAAATGTTATAAAAATATTTTATTTTCTAGTTTCTACTGTTGATTGATTTATAGTTTTGATACACCAGGAATTTAAATTACAGGTTACAACTGTACAACTCTACAAGTATGTGGAAAAAAACTGGACAGACACACCAACTTTTTATCTCCTTTTATCTTCTTAGTCTTCATGATGAATTGATTCGATGTGTTTTCTGATTAATTCGTCTTGCAATTCAATAGCATGAAAATAAATAACCCAATTATAAAGTGATCGAAAGAACTGAATAGACATTTCTCCAAAGAAGACATACAAATTAATGGCCAACAGGTATATGAAAACATGCTCAACATCACTAATCATCAGGAAAATGCAAACCAAAACCACAATGAGATATCACCTCATGCCTGTTATGATGGCTATTACTAAAAAAATTAAAAAGATAAGAAGCGTTGGCAAGGATGTGAAGCAAAGGGAACCATTATATACTTTTGATGCTAATGTATGTTGGTGACATCACTATGGAAAACAGTACAGAGTTTCCTCAGATATTAAAAATAGAACTATCATATGATCCAGCAAGCCCACTTCTGAGTGTATTTCCAAAAGAATTGAAATCAGAATCGTGAAGATATAGTGTACTTTCATGTCCATTGCAACAATATTCACAAAAGCCAAGGCATTGAAGCAAAACAAAAGTCCTTCAACAGATTAATGGATAAAATGTAGTATATACATACAATGAAATATTATTCAGCCTTTAAAAAGATGAAAATCCTGCCATTTGTAACAGTATAGGTGAACATGGAGGAGAAGCATTTTGCTAAGTGAAATAAACCAGTCACAAAGAACAAATACTACATAATATCACCTATATAACGATTGTAAAGCAGTCAAACTCACAGAAGCAGAGAGTGAAATGATGGTTTCTAGGGGATGGGGGAGAGAGAAACAGGGAGATATTAGTCAAAGGGATGAAGTTTTGATTATACAAGATGAATAATTCCCAGAGATCTGCCATACAATAGTGCCTATAGTTTAAAAACATCGTATTATATACTTAAAAACTGGTTAAGAGGGTAGATTTTATGTTAAGTGTTATTCCAAGAAGGATGAGGAAGAAGAGGGGGAGGAGAGGAAGAAAGCAGCAGGTGAAAACTTTTGGAGGTGATGAAGAGGTCTATGGCATAGACTGCGGTGATAGTTTTAGGGGTATATATTTATCTCCAATCTCATCAAGTTATACAGATTAAAATATGTACAACATTTTGTGAATCAATCATACCTCAATAAAGTAGCTTTTTAAAAAAAACTATTACCTTAAAGGAATTGATGTTGTGGTAAATTGCATCACCAGCCCCAGTTCTTCACCCCCTCACTATATCCATGCTGTGATTTTGACATGTGATTTTTGCATTTTGTCCCATTCAAAGTGTACAGTATTTCTCCACTCCTTGACTTTGGGTTTGGTCATATAATTTGCTTTGACCAATATTTCAAAAACAACTGTGAGCTATCTCTGAGCTTAGACCTTAAGAGTTGTTACATGTTTTCACTTCTTCTCATGTGTCTCTACCGCTGCAATAAGAACATGCTAGAAAGCTCATTCTCCAGGAGAATGTGAAATTTATAAACATAACCAGCTACCCCAGCCAAGAACACCCAATTTCCAGGAGCTACCCACATTCCCATGAGCTAAATAAATGCTTATTATTGTATGCCACAAAGTTCTAAGGTGATTGACAATCTGCTACTTTGTAGCAATAAGTAACTGACATAGATATTTATGGATATAAAATGTGCTGTTAGCAATCATCAGTCATACTAGATGTATGTACTTTTACCATATTCCAAGTACGTACCAGTCAAAATCAAGACTACTTCTCCATTACTGCCTCCCCTTTTTAAATGTCTCCTTTAAGAAAGAAGCCTCAAAATCTAGATGCAATAGGTACTGCCAATTGCTTAATTCACATAAACAACCATTATAAATAATAACTAATCCTATTATGTATAGGCTTTGAGTTTCTTTACCAAAAGAAGATTTTAAAATTACATTTTAGACCAGGCGCGGTAGCTTACACCTGTAATCCCAGCACTTTGGGAGGCAGAGGCGGGTGGATCACCTGAGGTTGGGAGTTCGAGACCAGCCTGACCAACACAGAGAAACCCCGTCTCTACTAAAAGTACAAAAATTAGCCGGGTGTGGTGGCACATGCCTGTTATCCCAGCTACTCGGGAGGCTGAGGCAGGAGAAGCGCTTGAACCCGGGATGCAGAGGTTGCCGTGAGCTGAGATCGTGCCATTGTACTCCAGCCTGGGCAACAAGAGCGAAACTCTATCTCAAAAAAAAAAAAAAAATTACATTTTAGAACCATGGCTGCCTAAAAAGGTAGACCTGAAGGCTACCTTTGAAGGGGATGACAACTTATCTCAAACATATTCATTATATGACTAGGATTGCCACTTGTCAATTAATTTTTGATGATTCATTTGGTTTTCTTGATATTTTTGTCACTAAAAGACTTTTTTTTTTAATTCACTTGGGTCAATCCCCAATTTTAACCAATATAATAGCATGCTTAATTTTATTTTTGCATTCCACAGTCCTTGATAATAGCAAACTAATTTCTGTAGCTGCATTTGATGAAAATATGCTGATGGAACTCATATTTCATACCATTGACTATAATGAGCTATTTTATCAAACTGTCCTTATGACAGTATTGTAGAGAAAATGATAAATTTACTAATTTATTCACTTGAGATTCCATTTAAAATTTTTAAAAGAAAGGAAAAGATCAATGAAGTCAGGTAAATTAGGCTTTCCTAAATGATATGTCTGAGTCTCTATGAAACAATAGCACTAATCATTCCTGCTCTTAATCAAATGCTAACATTAAAAAATTGTTGATTAACTATTACTTTTAATAATATTCTACAGAACAAATAGGGAGCTGTAAAATGTCCTATTGTGAACATATATGCACAATGTTTGCTCACAATCAGGGTAATTATTACCATGATTTCATAAAGAATTGGTTTCTTATCACTTTGTTGGGGTTTTTTATTTTTACTCAGCTTTAATTTAGAAATTATCAATCAGTAAATACATCAATTAATGAAAGTAACTCATTATTTTGTGGGGTCTTTCAAAAAACTTTGTAGTAACTAAAAACTGTAGCATAACATTTCTTTCTGAGACTCTGAGATGCCAACTACATAGATGGTGCTGATATTGGTGAAAATACAATCACATATACAATATGCTAAAACACCTTTCATCAATTATTGTGCTCTATAGAATTTATGCTCACTGAACTCCAGAAACAATATTAACCTGGAGCTGGTCAGTCCTTCATGCTCTGGATAAACAATCTTCAAACATTACATGACCATGACATTCTGTTTTATAATCTTTTCTTGAAATAAAATGAATTTATTGATTTTTTTCATTTATAAGCCATTGGCAATGAAAATAATGACTCTAATAAATTATTTAACATGATTTCTTCTTTAGGGATTCATTCTATCATGAATGTCTCTCACATCTGCTAAAAAGAAATCACATAGAGTAAGGTTATTTTACGTGACAACCATGTTCTTGTAAATGTTCACAGTAAAATGCCTTGAAGCCACAACAGATAGTGTTTCTTTCCTTTCTCAATGTTCCTTTTATTTTTAACATTTTCTATGTACTACGCGAAAACTGCTACCTTTTCCTCAATTCAATTAATAAATACTCTCCAAAATTCAAATATAATAATGAGTTCTAAAAGATAAGATTAGGAGAACATTCCTAGTCGAATGTGATACAAGAAAAATGAAACTATAATATCTGAGAAACCCCAAATCTTCACTAAATAAATAGTAGGAACACAGTTTGACTTTGGAATTTTAGTGCTGAATTCCAATATCCTCTGGGGCTGTCAGATCTAAGGATAGAGGGCCTTTTAAAAATAAGCTATTTTCATGTAGATACATATTCTGCTATTTTACAATAACCAACTGTTCCTCAAAATAATAATTAAAGAGGAGAACTGATCTTACCTTGACTCATTTGGGTACAAACAAATAGTCTGCTGTTTATACAATCTGAAAAACAGCGCTACAATCATCAAGATGGATGACTAAAGGTGCTCAACACTTGCCCCCCAACAAAGATCCAAAAACAAACATATGACAACACATCAAATGGAATATCTAGGGGAGAACACAGAAATTCAGCAAAGAAGTGCCAAAGACCTTCTGCAGCACAGAGATTCAGAATGGCAGCATAAAGAAGGAAGCAAACCACATGGGCCAGGATCATCTTGGGGTCAAGAGAGGCTCCCCACCCTAAGAAAAGGGCAAACAGGAGATCCTTAGTAGTCTGCATTTCCACCACAGATGCCTGGTATCCTAGCTTCACAAGAGCCCCATAGCCCTTGCTAGTCCTAAGCCTGGTGTAAAGAGCTGCCTAGAGTCCATCTGACTGCATTATTCTGGAGAGGAAATTTACACTCCCCCTCCATACACACACTCAGTTATTCAGGCTGCCACAGAACATCACCACCTTGAGAGTGAAGCCACCATCAGAGTGCATCCTGCCCTGGGGCCCAATAGCCCCTGCATCTCCACATACCTGAGGCCTCACCAAAATCCTACCACATCCACCCTGAGGCTGAAGCAACAAGAAAACAGCTGAACCCAGCAGTGTGGTCATGATTACAGCACCCAAGCCTATACAATGCCCTATCAGGGTGCAAGCAGTCCAGCACAGTGGGAAGACAGGCCCCCAGGAAAGAGGGAGCTGATGTGTATGCTCCCCAGAACCTGAGACCCATCAGACTGGGTCCCACTGCCACCACTAGTAACCCTTCCTCCTCCATAGCAAAGGTGTCCTACACCCAGACACATGCATGCCCCCCATTGGCCTGAAGACTGGCCCACCGAGTGCCTGCCACCTCCACCAGTGACCCAATTCCCTACAAAACAAAGTGCCACACACCCATGTGCACCCCCCAACAGAGCAAAGAACTGGCCTGCTTGTCATCCCAGCACCCAGAAAAGCTATTCCACAACTTCCAAAAATAACTGCAGCCTAGGCCATGGAGGTACTTGTAGTCACCACCGACATTGATTACAGCAAAGAAACCAAATGGAAACTACACTACTCTACCCTCCAAGAGTCAAAGCCAAAGCAGCCTACCCAACTGAAACTACAGGACACATCTACAGCAAAAAGTCTTTCCCTATTCAAGCTACTTCATAAACTGGAGGAAGTGACAATTACATCAAATGTGCAGATATAAAGGGATAACACAAAAACTATGAAAGGGCAAGGAAACATAACACCTTTAAAACAACACAATGATTTTCCAGTAACATGCCTAAAAGGGAAATTTAAATAATGACTTAAGAAATCTCAGAGAGATACAAGATAACACATATACACAATTCAATAAGATCAGGAAAACAATTCCTCTGACTGAGAAATTCAATAGAGATAGATATCATTTTTAAAAAACTGAAGTCTTAAAATTGAATAATTCAACAAGTGAAATAAAAAATAGAATTGAGAGCTTCAGTGATACACTAGATCAAGCAGAAAAAAGAATTTCTGAACTTGAAGACAAGTCTTTTGAAATAAGCTAGTCAAGCAAAAAATAAATAAATAAATAAAGCCTATGGAACATATGGGACACCCGTAAACAAACAAACAAAAAAATGCATTATGGAAATTACAGAAGGAGAAGAAATGAGAAAAGGTATTTCTTAAAAAACCTATTTAATGAAATAATAGCTGAGAGTTTCCCAGGTCTAGAGAGAGATATGGACATCCAGATTCAGGAAGCTCAAAGATTCCCAAACAGACTCAACTCAAAAAGTCCTTCCTAAAGCATATTTTGGTCAAGTTGTCAAAAGTCAAAAACAAAAAGAGAATTCCAAAAACCAGTGAAAGTGTCAAGTCAGATATAAAGAAATCCTCATCAGGCAGACAGCAGATTTCTCAGCAGTAACCTTACAGACCAGGAGTGAATAGGATGATATATTCAAAGTGGTGAAAGAGAAAAAAAAAAAAAAAAAAAAAAAAACTATAAGCCAAGAATACTATACCCAACAAAGTCATCATTCAAAAATGAAGGAGAAATAAAGTCTCCCAGACAGGCAAAAACTGAGGGAATTCACATATAAATGAGTTCTACAAGAAATGCTTAAGGGAGTCTCACATCTGGAAGCAAAAGAACTATAACTACCATCATAAAAACACATGAAAGTATAAAATTCACTGATAGAGCAGATACACAAATGAGAAAGAGAAAACAATCAAATGTTATAACTTCAGAAAACTGTCCAACAACAAAGATAAACAATAAGTGATGAGGAAAGGAACAAAGAATATATAAAGTGACCAGAAAATAATTAACAAAATCATAAGAGTAAGTCCTAACCTATCCATAACAACTTTGAATGTAAGCAGTTTAAATTCCACAATTAAAATATACAGACTTGCTTAAAGAATTTTAAAAGCAAGACCCAAGTATATGCTGCCTTCAAAAACTCACTTCACCTATAAAGACACATAGACTGAAAGTGAAGGGATGAAAAAAGATATTCCACAAAAATGAAAACCAAAAGTGAGCAGGAGTAGCTATTGCTTGCATCACACAGCATAGATTTTAAAACAAAAAACATTTAAAGCGACAAAAAAGTTCATTACATAATGATAAAAAGGATCAAGTCAGCAAAAGGCTATGACAATTGTAAATATGTATTCACCCAACCCTGAAGAACTCAGATATATAAAGCAAATATTATTAGAGCTAAAGGAAAAAAATCCAACTATAGGCCCCAGTACAATCATAGTTGAGAACCCCTTTCTCAGCATTGGACAGATTATTTAGACAGAAAATCAACAAAGAAACATCACAGGTAAACTATACTATAGACCAAATGAACCTAAGAGACATTTATAGGACATATTATCCAACAGCTGCAGAATATATATTCTTCTCATCAGCACATGGAACATTCTCCAGGATGGATCATACATTAGGCAACAAAACAAGTCTCAACAAATTTTTAAAAATTGAAGTTATATCAAGTACCTTTTCAGACCACAATGGAATAAAACTAGAAAATAATAACGACAGTAGCTTTGGAAACTGTACAAATACATAGAAATAAAACAACATGCTCCTGAATGACCAGTGAGTGAAAGAAGTAATTAAGAAGAAAATAAAAAATATATATTTGAATGTAAATGACTTAAATTCCATAATTAAAAGGTATAGACTTGCTGGATGAAAACACAACATATTAAAACCTATGAAATAAAGCAAAGGAGTACTAAGAGGAAAGTTTACAGCAAAAATTCCTACACCAAAAAAATTTAAAAGATTTAAAATAAACAACCTAATGATATACCTAAAGGAACTAAAAAGGCAAGAACAAATCAAATCAAAATTAGTACAAGAAAATAATAAAGATCAGAGCAGAGCTAAACAAAATAAAGACTAAAAAAAGAAGATTGACAAAACAAAAACCTGGCTTTTTGAAAAGATAAACAAAATCAAAAGATCATTAGCTAAACTATGAAAAAAAGAGAGAAAACCCAAATAAATAAAATCAGAAATTAAAAAGGAGATGTTACAACTTATACCACAGAAATGCAAGGATCACAGATACTATTGTAAACACCTATGAGACAACAAATTGGAAAAGCTAGAAGAAATGGATAACTTCTGGACATATACAACCTGCCAGGATTGAATCATGAAGAAATAGAAAACCCGAAAGAACAATAGCAAACAACAAAACTGAATCAGTAATATAGTCTCTCAATAAAGAAAAGCCTAGGACCAGGTGGCTTCACTACTGAATTTTATCAAATACATAAAGAAAAATGAATACCAATTCTTCTCAAACTATTTGAAAAAAATGAAGGGAGGGAAGTCTTCCTAACTCATTCTACATGACAAGCATTATCCTGATACCAAAACCCGACAAGAACGTAACAAAAAAAGAAAACTATAGGCCAATATTCCTGATGAACACAAATGCAAAAATCCCCAACAAAATACTAGCAAAACAAATTCAATAGCACATCAGGAAGAGTATACACCATGAGCAAGTGGGATTTATTTCAGGGATGCAAAGATGGTTCAACATACAGAAATCATAACATACACAATCAATAAACATGGTATATCACATCAACAGAATGAAAGACAAAACCATATGATCATCTCACTAGATGCAGACAAATCATGTGATAAAATTCAACATCCCTTTATGACAAAAGCTCTCAATAAATTAGGTATAGCAGAAACATCCTCCAGTATAATAAAGGCCATATACGACAAACCCATAGCTAACATTATACTGAATGGGGAAAAGTTGGAAGCTATTCTTCTAAGAGGTAGAACAGAAGGATACCCAGTTTCACCATTCTTATTCAACACAGTATTGGAAGTCCTAGCCAGAGCAATTAGCCAAGAGAAAAAATAATGTGGGCTGGGTGCAGTGGCTCACGTCTGTAATCCCAGCATTTTGGGAGGCTGAGGCAGGTGGATCACCTGAGGTCAAGAGTTCAAGACCAGCCTGGCCAATATAGTGAAACGCTGTCTGTACTAAAAATACAAAAAATTAGCTGGGCATGGTGGCAGGTGCCTGTAATCCCAGCTACTAGGGAGACTGAGACAGGAGAATGGCTTGAACCCAGGAGGCAAAGGTTGCAGTGAGTCGAGATTGTGCCATTGCACTCCAGCCCGGGAAATAAGAGTGAAACTTCATCTCAAAAATAAATAAATAAATAAAGTGCATCCAAATTGAAAAATCATCAAATTGTCCCTCTTTGCAGATGATATAATCTTATACATATAGAAAAACTTAAAAACTCCAACAAAAAACCTCTTAGATTTGATAAATGAATTCAATAAAGTTGCACGACACAAAATTAACATACAAAAATTTGTAGTATTTACAAACACCAATAACAAACTAGCTGAAAAAGAAATCAAGAAAGTAATTCATTTACAATAGCTACAAAAAAAATAAAATACCTAAGAATATATTTAACCAAGAAGGTGAAAGATGTCTACTATGAAAACTACAAAACACTGATGAAAGAAATTGAAAAAGACACAAAGAGAAAGATGTTCATAAATTCAAAAAACTAATATTGTAAAAATGACAATACTGTCCCAAGCCATCTACAGATTCAATGCAATTCTTATGAAAATACCAATGACGTTCTTCGTAGAAATTTTTTAAAAATCCTAAAAAATGACACATGGACCAATGGAACAAAATAGAAAACTCAGAAATAAATCCATGTATTTATGGTCAACTGATTTTAGACAACAACTCCAAGAACATATGTTGGAGAAAGAACAATCTCTTCAATAAATGATTCTGAGAAATTTGATATCTACATGCAGAAGAACTAAACTAGACTCCTATCTCTCACCATACAATAAATCGACTCAAAATGGGTTAAAGAGTTAAATGTAAGACCCAAAACTATACAGTTAACAGAAAAAAAAGCACAGGGGAAATGCATCAGGAAATTTGTCTGGAAAAAGGTTTTATGGCTAAGACCTCAAAAAAACAGGCAACAAAAGCAAAAATAGACAAGTGAGATTATTTCAAACTAAAAAAGTTTCTGCACAGCAAGGAAAAAAATTAACATAGTGAAGAGACAACCTGTAGAATGGGAGAAATTATTTGCAAATTATTCATCAGACAAGGGACTAATATTCAGAATATACAAGGAACTCAAACAATTAAACAGCAAAAAAAAAAAAATCCAATTAGAAAATGGAAAAAGAATCTTCTATCTTCTCAAAAGAACATAGTATAGTTTCAATGTTTGCCCTCTCCAAATCTCATGATGAAATGTAATCCTCAACGTTATAGTTGGGGCCTGGTGGGAGATTATTGGATCACAGGAGCTAATCCCTCATGAATGGCTTAGCACCATCCCCTTGGTAATAGCAGAGTTCTCCATCAGTTCACATGAGATCTGGTTGTTTAAAAGTCTAAGACTTCCCACTTCTCTCCCTCTTTCGCTCTCACTCTTGCCATGTGACATTGCTTGCTTTCCCTTTGCCTTCCTCCATGATTGGAAGCTTGCTGATACTCTCACCAGAAACAGATGCTGCAGTTGTACTTATACAGCCTGCAGAACCATGATCCAATTAAACCTCTTTCCTGGCTGGGTGTGGTGGCTCATGCCTGTAATCCCAACATTTTGGAAGGCCAAGGCAGGAGGATTATTTGAGCCCAGGTGTTCCAGACAAGCCTGGGCAACAGAGAGACCCCATCTCTACAAAAAAAAAAAAAAAAAAAGGAAAGAAAAGAAAACAAGAAATAAAATTAATTAATTTTAAAAACCTAATTTCTTTATAACTTACTTCATTTCAGGTATTCCTTTATACTAATAAAAAAAGGGCCTAATATAGAAAATTCATACTGAGGAGAGAGGCATTGCCATAAAGATGCCTAAAAGTGTGGAAGCAGCTGGGCGCAGTGGCTCACGCCTGTAATCCCAGCACTTTGGGAGGCCGAGGCAGGTGGATCATGAGGTCAAGAGTTCGAGACCAGCCTGGTCAATATGGTGAAACTCCATCTCTACCAAAAATACAAAAATTAACCAGGCATGATGGCGCGCACTTGTAGTCCCAGCTACTTGGGAGGCTGAGGCAGAAGAATCACTTGAATCCAGGAGGAGAAGGTTGCAGTGAGCCAAGATCACACCACTGCACTCCAACCTGGGTGACAGAGCATGATTCCATCTCAAAAAAATAAAAAATTAAATTAAAAAACATGTGGAAGCAGATTTGGAGCCCGGTAATAGGCAGGGATTAAAAGTGTTCAGAGGGCTCAGAAGAACACAGAAAGATGAGGGGAAGTTTGAAACTCCTTAGAAACTGATTAAATAGTTGTGATCAAAATGCTGATAGAGATATGAACAGTGAAGGTCAGGCTAATAAGGTCTCAGATGGAAATAAGGAACTTATTGGAAACTGGAGTAAAGGTCACAATTGTTACTCCCTAATAGAGAACTTGGCTGCCTTGTTTCCATGTTCTAGGGCTTTGTGGAAGTTTGAACTTCAGAGCAATTACTTAAGGTAATGACTTAGAAGAAATCTCTAAGAAGCAAAATCTTCAAGAAGTGGCATAGCTGCTTCTAACAACCTATAATTTTAAGTGGGAGCAAATAAATGACTTACAGTTGGAATTTATAATTAAAAGGGAAGCAGAGCATAGCCTGGCCAGGTGGTAGAAAAGGAAAGCCCATTTTCAGTGAAAGAATTCAAGAGGACTGCAGAGCAACCATTTGCTAAACAGATTATCATGACTAAAAGGGAGGCAAGTGCTAATATCCAAGACAATGGGAAAAAGGCCTCAAAGGAATTTCAGAGAACTTCCAGGCCTCTCCTTCCACCATGGGCCCACAGGCCTAGGAAGAAATAATGGTTTCAGGGGCCAACCCCAAGGGCCTGCTACCCTGCACAGCCTTGGGACATTGCTCTCCACATCCTAGCTCTTCTGGCTTCAGCCTCAGCTCAAAGGAGTCCAGGTAAAGTGCAGATTACAGCTCTAGAGTGTGCAAGCCATAAGTTTTGGCAGTTTTCATGTGGTGTTAAGTGTGGCAGATGCTCAGAATACAAATGGGAAAGAGGCCTGGTGGCTTCTACCTAAGTTTCAGAGGATCTATCAGAAAACCTGGGTGCATAGGGAGAAGCCTGCTGTAGGGGTGGAGCCCCACAGAGAAACTCTACTAGCATAATGCCAAGGGAAGATGTGGGGCTGGATCTCCTGTGCAGGGTCCCCACCAAGGCACTGCCTAGTGGAGCTGTGGGAAGAGGGTCACCTCCCTCCAGACCCAGAATGTTAGAGCCACTAGCAGCTTGTATCCTCAGCCTGGAAAAGCTGCAGACACTCAACCTGTGAGAGCAGCCATGGGGGATCCACTCTGCAAAACCACAGAGGCAGAGCTGCCCATGGCCTTGGGAGTCCACTTCTTACATCAGTGTACCCAGGATATGGGATATGGAGTCAGAGAAGATTATTTTGGAGGTTTAAGATTTAATGACTGCACTGCTGGGTTTCAGACTTGCTTGAGGCCTGTTGCCCCTTTCTATGGGCTGACTTCTCCCTTTTGGAATGGGAATGTTTATCCAATGCCAGTACCATCACTATAGCTCTCTCTGTTTCTTGCTCTCACTCTTGCCATGTGACATCACCTGCTCTTCCTTTGCTTTCTGCCATGATTGGAAGATTCCTGAGACCCTCACCAGAAGCAGATACTGGAGCCAAGCTTGTACAGCCTGCAGAACTGTGAGTCAATTAAACCTCTTTTCTTTATAAATTATCCAGTCTCAGGTATTTCTTTATAGTAACACAAAAATAGCTTAGTACTGAAGACATACAAATGGCCAACAAGTATATTTAAAAAAAAAAGTTCAATGTCATTATCAGGGAAATAGAAATCAAAACCACAATGATACATCTTCTCACCCCAGTTGGAATGGTTATTATCAAAAAGAAAAAAGTAACAAATGATGGCAAAAAGGCAGAGAAAAGGGCACTCTTATACACTGTTGGTAGGACTATAAATTAGTACAGCCATTAAGGAAAACAGTATGGAGTTTCCTCAAAAAATTAAAAATAGAACTACCATGTGATCCAACAATTCCACTATGGGTATTTATGCAAAGGAAAGGAAATCAGTGCATCTAAGATATATCTGCATTTTCATGTTTATTGCAGCATTATTCACAATAGCCAAGATATGGAATCAACCTATTATCAACGGATGAGTGGGATAAAGAAAATGTGTTATATATACACAATGAAATATTATTCAACCATAAAAAAGAATAAAATCCTATCATTTGCAGCAACATGAATGAGCCTGGAGGACATTGTGTTAAGTGAAGTATCAGGTACAGAAAAATAAATATCACATGTTCTCACTCATTGGTGGGAGCTAAAAGTTTGCACCCATAGAATTAGAGAGTAGAACTCTCTACTCTAGGGTAGGAGGGAGAGGAAAGACAGAGGTTGGTTAATGAATACAAAATCACAGCGGGACAGGAGGAATAGGTTCTAGTTTTCTGTAGCACTGTAGGATGGCTATAGTCAACAATAGTTTATTGTATATTTTTCTTTCTTTTTTCTTTTTTTTTTTTTTTTTGAGACATAATCTTGCTCTGACACCCAGCATGGAGTGCAATGGTGCAATCTTGGGTCACTGCAACCTCCGCCTCCCAGGCTCAAGCTATTCTCCTGTCTCAGCCTCCCTAATAGCTGGGATTACAGGCACACATCACCACGCCCAGCTAATTTTTGTATTTTTAGTAAAGACGGGGTTTCACCATGTTGCCCAGGCTGGTCTTGAACTCCTGACCTCAGGTGATCCACCCACCCTGGCCTCCCAAAATGCTGGGATTACAGGCATGAGCCACCGTGCCCAGCCTATGGTATATTTTCAAATACCTGGAGGAGAGGATTTTTTTTCTCACTATGAAATTACAGTGGAAGAGAGATTTTGAATATTCCCAACACAAAGAAATGATGTTGGAGGTGACAGAGATGCTAATTACCCTGATTTAATTATTACACATTGTTTATATGCATCAATGTATCACTTTGTACCCCTAAATACATATAATTGTTACATGTCAATTAAAAATAAAATATAACTAAGGAGATAAAATATAAACATAAAGAGAAAAATATCAAGAGACAGCAGTATAAGTGTGAGAGACACTGAAAGAAAGAGCACCTTCCAGTGCAGCCCTTGCAACAGTGCCCCCACTCACTCCTGCTGTTCCTCTCCATTCCCTCTTGCACATGACTTGACTCCTCACTGTTCCTCTCCATTGCTCTTGGTAAAATACAAATTGTCCAACAGTGGCTGCTCATCTTTAACAATTCTTCCCTCCCTGAGAATCATTCTTAATCTACTCTTTCTGAAACTAGCTGAACTCCAGCTGGACACCCTTGCTAAAGCCCTTTACAACATTCCTCTCTTCTTCCTACCTTAGAAGGCTCCTTCAGTCTTATATCTAGCATTTGCAAATAAAAACTTCTCCCCACTCCATTTAAAAAAAAAAAAACAGTGCTACCATCATTAGTGAGTCTATGTTTCATCATAAAATACCTGACCAGCCGGGCACAGTGGCTCACACCTGTAATCCCAGCATTTTGGAAGGCTGAGGCGGGCAGATCACGAGGTCAGAAGATCAAGACCATCTTGGCTAACACGGTGAAACCCTGTCTCTACTAAAAATACAAAACAATTAGCCAGGTGTTGTGGCGGGCCCCTGTAGTCCCAGCTACTTGGGAGGCTGAGGGAGGAGAATGGCGTGAATCTGGAAGGCAGAGCTTGCAGCGAGCCGAGATGGTGCCACTGCACTCCAGCCTGGGCAACAGAGTGAGACTTTGTCAAAAAAAAAAAAAAAAAAACCTGACCATTATCATAATAATACCTAAAATTATGAATTATTATGTGCCAGGCTCCCATAATATTCTTGTATTGTCTTATGTAGTCCTCACCACAACCTTGTAAGCTAAATACTATTATTTTTCCATTTTACAAATACGGAAAATGACAACCTGGACATTTATTACTTAAATTCACACAATCATTATAAGTTGATGGTATGGCTGGGCTAAAACCCATCCTAGTCTAATATTTCTTAATATTAAACATTTGCTTTAATTTCTGAAGTTTTCATTTGTACTTCTGTGCCATAATTCATGAAGGATGATAAATGAGGGATTATTTATTTTCATGACAGAAAGAAATATAGCACATAATTATCCTTCCACAATATCATCAATAAACTACTGAACTAGTGGTAAAGTTCCATGAAAAAAATTAGGATTGGTCAACCCAGTATTTTTAGAAAGTTGACAAGTTTCATAAAGTGATTTGTTTTGAAAGCTACCTTTTCCATGAGAAGATATTCTGACTCCCACATTCTGGACAAATGAAGAATTCTGTCAACTTAGTGATTGGGTCACAGTTTTATTTAAGGGTTCCTTTTTCAGTGAAATACATATCACATACACCTGCATGCATGCAAAAAATAAATCCCACTTTAATTTTTAAAAATTTAAATGACACTTTAAAAAAGATGTAACATCCCTTAAATCAATGATTAGATAGATGAATAAATAGAAGACGGATGGATGGATAGATAGATAGATAGATAGATAGATAGATAGAAACATACATAGATACATAGATAGATAAACATTTGTTTTTGACTCTGATGACTTTGTTTTAAAACTGAGCCCTAAGAAGAGCGTGGCAAAAGCATGGTTATGTGAGATTGTCTGTTAACTTTTCTGGACCTCCCTGATTTTCAAACTCTGCCTCTTTCCCGTGTGCTCCTCCACACTTCAGCTGTTTCACTAGACCTCACCTCCAATGACTGACAGAAACTGGTTCTGGTAAAACTCACCCAGCATATTCTCCTGTTCCATATGTGCACGTTGACATTATGAGAACTACAAAAAAAGACCCAAAGACCTGGTAAGATCCAGATGAAACATATTTGTCATAATTCAGTAGCAGTGTGGCTGCCCCCAAGAAAACAATGTATTATCTTTCCTTCCTGTACAGTGAGAATTATGTAGTAAACCATGTTTCTTTTTTGCTTTGACCTCCAAGAAGGTCAGAAGCAAATTTACACCTTAATCATATGAAACTTTACAGTGCTTTTTTTTCCCCCCCTTCTAGTATAATTTACTCCATTTTGTTTTTTCCTGCTACTGATTTTATTTATATGTAACTAGTTAAGCATTTCTCTAGCTGGGTTTCCTTTAACACTACTTTTATATATATGAATAGATCCTTTATGAAAAAAATTCCCTTTAAAAGGTTTTAGGGAAATATTGCATAATAACTATAGCCCCACATCATCCCCAAAAGTCACTTTTATTGAATTTTAAGGGAATCCCAAAAATTCCAGAGAAATTTGAACATGGAACAGTTTTGTCATGATATATATTAATATCTTAAAATATAGTTTGCAAAACACTGTGCTTTCTTGCTTTGTGTATTTTCTGATAGCCACTTTATATCCTTGAGGAAATCAGGAAAGGTATATTGGGGGAACCCACCCCCAATATTTCAACCTAGGTTCTTTCTATTTTCCATAAGTGTCGGCCGGCTGAGAAATAGAGACAGTACAAAGAGAGGAATTTTACAGCTGGGCCACCAGGGGTGACAACACATGTCGGTAGGACGGTGACGCCCATCTGAGTCTCAGACCAGCAAGTTTTTATTAAGGGTTTCAAAAGGGGAGGGGGTGAAAGAACAGGGAGTAGGTACAAAGATCACATGCTTCAAAGGGCAAAAAGCAGAACTACTAATAAGGGTCTAACAAAGATCACATGCTTCTGAGGGAACAGGACAAAGGGCAAAAGCAGAATTATAACGGTCCAACAAAGATCACAGGGCAAAGGGCAAAAGCAGAACTACTGATAAGAGTCTATGTTCAGTGGTGCATGTATTGTCTTGATAAACATCTTAAACAACAGAAAACAGGGTTCAAAAGCAGAGAACCGGTCTGACCACAGATTTACCAGGGCGGAGTTTTTCCCCACCCTAGTAGGCCTGAGGGTATTGCAGGAGGCCAGGGTGTATCTCAGTCCTTATCTCAACCGCATAAAACAGACATTCCCAAAGCGGCCATTTATAGACCTCCCCCCAGGAATGCATTCCTTTCCCAGGGTATTAACATTAATATTCCTTGCTAGGAAAAGAATTTAGCGATATCTCTCCTACTTGCACATCCGTTTATAGGCTCTCTGCAAGATGAAAAATATGGCTCTTTTTGCCCAACCCCGCAGGCAGTCAGACCATATGGTTGTCTTCCCTTGTTCCCTAAAAATCACTGTTATTCTGTTCTTTTTCAAGGTGCACTGATTTCATATTATTCAAACACACGTTTTACAATCAATTTGTACAGTTAACACAATTATCATAGTGGTCCTGAGGTGACGTACATCCTCAGCTTATGAAAGATAACAGGATTAAGAGATTAAAGTAAAGACAGGCATAAGAAATTATAAAAGTATTATTTGGGAACTGAAAAATGTCCATGAAATATTAACAATTTATGTTCCTCTGCTGTGGCTCCTAGCCGGTCCCTCCATTCAGGGTCCCTGACTTCCCGCAACAAAGGTATACATGGACAGATGGATGATTGATTAAATAAGCACATTAGAATTGAATTTTTCAAAACTGCACAGTATATTATTTAATTTCCAAGTTGAATTCTAGAGCAGTTTCATATGCAGAAACTGCCATACCCAATATGAACAACCTATTTGAAGAAATAATTTTAATCAGCTTAAAATAAAGAGACACAAATTTAAAAGAATTTCTGAAGAAAAGTGAAAGATAAGAATCAAGTCAGGTGGGAAAGAGAGAGAAGGTTAAACCCAGAAAAATAAAAGCAATGAAAAAGAACGTGCTGCGATGGATCACAAAACTTTAGCTCAAGTTCTTACATCCAAGGCAAGAAAAAAAGAAAAAGAAAACAAGTGGTTGTCAAATTAGTGCTCTCTAATAAAACAAAACAGACCATAATATGAGATTATAAGAAAACTTTATCATGTAGAAACTTATGATATTTGAGTCAATAATAGGCCGAGTGTGGTGGCTCACACCTGTAATTCCAGCACTTTGGGAGGCTGAGGTGGGTGGATAGCTTGAATTCAGGAGCTCGAGACCAGCCTGGCCAACATGGTGAAACCCTGTCTCTACTAAAAATAGAAAAATTAGCCAGTGTGGTGGTGCACACCTGTAAAAAAAGAGGACTAAAAGAAAGTCCTCTTTTTTTTTTTTTTTTTTTTTTTTGCCAGGAACACTATGTTGAGGAGAGAGTTCTCAAAATTAAAAACAGAATAGGAAGTAATAAAAAATTCAGTGGAAGATAAAGCTGAAGAAATATCCCAGAATGTGGAACAAAATGATAAAGAGTTGAAAATAAAAAAGTGCAACAAAATTGGAGGACTAGTCTAGGGGTTCCCATACCTTAAAAACAAGATTTCCAGAAAGAAAAGAGAAAACAAAGCAGAGGTTGGTCTGGCAGTTTTTCAAGAACTATTTCAAGGAAATGTCTCAGAACTGAAAATTTCCAAATTAAAAGGCCCCACAAAATATCCAACATAATGGATTAAAACATCGTCACCAACCCACATTATTGTAAAATTTTGAAAAATTTCGAGAAAAAAATTGGGAGGGGAAAAAAATCTACAAGCTTGTAGAAAGACAAAAACAAGTTTCATATAAAATCTCAACTATCGGCCAGGCACGGTGGCTCACAACTGTAATCCCAGCACTTTGGGAGGCTGAGGCAGGTGGATCACTTGAGGCCAGGACTTAGAGACTGGCCTGACCAATGTGGCGGAAACTCCTCTTTACTAAACGTACAAAAATTAGCTGGGCATGGTGGTGGATGCCTGTAATCCCAGCTACTCAGGAGGCTGGGGCATGAGAACTGCTTGAGCCAGGGAGGTGGAGGTTGCTGAGATCACACCACTGCACTCCAGCCTGGGCGACAGAGCAAGACTGCCTCAAATTAAAAAAACAAAACAAAAAAAAACTCAATAACAGACATCACTAAGCAATGTCATTTTCAATGTATTTCATTATAGGTTTTTAAGTACACATCAGGAGACTTTAAGTGTCATATAAATTATAAGTGTGTAATGCATTCATTAAATAAAGCTAGAGTGGGTTCTGCCAGTAGGATACTAAAGTCAGTGAGACAAACCCCACCCTTCATATATAGAATTTATAAAATAACAAACCAAGCTTGTTTCATGACTCATAGAACCCTTGTGAGGAGAGCAGTAATCACCTGGTGACCATCAAACACCATCTGGAGGCAAAACTTCTTATCTGAGGAATTTAGAAGGGAACAAAGACCACCTGGTCGCATCTGGTTCCAGGTCTCTTTCAACTTTTATAAGTAACTAAAATTTCTATACTTCTCTGGAATGTCATGCTGAAACTCATTTTACAATGCCAAGCTCCCGCCTTAAGGTCCATAAATACCCCTAAGGAAAATCCACCACGGTGCTCAGTCCTCTCACTGAGGCGCTCCACTGTACCCTTTTGCAGCGTTCCTCCTTTCTAATAAACTTCCCTTTTTCAAACCTATACTGTTGTTGGTAAACTACAACCCGCGAGTTCACCACTTCCTGGTGCTGAGGCTCTCACACCTCCCCCGGCATCTTGGAAATACCAAGGCAAAAAAAAAAAAAAAGAGGCTAGGGAGTAGATTTTGGAGGACATTGATGAGGAGCTTGCTCTGAAGAGAGCCAGCCCACTTGGGATGACTTGATCTTGTCAATAAGACTCAGCAGAACAGGAGAAGACTTAGCAGAAAGTCACTGGGAATTTACCTCTGGAAGCTGAGACTTAAGAAAGAAGATGCAAGTGACTAACAGGAATAGAGATTAAGCCACTAGAAAGAACAACACCTTTGAAAAAAAGAAAAAAGAAAAAAAGAAAAAGTTGCAACTGCGTTTTAAATCAGGAAGTCTTTTAGGTTGGCGCACTGATGTGTCTCATCTTAAGAGTGCTTTGGAAAGGGGAGAAACAGGATACTTTAAAATCCAGAAGTTTCTTTTATTTCCTTTTTTTATAACAATTTTTAAAATGTGACTATCTAAACATGGAAAAAAAACGCCTCCCAATATTCCCTTCAAAAACTTTTCAAGCTTCAAAGACACTTGCTTTATACCCAACAGACTTGATCTTTACACTTTGAGAAGCGTTACTGTATTCAGTTGGCTCCAGGGTGTGAAAAGCAATTCCTCACACTCTATCAGCTTTTGACAATAGGCACTTATGGGCCTGAGTGATCTAAAATAGATTAATGAGGCACTAAAGTACTTTAATGAATAATGGAGCATTTTAAAATTTATTTTGTTTTTTAATTCATTTAACTGCAATCAATTTAACAGTTGAAACACTCCCTCCTGAGTATATTAAAAGGCATATTATATTGAGGTTTTATTAATTTATTATGTTTCAATTCATTTATCATGTATTCATTTTATTAATTTATTCATTGAATTGAGCTTCACCATACAAATATTGTAGAAATCAATGATTTTATTCGGTTTTATGTTCAGCACAACAAGTTTTCAGCACATTAACCAGGGAATTTGGAATCTGTGAGCAGAAACACCATTGGCATAATGCAAAAATATAGTTATCATTTCAAAGAGCATAGGATAACTAGAGTCCACTCAAGAATTTTGATTCTATCTCCCTTAAAAGGTAGACTTTTTTAAAATAATCAGATAGTTTGCAGGCATTCTACATCCTTCTCCTTTTGTTGACTTACTCATCTATTTGTAACATTCCCTTCCCTCTCTCAGAAATACACTCTTTTTAAATGCACCCCCTACCCTCCTTTCACTGATAAAAGTAACAAAGATCTTAAAGAACTGAGTCACACCACTGTTCCTTATGTTCCCATCTATACTAATAAAGAGTGATGGTGGGATTTTGGGTATTTCTACCCATCATAAAGAAATTTGTAAATAATATTTGGCAGACTAGGTCGGGGAAGATGGTTTTCCCATGTGATAACAAAGTTTTGGCTGTCATGTATATGGAAGGTTGTTCTTACCTGTTAGAATGACCTAAATCTTTTTGCAAAACATTTTTCTTTTTAGAGGGTTAGAATTTTATCTGTGAGATTTAACCAGAAACTATCTTGTCATTTAGGTCCACAGAACCAAGCCTGTTTGGAAAACAGTCCTTTAAGAAAAGCTTGTTTCCTTGCTCAACTCAACTGTCTTGACCGCCTTAAACCAAAAGCAAATTTGGAAGACCCCTCCTGCCAAAGCAATCTAAAAGAAGTGAGTGTACTAGCTTGCTTAGCAGTCCACAACTTCAGCAACTGGGCTGATGCAGGTAAATCCTATTTGAGGGTTCAGTCCACCCCTGATAGTGGATCAACTCTGGGTCATTCTTGCAGCTGAATTCTTGCAGTTATGTTTCTAAACTTAACATATCAATTATTTAATTACTGTGCTGTGGTATTAATTCCCAGTGCCTACCTTTTCTCCTTGCCTTGCACAGTGCCTTACACATTTATCAATAAATATTAGTCAAGTGTATGGATGAATAAAACAATTTCAAGTTCCTAGGTGCCCCATTCTTATCTAGAGTCCCTGCTTCATGCTACAATCCCTCAGAAACTGGATTATCTGCTCATCTCTGAGTTTCTAATACCTAGTACTTGTCTGAAGGCACCATCTGAATGGCTCCTATTACTTAAAGCTCAGATTATTTTCTATGCTGCCCTGTATTGATATTCTTCACCTTAGAATCTTACTCAGATTTTAGAGAATCCTTTTCATGTCTCTCAAGATCTCTCCTCCAAAATTTAATCTCACGACTTGAAATGCAGCTTTGGGTACATCTGTCATGAGACCAATTCCTAGAATGACTGACCCTGAGCCATAATGTTACGTTCAAACCTGTAGATTCTGCTTTCTCTACCAGGTCCTTTTACTGAGTCCCTGCCTGCCCTCTCCCCACATAACTATCATGATCTGATGTCTGATTCAAACAGGTTGTTCTTTACTCACTTTGAACAGAAGGACAAAAAGGAGATTGCAAACAGAATGGTTTATACGACCACCTTTAGCAATACATTGGAGTGAATTCACTAACAAAAAACACTCAGGTTTAAGGGGAAAAGAAATCTTCTAGATCATGCCAATTTTCTGCTATCTCATCTCCATATCAGGCTATTATCAGAAAAAAATACATTTATTCATTCAAATATATTTATAGAGTTTCTAGTATATGTAAGATTCCCTGGTAGATTTGGAAGGTGTTTTGCTGAACAGGACAGATGTGGATCCAGTCCTGACGGGGTTCACAGTTGGCCCATTTTTCATGGATTGTTCTCACTACGAATTCATAATTTCTAGGATAAATGAGTTTTTGGCTCTATCTTACCATCCTATGTGTTTGCGGACAGTTTTCTCTCACATGCTGCTGCACTGTGGTTATTTTATTTTATTTTTTTTTTTTGAGACAGAGTTTCGCTCTTTCGCCCAGTCTGGAGTGCAGTGGCCCGATCTTGGCTCACTGCAACCTCCGCCTTCTGGTTTCAAGCGATTCTCCTGCCTCAGCCTCCTGAGTAGCTGGGATTACAGGCGCCCGCCACCATGCCTGGCTAATTGTTGGGGTTTTTTGTTTTATTTTGTTTGAGACAGAGTCTTGCTCTGTCACCCAGGCTGGAGTGCAGTGGCGTGATCCTGGCTCACTGCAACCTCCGCCTCCTGGGTTCAAGCAATTCTCCTGCCTCAGCCTCCCAAGTAGCTGGGACTACAGGTGAGTGCCACCATGCCCCTGGCTAATTTTTTGTATTTTTAGTAGAGACAGGGTTTCACTGTGTTAGCCAGGATGGTCTCGATCTCCTGACCACACGATACGCCCACCTCGCCCTCCCAAAGTGCTGGGATTAAAGGCGTGAGGCACTGTGCCTGGCCTAATTTTTGTATTTTTAGTAGAGACGGGGTTTCACCACGTTAGCCAGGCTAGTGTGGAACTCCTGACCCCATGATCCGCCCACCTCAGCCTCCCAAAGTGCTGGGATTACAGGTGTGAGCCACCATGCCCAGCCCACAGTGGCCTTTTAAAAACACCTTCACTCACAGCAAGTTCCTCCTTCTCCACCACACTCCTTACTCTTAAGCCATGGCATCATCTCCTATTTTACAGAAAAAAAAGAGGCATCATCACTCAGGAATTTATTCAAATATTATCTCACTTCCCAATTACAACATATGGGCAAATTTGCTTCTTTTGTCCTGTTAAACTAGAAGAGGTGTCTTTCCCTGCCTCTGAGATCAATCTGATACCACTGCCTGGCTTCCTCAGAAATCTCTATTCAACTATCTTCATGCCCCTTTCCTGTGCCCTCGACTATTCTATTTCCACAGATTCCTTCCTGTTTAAACAGGCTGCAGTCGTTTTCAGGTAAAAGAAAACCCCACTTAGATAAAAGCTAAAAGTAATAACCATCTCTGTTGTACCTTTCTTTTTCTCTTCCCTTCAAACTTTTTGAAAAAGGTGTCTCATGTATGGTTTCTACATTGGCATCCTCATCTTCCAGTCAGTCTCCCCCTTCCATCATCTCACACATTTCTCTACTGACTCTAGTGTCACAAAAGTGTGTCCAGAATTGGTTCCTTCCAGTGGGTTCTTGATCTCGCTGACTTCACGAATGAAGCCACGGACCCTCATGGTGAGTGTTACAGTTCTTAAAGATGGTGTATCTGGAGTTTGTTCCTTCAGATGTTCAGATGTGTCCAGAGTTTCTTCCTTCCGGTGGGTTCGTGGTCTCGCTGACTTCAGGAGTGAAGCCACAGACCTTCGCAGTGAGTGTTACATCTCTTAAAGATGGTGTGTCTGGAGTTGTTTGTTCCTCCCGGTGGGTTCGTGGTCTCACTGACTTCAGGAGTGAAGCCGCAGACCTTCACAGTGAGTGTTACAGCTCATAAAGGTAGTGTGGACCCAAAGAGTGAGCAGCAGCAAGATTTATTGTGAAGAGCAAAGGAATAAAGCTTCCACAGCGTGGAATGGGACCCTAGCAGGTTGCCACTGCTGGCTCAGGTGGCCAGCTTTTATTCCCTTATTTGGCCCCGCCCACATCCTGCTGATTTGTCCATTTTACAGGGGGCTGATTGGTCCATTTTACAGAGTGCTGATTGACCCATTTTACAGAGTGCTGATTGGTGCATTTTTACAGAGTGATGATTGGTGCGTTTGCAATCCTTTAGCTAGACACAGAGCGCTGATTGGTGCATTTACAATCCTTTAGCTAGACACGAAAGTTCTCCAAGTCCCCACCCAACCCAGAAGCCCAGCCGGCTTCACCTCTCAGTCCTCCCTCTAAACAGGACACCCTAACTGCTGTTGGGAATCGGGTGATGACCACTCTAGCTAGTTCCTGGGGGATGGGGGCTATGAAGGGGCCCTGCAGTTCTAGTGTCCTCCAGAGGGGAACTCTTTAGGCCACTGAAAGGGCCAGTGGGTTGGTCCAAGGGTCCTTGGTAGAAGTTGTTAGTTGAGCTCATTTGGGGTTCCATTTGTAAGACCATCTGTAGCTTGATGGCCTCGATCCTAGAGGAAACAAACTTGAAAGGAGGTTAAAAATACAGGTCCCAAAGGCAAATAATAGCAAGATGGCTGTCACAGGACCTAGGAAGGGGAGAAGCCATGTTGTCCAACTCCAGACATTGGTATAAGAGTTTGAAAGGCATTGTCTGATTTCAGAAGCCTGTTCCTGTAAATGCCAGGCAGCATCTCACACTATCCCTGACTGGTTAGTGTAAAAACAACACTCTTCCCCTAAGAAGGTGCAGAGTCCTCCTTTCTCAACAGTGAGGAGGTCTAGGCCTCGGCGGTTTTGGAGAGTCACTGCTGCCAAAGAGTCTATTTGGAATTGCAGAGTAAGGATAGGGTTCTTTATTTCTTGCAAACTGTCTGAGAAATCCTTTGGGAGTGTGTGGTAGTAGGATAATGAAGTAGATAAACTGGCTATTCCAGTTCTTGTAGCAGTAGCCATTCCTAACCCTATAAGTAGGGGTATTAGTTGTATGGCCCTGCAGTGATGGACTTGAGCTTTCAGGGGCACTGATAGGGTCTGATTTCCATAAGATTAGAAGTTAGGATAATACATTTTACATGGTTAACTTTTAGCAAACTTTACTTTTGTTGAAAACCTTGTAAGTTTAGGATTTTAATTTTTCTTTGCTATTAATAAAACCTCTTTCAGTCCACATTAACTAAGAATTGGTATAGATGGCTCCTTCATGATTCTAAAAGTACTTTATGGTTTGGCTGAGTGCAAACAGCTCGCATGTTTGAACAGACCAATTTTTAGGCAATTTTCCTAACTCTGCTTCTACAAGAGTTTCCTTATCACTTACCGAATACCCATTGTGTCTTTTTTCCTTAATCGCCTGGGAGGAACCATCTATCCTCCTGTCCTGAAGGGAGTCCCTCCTAGATCTGGTCTGAACTTTGTATGGTAATTAGTTAAGATTTAGATCCCCTGTTAGGAAACCTGCAGGGTTAAGGATTTTTGATAGGAAGGCTATAGGTTGTCAGAGGCCTCAGTGCTTTCGGGCTACACCCTTGTTTAAACTGACAACAAGGTGGTATTGGAGTGTTATAGGGTTACAGAGAAGACCTTCAATTATCAATTATAGGTTTTAACTTTACCCTGGCTTTTAAAGGAATAGGGTAAACAGTTTTTTCTTTACTACTTCCATCTCTCTTTCTCTTTGACTTCTTCGTCTCTCTCTTTCTGACTCCCTGTCTCTTCCTCTCTCTCTTTGACTTTCTGTGTTTCTCTTTCTCTCTAACTCCCTCTGTCTCTGTCTCTTCCTCTCTCTCTTTCTCTGACTTTCTGTCTCTTTCTCTCTCCTTTCTGCTGGTCTTTCCCTGCCTTTGCCAGCTGCTTACGCTGCTGTTCTCCCCTCTCCTTCCCCTTTTGATGGCTTCGGCAATGTAAGACTGCCACCTCCTTGGGTTTTTGCACTGTGTGCAATAACTCCATAATTTCCTTGTGGTATTTAATGGGGGTTCCCCCAGAGGTTAAGAACTCCCTTTCTTTCCATATTGCAGCATGGGCATGTAGGATTAGATAAGCACACTTGCTATCTGTATACACATTTATTCTTTTTCCCTTTCCCAGTTCTAAGGCTCAGGTAAGTGCCACTAGTTCTGCTAACTGGGCGCTGGTCCCTGGGGGAAGAGGCTTACTTTCGAGTAATGTTACTATGGCATAACCTGCCCTTCACATCCCATTTTCCACAAATGAACTTCCATCAGTATATAGGTTATGGTCAGGATTAGCTAAGGGGACTTCCAAGAGATCATCTCAGGCGGCATAAGTCTGGACTATAATTTGTTGGCAGTCAAGCTCGATTGGTTCCCCATCTTCTGGGAGAAAAGTGACAGGGTTGAGGGCTGCACACGTACGTATTTTAAGCACTGGTCCCTCAAGGAGTAGCAACTGGTATCTAAGCAGGCGGTTGTCTGATAGCCATAAACTTCCTTTGGCACCCAGTATGCCATTTACATCATGAGTAGTCCAGACAGTGAGATATTTTCCTTGTATTATTTTGATAGCCTCTGACACTAAGACAGCCACCGCCAAAACTACCCATAAACAGTGAGGCCAGCCTTTTGCTACTACATCAATTTCCTTACTTAGGTATGCCACTAGTTGTGGGGTTGTTCCACGAGTCTCAGTAAGGACCCTAAGAGCTATTCCTGCTCTCTCTGTGACATATAAAGAAAAGTTTCATCCTGTGTGAAGGCTTAAGGCTGGAGCTTGAGTTTGTTCCTTCCAATGCCCAGACTTCAGGGTTGATTCCCTCCTCAAGCAGGGGACAAATTGTTAACTTGTTCCCCATATTCATGTAGATAATAGCTCCAGCTTTGGCTAATATATCCCTCCCTAATAAGGGTGTGGGACTTTCAGGCATAACAAGAAAGGCATGTGAAAAGAACAAAGTCTCCCAATTACAACTGAGGAGGTGGGAGAAATACCTGGTTACAGGCTGTCCCAGGATTCCTCGGATGGTAATGGACCTTGAGGACAGTCGTCCAGGACGGGAGATTAACACTGAGAAGGCCACACCAGTGTCCAGGAGGAAGTCAATTTCCTGGCCCTCAATGGTTAAATGTACCTGGGGGTCAGTGAGGGTGATGACATGAGCTGGCACTTGCCCTGGGCATCCTCAGTCTTGTTGTTGGATCATCTGGTTGGGGGCTTCTGGCCCACAAAACCTTAGACCTCTGGGGCAGTGTGCCTTCCAGTGATTGCCTCGGCATAGCAGACATGGGCGAGGGGGCAGCTTGTTTCTCATTGGACAATCTTTTTTAAAGTGTCCTTGCACACCACACCGATAACAAGCCCTACCAGGTGATTGGCCTGCTCCATTTTCTGTCCTCTCTGAACCACCAAGGTTTGTTTGTCTAAGGGCCATGACTAAGGCTGTGGCCTTTCCCTAATCTCGCTTTTCCTTTTCAGCCTGTTCCTCTTGTTTCCTATTATAGAATAACGAGGTTGCCAGGTTTAATAATGCCTCCAGATTTTGTTCAGGGCCCAGGGCTCACTTTTGGAGCTTTCTCTTGATATCTGCAGCTGATTGGGTAATAAACTTATCTTTTAGGATCAACTGACCCTCAAGGGAGTCAGGTGACAGGGGAGTATATTTCCTTAAGGCCTCCTGTAGCTGCTTGAGGAAGGCAGAAGGATTTTCTTCCTTTCCCTGAGTTACGGTAGACATCATTGAATAATTCATGGGCTTCATCCTAATTCTCCTTAGTCCTTCTAGAACACAGGTCAACAGATGTTTGCAACTCCAGTCCCCATGATCTGCGTTGAGGTCCCAGTGGGGATCCATACTGGGGACAGCTTGCTGACCGGTAGGGAATTTGTCCCTTTCTTCGACTGTCATTCTATCATTTACTTGACTAACATACCAGGTATCTCCAAACTCTCAGGCTGCAGGTAAAGCCTCATTCTTTTCATTAAAGGCCAGGGTTTGATCTAACAATAGCATGACATATCTCCAAGCGAGATAGAAGGTTTGCTCTAGACACTGTAGAACATCTATGTACCTATCAGGATCATCTGAAAACTTCCACAGGTCTGCCTTGATCTGCTTTAAATCAGAGAGGGAGAAAGGGACATGTACCCAGGTTGGGCCAAATTCCCCTCCCCCTACAGCTTGAAGGGGACATAACCGATAGCCCGGGGGGGGGGGTTGTGGTCCTTTGGATATTTCTTTGCTTGTTTCCTTCTGGGCGGGGGAGATTAGAGGAGGCTTGTCATTAATAGGAAGGGGAGCTACAGGGAAGCTAGGATATGGGGGTAAGCTGAGAGGTCCTCTTGTGGGATGTAAATTGCAAGCTTTGCATAGTTGTGGATTCCCCTTCAATGAAAAGAAAGCTTCAACATAAGGTATTTCACTCCATTTGCCTTTCCTCTTACAGAAAAGGTCAACCTGCAGGATAGTATTGTAATTTATACTTCCTTCAGGTGGCCATTTTTCCCCATCAGAGAGATAATAGTGGGGCCAAGCTATAGTGCAGGGGCCTTTTTTTCAGGGTTTGCAGGTCAAATTGGTCCCAATGGCTTAGGATGCATTTCAAGTGTGAACATGTTGATGCCTGAGTGTCTCCCAGCTGAAAGACAAAACCTCCCACAGTTTTGGTTTGTTTGTTTCTCCCCCTGCCCAAGAACCCGTAACAGTCCCTGGACCCTGCTGATCTGAATAGTTGTGCTCACTGATGCAGTAGCAGAAACACTAGTTTTCTTCCCAGACCACAAGGAGGACCAAGGAATGTCGGATTTAGTGGCCCTTACCGACGCATTCTTGAGAACCTGCACCCTTGCCTGTCCTCCTAGATCACAAAGAGGACCAAGAAAAATCGGATTTAGTGGCCCTTACTGAAGCATTCTCAAAAACCTGTTAGAATCCTAAGCATTCTCTTGTTAGTATTGGGACTTTTCCCCTATCTTATAAAGATGGTATGCCACAAAAATGAAGTGGAGGGCCATACCCTGAGAGAAGGACGGGATCTCCAGAGTTGGAAGAGTGATGCCTTTTGTCATCACTTATATGAATAGGAAGGATAAAATTTCTGAGGCTCCCCATATCCTAGCTTCAGGAATAGCTTTTGTTAGGCCTGCTTGTATGAGGAGGGATCCTAAAATTCCAGATAGTCCCCCTACAACAGGGCTTTGGAGAAAAATTATGTCTTTCTGATTGGTGAGCCCGGGTGCCTAAAGAAGGGAATAGAGTCCTGGAGTTTATACTAGAAATCATTCTTATAGGAGAAACTAGAAAAGCACCAGAGACAGGGAGTGGTTTTTAGAAGTGGGACTAGCCTCAGAGAAGAGAGGCCAGAGGAAGTTTGTCTGACAAGCATTAGGACCCAAGAGGCAAGGGTCAGGATAGATAGGACACATGGGTGAGTCTCGCTTGGGCGACGTAACTTTGAGAGTTCCGCTCATGGCTGCAGGGTCAACCAACAACTTGTCAGGACCCTGGAGCTGAATGGCTTTCCTCTCTGCCGACCCTCGGCTCAGCCCAGAAGTACAGGAAAAGCGGAAGCTGATTCCAAGCAAACCAATGCTCCCAATTCCGAAGAGTCGGGGTTGTTAGAGCACCCTTTCCCAGAAAGCCTGACACCCGTGTCTTTAGTCCAGCAGCTGTGCTACTCATATTTAACTGGCCATCAGGTGCCCGATATTTAGCCACCAAATTCCAAGGAAAAATAGGACAGAATAGCAAGCAAAAGGGGTCTGATGGTACTCACCGCTTGGCTATAGGTGACAGTCCCTTCGTGGTTGCCAAAATGTGTCCAGAATTGGCTCCTTCCAGTGGTTTCTTGGCCTCGCTGACTTCAAGATTGAAGCCGCGGACTCTCGTGGTGAGTGTTACAGTTCTTAAAGATGGTGTGTCCGGAGTTTGTTCCTTCAAATGTTCAGATCTGTCCAGAGGTTCTTCCTTCTGGTGGGTTCATGGTTTCGCTGACTTCAGGAGTGAAGCCACAGACCTTCGCAGTTAATGTTACAGCTCTTAAAGGTGGCACGTCCAGAGTTGTTTGTTCCTCCCAGTAGGTTCGTGGTCTTGCTGACTTCAGGAGTGAAGCCGCAGACCTTCACAGTGAGCTCTTAAAGCTGGTGCGTCCAGAGTTGTTTGTTCCTCCCGGTGGGTTCGTGGTCTCACTGACTTCAGGAGTGAAGCCGCAGACCTTCGCAGTGAGTGTTACAGCTGTTAAAGGTAGTGCGGACGCAGAGTGAGCAGCAGCAAGATTTATTGTGAAGAGCGAAACAACAAAGCTTCCACAGCATGGAATGGGACCTGAGCAGGTTGCCGCTGCTGGCTCAGGGGGCCAGCTTTTATTCCCTTATTTGGTCCCGCCCACATCCTGCTGATTGGTCCATTTTACAGAGCCCTGATTGGTCCATACTACAGACTGCTGATTGGTCCATTTTACAGACTGCTGACTGGTGCATTTTACAGAGTGCTGTTGGTGCGTTTACAATCCTTTAGCTAGACACAGAGTGCTGGTTGGTGCATTTACAATCCTTTAGCTAGACACAAAAGTTCTCCAAGTCCCCACCCAACCCAGAAGCCCAGCCGGCTTCACCTTTCAAAAGGAATAGAACAATTGTGTTGATAAACATAGCACTTTTCCATTCTTATCTTCCTAGACCTTTCTGATGCATTTGACATCCCTGATATCTCCATCACAGTTGAAATGTTGTATTTTCCTGGAGTTATCTCTCACTTGGTTAGCTACTCTTTCCCAATCTGCAGGAAAAAGACTTCTTTAAAGGCCTGAACCTTAAACGTTGTTATTCTCCAGGGTTCCATTTTCAACTCTTTCTTTCTCCACCACACATTCTTCCCGATCATGTCATTTATATATATGTGGCTTCAGCTATCATTTACATACTGATAATATCACAAAGTTATATGTTGGATCCTCTATGATAAGAAGAACAAATAAGGTGCTCGCTCAGCAGCACATATACTAAAATTGTAACAATACAGAGAAGATTACCACGGCCCCTGCACAAGGAAGATACACAAATTCATGAAGTGTTCCATATTTTAAGTGTTTAGAGGGAAATTCATAGCACTATATGCCCACAGCAGAAAGCAGGAAAGATCTTAAATTGACACCCTAACATCACAATTAAAAGAACTAGAGAAGCAAGAGCAAACAAATTCAAAAGCTAGCAGAAGACACGAAATAAGATCAGAGCAGAACTGAAGGAGATAGAGACATAAAAAACCCTTCAAAAAATCAATAACTGGTTTTGTGAAAAGATCAACAAAATACAAAGACCACTAGCCAGACTAATAAAGAAAAGATAGAAGAAAAAAATAAACACAATAAAAAATGATAAAGGGGATATCACCACTGATCCCACAGAAATACAAGCTACCATCAGAGAATACTATAAACACCTCTCCACAAACAAACTAGAAAATCTAGAGGAAATGGATAAATTCCTGGACAAATACACCTTCCCAAGATTAAGCCAGGAAGAAGTTGAATCCCTGAATAGACCAATAACAAGTTCTGAAATTGAAGCAGTAATAGCCCACCAACCAAAAAAAGCCCAGGACCAGATGGATTCACAGCCAAATTCTACCACAGGTACAAAGAGGATCTTTCCTTCTAAAACTATTCAAGGACTCCTCCCTAACTCATTTTATGAGGCCAGCATCAGCCTGATACCAAAACCTGGCAGAGACACAACAAAAAGGAAAGTTTCAGGCCAACATCCCTGATGAACATTGATGCGAAAATCCTCCACAAAATACTGGCAGAGTGAATCCAGCAGCACATCAAAAACCTTATCCACCCTGATCAAGTTGGCTTCATCCCTGGGATGCAAGACTGGTTCATCATGTGCAAATCAATAAATGTAATCCATCACATAAACAGAACCAATGACAAAAACCACATTATTATCTCAATAGATACAGAAAAGGCCTTTGATAAAACTCAATACCCTTCATGATAAAAATTCTCATTAAACTAGGCATTGATGGAATGTATCTCAAAATATTAAGAGCTATTTAAGACAAACCTACAGCCAATATCATACTGAATGGGCAAAAGCTAGAAGCATTCCCTTTGAAAACCGGTGCAAGAAAAGGATGCCCTCTCTCTCCGCTCCTATTCAACATAGTATTGGAAGTTCTGGCCAGGGCAATCAGGCAAGAAAAAGAAATACAGCATATTCAAATAGCAAGAGAGGAAGTCAAATTGTCTCTGTTTGCAGGTGACATGATTGTATATTAGAAAATCCTATTGTCTAAGCCCAAAATCTCCTTAAGTTGATAAGCAACTTCAGCAAAGTCTCAGGATAAAAAATCAACGTGCAAAAATCACATGCATTCCTATACACCAATAACAGACAAACAGAGAGCCAAATCATGAGTGAGCTCCAATTCACAATTGCTACAAAGAGAATAAAATACCTAGGAATACAACTTACAAAGGATGTGAAGGACCTCTTCAAGGAGAACAACAAACCACTGCTCAAGGAAATCAGAGAGGACACAAACAAATGGAAAAACATTCCATGCTCATGGATAGGAAGAATCAATATTGTGAAAATGCCCATATTGCCCAAAGTAATGTATAGATTCAGCGCTATCCCCATCAAGCTACAACTAACTCTCTTCACAGAATTAGAAAAAAACTACTTTAAATTTCATATGAAACAAAAACTGAGCCCATATAGCCAAGACAATCCTAAGCAAAAAGAACAAAGCTGGCGGTATCACGCTACCTGACTTCAAACTATACTACAAGGCTACAGTAACTAAAACAGCATGGTAAAGGTACCAAAACAGATATATAGACCAATGGAACAGAACAGAGGCCCCAGAAATAACACCACACATCTACAACCATCTGATCTTTGACAAACCTGACAAAAACAAGCAATGGGGAAAGGATTTCCTGTTTAATAAGTGGTGTTGGGAAACTGGCTAGCCATATACAGAAAACTGAAACTAGACCCCTTCCTTACACCTTATACAAAAATTAACTTAAGATGGATTAAATATTTAAATGTAATGCCTAAAACCATAAAAATCCTAGAAGACAACCTAGGCAATACCATTCAGGACATAAGCATGGGTAAAGACTTCATGAGTAAAACACCAAAAGCAATGGCAACAAAACCCAAACTAGGCAAATGAGATATAACTAAACTAAAGAGCTTCTGCACAACAAAAGAAACTACCACCAGAGAGAAGAGGCAACCTACACAATGAGAGAAAATTTTTACAATCTATCCATCTGACAAAGGGCTAATGTCCAGAATCTACAAAGAACATAAACAAATTAACAAGAAAAACAAACAACCCCATGAAAAAGTGGGCAAAGGATTTAAACAGACACTTCTCAAAAGAAGACAGTTATGTGGCCAACAAACATGAGAAAAAGCTCATCATGACTCGTCATTAGAGAAATGCAAATCAAAAGCACAATGAGATACCATCTCACGCTAGTTAGAATGGCAATCATTAAAAAGTCAGGAAACGACAGATGCTGGAGAGGATATGGAAAAATAGAAACGTTTTTACACTATTGGTGGGAGCGTAAATTACTTAAACCATTGTGGAAGACAGTGTGGCAATTCCTCAAGGACCTAGAACTAGAAATACCATTTGACCCAGCAATCCCATTACTGGGTATATACCCAAAGGATTATAAATCATTCTACTATAAAGATGCATGCACACGTATGTTTCTCGACACACTATTCACAATATCAAATACTTGGAACCAACCCAAATGCCCACCAATGATAGACTGGATTAAGAAAATGTGGCACATACACACTACGGAATACTATGCAGCCATTAAAAAGGATGAGTTCATGTCCTTTGCAGGGACATTGATGAAGCTGGAAACCATCATTCTCAGCAAACTAACACAGGAACAGAAAACCAAACACCAGGTTTCTCACTCCTAAGTGGGAGTTGAACAATGAGAACATGTGGACTCGGAAAGGAACATCACACACTGGGGCCTGTCCAGGGGTGGGGGCTTAGGGGAGGGATAGCATCAGGAGAAATACCTAATGTAGATGATGGTTCATGGGTGCAGCAAACCACCATGACACATGTATACCTGTGTAACAAATCTGCACATTCTGCACATGTATCCCAGAACTTAAAGTATAATAATAAAAAAAGAAGAACAAATTAGGTAAATCATACACATCAACTAGGAGAAAAATAGTGATTCTATGATAACAAGGAAGCATAAACAATGACTCTGTTTAATAGATAAGTGAATGGCTACAACCTCACCTAATCTCTAAGTGGAAGTGGAAAAATATTTTAATCTTCCAATACCTGCCCACCTCTATCTGGTGGAATCCGAACAGTTTTTGTGATTCAAATTGAACTAGGTCCTTATTAAAATACTCTAAAGCAATGTCTGGAAACTTCATATTTTTTCATAGCCTTTTGATCAACAATCTCACTTTTAGAATTCTATCATAAGATACAGAGAAGTGGTCAATAATCATCAGACTGATGCAGGATATTTTCTTGACCCCTTCATGGGACTTGCAACAGGGGTGCCTCATTTACTCAGGCTCCCTCGCAGGAGGGACCATGTAAGCGAATGAGTGCAGGAACTGGCCAGCCACTTTGGTGTTGGTAGGAGCAAACTCCACTCACTTGGGTCTGCTGTGCTCCACCCCTTGCAGGAAGAAGCACACACGTGAGCGAGTGCAGGACCCAGCTGCTTTAGCAACGGAGCGAACTCCATGGAGTTCCCACAGCAGCATCTATGTGGGGGTGCCTGCGACCCCAAAGCCCCAGAGGGCATGTTACAATGCTCTCCTAGCTCAGCTGTCTGCAGACAACAGTGTGTTATCAGTTCAGTGAGCCCTTTCCTTTGTTGTGTGAGGCGGCTGCCCTCTGGCAGTAAGGGCAAAGGGCCAGCAGGTACCCATACCTGGTGTGTCCTGAATTCTTGTCCAGTGCCAAAGAGGAATGAAGTCACGCGGATGAATTGAAAGACGGTGAATGTGGAGAATTTTGAGTGAGTAAAGCAGCTGTCAGTGGAGAGGAGAGCTGGAAAGGAGACAGAAAGGAAAGGTTGCTCTCCCCTAAAGTCAAGCTGCCTCTCTGCCTTTCTCTTCTGAAGTCAAGTTGCCTCATCCAGCCACCATCTCTGAAGCCAAAGTCACCTCTCCCCAACGTCTAGCTGCTTCTCCCCAACATCCAGCCACTTCTCCTCTCTGCCTGCTGCGTTTGGGGTCTTTATAGGCACAGGATGTGGGTGGGGCAGGACATAGGAATTTTTGGAAAAGGCAACATTCCATTGGTAAAAAAAAAAAAATATTATTCAGAAAGAACAAATCAGGAGACAGCAGGCACACAGGAATGGAAGTTCTCACTTTGGGCCACAGGTTTCAGACTTTTTGGCTCGAAGGTAGGGTCTTGCCAGGGACCTGCCCCTGTCTGACTAGAATTTATCTGCCTCCTGTTGCTATCAAAACTAGGATGTTTATCAGAAAATTATAAACTGCCTAAATACGGCCATGACTATACAACAGAATATTCTGCAGACATTTAAAATTCATGTCAGAGGAAAATTTATACATAAAAAGGAAGGAACAAAAGGATCTATCCTCAGAATAAAAATTTTCCATTCCTGAATCTATACAAAAGATAATTACACACACACACATACACACAAATCCAAAAATTATTTTTGCAACACTAACATGAATATAGAATCTTCCAAGGTGATTATTCTGAAAATAACATTTCCATGTAAGATCTTAAGATATATAGTGATGGCCAGTATAATAAATAGTTGAAAGATTGTTTAAATGAAATTGTTCTAAGATTTGGGAATTTTCCACTAAAATTAGAGCCATATAGATTGTGGGAGCTTTTGAGAAATTATGAGCCATCACAGAGATTCAGGATAAACTTAGCTTGAGGAAGGTCAAGATGCACAGTTCTTTCCCTGGTTAACTTTAGCATCATTAAACATATAAAAAGAATGAGAGAATTCAAATTCCTTTCACCTTTAGACACTGTTATAGCAATATCTCATTTAAAGGCTTTCTTACAGCATCTTCACTGCATTCAAATGATTTTGTATATTGAAGAGAGGAGAATAACAAAGTAAAAGTATACTAGGAAATGTATTTGACTCTGCAATATTCAGCAATACAATTGTACAGAAACATCCACTGCATGTTTTTAATTCTGCCCATAACTTGCCTGCTCACAGATATCCCTGGAACTCTGTGACAACAATTTGTCAATTGTCACATTTCTAGAATTCTGTTCATTGCTGCTGCAGTGTCATACACTTAAATAAAGCCTGATTTATATTTTTCTTGTTTTGACCACAGTTGAATAATACTTCAAATAAGCATATTATAAAGCCCTTCATAGAGGAAATTTTTAAAAAATAACATTTGGTCTTTACCTGAAATTGCAATCAATCACACCTTTAAAAATGCATCTTCACAGCCGAATTCTACCAGAGGTACAAGGAGGAACTGGTACCATTCCTTCTGAAACTATTCCAATCAATAGAAAAAGAAGGAATCCTCCCTAACTCATTTTATGAGGCCAGCATCATCCTGATACCAAAGCCAGGCAGAGACACAACCAAAAAAGAGAATTTTAGACCAATATCCTTGATGAATGTTGATGTAAAAATCCTCAATAAAATACTGGCAAACCGAATCCAGCAGTACATCAAAAAGCTTATCCACCATGATCAAGTGGGCTTCATCCCTGGGATGCAAGGCTGGTTCAATATACGCAAATCAATAAATGTAACCCAGCATATAAACAGAACCAATGACAAAAACCACATGTTATCTCAATAGATGCAGAAAAGGCCTTTGACAAAATTCAACAACCCTTCATGCTAAAAACTCTCAATAAATTAGGTATTGATGGGACGTATCTCAAAATAATAAGAGCTATTTATGACAAACCCACAGCCAATATCATACTGAATGGGCAAAAACTGGAAGCATTCCCTTTGAAAACTGGAACAAGACAGGGATGCCCTCTCTCACCACTCCTATTCAACATAGTGTTGGAAGTTCTGGCCAGGGCAATTAGGCAGGAGAAGGAAATAAAGGGTATTCAATCAGGAAAAGAGGAAGTCAAATTGTCCCTGTTTGCAGATGACATGATTGTATATCTAGAAAACCCCATTGTCTCAGCCCAAAATCTCGTTAAGCTGATAAGCAACTTCAGCAAAGTCTCAGGATACAAAATCAATGTACAAAAATCACAAGCATTCTTATACACCAATAACAGACAAACAGAGAGCCAAATCATGAGTGAACTCCCATTCACAATTGCTTCAAAGAGAATAAAATACTTAGGAATCCACCTTACAAGGGACGTGAAGCACCTCCTCAAGGAGAACTACAAACCACTGCTCAATAAAATAAAAGAGGATACAAACAAATGGAAGAACATTCCATGCTCATGGGTAGGAAGAATCAATATCATGAAAATGGCCATACTGCCCAAGGTAATTTATAGATTCAATGCCATCCCCATCAAGCTACCAATGACTTTCTTCACAGAACTGGAAAAAGCTACTTTAAAGTTCATATGGAACCAAAAAAGAGCCCACATCGCCAAGTCAATCCTAAGCCAAAAGAACAAAGCTGGAGGCATCACACTACCTGACTTCAAAGTATACTACAAGGCTACAGTAACCAAAACAGCATGGTACTGGTACCAAACAGAGATATAGATCAATGGAACAGAACAGAGCCCTCAGAAATAACGCTGCATATCTACAACTATCTGATCTTTGACAAACCTGAGAAAAACAAGAAATGGGGAAAGGATTCCCTATTTAATAAATGGTGCTGGGAAAACTGGCTAGCCATATGGAGAAAGCTGAAACTGGATCCCTTCCTTACATCTTATACAAAAATTAATTCAAGATGGATTAAAGACTTAAACGTTAGACCTAAAACCATAAAAACCCTAGAAGAAAACCTAGGCATTACCATTCAGGACATAGGCATGGGCAAGGACTTCATGTCTTAAACACCAAAAGCAATGGCAACAAAAGCCAAAACTGACAAATGGGATCTAATTAAACTGAAGAGCTTCTGCACAGCAAAAGAAACTACCATCAGAGTGAACAGGCAACCTACAGAATGGGAGAAAATTTTCACAACCTACTCATCTGACAAAGGGCTAATATCCAGAATCTACAATGAACTCAAACAAATTTACAAGAAAAAAACAAACAACCCCATCAAAAAGTGGGCAAAGGATATGAACAGACACTTCTCAAAAGAAGACATTTACGCAGCCAAAAGACACATGAAAAAATGCTCATCATCACTGGCCATCAGAGAAATGCAAATCAAAACTACAATGAGATACCATCTCACACCAGTTAGAATGGCAATCATTAAAAAGTCAGGAAACAACAGGTGCTGGAGAGGATGTGGAGAAATAGGAACACTTTTACACTGTTGGTAGGACTGTAAACTAGTTCAACCATTGTGGAAGTCAGTGTGGCGATTCCTAAGGGATCTAGAACTAGAAATACCATTTGACCCAGCCATCCCATTACTGGGTATATACCCAAAGGACTATAAATCATGCTGCTATAAAGACACATGCACACGTATGTTTATTGCGGCACTATTCACAATACCAAAGACTTGGAACCAACCCAAATGTCCAACAATGATAGACTGGATTAAGAAAATGTGGCACATATACACCATGGAATACCATGCAGCCATAAAAAAGGATGAGTTCATGTCCTTTGTAGGGACATGGATGAAATTGGAAATCATCATTCTCAGTAAACTATCGCAAGGAAAAAAACCAAACACCACATGTTCTCACTCATAGATGGGAATTGAACAATGAGAACACATGGACACAGGAAGGGGAACATCACACTCTGGAGACTGTTGTGGGGTAGGGGGAGGGGGGAGGGATAGCATTAGGAGATATACCTAATGCTAAATGATGAGTTAATGGGTGCAGCACACCAGCATGGCACAGGTATACATATGTAACTAACCTGCACATTGTGCACATGTACCCTAAAACTTAAAGTATAATAATAATAATAATTTAAAAATGCCAAAAATAAATAAAATAAAATAAAATATCTTCATGTATAAAAAAATGCATCTATATTTGACTGTAATTTTTATTATTTAAGTGTAATTTTGATGATTTTAGCCTGTTGGACCTTACAGAATTAAAAACATACAAGGCACACAACTTTCCCTGGAAAAATATGCCATCTGTTTTGTTCTATACATCAATTGTCCACTTAAAATATTTAAGCACATATAGATAATTGTTTTTTAAATGATTTTTACATAAAATTATGAAAATAAACTAAAGATAAAAGATCAATGTAAAAGTCACAAAATGCTATATACTTTGCTAGTTAGAATCTATATACAATACCAAAAAATTACCAAATCAAGATTTAAAACAGAAATAACTAGCATGCATTCTGGAGAATTCAATGGAATAAAAACATCAGGGAAGATGGGGGTGTGGGAGAACCTTTTCGGGAATAATTACAACAATTAGGTAACTTTTCTATTATTAGACAATTAGATAACTTTTCTATTATTCAGTGGAGCCAGTGACATTCACAATTAAAATATTTTATCATGATTATTGATCACGTCTATACTCAGAACATAAGCACTGAGTATAAACAGGCATTTTTTTTAAAGAAACAGGTTTGATTACACTGAACTAAACATACAGATTGATATTGTTAACAAAAGCTGTCTGAAAATTATGGCTGAGATGTCTGGAATCTTAATTAAAATTCCAGAAAACCTGGAAAAGCTAAGAAATGAAAGGAAAAAATAAATAATTCTGTTTTCTGGCTAGCTCCCAAATACCAGCTTTCTTCATATGAGAATATGAGAGACACACAAGATATACTAGGTAACATGCTACTGAAACTTGAATAAGTAGTTTGCCTGAGTTCTTAAAGGTAAGGTCCCCCTGTAAGATGTATTTTCTGCTCACTCTATTTGCCCTGGTGGATCCTTTCACCATCCTGCACACACCCTTGGTCACTCTCTTCCTACCACTTAGCAAGAGAAAAAAAAGATCTAGCTGCAAATATATATGGCATACTTACCTCTGTTTCTTAGTTTCCATAGCCTGATTTTTTATTCTAAATTTCTACTTTTCTTTCTGTTTCTGACTTTCTGTAATCAAAGTCTCACTCTTTTATCTTGGAGAGCTGAAATGTCTGCACCATTTGTTGATCATGTCTGAGAACTATTTCTTAATAAATTATACTGAAATGGTTTACATTGATGGATGAATGCCCAGATTTATTTCCCTTGTGATCTATTGATTCTACAGGTTGTGGCATTAAAATTAGGGAAATAGAATCCTAAGACGTCAAAGCCAGATTTTTCACACAATATTTCCAAATAATTGAATATATTTATATTTATATTTAATATTTGTAATGTCTTTAGAGAAAAATGTATACACTGACAACAAAGAAATCATACTGGATTGAAGGGAGATTTCCCCACCATCTTATTTGCAAAACTCTATTACATTACTTCAAAGATAATCTTTCAGTTTTCTTTTTTTTTTCTGTTGGTAATCTACTAACTTAATAGGATCTGCTAGTCATACAATAATTTATACAAACACACTGATACTGGTTCTTAAAAAGTGAAGCTTTGGTTGGGTGTGGTAGCTCACGCCTGTAATCCCAGCACTTTGGGAGGCTGAGGCAGGCGGATCACGAAGTCAAGAGATTGAGACCATCCTGGCTAACAGGGTGAAACCCCATCTCTTCTAAAAATACAAAAATTAGCTGGGTGTGGTGGTGCGTGCCTGTAGTCCCAGCTACTTGGGAGGCTGAGGCAGGAGAATCACTTGAACCCAGGACGCGGAGGTTGCAGTGAGCCAAGATCGCGCCACTGCATTCCAGTCTAGCAACAGAGCAAGACGCAAGACTCTGTCTCAAAAAAAATAAAATAAAATAAAAAAGTGAAGCTTTGAACATTTCTGAAAGATGCCAAGCAACAGTATACACATTAATTCCTAAATTATGAATAGCTTGAGTTTGAAAGTATGCCAACATTCATCCATCCTAATGTGCAGTTTTCTTTTCCCTGGCATGCATGCAAGCACTGCTAAAGAGATGTATGCCTTTAAAGTGGTTTTACCAGCCCACGTGTCAACCAAGAGACAACCTCAGAATGTAATTGTCCACAATTTTACCACTTATTCAATTTAAATTACTAATATCCTTAGGCAAGAGGGCCAATCTACTGAACAAGGTTACCTTGGCTTAGTCAATGAAACTGTGAGGCCAAGAAAACCATGTCAGTCAAGTTCAAGGAATAACATTATAATTTAGTAAACTTTTTGGTGACTGGCAACACATCAACTGACAAGCATTTAATTACAATCTTCCTCCCAGTGGTATAAGGCAGATTCCTTAGGGCTAGGAATTCCTTATACTTGACTATTCACGGCCCATGTTCCCTTGGCTTGTTAACCCTGGGACTCAGAGCTTCCAAACTGTGGAATTATAAACAAACTTACTAGAAGCCTGAGTAACTGCATACCCCAAAATAAATCTAGGTTTGCATAAGGCTGCATATTATTTCATTTATACACCTATTCCCAAATATATTTAACTAATGCTCTATTTACAGATCTTCAGATTGATTCAAATATTTCACTATCATAGACAATGCTATAATGATTGTCTTTGGACCTTACTGTATATTTATCTAATTTTATTTTTGTAATAAAGTCAAGAAGTTGTAAATCTCTTGTTAGAGAATTACAATTACAATTATAAGAATTTGTACATTTTTCTTATTGATATTTAAGAGCTACCTATGTATTAAGGAATTTAAACCTTGTTATATTTTCTAATTTTCCATTTAAGCATTTTCTCATGTAAGCATTATTTAAAGCATAAATAATGCTTCAAAATTTTAGAAAATCATATTTGTTACCAATTGAAATAAAAAATTGCCAGATTAGGGCATTTGGTGGCTGCTCACCGGACCCCCTCCTTGGTGCTGGTCTTTGTGCCTGCCATTGGGTAACTTGCACATGGCCCTGCCTCATTCAGCCTTACCCATCTTGGTGTCCCACTATGGTGCTGAGCAAGGAGCTCACACCACTGTCTACTGAATGGATCAGCCTACTGCCTGAGGCAACAGAGAGCTTCACCTAGTAAACAAGGATGAGGTATATACCCATCCACATTGGCCTCATTTCATTTTTACCCATAAGCACCATCTACTAACCTGTAGGTCAAAAATACAGCCCAATATAAAAACGTGCTGACAGGGGTGCATAGGGCTATAGAAGCAAAGCCAAAAGACTCTACCCAACATTCTCTATAATCACAATCCTTAGGGAGTAGGGGGAAAGGGGGAAAAAAACTCAATAATATGATAAGGAAAGAGAGAAAGAAAAAAAATCCTATCCACACAAAAATAATTACAAAAATTAGAAGTACCAGTGTCTCCAGATGAGAAGGAACCAGAAGAAGAATCCTGGTATGAGAAATCTGAATGTTGCAATATTGACAGAGGATCACACTAGCTCCCCAGCAATGGTCGATAATCAAAATAGAAAGTCAGAAATTACAGACAAAAAATTCAAAGCATGGATTGCAAGGAAGCTAAATGAAATCCAAGATGAAGTTGAAAATTAACACAAAGAAACTTCTTTTTTTTTTGGAGACAAGGTCTCACTACTCTGTCACCCAGGCTGGAGTGCAGTGGCGTGATCTTGGCTCACTGCAGCCTCAACCTACTGGGCCCAAACAATCCTCCCACCTCAGCCTCCCGAATAGCTGAGACCACAGGCATCCACCACCACACCCAGCTAATTTTTGTATTTTTTTTATAGACATGAGGTTTCACCATGTTGCCCAGGCTGGTCTCGAACTTCTGAGGTCAAGCAATCCACCTTGGCCTCCCAAAGTGCTGGGATTACAGGTTTGAGCCACTGAGCCCAGCCAAGACAAAGAAACTTATAAAGCAACCGAGGAAATGAAGGAAGAGATGAACAACATAAAAAGAAATTAATCAGAGCTTCTGACACAGAAAAACTCAAGGAATTTCAAAATACAATGAAAAGCTTTATCAATAGACTAGATCAAGCAGAAAAATGAATTTCAAAACTTGAAGGCTGGTCTTGTGAACTAACCCAGTCAGACAGAACATTTAAAAAGAATTTTTAAAAATGAACAAAGTCTTCAAGAGGTACAGGATTATGTAAAGCAACCAAACCTATGAGTTATTGGCTTTTTCTAGAGAAAAAGAGAAAAGGTAAACAACCTGGAAAACATATTTCAGAGAATAACCAAAGAAAATTTCCCTAATCTTCCTAGAAAGGTAAACATTCACATATAAAAAAATTGAAAGAACACCTGAGAGATACCATACAAAATGAACATCATGAAGGTTTATAGTCATCAGACTATCCAAAGTCAACGCTAAAGAAAAAAATCTTAAAGGCAGCTGAGAAAAAGGTCAGGTCATGTACAAAGGGAACCCTATCAGGCTAATATCAAACTTCCTGGCAGAAACCTTACAAGCCAGAAGAAACAGGAGGCCTATTTACAGCATTCCTAAAGAAAAGAAATTCCAACCAAGAATGTCATATCCTGCCAAACCTAGCTTAATAAGCAAAGGAAAAATAAAATCATTTTTAGACAAGCAGTCATTAAGGGAATTCGCTAGCACTAGACCAACCTTACAAGTACTCTCAAGAGAGTTCTAAATGTGGAAATGAAAGAATAATACCTGTTACCACAAAAACAGACTTAGGTATTATGCATAGCCCAGACTCTACAAAGCAACGACAGGAAAGAAACTACAAAGTAACCACCCAAAAACTTCACAATAGGATCAGAACCTCACACATCAATATCAATCTTGAATGTAAATTGTTGCCATATTTAAAAGGCATTTTAAGTTGGATTAAAAAATAAAAAGGCCCATCTGTCTGCTGTCTTCAAAAGACCCATCTCACATGTAATGACACTCATAGACTCAAAGTAAAGTGTTGAAGATCTATCATGCAAATAGAAAACAAAAAAGAGCAAGGTTTGCTATTCTTATATTAGATAAACAAGACTTTAAACCAACAACAAGGAAAAAAAACAAAGAAGGGCATTAAATTATAATAAAGGGTTCAATTCAACAAGAAGACTTAATTACCCTAAATATATATGCCCCCAATATTGGAGCACTGGGATTTGTAAGACAGGTACTTCTAGACCTATGAAAAGACTTAGACAGCGACACAATATCAGTGGGGGACTTCAACACCCCACTGAAAGCATTAGATCATAAAGGGAGAAAACTAGCAAAAGAATTCTGAACTTAAATTCGACACTGGACCAATGGGACCTAATAGACATCTACAGACTCCTCCACCCATTAACCACAGAATACACATTCTTCTCATCTGCACAAGAAATATCCTCCAAGATTGATCATTATGCTCAGTCACAGAGCCAGTCTCAGAAAATGCAAAAAAAAAAAAGACAAAGAAATCACACCAACCATATTCTCAGCAAAAAGTGGAATAAAAATGGAAATCAATACCAAGAAGATCTCCCAAAATTACACAATTACATGGAAATTAAAGAAACTGCTCCTGAATGACTTTTGTGTAAACAACAAAATTAAGGCAGAAATAAAAAAAATGAAAACACAGACATAACATACCAAAATCTATGGGATGCAGGAAAAGCAGTGTTAAGAGGAAAGTTTATAGTGCTCAAGGAAGTTAGGAAGATCTTTGTTAAATGCTCTAACATCACACCTACAAGAACTAAAAAACAACGACAACAACAACAACAATAAAAACCCCAGGAACAAAGTGGCTGGCAAGATGGCCAAATAGAAAACAGCTCCAGTCTGCAGCTCCCAGTGAGATCAACGCAGAAGGCAGTGACTTCTGCATTTCCAACTGAGGTACCCAGTTCATCTCACTGGGACTGGTTGGACAGTGGGTGCAGCCCAAGGAGGGCGAGCCAAAGCAGGGTGGGGCATCGCCTCACCTGGGAAGCCTCACGGCGTCGGGGAATTCCCTCTCCCAGCCAAAGGAAGCCATTAGGGACTGTACTGTGCACTCTGGCCCAGATACTGCAATTTTCCCATGGTCTTCGAAACCCATAGACCAGGAGATTCCCTCTGATGCCTATGCCACCAGGGCCATGGGTGTCCAGCACAAAACTGAGCAGCCATTTGTGCAGACACCCAGCTAGCCACAGGAGTTTTTTTTTCATACCCCAGTGGCGCCTGGAATGCCAGTGAGACAGAACCGTTCACTCCCCTGGAGAGGGGGCTGGAACCAGGGAGCCAAGTAGTTCTGGCTTGGTGGGTACCACCCCCACAGAGCCCAGCAAGCTAAGATCGACTGGCTTGAAATTCTCACTACAAACACAGCAGTCTGAGCTTGACCTGGAACGCTAGAGCTTGGTGGGGGGAGAAGCGTCCGCCATTGCTGAGGCTTAAGTAGGCAGTTTTACCCTCACAATGTAAACAGAGTACCCGGGAAGTTCAAACTGGGCGGAGTCCTCCTCAGCTCAGCAAGGTGCTGAGGCCAGACTGCCTCTCTAAATTCCTTCTTGTCAGGGCACGACATCTCTGAAAAAAAACGCAGCAGCCCCAGTCACGGATTTATAGATAAAATCCCCACCTCCATGGGACAGAGCACCTGGAGGAAGGGGCAGTTGTGGGCACAGTTTCAGCAGACTTAAACATCCCTGCCTGGCAGCTCTGAAAAGAGCAGCATATCTCCCAGCACAGCATTTGAGCTCTGCTAAGGGTCAGACTGCCTCTGCAGGTGGGTCCCTGACCCCCATGTATCCTGATTGGGAGAGACATCTCCCAGTAGGGGCTGACAGACATCTCATACAGGAGAGCTCTGGCTGGCATCTGGTGGGTGCCCCTCTGGGACAAAGCTTCCAGAGGAAGGAGCAGCCGGAAATCTTTACTGTTCTGCAGCCTCGGCTGGTGATACCCAGGCAAACAGGGTCTACAGTGGACCTCCAGCAAACTCCAGCAGACCTATAGCAGAGAGACCTGTTAGAAGGAAAACTAACAAGCAGAAAGGAATAGTATCAACATCAGCATAAAGAACATTCACTCAGAGACCCCATCCAAAGGTCTCCGACTTCAAAGACCAAAGGTAGATAAATCCATAAAGATGAAGAGAAACCAGCACAAAAAGGCTGAAAATTCCAAAAACCAGAACGCCTCTTCTCTTCCAAAGGATCACAACTCCTCGCCAGCAAGGGAATAAAACAGGACAGAAAATGAGTTTGATGAATTGACAGAAGTAGGCTTCAGAAGGTGGATAATAACAAACTCCTCCAAGCTAAAGGAGCATGTTCTAACCCAAAGCAAGGAAGCTAAGAACCTTGAAAAAAGATTAGAGGAACTGCTAACTAGAATAACGAGTTTAGAGAAGAACATAAATGACCTGATGGAGCTGAAAAGCACAGCATGAGAACTTCGTGAAGCATACATAAGTATCAGAGCCGAATCGATCAAGTGGAAGAAAGGATATCACAGATTGAAGATCTACTTCATGAAATAAAGCATGAAGACAAGATTAGGAAAAGAAGAAATGAAAAGGAATGAAGAAAGCCTCCAAGAAATATGGGACTCTGTGAAAAGATAAAACCTGCATTTGATCGGTGTACCTGAAAGTGACTGGGAGAATGGAACCAAGTTAGTTCCATTCTCTTCAGGATATTATCCAGGAGAACTTCCCCACCCTAGCAAGACAGGCCAACATTCAAATTTAGGAAATAAAGAAAACACTACAAAGATACTCTTCAAGAAGAGCAACCCCAAGACACATAATCATCAGATTCACCAAGGTGGAAACGAAGGAAAAATTGTTAAGGACAGCCAGAGAGAAAGGTCAGGTTACCCACAAAGGGAAGCCCATCAGACTAACAGCAGATGGCTCTGTAGAAACCCTACAAGCTAGAAGAGAATCGGGGCCAATATTCGACATTCTTAAACAAAAGAATTTTCAAACCAGAATCTCATACCCAGTCAAATTAAGCTTCATAAGTGAAGGAGAAATAAAATCCTTTACAGACAAGCAAATGCTGAGAGATTTTGTCACCACCAAGCCTGCCTTACAAGAGCTCCTGAAGGAAGCACTAAACATGGAAAGGAACAACTGGTATAAGCCACTGCAAAAACATACCAAATTGTAAACACCATCGATGCTATGAAGAAACTGCATCAACGAATGGGCAAAATAACCAGCTTACATCATAATGGCAGGATCAAATTCACACATAACAATATTAACCTTAAATGTAAACAGGCTAAATGCCCCAATTAAAAGACACAGACTGGCAAATTGGATAAAAAGTCAAGACCCATCAATGTGCTGTATTCAGGAGACCCATCTCACATGCAAAGAAACACAAAGGTTAAAATAAAGGGATGGAGAAAGATCTACCAAGCAAATGGAAAGCAAAAAAAAAAAAAAAAAAAAAAAAAAAAGCAGGGGTTGCAATTCTAGTCTCTGATAAAACAGACTTTAAACCAACAAAGATCAAAAAAGACAAAGAAGGGCATTACATAATGGTAAAGGGATCAATTCAACAAGAAGAGCTAACTACCCTAAATATATATGCACCCAATATAGGAGCACCCAGATTCATAAAGAAAGTTCTTAGAGACCTACAAAGAGACTTAGAGTCCCACACAATAATAGTGGGAGACTTTAACACCCCAATGTCAATATTAGACAGATCAACGAGACAGAAAATTAACAAGGATATCCAGATTAAGAACAAAATCCCATTTACAATGGCCACAAAAATTAAAATACCTTTTAAAATATCTTTATTTTAGAATCCTTGTAGAGGTGAAAGATCTCTACAAGGAGAACTGTAAAACACTGCTGAAAGAAATCAGAGATGATACAAACAAGTGGAAAAGCATTTCATGTTCATAGATTGGAAGAATCAATATTATTAAAATGGTGATATGGTTTGGTCGTGTGTTCCCTCCATATGTCATGTTGAAATGTGATCCCCAGTGTTGAAGGTGGGGCCTAATGGGAGGTATTGGATCATGGGAGCTGATCCCTCATGAATGGCTTAGTGCCATCCTCTTGGTGGTGAGTGAGTTCTCATTCTGCTAGTTCACATGAGATCTACTTATTTAAAAGAATGTGGCACCTCCCCCCCTCACTCTCTTGCTCCTACTCTTACCATGTAATGCACAAGGTCTCCTTTCACCTTCTACCATGGTGGTAAGCTTCCTGGGGCCCTCACCAGAAGGAGATACTGACACCACACTTCCTGTACAGCAATCAGAACTGTGAGCCAATTAAACCTCCCTTGTTTATAATCCAGTCTCAGGTATTCCTTTGTAGCAAGGCAAAATTGGACTAACACAGAAAATTAGTAACAAGGAGTGGGATATTGCTATGAACATACCCAAAGATGTGGAAGCAGTTTCGGACTGGGTAATGGGCTGAGGTTGGAAACATTTGAAGATCTCAGAAGAAGACAGGAAGATGAGGGAAAGTTTGGAACTTCTTAGCAACTTGTTAAGTGGTTGTGACCAAATGCTGATAGAGATATGGACCATAAAGTCCAGGTTGTTGAGGTCTCAGATGGAAATAAGAAACCTTTTGGGAACTGGAACAAACGTCACCCATGTTACACCCTAGCAAAGAACTTGGCTGCATTGTGTCCATGCCCTGGGAATCCATGGAAGTTTGAACTTAAGATTGATGAGCTAGGGTATCTGGCAGAAGACATCTCTAAGCAGCGAAGCATTCAAAAGATGACTTGGTTGCTTCTAACAGCCTAAATTAGATATAAGGACAAATAAGAGACTTAAAGTTGGAACTAATATTTAAAAGGGAAGCAGAATGTAAACATTTGGAAAACTTGCAGCCTGGTCCTGTGGTAAAGAAAGAATCCAAGCAGGCTGCATTGAAACCACTTGCTAAAGAGATTAGCATGACTAAAAGGGAGTCCAGTGCTAGTATCCAAGACAATGGGAAAAAGGCCTCAAAGGCATTTCAGAGATCTTAGAGACAGCCTCTCTCATCACAGGCCCAGAGGCCTGGAAAGAAAGAATAATTTGGGGAGCCAGGTCCATGGCCCCATTGCCCTGCACAGCTTCAGGACATTGCTTCCTGCATCCCAGCCTCTCCTGCTCCAGTCACAGCACAAAGCGGCCCAGGTACAGCTCTGGCCACCACTCCAAAGGGCACAAGTGGTAAGGCTTGGTGGCATCCAGATGGTGTTAAAGCCTGCAGGAACACAGAATGCAAGAGTGAAGAAGACTTGGCAGCTTCCCCCTATATTTCAGAGGATGTATCATAGGGGCAAAGCCCACATAGAGAAATTCTATAAGGGCAATGACAAGGGGAAATGTGGGGTTGGAGTCCCATTGCAGACTCCCCACTGGAGCACTGTGTAGTGGAGCTGTGGGAATGGGGCCGCTGTCCTCTACAGCTGTGAATAGTCGATCCACCAGCAGCTTGTGCCCTGTACCAGAAACACCACTGGCACCCAACTCCAACCGGTGTAACCAGCCATGGGGGCTGAATGCTGCAAAGCCACAGGGGTGGAGCTGCTGAAGGCCTTGAGACCTCACCCCTTGCACCAGTGTGCCATGGATGTGGAACACAGAGTCAAGGATTATTTGGGAGTTTTAAGATTTAATGCCTGCCTGCTGGGTTTCAGACTTCCATGAGGCCTGTAGCCTCTTTCTTTTGGCTGATTTCTCCCTTTTTGAACAGGAATGTTTACCCAATATGTGTACTAACATTGTATCTTGAAAGTTAAATAACTTGTTTTTTATTTTACAGCCTCATAGGTGGAAATAACTTGAGTCCCATATGAGACTTTGAACTTGATGTTGGAACAAGTTAAGATTTTGGAGGATTATTAAGAAGGGATGACTGGGCCAGGCGCAGTGGCTCATGTCTGTAATCCCAGCACTTTGGGACGCCGAGGCAAGTGGATCACCTGAGGTCAGGAGTTCGAGACCAGCCTGGACAACATGGTGAAACCTCATCTCTACAAAAATACAAAAATTAGCTAGGGGTGATGGTGGGCACCTGTAATCCCAGCTACTTGGGAGGCTGAGGCAGGAGAATCGCTTGAACCCAGGAGGCGGAAGTTGTGGTGAGCTGAGATCGTGCCACTGCACTCCAGCCTGGGTGACAGAGCAAGACTCCGTTACAAAAAAAAAAAAAAAAAAAAAAAAAGGACGATTTTATTTTGCATTGTGAGAAGAACATGACATTTATTTCATGGCCAGAGTGAAAAGATATGATTTGGATGTCTGTCCCTTCCAAATCTAATTATGTTGAAATGTGATCCCCAATGTTGCAGGTGGGGCCTAGCAAGAGGTGTTTGGGTCATGGAGGTGAATCCCTCAAGATTGGCTTAGCACCATCCCCTTGGTTATAAGTGAGTTCTCACTCTGGTAGTTCATGTGAGACCTGGTTGTTTAAGAGTGTGGCACCTCCCCCCAACCTCTTGCTCTGCTCTTACTATGTGACTACATTGCTCCCCATTTACCTTTTGCCATAATTGTAAGCTTCCTGAGGCCCTCATCAAAAGCAAATATTGGTACCATGCTTCTTGTACAGCATGCAGAACCATGAGCCAAGTAAACCTCTTTTCTTTATAAATTACTCAGTCTCAGGTATTCCTGTATAGTAATGCAAAAACAGATTTACACAAACAGCCATACTGCCCAAAGCAATCTATAGATTCGACACTATTATTATCAAACTACTAATGTTATTTTTGTAGAATTAGAAAATTTTATTCTAAAATTCATATGGAATCATGAAGAGCCCATATAGCCAAAGTAATCCTAAGTAAAAAGAACAAAGTAAGAGGCTCACATTACCCAATTCAAACTATACTATAAGGCTACAGTAACCAAAACAGCATGATACTGGTACAAAAACAGACACATAGACCAATAGAACAGTATAGAGAACCAAGAAATAAAGCCACACAATTATGGCAATATGATCTTTGACATAAGTTGACAAAAGTGAGCAATGGGGAAAGGACTCCCTATTCAATAAATGGTGCTGGGATAGCTGGCTAGTCATATGCAGAAGAATGAAACTGGACCCCCACCTTGCACCACATACAAAAATTAACTCAAGATGGATTAAAGAGTCAAATGCAAAACCTCAAACTACAAAAATTCTAGAAGAAAACCTAGTGATATGGGATTGGCTGTGTCCCCACCCAAATCTCATCTTGAATTTTAGTTCCCATCATCTCCACATGTCATGGGAGAGACCTGGTGGGAGGTAATTGAATCACAGAGGTGGTTACGCCCATGCTGCTCTTCTCATGATAGTGAGTGAGTTCTCTCGAGATCTGATGGTTTTATAAGGGGCTTTTCCCCCTTTTGCTCATTAATTTTCCTTGCTGCTGCCATGTGAGGAAGGATGTGCTTGCTTCTCCTTCCACCATGATTGTAAGTTTCCTGAGGCCTCCCCAGCCATACTGAACTGTGAGTCAATTAAACCTCTTTCCTTTATAAATTATTCAGTCTCAGGTATGTCTTTATTAGCAGCATGAGAACAGACTCATACACGTGGGAAACACCATTCTTGACATCAGCTTTGACAAAGAATTTATCAGCATATCCTCAAAAGCAATTGCAACAAAAACCAAAAATTGACAAGTGAGAACTAATTAAACTAAAGAGCTTTTACACAGCAAAAGAAACTGTCAACAGAGTAAACAAACAATCTACAGAATGGGAAAATTATTTGCAAACTATGCATCCAACAAAGGTCAAAAATCCAGAATCTACAAGGAATTTAAATAAATCAACAAGCAAAAAATAAATAACCCTATTTTAAAATGGACAAAGGACTTGAATAAACACTTCTCAAAAGAAGACATACAAGCAGCCAAAAGAAAGTATGAAAAAATTCTCCACATCACTAATTATCAGAGAAATGCAAATCATAATGACAATAAGATACCATCTCATACCAGTCAGAATGGCTATTATTAAAGAGTCAAACAACAACAGATACTGGCAAGGCTGCAGAGAAAAGAGAATGCATATAAAATGTTGGTGGGAATGTATATGAGTTCAGCCATTGTGTAAAGCAGTTTGGAGATTTCTCAGAAAACTTAAAACAGGACTACCATTCAAACCAGTAATGCCATTATTAGCTATATACCCAAAGCAAAATAAATCCTTCTACAAAAAAAGACATGGATACACATATGTTTCTTGCAGCACTACTCACAATAGCAAAGACATGGAATCAGCCTAGGTGCCCATCATTGGTGGATTGGATAAAGAAAATGTAATACATATCCACCAAGGAATACTACACAGCCATAAAAAAGAAGAAAATCATGTCCTTTGTAGCAACAATTATGCAGCTGGAGGCTATTATCCTAAACCAATTAAAGCAAGAACAGTAAATGAAATGCCGTATGTTCTTACTTATAAGTGGGAGCTAAATATTGGTCACTCATGAATATAACAATGGCAAAAATAGACAATGGGGACCAGTAGAGGGTGGAGGATACTTTTGGGTACTATGCTCACTATCTGGGTTACAGAATGACTCGTATCCCAAACCTTGGCATCACACAATATACCCATGCAACAAACCCACATATGTACCCCCTGAATCTAAAATAAGAGTTAAAATCACAAAAAATAAATAACCTTTTTATTTTGAAGGAAATTTAGATCTACAAAAGGTTTACAAAGATAACATAGAGAGTGCCTTTCACTCAGCCTTCCTTATGCCTTTCACTCAGCCTCACTTAATATTAACACCTTTCATAACCATTGGACAAGTATCAAAATGAAGAAATTAAAGTTGGCACATTATTAATTAAACATCAGACTTCATTTGGATTTCCCTAGTTTTTGCAATGATTCTCTCTTGTCCTGCTTGTAAAGTCTTCTTGGAGAACTTGAGAACAACATTGACACTATAGAAAATGTCATATTAAGATTTTGATTAGAATTTTATTAAACACGTAGATTAATCTGCCAAGATTGACATCTCTCTGATACTTAGAGTTCTAATTCAGGACCATGGTATCTATTTTGGTAATGAGGGTTTCAGAGGCAGTCTCCAACATTTGCATAAGCTATTCACTTTCCACTTTAAGATTCTTGCAATTATGTCTTTTGATTTTGTTGAGTCATCCTTCATGTTCTTAGTAATCTTTTGCAGTTCTTTTCAATTAGGAACTCTAGATTTTGTGTTGAAATTTTTAGAAAACTAAAATTTTTGTTACTATTATGTATCTCTTTTTCAATATATTTTAAAGTGGTCATTGCTGGAATAGAGAAAAGCTACTGATTTTTATATATTTATTATTCATTTGGCCACCTTTCTGAACTCTTGTTGATTTTCATGGGTTTTCTTACTGATTCTCTTGAAATTTTCTAGGAAAATAATCCTCTATACTTTATAATAATTTTATTGTCTCCATGTATATATATTTACCTCTAATTTATTATATTTTACTGCCTTGTCTAGAATTTCCAAGACAATAGAAAATAGCAGTAGTGACCTTGTCATGCCCTTATTGAACTATGCTTATACTCCTGGGATACAAGAGGAGGACCAGAGAGTCTGATGCTTGACCAGAGGGTCAAGTGAAGAAAAAATTTCTAGAAGAAAGGAGGGATAGACTGTGTGAAATGCTCGTTATAGTTCAAACAAGAAAAGGAAAAAAAATTTCTTTAGATTTAGCAATGTAAAGGTCAAAGACAAATTTTGGTGGGGTGCTTGAGGTGATGGCAGTGCTCTAAGAGGAAATGAGAGGAGACAACTTGGAGACATATAGAAAAGCAGTTCCGGGAGTTTTGAAGCTTTAGGGGAACAAGAGAAATAGAACTGTGGCTAGAGAAGAACATAAGGAGAAACATGACATATTTTAGGGTTAGAGGGAGAAGTAGTTGGTAGGAAAGCAGGAGTGTGAACAAACTGGACATGTGGCAATATTTATAGACACCATGAAGGGCCCTCTAGAGTTAGTGGGAGGAATTTAAGCTAACTCATGTCAGTCTAGTTGAGTGATTTTCTCCATCAACTTTCAGGTGCACAAGACAGGTTTCGTGTCAGTACGTTTAATCAAGGTTGGAGGTTTTCCAGACAATAAAATAGAACAAAAGGACAAATGAGCAATTATAAAGATTGATGATGTAATTTAAGGTAGGTAAGGGGAGAAGTGAAAACATGAGGGGGTTGAGAAACAATGATGAGGAGGATCAATAGATTCCCAGTTGATCAACTCATCAAATAAGCAACTATGTCTTTGATTCTTCTTCTGTTTGGAATATGTGTTGAAATATAAGGGTAAATACAGTTCTCACACCACTGATTAGAGAGAATATGTCTCACAGTAAAAGATACCTATCTAATTTTCTGTTTGATGACACTTGGATCGATGAACATGAACTATCTTCTTTTCCAAAAGGAGGATGTACTTTCTCCTTTTTTGGTTATGAGGAAGAGAGAGTACAGGGAGACCCTAACTTCAGTACTATTTATGTTATGATTATAGATGTTTAATGCAGATTGTATAAGCTATATCCATCTAGTCTGGCGTTGCTTTGTGTTTCTGTCTTTCCTGTGTCTTGTAAGTATTTTAAAGGGAAATTGAGAGAGACTACAAAAGATATTGTTAGCCAAATATTATCTTATCTGTTTTAAGTTCTGTGAGAAATCTCCAAACTGCTTTACACCGTGGCTGAACCAATTTACATTCCCACCAACGGTGTATAAGTGTTCCCTTGTATTTGTTGTTTTTTGACTTTTTGGGTTTATTTTGTTTTTTTTTGTTTTTTTTTTTGTTTTTTTTTTGAGACAGTCTTGCTGTGTTGCCCAGGCTGGAGTGAAAAGGTGCGATCTGGGCTCACTGCAACCTTCTAGGTTCAAGCGATTCTCCTGCCTCAGCCTCCCAAGTAGCTGGGACTACAGGCATGTGCCACCACACCTGGCTAATTTTTGTATTTTTAGTAGAGATGGGGTTTCACCTTGTTGGCCAGGCTGGTCTCGAACTCTTGACCTCAGGTGATTCGCTTGCTTCAGCCTCCCAAGGTGCTGGGATTACAGGCGTGAGCCACCACGCTCGGCCATGACTTTTTAATAAAAGCCATTCTGATTGGTATGAGATGGTATCTCATTGTGGTTTTGATTTGCATTTCTCTCAGGATTAGTGATGTGGGGCATGTTTTTCATATGTTTGTTGGCTGCTTGTACATATTCTTTTGAAAAGTATCTGTTCCTGTCCTTTGCCCACTTTTTTTAACTTTTATTTTAGGTTTAGAGGTACATGTGCAGGATTGTTATATAGGTAAACTGTGTGTTGCAGAGATTGGTGTACAGATTATTCAGCCCCCCAGATAATAAGTATAGTATAAGTATTTTTTTATCCTCTCCCTCCTCCCACCTTCCACCTTAAGGTAGGCTCCAGTGTTTGTTACTTCCCTCTTTGTGTCCCTGTGTTCTCATTGTTTAGCTCTCGCTTATAAGTGAGAATATACGGTATTTGGTTTTCTGTTCTTAGATTAGTTTGCTTAGGATAATGGTCTCCAGTTCTATCCATGTTACTGTAAAGGATATTATCTCATTCTTTTTTATGTCGCATAGTATTCCGTGGTATATATGTACCACATTTTCTTTATCCAGTCTACCACTGATGGTTTGCCTTCTTTTTAATGGGTTTTTTGTTGTTGTTGTTGTTGTTTTTGCTTGTTGAGTTGTTTACAGACTCTGGATATTAGATCTTTATTGGATGCATAATTTGCAAATATTTTTGACCATTCTGTGGGCGGTTTACTCTGTTGACAATTTATTTTGCTGAGTTTAATTAGGTCCCACTTGTCAGTTTTTGTTTTTGTTGCAGTTGCTTTCGAGAACTTAATCATAAACTCTTTGCCAAAACCAATGTCCAGAATGGTATTTCCCAGTTTTCTTCTAGGATTCTTATAGTTTGAGATCTTATACTTAAATATTTAAACCATCTTGAATTAATTTTATATATAGTGAAGGATAGGGGTCCAGTTTCATTCTTCTGCATATGGCTAGACAACTATCCCAGCACCATTTATTGAATAGAGAGTCCTTCCCCCATTGCTTATTTTTGTCGACTTTGTTGAAGATCTAATAGCTGTAAGTATGTGGCTTTATTTCTGGGTTATCTATTATGTTCCACTGGTCTATGTGTCTGTTTTTGTGCCAGCACCATGTGTTTTTGGTTACTATAGCCTTAAAATATAGTTTGAAGTTTGGTAATGTGATGCCTCCAGGTTTGTTCTTTGTGCTTAAGATTGCTTTGGCTATTCAGGCTCTTTTATGGTTCCACAGGAATTTTAGAATAAACTTTTCTAATTCTATGAAAAATGACATTGGTAGTTTGATAGGAATAACACTGAATCTGCAGATTGCTTTGGGCAGTATAGCCATTTAAATGATATTGATTCTTTAAATCCATGGGAATGGAATGCTTTTCTATTTCTGTAATCTCTGATTTATGTAAGTAGTGTTTTATAATTATCCTTGTAAAGATCTTTCACCTCCCTGGTTAGGGGTATTCCTGGGTGGTTTTTTTTTTTTTTTTAGCTACTGTAAATGGGATTTTGTTCTTGATTTCACTCTCAGCGCGAATGTTATTTGTGTATAGAAATGCTACTTATTTTTGTACATTGATTTTATATCTTGAAACATTAGCAAAGTCATTTATCAGTTCCAGAGGCATTTGGTGAAGGTTTTAGTGATTTCTGTACATAGAATCATATTGTCAGTGAAGAGATATAATTTGATTTTTTTCCCTATTTGGATGTCTTTTATTTTTCTTGTCTCATTGCTCTGGCTAGGACTTCCAATACTATTTTGAATATGAGTAGTGAGAGTGGGTATCCTTGTCTTGTTCCAGTTCTTAAGGGGAAGGCCTCCAGCTTTTTCCCATTCAGTATCCTGTAGGCTGTGGATTTGTCATAGATAGAGCTTATTATTTTGAGTTACATCCCTTTGATGCCTAGTTTGTTGAGTATTTTTATCATGAAGGCATGTTGAATTTTATCAAAAGCTGTCTGCATCTATTGAGATGATCATATGGTTTTCGTTTTTAATTCTGTTCATGTGGGGAGTCACATTTATTGATTTGCTTATGTTAAGCCAACTTGCATCCCAGGGATATAGCCTATTTGATCATAATCTTTTTGCTGTAGTGATGAATTCAATTTGTTAATGTTTTGTTGAGAATTTTTGCATCAGTGTTCATCAAGGATACTGACCTGTAGTTTGTTGTTGTGTCTTTGCCAGGTTTTGGTATCAGAGTGACACAAACTTCATAGAATGCATTTAGAGAGGAGTCCCTCCTTGATTTTTTGAATAGTTTCAGTAGGGTTAGTACCAGCTCATCTCTGTAGATCTGGTAGAATTCAGCTGTATGTCTATCTGGTCCAGGGTTGTGTTTTTTTTTTTTTTTATTGGTAGGGTTTTTTATGACTGATTCAATTTCAGAACTTAATATTGATCTGTTCAGTGTTTCCATTTTTTCTTGATTCAGTCCTCAGAGGTTGTGTGTTTCCAATTACTTATCCATTTCCTTTAGATTTTCTAGTGTGTGTGCATAGGGGTATTTATACTAGTCTCTTTTGTATTTCTGTGGGATTGGTTGTAATGTCATCTTTGTCATTTTGGATTATGCTCATTTTGATCTTTTTTTTTCTTTGTTAATCTAGCTAGCAGTCTATCAATTTTGTTTAGCCTTTCAAACAATCAACTCTTGGTTTCATTGATTCTTAGTATGCATTTTGGAGTGTCAATTTTGTTTAGGTCTGCTCTAATTTTAGTTATTCATTTTCTTCCACTAGCTTTGTAGTTAGTTTGAGTTAGTTTGTTCTGGTTTTTCTAATTCTTCTAGGTCTTATTTTTCCTGGTCTTGTCTATTGGGAAAGCTTTTGATTGTATTTTGAAATTCCTTAAGTGAGTTTTTTGTATTCCAGAAGCTCTGATTTATTTTTAAGATGTTTATTTTCTCTTTCATTTTCTGAGCTGCTGTAGAAGTTTCCTTGTGTTGATTTCCAACTTTCTCCTGGGTCTCATTGAGCTTCCTTCCAATTCATGCTTTGAATTCTTTACCTGTCATTTCTGAGTTTCCATTTTTATTATTCACCATTGCTACAGAGCTAGTGTGATCCTTTGTTGGTGTCATGACATTCAGATTTCTTGTGATACCAGAATTATTCTGCCAGCTCTTCTCATCTGGAGATACTGGCACTTCTAATTTTTGTAATTATTTTCATAGGTTTTTTTTCTGTTTCTCTTTTCTTACCATATTGAGTTGTTTTTATTCCCTTTCCCCCACCCTAGGGGTTGTGACTGTAGAGAATGTTGAGCAGAATCATTTAGCTTTGCTTCTATAGTCCTGTGCACCCTGGTCAGCAGGTTTATATTGGGCTGTTTATTTTGACCTACAGGTCAATAGATGGTGATTATAAGTAAGAGCCAAGTGAAGCCAATGTGGATGGATATATACTTGATCCTTGTTTCCTGAGAAAAGCTCTCTGTTGCCTCAGGTAGTGGTCTGATCTGTGGAGTGCACAGTGGTCTGAGCTTCCTAATGAGCCCCAAGGTGACAAATCAAGATGGGCAGGCCCAGACCCAGCAGACCCTCCTACTGGTTCCCTGAGGCAGCCACAAGCACTAGTGCTAAGCAAGAATTCAATGGGTATCCACCAAGTACCCAGAGGTGTGCCTAAGCATGGAGCTGAGAAACCCCCTTAGCCGCCAGTTCTCTGCACTGGCATGAGGGCCAGCCTAAATTCCTAACCCAGGAGAGTTAGTGCAGCAAGTGTTTGGAGATCTGCCTGGACTTGGAGTGCAAAGGGCCCCACTACACCACAATCTCTGCACAGGAAGGGTGGGCAGCTCAGGCCAGTAATTCAGAGGACCTGTTGCTCTGAATGCCTGAATGCCTGGAGATATGACTAGGTGTGGAGCAAAGATGGCCCCACTTCACCACCATTTCTGCATAGGAATCATGGGGAAGCTCACACTGCAGATCCAGGTATGTGAGTGTTCTGACTACTGGGCATAGAGTGGAGAAGACCCTGCTCCACCACAATCTCTGTGCAGGAAGGTTGAGGCAGCTCACACTACCAGTTCATGTAAATAGGTGCTCCAAATGCCTGGAGATCTGCTTAGGTATGGAGTACAGTGATCCCCTCTGAGCCAGTATCTCTGCCAAGGAAAGTTGGGGTGACTCAGGCTGCTGAACCAGGCAAGCAGGAGCTCCATATGCCTGGATCTCTGCCTAGACTTGAAGCAGAGAGAGCCAACTTGCACCAGGATTTCTGTACAGGGAGGGTTGGGTGGGTCTGACTGCTGATTTGGGTAAGCAGGTCATCCAAATACCTGGAGATATACCTGGGAGTGAAGCAGAGAGGGCCCTGCTGCACCTCAATGTATGCCCAGGAAGGATGGGTAGCTCAGGCTGCTAGTCCAGGCAAATGTGTGCTCCAAATACCTGGAGTTCTGTCTAGGGGTGTAGCAGAGAAAGTTTCACTGTTTCCTGATCTCAGAGGAGCAGGCTGAGGCACCCAGCAATGACACACACAGACTGGTTCCAGGTCATCAAACTGGCCCTGGCTGCCTGTCTCGTCACCTAGGAGAAACTGCAGCTGTAGCAGCTCTCCTCCCACCCAGGCCTGTGATGACAGAGAGCACAACTGAAGTGCCTACTACTGAGGTGCTTTTCACAATTCTAGCTGTGGAGGCCCCTACCTCACTCCAGAGCGAGTGCTCCAATATCTGGCCCAAGACAATGATGCCTGCATGACCATGCTGCTGGGTACCTGGCAATTGGCTGACTTTGTATGCACCCAGATTGAAAATGGTGTCTTACTCTTAGTCATGGGTCTGGGAATGCCTGCAGCTTTTCCCAGTGTATTTCCCTCTCAGCACCTCCAAGCCTCTTCCCAAGGTAGCTTTGGGGCTTGGGAGAAACTAAGTGCCCTCCCTCGGCTTGGGTTATTCAGATCCCAACTGGAAAGGTGAGTCACAAAGGGGGGCTCTCTGCTTCTCTCACTTACTGGGGCTTAACTCACTTCTATCAGCTGTAACACCATCATGGGGACTGTTTGCCCACATTCTCCTCCCTGGCACCTGGGGCGTCCTTCATGATTCCTGTGGATTCCCATTTTCCTTCCTGAATTACAGCTCAGAGAGTTGATCTTTATGTACCATCTTACCATTTCCATGAGGCCAAGGCATGCCAAAAGCTCTAATCCACCATCTTGAGAATAAAATAAAAATAAAAAGTTTAAATAAATAAAGTGTTCTAAACAAATATCAAAACACATAATAAAGCTACAGTAATCTAAATAATACAGCAAAATAGTGACAGACAAAGCAATTAAAAAGAATGAAACAAATGAATTTGGTATTCTACATGAATTAAGGAGAACTATTTTTTAAATGGAGCTAAATCAGTGAGTTAATTATGGAAATGGCAAGAAATCAAGTTTGGATCCTTACCTAAATCCACAAAAGAAAACTCTAACTGGAGCATAGGCTTCAAAATTAAAAATAAAACTATTTTCTTCTGAAAACCAAACAAGAGTATAAATAAATGCCTATCTGGTCACAGAATGAAAGAGGAATTTCTAAACATAAAAACAATGGAACAAACCACAAAGAATAACCAAAAAAAAAAAAGATTTGACAGGAAAAAAAATTTAAGCTTTTATTTAAAAACTTCAAAACAATTGAAAGTTTAAAAAATATGTCTGGAAAAGTATTTGCCACAAATATAAGAGATAAAAACCCTTGCTTTCTTAATCATCAATATAAGATTAATAAAAAGACATTAATACTCTAATAGGAATGGGGCAAAGGACATGAACGAACAATTCCCAAAAGAAATAAAACTGGCTAACAAATACTTTTAAATCCACTTTTAAATTCAACTTCTTTAGTGGTCAAAAAGTAAAAGAATAATGTGATAAATCTTTTTGCCATTATACTAGCAAATATTCAGACAGGCAATTATAACCAGTGTTGATGAGAATATGTTGGAATAGACTCTATACTCCTGGCACCACTGATGAGCATGTTAATTATATAAGCTTCCAGGAAAGCAATTTGTCAGTATATAAAAAGAGCCTTTAAAATGGGCATTTCCTTTAACCCAATATTCAGGTGAAGTTTTATGTATATGGTTATTTGTCAAAGTGTTGCTAATAATAGAAAAAGATTGAAATTATCTACACATATGCACAAGCATACATACACAGACAGACCAGAAAGAAACATGCAAAATATTAACAGTATTGCTAGATCAGAGCATTATGGATAAATTTTACTTTTCTTCCATTTACTTCCCTAAATTTTCTAATCTTTCTGGTAGTATCTATTACATAATTTTATTTTCTTCATATTTTTCTCTGTTTGCTGGAGTTTCTCTGATTTTTCTTAGAGAAATGCAGTTTCCTACACAGAGAAAACAGGGCTTAAAATTAAGGAATATAAGAAATATTTAAATGTATCTAGATTTTTTTTTATTTTTTTATTTTTGACACTTTATTTTTTATTTTTTTAATTTTTTTTATTTTTTATTTATTATTATTATACTTTAAGTTTTAGGGTACATGTGCACAATGTGCAGGTTAGTTACATATGTATACATGTGCCATGCTGGTGCGCTGCACCCACTAACTCGTCATCTAGCATTAGGTATATCTCCCAATGCTAACCCTCCCCACTCCCCGCAACCCACAACAGTCCCCAGAGTGTGATGTTCCCCTTCCTGTGTCCATGTGTTCTCATTGTTCAATTCCCACCTATGAGTGAGAATATGCGGTGTTTGGTTTTTTGTTCTTGCGATAGTTTACTGAGAATGATGGTTTCCAATTTCATCCATGTCCCTACAAAGGACATGAACTCATCATTTTTTATGGCTGCATAGTATTCCATGGTGTATATGTGCCACATTTTCTTAATCCAGTCTATCATTGTTGGACATTTGGGTTGGTTCCAAGTCTTTGCTATTGTGAATAATGCTGCAATAAACATACATGTGCATGTGTCTTTATAGCAGCATGATTTATAGTCCTTTGGGTATATACCCAGTAATGGGATGGCTGGGTCAAATGGTATTTCTAGTTCTAGATCCCTGAGGAATTGCCACACTGACTTCCACAGTGGTTGAACTACTTTACAGTCCCACCAACAGTGTAAAAGTGTTCCTATTTCTCCACATCCTCTCCAGCACCTGTTGTTTCCTGACTTTTTAATGATTGCCATTCTAACTGGTGTGAGATGGTATCTCATTGTGGTTTTGATTTGCATTTCTCTGATGGCCAGTGATGGTGAGCATTTTTTCATGTTTTTGACTGCATAAATGTCTTTTGAGAAGTGTCTGTTCATATCCTTCACCCACTTTTTGATGGGTTGTTTGTTTTTTTCTTGTAAATTTGTTTGAGTTCATTGTAGATTCTGGATATTAGCCCTTTGTCAGATAAGTAGGTTGTGAAAATTTTCTCCCATTTTGTGGGTTGCCTGTTCACTCTAATGGTAGTTTCTTTTGCTGTGCAGAAGCTCTTTAGTTTAATTAGATCCCATTTGTCAATTTTGGCTTTTGTTGCCATTGCTTTTGGTGTTTTAGACATGAAGTCCTTGCCCATGCCTATGTCCTGAATGGTAATGCCTAGGTTTTCTTCTAGGGTTTTTATGGTTTTAGGACGAACGTTTAAGTCTTTAATCCATCTTGAATTGATTTTTGTATAAGGTGTAATGAAGGGATCCAGTTTCAGCTTTCTCCATATGGCTAGCCAGTTTTCCCAGCACCATTTATTAAATAGGGAATCCTTTCCCCATTGCTTGTTTTTCTCAGGTTTGTCAAAGATCAGATAGTTGTAGATATGCGGCGTTATTTCTGAGGGCTCTGTTGTATCTAGATTTTTAAGCATTCAAAATATATAAGAAATGTTAATATTGGCTGATATTTTGATAATCCATAGAAGGTAACAAAAAAAAGGCTGCTATATTAAACCTGACTTGCACAAGGAGAACATGTGGGCTATGTGGCATGTTCCCATTTCAGAAGTGAACCAGTCGATTGTACATAGTCTCTGGGACTTTATCTTCTTATTTCCTAGTCATAGAGCCAAACTTCTGGTTAATAAGTTCTAAATGTGCTTCCAGTCCGTCCATTTTCACCTGAGGCTGTTAGAGTCCACAGACAGCTAGGATTATTCTGGAACTTAGACGGCTTTGGTCCTGGTGATTTGAACTTTTTCCTGGCAGTTCCTAGTTTGATCTGACTTTTGTCCTCAAACACACAATGCTAGAGACAATCATCCCTCCAGACATCAAGGAATTGTTACTGGATTTTCAGAAACAGATAACAGCTTTCAGACTTTTTTAGGGGGTGGGGAAGAGAGAGTTTCATAAAATGATACTTACCTTTACTATGAGGTAAACACTCTGATTATTTTCTATTTTATTTTTTTCTGTTCTGTTCTGTTTCATTTATTTTTTTTAAACCACTTAGTTCATTTCAAGAGCTTCCAGTTGGTCCTAATCCTAAGGGTGAAAATCACTGGGCCAGAAAATATGGAGGCTGCAGGCTGGGCACGGTGGCTCACGCCTGTAATCCCAGCACTATGAGAGGCCGAGGTGGGCGGATTGCCTGAGGTCTGGAGTTCGAGACCAGCCTGACCAACATGGAAAAAACCCATCTCTACTAAAAATACAAAATTAGCCAGACATGGTGGCACAAGCCTGTAATCCCAGCTACTCAGGAGGCTGAGGCAGGAAAATCGCTTTAACCTAGGAGGCGGAGGTTGCGGTGAGCAGAGATCGCGCCATTGCACTCCAGCCTGGGCAACAAGAGCGAAACTGGGGAAGGGAGGGGAAGGGAGGGGAGGGGAGGGGGAAGAGTGGAGGATGCTAGCTGACAAAAAACGAAAGTAAGAAGCTGAACAAAACTCAGAAATGATCACAGTCAGGTTTTCAGAAATGGAGCAAAGGACTGATCTGTGCAGAATGGGGTATTCAGTTCATATGAGTCCCCTATACAGAGTTTCTGGAAGTGGTGACTTAAAAAAAAAAAAAGCAAAGATGATTTAAAATGTGATGTGTTATACAGAACTGACATTAAATAAAGAATGAGATTGCTATTCTTATTTTAGTCGTATTCCATTCATTCTGAAGGCCATAATTGTTAATTCTGGCTACAGAAAACTCTTCTTATTTATTTTTGCATTGATCAAATAAGCACATGGAACTATAATTTAAAATAATGGCAAAGGTTTATATAGCCTTCCTTTGTGCCATGAGCTATTTAAAAAACTTTTCACATATTTTATCTCATCTTCTTTATAACTCTGTAAGTTAAGTACAATTAATATTCCCATGGTAGAAATTAAAACACTGAGACTCAGAGAAATTCAGTAACCAGCTCAAGGCCACAAACTGGTAAGCACCAGAGCAAGGATTTGAACCCAGGCAAGCTTGCCTATGCTTTTAAATACCATTCCATGATTCAGAGTCCAAAAGGATAACCAGTGAAAAGTAAGGACTGCTCTACTTTCAGCCATCCACCCACCCTCTTCCCCACACAGAGACAACCACTGTCACTATTTTCTTATAAACACTTCCAGAGATATTCCATATGTATAATAAATAAATATATATGTGTGTTTGGGCCGGGTACAGTGGCTCACGTCTGTGATCCCAGCACTTTGGGAGGCCGAGGCCAGCAGATTACTTGGGGTCAGGAGTTCAAGACCAGCCTGGCCAACATGGTGAAACCCCATCATTACTAAAAATACAAAAAATTAGCTGGGTGTGGTGGTGCGTGCCTGTAATACCAGCTACTCAGGAGGCTAAGGCAAGAGAATCCCTTGAACCCAGGAGGTGGAGTTTGCAGTGAGCCAAGATTGTGCCACTGCACTCCAGCCTGGGTGACAGAGTGAGACTCCATCTCAAAAAAAAAAAAAAAAAATACACCAAAAAAAAAAAAATTGTGTGTGTGAATGTGTCCTACAAATGAAACTTTTCTCATATAACGATCCACTTCCCATGAAACCGGCCATGGAGTTTTAGCAGCTCTATTCTATTCTATGGACCGAGTGCAGTGGCTCACACCTGTAGTCCCAGTACTTTGGAAGGACCACTATGGGAGGATTGCTTGAGCCCAGGAGTTCGAGATCAGCCTGGGCAACACCGGGAGACTCTGTCTCTACAAAAAATAAAAATAAATTAGCCAGGCATAGTGGCACACACCTGTGGTCCCAGCTACTCAGGAGGCTGAGGCAAGAGAATCTCTGAGCCCGGGAGGTCGAGGCAGCAGTGAGCCATGATCATGCTACTGCACTCCAGCCTGTGCAACAGAGCAAAACCTTGTCATAAATATATATATATTCATATATATATGAATGCACAGTAACTTTTGCTAATCATTATTGAGGAGTATTTATTTTATTGTAGTCTTTTGCTACATCAAACAATGCTTCAACAAATCACCTTGTACATAAGGTCATTTGACACAGTCATAAACAAATCTTCAGGCCACATTCCTAATTGTATAATTTCTAAGTAAATGGATACGGGCATTTTTTTATATCTGTGTTGACAAAAAGAGAGTATGCCTCAGAATTACAGCCTTCAACAATCCACAGTGTCTAGCTAGACCTTAACAACGTTTCATTTGTTTTTACTTTTAAGTAAGATTATCGAGTATTTATGACTAGCGATATTAGTTGTTCATTTATACAAATTATAGAAACCTTATTGACATTAGTGAAACAGTGAGCAAGTCTTTAAAATATTTCTTATATAAATATTAAAGATGGTGCATCAAGGTAGTATTTGAATGATTAAATGTGGAAAGACTTACGATTGCTAATGGTTTCCTTGGACTGCCTGTAACAGGAGACCGAAGAGTGGGAGGTGTATAACCATTTTAAAACATCTGATTTACTTCTATAGTTTTAGTATGTTTAAATAGTTTTACGGTTACAGGAACAGGTACCTCCACTCTCATTGAGTACCACCTGGCTCAAAGTCATTCTTTATAACTAGTTTGACAGCTTTAACCTTATTCAAAATGACAGTACCCTCAGATGTCTTTGCGTGGTGATTTCACCCTCACTCACAGATTATGCTGACCTCTTACTCTGCCTCATGGTAACTCTTGTTTTCCTTCTCCCCAATGCCTAGCAAAGGGTATTTGATAAATGCTGACTACTTAACATGTTTATTCAAGCTTTCCCAAGTAATTGCATCATTGAATTCTATCCATAGACATGTTTCATAGGTTTTTATATACATTGCTGGACTTACAATTTGTCTGCCACTTTCTGCTTGCCAAAACACTCTTGAGTTGAACTATGTGGCCTGTAATATATCTTTAGTGTGTTTAAGATGCCCTTGGGATTCATTTTATCTTTCCTTTTCCACATAGCTATTCTGAATAAAAATACATGTTTCCACAAAACATATGAACCATATTAGATGTGGTCTTGCCCTGTGAACCTAGATAAGAAGTTTACTTAAGGAAAAAAAAAAAAAAAAAAAAAAAAAAAAAGCATGCCTATGCAATACTTTCCTTCGTTCTTTCACCAAGGAAAGTAACTGCAAAGTATGCTCTTTAGTGATTTCAAAAACACTCTGTTATGAACCTCAAATTGCTTTGGATTTGAATTTGGTTCCAAAATATATTCCATAAGTATTGTATTCTGTTACCTGATATTTCTATATCAAATTATCAGTCAAATATAATGTCCAAATCCATTTACAGAAAATTCTGATCTTTGACCCAGAGGCTGCTTTTTCAAATCCCAGGTTGGAAGCATTTAGTTATACAAACCCTGCACTGTGAACTTATAACCATACTACTGCGAAGTGGCCTTTGCTTCTTTTATATGTTTCCACAAAGATTAAAGTTTAAAACTGTGTGGGAGTCCAAGCATTGCTCACATTATTTCAAGTGTAAAGTGCCACAGCTAATTTTATTTGTAATCCAGTTATTTTTAACAGTATTTCTCTTCTTATTCAAAATATATATTTAATATAGATACAACATTTTGATTATTGGACAAAAATAAAATAATGGTGGAATTATTGACTTCAAGGCTAACAATTCTATCTTTCAAGGTCTACAATCCACCCAAGAAAGATAAACTACAAATTCTGCAAAGAAAAAGAGTCTTAAAACTATCTTAATTTCATTTCAGTGTGTCACATCAGTTTTCAATCTTGTTCCAAGTATCTACTAATGCTAAAAGTGTCAATCTTTTCAATCACTCTGCAAATAAATAGAACCATCTTTTTAAAATCTTTATATTGTTTTTAATATTATTTAAAATATTAGGATGCATATAAGGCTTTCTTTTCCTAGCTAAATAAAGAATATTCCTTTGATACTATTTTACAGTAATTTGACAGCTTTTTGCCTTAATCCAAACAATAAGTGCTTATTGAGGGAAGTAATCGACATCAGATTTTTCCCATTAGGTTTCATATAATGAGCCTGGACTGCCTAGACTTCTTATTTTGTAATAGTATCTGCAGCCACCACTTATTACACACCTGCTATTTGTCTGTGTCTTGTAAATATGAAAACATAGACTATTTTCTATAAACATTACAACGACCCCATGATGTAAATATTATTATTGTCTCCAGTTATGGATAAGGAAATCAGGGTCGGAAAAGTGAAGTATTTCCCCAATTGTGCATATCTCATATGAAGCAGAATTGAGATTTAAGCCCAGGATCTCAAGCCAAATCCTTAAATACCATGCTTGTACACTGCCAAGTTAACAAGGTAGGGCCTTTTGTTTGATGTATATTTAGTCTTACAGAAGGTGAGGAAAAAAAGCTTTATTCTAAGGTCATATGTTGCAAAAATAATATTAATCAAGCAGTAAACTACAGGTAGATATTATTGATTTAACAGAAGAAAATTGCTTTTTTTTTTTTTTCTTTTAGGAGTCTCGCTCTGTTGCCCAGGCTGGAGTCCAGTGGGGTGATCTCAGCTCACTGCAGCCTCTGCATCCCAGGTTCAAGCAATTCTCCTTCCTAAGCCTCCAGAGTAGCTGGGATTACAGGCATGGGCCACCACGCCCAGCTAATCTTTGTATTTTTTAGTACAGATGGGGTTTCACCATGTTGGCCAAGCTGGTCTCAAACTCCTGACCTTAAGTGATCCACCTGCCTAGGCCTTCCAAAGAGCTGGGATTACAAGGTGTGAGCCACCATGCCTGGCCTAAAAGAAGATAATTGCTTTTGATGAGCAACTTATCCCTTAATATTGGAAATTACTAAAATATATATTACTAATAATTGGTCAGTGTCTTTCACTTTTATCCTATGTTAATTTATTCTTCATTTAATTCCATTGTTTCCTGATTGTTTTTCAATTTTGTGTTTCATTGTGACCTCTATTTTCTTTTCTTTTTGTACCCGTTAAGTCTACATTAGGTATTCATGGTACAGTGATGTAGAATTTAATTCCAAGTGGAGATAGATCTTTATATGTATTATGATTATGTGCCTCCCTTTCTCTATGTATATACATCCTCTCTAGCTGTATATAAAATTCTTCTTAAGAAACAGAACATTGGTTTATTCAGAACTACATCCTCTACAATTTAAAAGCTTTCAGGAGCCATTTTATATTTGCAGAATATCTCAATTGTTTTGAGTGGCTTTTCAAAACAAGATACTACAGCCAGGATTTTTTTTTTCCAAAAGGCACCTGGAATTAGAGACAGAATTGGCACTCTGTGCTATTAAATCAAAACTCCCCCATCTGTTTCTTAATACCCTTGCAACATGGAGGCCAAAGGTTTAAATAGACAGCCAAATATTTATCCATTGGGCTAAATTTCTACTTACCTTTGAATATGGCACTTTATCACTGCTGTGTTGTACTGTATTAGTCATATAAAGTCATATGTAGCTAAAATACAACTGCATTCACTTTAGAAAATACCTGGAAGTGAAATGCATGGGAGAAATATGCTCGAACACTATAATATGTTGGTTAGATGGCTTTTCTTCAAATGTATTGCAGCATTTGGTCTGTAGTGTGGAAAAGGTGTACAAAAAATAGAAACTGACAGATTTTTAAAAATTCCTTATATAGACATCATAAAAGGGTAACAGACATGGCTTAATTCATTTACTAAGTTTTTGTTTAATTAGTTGATAATATTTAACTATCAAAATGCTTATGTGAAAACCCAGATTTCCAGCATTTTTTTATCGTAAGATCTGATTACCATGAGCTGAGTCTCTGCTGTCCCTTAGTCAGAGGATGGACCTCCAATTTGCTGTTGTCTCCCCTCGCCTGCTTCACTGATTTGTATTACCTTCCTAACTTGTGTTGAAGACGGAATTTGTGGCTCTGTAAGAACTTAATGGACTCTGAAAGATGCCACAGGAAAATTGACTCAATACAGTGAAGTATGGTGAGGCCAGTGACAGATTAACTCATTACTAACAAAACCACAATAAAATGCATTATACGCACTGGTCAGCCGAGCCTTGGACAACTAGATAGATCTAAAGCATCATAATTCATGAAAGCTCTATAATATTAATAACAGATTTGCCCCACCTGAGATTTTTTTCCCCTCAACAAAAGTATCAAAAACAAGATAAATTAAGAAATTTTAGAGAACTTAGGTTTTTAGCATGTCAATAAATATTCGCTGTTTTTCCAAAGGTCTAGAAACCCTTGACTGAAGTGGGCTTTTCCACCTACAACTGGGTCATTTTAATACCTAAGGAAACTGCAAAATGCTTCTATTCTTAGCAGAGTCCTCTGAACCAAAAATGACTGATGGAGCAAATACAGACTCCAAAAGTGTGCCCAAGAAAGGAAAGGAAATCCCTAAATCTAATCCCAAACAGATTACTTCTAAAGAGTTCCTCCAGTAAATAAAAGAAACAATATAAATTGCAACTTTCAAAAAAACTCTCATTTGTTTATTTTTACACCATTTGTGAAGAAATGTTAGTAAGAGGTAACATTCTGGAGTCTTCCACAGTTACAGTCCTGTCTTAAATCTCAATATGATGTACAACTGTCAAGACCAAGATAGAACTTGACCTAATTATGACAGTATCTTTCCATCACAATAGCACTGATTAAGGGCTTAGTTTACGTTTAGACAATTCTCTACCTTTAAATGGCATTTATATTAATTCATCTTATGTTGCTGACAGAAAAGCTCAGTCATAATGTATTGTCAGGTGTTTTTATCTCATGCAAGAGCTTGCTCTCATGAGCAATTAAAATCTAATTAAAGTCATTAATGTTTATTCCTTTGGGAAATATAGTTATTCATAGACATCAGAATCTTTTATGTTTTCCCACCACTATATAATTCATATTTTGTTTCTCACTTCTAAGACTCTTCAGGAGTTATTTTCCTATCACCCTAAAATAGAAATATACCCTTTGGCATTGTTTTCAACATTTGCCAAAGCTATTTGCAGTTAAATTGAATAAAAAATGAATAATGTGTTTATTAGGAGTCTCAGGAGCAGAGATGCAACTTTTCTCATTATGTTATATTAATGTTTCTGCTCAGCTACATGATAGTAATAATTTTATAACATAAATAGTAGATTAAGTTTTGAAAAGTCATAACATCTACAGGAACATACCTGGACCGGAAATTCTTCCACATAGTGGCAATATCCTTTAAATCAACGTAAAAATACAAATATGGTATAAACTTTTAAAATTTAATTTTCCTGGGAAGTGTTTTTATTTTTTAAAACTAGGATGCATTTTTGTATTGATATTATAATATTTCTATGAACACATTCTCCAATATACCTAGAGGGTCCTTAACTAAATAATACATGTATTAGAAAAGAAAGACAACAAAATTTTTTATACTGTTTACCTATCATTGCACAAGTCATATACTCTATTTCAAAGGACAAATAAGCATAAATGTTAATAGACAATAATGATACAACTTTTTGAGCATTTACTGTGCCCGCCACTGGTTTAAATGTTTCATCCACCTCATTAAATCCTCATATCTTATTAGGATTATCCTCTTTTAACAGGGGAAACTGGAGCACAGAAAGATTAAGTAACTTGTCAAAAGTCAATCAGCTAGTAAATGATGGAGCCAGAATACAGTTGACTCTAGTGCCTGGACTTCCACCATCTTTTCCTATGCTATACTGTCTCCTAAATTCAGAGCTTCTCCCTTTTTGAAGTTGTAGTTATTCAAGTGCTATCTATGAGTTCTGAACCTTCCTGACATTCATTGAATGACTGCTTCTGTGACACTATTGCAAAGTAGTTAAAATAAGTATATATTCAGCCACCATGCCTGCCACTTTACAAACTACATGGATCTAGGCTTGTTATTTAAACTCTCTAAGCCTCAGTTTTTCATTCATAAAATGGTACGTACCTCATAGAGCTGTTCAGAAAATTAAACAAAGAATGCAAGTAAAGCACTTCACTAAATGTCTGGCTCATAGAAAGCAATCGATAGATGTTAACTATTACTATGGCTTTAGTGTTCAAGTGCATGCATAAGGTGCTCTTTTAAGGAGTCAAGAGACTTCCAGGAATCATCAAATAAAAACACAATTTCATGTCTGATACAAGGCTGTGTTGCTTTTGTTTTTGTTTTTGTTTGTTTAAACACTAAAACAGGGAGCCTTTCAACAATGTGGATATTATCCATGAAATAAATAATCAATGATCTTACTGCTGGAGTTGCAGATTTTTCTGGTAGATTAAGAATACAAATTAAATAGGGAAGTAGCTATGCCTTTCAAGCTGTTGTTTTAAAAAAAACAGTACTTCTTAATGGTATATAAGAATAATGGTGAATCAGAAATATTTTGTAAGAATTTTGTAAAAATCTGTAAGACAGTCCTAACACTGTCTTTAGTACTCTCTACTAAAAGCCAATAAATGATACTTAGAAAATAAGGTATTGAAATAACATCCCTATGGTTATGTCCTCCTTGTCTATATGGCAAATATTTTTAAGAATATTTTTACCCAAATTTACTATCCTTTCATCTATGAATGTTACTGTTAGTGGTTCCCAAACTTTAAATCACCCTAAAGATGATGACGATTTTAATCAAGTGAGGTACATTATTGATAAAAGGATTTCAAAAAGGTAGAATTACTGTGATACTAAAGAGTTTTAGGTTTCAGGGTCCCTCATTTGCATGGGGTCCTTCCAAGACCCTGGGATGTTGAGTGGGAGATGCATTTGGTTTGAGTTTAATGTGCATTATTTATGTGGCTCACAGTCACTTCCCTGTATAGTTAAGTTATTGCTGGCTTTCCTAGTATAGAAATGGATTCCAAAAATACTCCTAATGCCCACTGTGGTGAGTTATCCAGCATTTTTTTTGCAAAGGTGAGAGACAGAGTCCTATCATGATATGAATATGCCTATGGTAGTCAAAACTGGAATTATGTGAGAAGAAATTAGATTGTGAATGTATGGAACCATAAGTTGATATGTGGAAAATAATTATACAGATGTGTTGGCAGTTATTTAATAAAAATATAATTTCTCTGAATCTTTCACTGTTTGAGGGTTTTGTCCCAGCTTTTTAAACTATTCAATCGGTTACTTTTTTCTAATTTTAAATAAATGTGGACTTTTATGCTTAACTTTGCATTTGTAATTTTGTATCCTTTTACATAAAAGAGCTCAAACCACATAGGCTTTAGTCCCACAAAACCTGGATCTACCTTGACCATAATATGTAATAGAAGACTGATTATCCTATTTCCCCACTTTTCCCAAATAGAATTATCTTAAGGTCAAATAAAATCTTTCTCACTGCAAAAAAAAAAAAGGCTTCTATGAAAAAATAAAAGTATAAGAGAATCAGAACCCAGCCAAATTAGGAATAGGAAATCTTTAAAAATCCTCATTTGGGCACAGTGGCTCAAGGTCTGGCAGAAGGATCACTTGAACCTGGAGGTCAAGGCTACAGTGAGCTGTGATTGCTTCACTGCAGTCCAGCCTGGATGACAGAGTGAAACCCTGTCTCAAAAAAAAAATTAATTTAAATTTATAAAGTTAAAAAAATAAAAAACTCAATTACTGTTCTTCACATGTCAACATAATGATCCATAAATACATTAATTTCAGCATCCATTCACATAGTCAAGGTATGCAATAATTTTATCTGAGCTAACACCTTTTAAGTATGAAAGATATTAATCTAATTTTAAAATTAGTCTTTTTGGAATATGCCTAGTACCTGAGAGAAAAGGTTGGCACAATTTAACCTTGATAAAGGCACAAAACTATACACACCCATGTATAAATACAAATGCAAAAATCTTCAATTTTTCAATTTTAGGAAGACCAAAGTAAGAACGGCTACAATCCAGAATTTTCCAAAAGCGTTAAATTCATTCCAGGGAAGGATTGCCTGAGTCTATGGCAGTCTTCATTTACTGGTCACCCTAAAATTTCATCTAAAAAGTTTTGGTCAATATTTGAATTGATCTAAAATTTCCACCCTGCCCAGGGAATCCCAGAAGCTGGTATTCATCACCAAACACTTGTATAATATCCATTGAGCATTTTGTTCCAGGCATCATAAGCTACCTAAAAGCCCATCTTGATTTTACAGTAATTGACATAGCAAGTGAAATGATACTGGGCTATTAAGTGCCATATGAAATGTGTGAAAACGTCACTGAATCAATAGATGATATATTCATTTAAACTAACTCCTGGGGCAGGGTGGGGGGAAGGCATTGAATTCAGCATGATGAAAAGATTGTAATTTATTAACTGTAATCAGTAAATGCCCATAAGTTTGGCATTTACTCATACTCTGGCACAATAATAAAGAAAACCATAAAACCAGATTCCCCAAAGGCTAAGTACTTCAATATTTGGCAACTGGGGGCAATAGTCTTACATTTTGCCATGAAACCATTTTCTCCAAGAAATCTGCCGAAAGAGGATATTGGAATTACATAGTATTCTAGCTCCACCAAGTGACAGCTTTATATTGTTACTGCATTGCTGCTACTCATCGGCCAACCTCTGAGGGGTACACTAACAAAATTATACATTCTACTTACAACATGCTCATTCAGCCAGCCAGACTTGAGGGGATTTTTTTCCTATTCAATCATGATGCAAAAAAAATTGCATTTGTACTTCTAAAATTCTAGTCTCAGTTTGGCCTTCCTAATATGTATGTTTGAAATCGAAAATCTTATATAATTATTTGCAATTTATTATGTCACATTCCATTCCAAGTTTATGACTACTTTTGTTGAAAAAGTATGGGATACAATTTTACTATTCTACACAGACATTTGCGTTTTAGAAATTAAAGTTTATGTAATTCAAAGTAGTTATCTTTCTTTAAAAATCTACAAAGAAAACAAGTAAGAATCATGGACATTTTTAAAGAACAGTAATTTTCTGGCTCAGAATTCTTGTTTATAAGCTACAGAATAATAGGAGAGCTTTTTTGTCAAATAAAAGGCTACATTTCTTTTAAAAGTAGCATATGTTCATTATTTGAAATAAATAATTAACTTATGACACAGGAATATATTTTTAAAAGAGAACAAAAAATTTAAAATTATTCATAATTTCTTCACCCAAAAGTATCCAATATTATATTCTAGTGGATAATATCAGGTTATTTGCTAAACATATATTTACATATGTATCGGGAGGTACAAAAATAGCATGCTATAATACAAGCTATTTTGTAGTATGCTTCTTTTTTTTTCTTTTTTTGCATTTTCTTTTCTACATGCACAGCTGTGAGCTTTTTTCTTCATGAAGGTTATAATGTATAATATGGTATTACACAGCTGCATAGTATATCAATGTATGAACATATTCTTACTGTATATCCAATGTCCAATTGTTAAACTTTTTTGTTGCTGCCAGTTTTCCTCTATAACAGGCAACTCTGAATATACAATTTTGCATGATATAGTTTTATTAATATCAGATTAAAGTACCTTTAAAGCAAAAAGCATTATTAACAAAAAAGAATTACTACTTCATGTTTAAAAGGGTCATTTCACCAAAATAACAGAAAAATTTTAACTTGTCTACATCTAAAGCATAACTTTAAAAGCAAAAATTGACAGAACCAAATGATGTTGACATTATATAAGGAATTCATACAGAGAGTTTTACGTATATAGGAAATTATATAAGGATTTTTACACTTTTGATTATTGCTAGGTAAGAGTATATTCTTACCCTCAAAATGGTAAGAATGTAGAAAATTTATATATATACTCAATGTTCATTTATTATTTCATAATTTAAATTTTAAAAAGTAAAAGGATATCCTTTTACCAAACTACAAAAATAAATGGATTGAGAATGAACCTTCTCAGCTGACTAGAAAATTGCACACATTCTACCTCCTAAATCATGTGAAGAAATGAAGAGTTCTCAAGAAACTTAAAGCTAGGAGACTGAAATTGATAAGCACTAGTGAATAGCAGCAGGGACCATATTTTCTGAACCATCCATTATGGGTGCCCCAGATGAGTCCCCACTAAGTAATGGTGTGTATTCCAAATGTTTTAAGTCAATTTTTTGGAACTCAGGATACATTATTCTCATAGAAATAATGTTGCAGACAATGTATTAATAGAATAGCCCACACAAGTCCACTTAACTCATACTATAGATGAATTATATTGTTAACTAACAGGCCCACAGAACCCAACCATCATCAACAGTATTGTTTCTCAGGGAAAATTAATACCAACTTCACCCCAAACAGCATAGTGCTTGTTTCCCCTAATGTAGCTCTAGGAATGAGAAGGTAAACTTTCCCCCACATGCTAACCAAAGCCACAGGGCTGGAATTCCAGTGACTCTAGAGGTTCTTGGAAGGAAATTTAGGAAATAAAAAAGCATCCCACAGTTCTAGCCCTCCCTCACCCACTACCCCAACCAAATCTGCCCAGCTAGACAGTCTCAGACACAACCAATGATAGTGAAGAAGAGTCCTGAGCACACCCAGAAGCTGCAATATCAGAACTTTTCATCCATTCCCAGTATGCTTTGTGAAGAGAGCCTATGGCAACCAGGCCTAGAAATGACTGCTCTGGTCAAGGTTCTTGTCTAAGGTAAGTATTTGAGTTCAGTATTCAATCAAGGGCCGTCTGAACTGTAGCAAATAAATATTACCAATAGGAGATTGGGGGATAGTAAGACATTCCCTTACCTGAAGCAGCAGAGACCAAGAACACATTATTGGGCCAGGGAGGCCCATCGGCCTGTCATTCACAGCACAGGATTGTGGGTAAATGGACTTTCTCTAGATACTCTATAACACCCTTGGGAGACAAGTGGGTGACAGGTACAATCCCTCCATTTTTCACCAAGCGTAAATGAAGCCCAGAAAGTGTAGGTGGCAGAGTTCCAGAAAGCTTTTCAAAAAGTAAGAAGCTAACCTTCCAAAGCCGGCCACTTTTCTTTCTAGGTGAAAAGTCTTGCATCAAGTACAAGTATTTCATGTTAAGACTTGCTAAAAAGTCTTTAGGGATTTGTTGATAAAGCATTGCTCAGGTCTCAGGGGGAATAAAATAGCAAATTATAACAGGGACATTTTGCAAATGTTTCAACTCTCAGCATAGCTAATTATGCTTCCTAGGGCTTTTCCTAGAATTTTCTTGACTATTTGAATTAGTGATAAATTACTTGAATATTTCTTCTGATTACACATGAAATCAAACTTTCTTACTTCTAGAGTTTTTCTCCCTCTACTTCTTTCCTAATTATCTGGACTAATCAGAAAGAACACTGATATCTACTCTGATTTCTAAGAAATATGTGATATATAATTTTTATCCACACGTCAGACTTACCAAATTCATCTTCCAACTCTAGGAAAGATAGTTTTGTGATCTACTTTATGTTCAAATTATCTTTATAAATTATATTTTATTATGTAAGTCCATCTTTTCATCCCAAGTAGGACTTCTCAGAAATCTCCTTGGACTGAAAGAAGTAATAGTTATTGAAATACAGTATTTCAAAAAAAGATGACAAATACACAACATAGAAAAGAGAAAGAGAAAAAAACTGGCAGAATAATAACAATAGAGGTCTCTTACTCTCGTTATTTAAGCCATAGAAATTCTAGTTACACTTTCATCTGGCATCCCAATTGAAGTTCTTTAAGGCATTCAGCATGTCAACCTTCTCAGGATGTTTCTTCATCCTAAGGAAAAGAGTAACGTGCACTTCAGAAGTGTTCACTTTTTAAAAATTCATTTCTGAAAATAGATGCTAGCCTTCTCTGACTTCGTTTGTAGTCAAGTATAAGGTCCTTAACGCTCACTGTCTCCTGGGATAATTAGCTAGACAAGTAATTTAAAGTAACACAAATGCCAAAGAAGAACAATAAGAAAACTGGCCATTTTTGCTGGGTGAGTTATGGCTCCTAATGTCTCTGCTGTCATTTGGAATGTGTGAACCATGCTGGTAAATAAATGAAAAAGCCATAGGTGGCCACACAATCACAATGGTCAGGGGCAGGACAATGAATAAGGGAGAATAAGCTGGATCAGGGAACAAAGAAAGGGACTAGAGGCAAAATGAACTTCTTTCTTTCCATTAATCACAAGACTTTGTGCCTCTTTCTTCTCTATGACATACAATTTCCCCCTAAATCTGAGACTGATATCTAAGAATAAAAAGTGCATTTTAGTCTGGAGTTATTTTGCCACCAACCAGAGGACCAGTCACCCACAGAAACAGGGGCTGCCAGATTCTCACAGCTGCCCAGAATCAGCAGCTATGAAAAAGAGAAGCCTGCTGATTTTGCTGTCCTGTGCAGAAGAGGGGCAGCTTCATTATAGACACCTCCAAGGCAAGTTGGAAGTGAGAATAGGTTGACTCCAAACAGAGCTGCAGTGAAAGGGTTGACTCCAAACAGAGCTGGAGAGAGAATCTACCATGTACTAATGACAAGAGAAAAATAAAGTCAAGAAAATAAAGAAATAAAGAAAAGTAAAGTCACAAGTAGCTTCAAGAATCTTGCCTGCAAGAATCTTATTTCAATATATGTAACTTGGGTTTTTATTTTCTCAGTTTCTCTACCACTATTTTTTTCATACAGTAGGCCATGTGTGTGTACATTGAATAAATGAATGGGATGTGGTCAGCTTCTCCCTACTAATGCTTCAAATCTTTACTGATGCTGGAGCTTAATAATGCTTACAGAAATTGTTTGGAGTTGTAAAAACATTCAGGGATGTAGATTTGTCAAAGAATATTAATTTATGTGAAGAGATAGACACAGTATATTGCTAAATTAACAATACAGTACAACAATCGTATATTGCTAAATTAAAAACAACAGTACACAAAACATAGTTATACTATGTTACTATTTTAGATACAATTATATATTCATTCATTCCATCAACAAATATTTATTGAGCTTCTACTATATGCCTGTCACTATTAAATTCATAACAATCTTTTGCTCTTGAAGATTAAATGGGGAGGAAGTAGAGAATCAACAATGACAATAAATAATAGATGTAATAAAATAAGTACATTACATAGTCTATTAGAAAATCCTAAATTCTCTTAAGAAAAGCACAGTGAAGCAGGACAATGGGGATTGGAAGCAGGCATTGGAGGTGGGGATGAAATGTGGAAATGGGTTGCAGTTTTAAATAGTGTGGTCAGGATAGGCAATTTTTGAATGTGGGATTTGAGCACAGACTAGAAGGCGAGGAGGTATGAGGGAGATTACCCCACTTGGAAAAGACAGCCAGAGCAAAGGCCTGAAGGTGGGTGTGCCTGAGGTGCATAAGCAACAGCAATGAGGTGACTGTGTCTAAAGAAGAGGAAACAAGTGAGAGAAAAAAAAGTTAGATAGGTACTAAAGGTATCAGATGATGTGGGTCCTTATATGACAAATGCAGTATTTTTTTATATTAATACTAGAAAGGCACAAGCTAAAATAATTTTCTTTTTTGCTGTTTTAGAATTGCAAATAATTTATATTTTCATTGTTCTTTTCTATGTACTACTTTAAAAATTAGGAAAAGAAGTTATCATAAGAAACAATTTTAATAAAATTTAGAATAAATTCAAGTTATGCTAATCCCTCATTCCCTATCACTGCTATGAAGATGGTATACCTTAAAAGTTCAGGCTATGGGCTGGGCGCAGTGGCTCACGCCCGTAATCCCAGCACTTTGGGAGGCCAAGGCGGGTGGATCATGAGGTCAGGAGATTGAGACCATCCTGGCTAAAACGGTGAAACCGTCTCTACTAAAAATACAAAAAAAAAAAAAAATGAGCCAGGCGTGGTGACAGGCACCTGTAGTCCCAGCTACTCGGGAGGCTGAGGTAGAAGAATGGTGTGAACCCAGGAAGCGGAGCTTGCAGTGAGCCAAGATCACGCCACTGCACTCCAGCCTGGGCAACAGAGGCTACAGTAACCAAAACAGCATGGTACTGGTACCAAAACAGAGATATAGATCAATGGAACAGAACAGAGCTCTCAGAGATAACGCTGCATATCTACAACTATCTGATCTTTGACAAACCTGAGAAAAACAAGAAATGGGGAAAGGATTCCCTGTTTAATAAATGGTGCTGGGAAAACTGGCTAGCCATATGGAGAAAGCTGAAACTGGATCCCTTCCTTACACCTTATACAAAAATTAATTCAAGATGGATTAAAGACTTAAACGTTAGACCTAAAACCATAAAAACCCTAGAAAAAAACCTAGGCATTACCATTCAGGACATAGGCATGGGCAAGGACTTCATGTCTAAAACACCAAAAGCAATGGCAACAAAAGCCAAAATTGACAAATGGGATCTAATTAAACTAAAGAGCTTCTGCACGGCAAAACAAACTACCATTAGAGTGAACAGGCAACCTACAAAATGGGAGAAAATTTTCGCAACCTACTCATCTGACAAAGGGCTAATATCCAGAATCTACAATGAACTCAAACAAATTTACAAGAAAAAAACAAACAACCCCATCAAAAAGTGGGCAAAGGACATGAACAGACACTTCTCAAAAGAAGACATTTATGCAGCCAAAAAACACATGAAAAAATGCTCACCATCACCGGCTATCAGAGAAATGCAAATCAAAACCACAATGAGATACCATCTCACACCAGTTAGAATGGCAATCATTAAAAAGTCAGGAAACAACAGGTGCTGGAGAGGATGTGGAGAAATAGGAACACTTTTACACTGTTGGTGGGACTGTAAAGTAGTTCAACCACTGTGGAAGTCAGTGTGGCGATTCCTCAGGGATCTAGAACTAGAAATACCATTTGACCCAGCCATCCCATTACTGGGTATATACCCAAAGGACCATAAATCGTGCTGCTATAAAGATACATGCACATGTATGTTTACTGTGGCACTATTCACAATAGCAAAGACTTGGAACCAACCCAAATGTCCAACAATGATAGACTGGATTAAGAAAATGTGGCACATATACACCATGGAATACTATGCAGCCATAAAAAATGATGTCCTTTGCAGGGACATGGATGAAATTGGAAACCATCATTCTCAGTAAACTATCACAAGAACAAAAAACCAAACACCACATATTCTCACTCATAGATGGGAATTGAACAATGAGAACACATGGACACAGGAAGGGGAACATCACACTCTGGGGACTGTTGTGGGATGGGGGGAGGGGGGAGGGATAGCTTTAGGAGATATACCTAATGCTAAATGATGAGTTAATGGGTGCAGCACACCAGCATGGCACATGTATACACATTTAACTAACCTGCACATTGTGCACATGTACCCTAAAACTTAAAGTGTAATAATAATAAAAGAAAAAAAAAGAAAAGAAAAAAAAAAGTTCAGGCTATGAGCACACATCTTGTAAGCCACAGTCTTTCTCCCCATAACACAGAAGATAAAAGAGAATCAATAGTCTCATGCAGCTCAAAGATCAGAGCTCACCCACACTAGGGCTGTTGCTCATTAGAGCCAGTGTCTCCAGTGGTTTCATCTGACAGACTCAGTGCCCTGCCATGTAGGCCTGTGACAGTCCCACCTGACCAATTCCTGCCTTAGCTGCTCCATTCAACAAACACTGACTGAGCACATATTACCAGGAATATGGATCTCTGCCGCTGTGGACCCAAAATCTAAGAGACTATCTGCTAAACCAACAATTACAGTAAGCTGTAATAAAAGATATAATAAAGGTAAATAGAGGGTGTCCCCAGAAGAATAGCCTGAGCATGGTGTGGGAAGGATAAGAAAGCCTTCCAGGAAGGGAATGGCTGAGGTCAATCTTAAAGGATAAATGGGAATGAGGCAGCAGGATGGGTGGGCAGGCAACTTGGCAGAGAAGATAACTTCTGCAAAGGCATAAAAACAAAAGACAGACGTGTTTCTCAGACATTAATGTGAATATAAATCGCTAGAAGATGTTAAAATGTAGGTTTGGGTTCAGTAGGTCAGGGTGAGGCCTGAGATTTTGCATTTCTAACAAATTCTTAGGTGTTGCCAACACTGCTGGCTGAAGGACCACATCTGCTGGATGGGGACCACGCTTTGCAATACTGGAACTAGAGCAGTGTGTTTCCAAACTTTGCTGTATATTGGAATCATCTGGAGACTTTTTAAAAGTACTGATGCCTGGATCCACCCTCAGACATTCAGATACAGTGGATCTGAGATGCAACTTGCACATCAGAGCTTTTTAAGTCTCTCCCAGGTGGTCCTATCATGCAGCAACATTTGGGAATCATTGACATTCAAAAAAACAAAAGAGGATCCAATTCCTGTGGGGAATTGGAAGGAAATATAATGGGTGAGGTCAGCAGGTGCCAATCAAAAAGATCCCCCAAATTATCACACTAGGAAGTCTGGAGATATATATCTCATCTCTTGAATAGCTAATAAATTCTCAAAACTATAACATGAAAATCCGAACTCCTGATTTTCACTCCCCCAACATAAACATCATAAAAAGCTTTGCCCCATGTTTAGTCTTTCCCATCTCAGTAAATCTCAGCTTTTCCTTCCCGGTACTCAAGGAGTCTTCCTTAAAGCCTACTCCCCACCTCCAAACGAGCAGTAAATCCTATCAGCTTTACCTTCTAAATACATCCAAAACTGTCTGAGATTTCTTCAAAATAATATAGTAGGAGGATTGAATAGGTAATAAACAAGAGAAAATTGGTCCTGAGTTACTAATTTTTTTGAAGTTGGAGGGGTTTCTTATATTCTTCTCTTCACTTCCATACATATTCTATGTTTTCCACCATGAAAAGTTTGCATATGGATTTTTACCATCTTTGTCACTACTGCAAAGGTCTAAGGCACTCCCAGCTCTTGGGTGGGTTATGGCAAATGCTCCTTAATTGCCTCCTAAGCCCTTTCTAATGGCTTTCTGTCTTGCCCCATTTCCAGCTCTTCTCCACAAAGCAACAGAGGTATCCAGTTCAGTAGACTCATATTACTCCTCCACTCAAAACTCTCCAATGGCTTCCCAACTCACCCACAACAAAAACTAAAATCTCCACAATAGTCCATAATCTGCACGGACCCTGCACCATTTCTTTTTACCTCTTTGATCTTATTTTCTACTTATTTCTTCACTTTAAAGATACAAGCCTTCTTACTTTTTATTCAAAACCGCAAGACGTTTCCCCTCCTTGTTGCCTGTGAGGTGACTGCTACCTCTACCTGGAATGCTTTCCTCCTAGATATCCTCATGGCTTGTCCTCACCTCCCTCAGGTCCTCACTCAAATACCATTGCCTTTGTGAGACTTTTCTGACTTTTCCATTCTCTTTGTTTTTAATTGACATATAATAATTGCACATATTTATGAGTTACAGTGTGATGTTTCAATGTGTATATATATTGTACAATGATCAATCAGGGTGATTAGCATACCCATCACCTCAAACACTTGTCATTTCTTTGTGGTAAGAACATTCAAACTCCACTCTTCTAGCTATTTTGAAGTATGCAATACATTATTGTTGACTATAGTCATCTTACTAAGCAATAGAACACCAGAACTAACTTCTCCTCTCCTACCTGTTACTTTGTACCTGTTGACCAATCTCCCACCATTCTCCTTCCCTGTACTCTCCCCAGCTTCTGGTAACCACTATTCTACTCTCTACTTCTATATAAGATCAAGTTATTTAGATCTCACATATGAGTAAGATCATGAGGTATCTGTTCTTTTTTCTTTTCTTTCTTTTTTTTTTTTTTTTTGAGACGGAGTCTCGCTCTGTTGCCAGGCTGGAGTGCAGTGCCACGATCTCGGCTCACTGCAACCTCCACCTCCCAGGTTCAAGCGATTCTCCTGCCTCAGCCTCCCAAGTAGCTGGAACTACAGGCACATGCCACCACGCCCAGCTAATTTTTGTATTTTTAGTAGAGATGAGGTTTCACCATGTTGGCCAGGATGGTCTTGATCTCTTGACCTCGTGATTCACCCGCCTCAGCCTCCCAAAGTGCTGGGATTACAGGCATGAGCCACTGCGTGGGCCCAGTATCTGTTGTTCTGTACCTAGCTTATTTCACTTAATGTCCTCTAGTTTGATCCATGTGGTTAAAAGTGACAGAAATTCACTCTTTTTATGGCTGAATCGTATTCCATTAGGTATATACACCACATTTTATCCATTCATCCATTGGTGGATATTTGGATATTTAGATTGATTCCATATCTTGCCTATTATGAATAGTGCTGCAATAAACATTGCAGTGCAGATATCTCTTTGACATACTGATTTCATCTCGTTTGGATATACACCAGTAGTAGGACTGTTGGATCACATAGTAGTTCTAGTTTTAGTTTTTTCTTATTTTTCTGTTTCTTGCATAGACAGGGTTTCACTATTTTGCCCAAGCTGGTCTTCAAGAAATCTTCCCTCCTCAACCTCCCAAAGTGTCAGAATTACAGGAATGAGCCACCACATCCACCTTTATTTGTAATTTTTTGAGGAATCTCCATACTGTTTTCTATAATGGCTGTACAAATTTACATCCCCACCAACAGCGTACAGGAAGAGTTCCCCTTTCTCCATATATGAGTCAACATTTGCTATTTTTCGTCTTTTTGATAATAGCCATTCCAACTGGGGTGAGGTGATGGCTCATCGTGGTTTTGATTTGTATTTCCTTGATGATTAGTGATGTTAAGGATTTTTTCATGTACCTGTTGGCCATTTGTAGGACTTCTTTTAGGAAATATTTATTCAGAGCTTTTTCCCATTTTTGATCGAATTTTTTTTGCTATTGAGTTGGGTTTCTTAGGTATTCTGAATATTAACTTCTTAGTTAATGCATAGTTTATAAATATTTTCTCCATTTCTGTAGGTTATCTCTTCACACTCTGTTGATTTTTTCTTTTGCTGTGCAGAAGCTTTTCAGTTTGATGTAGTCCCATTTGTCTAGTCTTGCTCTTGTTACCTGCCCTTTTGACATCTTTTCCAAAAAGTCCTTGCCCAGACTAATGTCATAACTGATTTCTCTTTTGTAATTTGAAGCCCTGCCTCTAGCACTACCTCTCCTGCATTTCTTTTCACATGCATTTATCATGATCTGTCATAATACTTGTTTTACATATTAATTCAGTCATTTTCTAACTCCTCTTTATCGACCCTTATCCTGGCCTCTCACAGGCAATTAGAGTGTATGCTCTATAAAAACAATGATTTTTGTTTGTCTTTTAATGCCCTATATTTCAAATTCCTTGAATATGTCTCTCATCAGATGGTAGTTACTCTATAAATATTTGTTGACTGATTGAATGGATCAGTCAATCAACTAACATTTGTTTCCCTCTTGGATAAGAGACTTCTATCGCACATAAAGTACTTAGCATAGTTGTACCACAATATCGAGATGATAGCTCCTATTATGATATATATTTCCCTGTAGCAGGGTTGAGCAAGCTTTTTCTCTGTAAAGGGCCCACCTTTTCTTTCAAGTCATACAATCCTTTCTGCTACAACCACTGAACTCTGCCACTGTAGAAGGAGTTAGAGATAGTAGATAAACAAAAGGGCATGATCGTGTTGGAGTGAAACTTTATTTACAGGTTTAGCCCATGGGCCATAGTTTGCCAGCCCCTGCTTTATAACAGAGATTCCCAATTTCATTACTTAAATATGTGCAAAAGAATTGCCTATCTCATGTCAAGTAATGCAACCAAAAGCAGTAGAAATAACCAAATCCCACAAAATAGGTAAAATAACTTCAAATAATAAAAGGCTGATGTGACCAACTAATTCAAGACTATTATTAAGGCAGTTTGGCATAGCTTAATAGCACTTAGCATTTTTTAGAAATAAGGGTGCACCTGATAGTTGGTGAAGTTTTATGAAATATTCTTTTATGCCTAAAATATCTACAATTGTTTCTACTTCTTGCACTGAACCTTGGCTAATATAGCATACATTAATCTAACTTGCCCAGAATAATTTATATACATTCTGTCTATAGTATTCCTCTGATCTATGAGTAAATTATATGTATGTCTGTGTACATGCATACATATCCGTGTGTGTATGACACAGATAGTTCGGGTAACTTTCTCTTTTGAAAAGTTTAATTCATAAAGCCACACTTTTTAATATAATTATTTAAAATTATTTTGATTATGTTTTAGAATATTTTCAGGTTAGTAAGCAAATTTAGAATACCTATTTTATAGAATATGTTTTATCTATTTTTATTATTAATAAATAATTTATTATTAATAAAAACCAAGACTATTTGCCTAACTCTAGATTTCCTACTTTCCTCCCTGATGACTAGTACTGGCTCAGTGATGTAAAGTGCAACTTCTTTCAATATTATGAAAATGTACCATTAGGCCAGGCACGGTGGCTCCCACCTGTAATCTTAGCACTTTGGGACGCTGAGGCAGGCAGATCGCTTGAGCTCAAGACCGGCCTGGGCAAAATGGTGAAATCCCGTCTATACAAAAAATACAAAAATTAGCTGGGTATGGTGGCGTATGCCTGTAGTCCCAGCTACTTGGGAGGCTGAGGTGGGAGGATCACTTGAGCCTGGGAGGCAGAGTTTGCAGCGAGCCAAGGTCACACCACTGCACTCCAGCCTGAGTGACAGAGTGAGACCCTGTCAATAGAAAGAGAGAGAGAGAGAAGAAAGAAAGAAAGAGAGAGAGAGAGAGGAAAAGAAAGGAAGAAAGGAAGGAAGGAAGGAAGGAAGGAAGGAAGAAAGAAAGGAAGAAAGAAAGAAAGAAAGGAAGAAAGAGAAAGAAAGGAAAAGAAAAGAAAAGAAAAGAAAGAGAAAGAGAGAAAGAGAGAGAGAGGGAGGGAGGGAGGAAGGAAGGAAGGAAGGAAGGGAAGGGAAAAAAATGTACACTTTATCAAAAAGGAAGCAGATTCATTAAGAGTACTCATATATGCTACAAGTAGGAATATCTCTGGCAAATGGTTCACTCATGAGGAGAAGGAGCCAGAAATACAAGATTGGCACACTAAAGCAGAAAAGAGAAAGGGATGCTAACTCAAAACAGGCAACAGGCTTTCACTTCAGAGAAGTGGCCAGATGAGCAAGGTACAATGTCCAAAGGAATAATAAAATAAACTGCATCACAATTTCATTTCCAATCAGATCTATCTTCTAGTGTATTAATTCCATCTTCAGCTGAGTCAAATCTTTTCAATCTGTCTGCTGAGTTTTTAATATCAGTGACTATATTTTTTATTTCTAAAAGTTCAATTTGGTTGTATGTATTTCTTTTTTTAAATTTTCTTGGTCTTTTTGATAGTGTTTTTTTTTCTTTCATGCTTTGGATTTCCTATTTATATCCTTAACCAATTTATGCATATTTATTTTCTCTTTGCTATTCAATAGTTCTTTTATGTTTTTGATAGTATATTACTAAAGCTTATCATGTATGCTGATTCTCAATTGTGGCATGTTGTTTTCTTCTGTATTTTGCAATTTTGTATTATGAAATCTTCAGCAGCAGGATTCTATTGGCAGTAATTCTATCGGGATTGAAGATGTTCCTTCAAAGAGGTTTTACATTTACTTCGCCAATGCTCAGGGTTTTACAGGCTTTAAAGAAAGATATTGGTGGCTGCGCACAGTGGCTCACATCTGTAATCCCAGCACTCTAGGATGCCAAGGTGGTTGGATCACATAAGGCCAAGAGTTCAAGACCAGCTGGCCAACGTAGCGAAACCTTGTCTCTACTAAAAATACCAAAAAAAAAAAAAAGTTATCCGGGCATGGTGGTGCACATCTGTAGTCCCAGCTAGTCAGTAGGCCGAGGCAGGAGAACTGAGGCCGAGGTTGCAGTGAGCCGAGATTGTGCCTAGGTGACCCAGAAAGACTCTGTCTGCAAAAGGGAAGGGGAGGGGAGTGGAGGGGAGGGGAGGGGAGGGGAGGGGAAGGGAGAAGGGAAAGGAAAGGGAAAAAGAAAAGGGAAAGGAAAGGAAATCAGGAAGCTTTCTGGGTAAAATAATTTGCCATATTGCCGGAAATAGAAGTAGAAAATGGTAGCATGATGCCACAAATTTAGCAGGATGTGTTAAAACTAAGCATCCCTTTTTTCACCAAACTGATGAAAAAAAGAAAAAGAAAAGCAAACTAAGCATTTCAAATCTAAAGAAAAACTACTACAATTATTCAGGGATTTATAAAGTCACACAACACTAATATAGAATCTTACAAAGTATCATGAAATATAGTAATAAAAATGTAGAAGCTTCTTTAGAGATTTATCATTTTAAAGCAAAGGTAAAAAGCACAGCCACGTCCATTGGGGCAACACTTGTTCTTTCTGTCACGGTAAAAATGGCTGAAACAATACAAAAGAAAGAGCATATGATGAAGCCTAAATGCATTCCTTTGTCAGCAAATATTGTTAGATGATATATAGAAAACATTATAGTAGATTGCAGAAACAAATGTTGGAACAAATTATGTAGTGTTGAAAGTTTGCTATATATTTAGATGAAGCACTGATGTTTCTAACACATTTTAGCTATGGTATTTTCTGGATTCTGTTTCCAATAATAAAACACATGAATAACTGCTTTTTTTTGTATGTGAGCTGTTAAAAAAAAAACAAGTAATATTTTCCTTCAATAATAAATGGTTTCTTTTAGAAAAACTATGATACATGAAAAATTGTGGCCGGGCGCGGTGGCTCACGCCTGTAATCCCAGCACTTTGGGAGGCCGAGGCGGGCGGATCACGAGGTCAGGAGATCGAGACCATCCCGGCTAAAACGGTGAAACCCCGTCTCTACTAAAACTACAAAAAATTAGCCGGGCGTAGTGGCGGGCGCCTGTAGTCCCAGCTACTTGGGAGGCTGAGGCAGGAGAATGGCGTGAACCCGGGAGGCGGAGCTTGCAGTGAGCCGAGATCCCGCCACTGCACTCCAGCCTGGGCTACAAAGCGAGACTCCGTCTCAAAAAAAAAAAAAAAAAAAATTGTGGGGCAACTATTTGAATTGGAATTTTTTAAATTCCCAAGCAAGGATATAGATAAAATACCCCACATGAAATACATTTTCTTTCTCACTCACAAGTGAGCTGTCATGAAAAATATGGTGAAGCCTGAAGACAGCAAAGTGCTACAGGATGTTATGGGTGAGGTTAGTTTTATAAAAACAAGACATTTAAAATTTTAGAGGACTCTTTGCACTCTCTTATGGAATGTAACTAATTTAGATCAAGTTTTTTGGAAAGAAAATTCTGACATGGAGAGCTGCATATAGAAATGATATTGGGGCCGGGGGCAGTGGCTCATGCCTGTAGTCCCAGCACTTTGGGAGGCCGAGGCAGAAGGATAGCTTGACCCCAGGAGTTTGAGACCAGCCTGATGAACATTGTGAAACCCTGCCTCTACAAAAAAAATGCAAAATATTAGCCAGCCGTGGTAGTGGGTACCTATAGTCCCCACTACCCAGGAGGCTGAGATGGGAGGATCACCTGAGCCGGGGTGGTTGAGGCTGCAATGAGCAGTGATTAAAAAAAGAAAAAAAGAAAAAAATTATATCGGGGAGTGCCCTCAGGCTCAACAGCCAAGGAAAAGTGAAGGAAGCAGGAATGAGCAGAGGAAGAAGATGAACTCTGATGCAGTTACCACAGTGTCCTCAACCAATCCCATGGGGAGCTCAGACAGCCTGTCAGTATTGTCTCACCTTGCAGCAAGCTAGCCAGGCCTTTTTTTCTTAAATTTATTTTATTTTTAAGTGACAAATAATAATTATATGTATTTATAGAGTACAATGTGATGTTATTATATATCCCACAATATATATAATATACATTGTGGGATAATTAAATCAAGTTAATTAACATATCCATCACCTCACATATCTATTATTTGTGGTGAAAACATTTAAAATCTACTCTTTTGGCAATTTTGAAATATACATTGTTGTTAAATATAGGCACCATGCTGTGCCAGAACTTACTTATTCCTCCTAACTGAAATCTTTTACTCTTCAGTCAACATCTCTCCTTTCCCCATTCACTTGCTTTCCCAGCCTCTGGTAACCACCATTCTAAACTCTACTACTATGAGTTCAACATTTTTTAGATTCTCTATGTAAGTGAGATCAAGTGGCATTTGTTGTTCTGTGCCTGGTTAATTTCACTTAGTACAATATCCTCTAGGTTCATCCATGTTGTCAAAAATGACAGAATTTCCTTATTTTTCAAGGCTAAGTAGTATTCCATTGTGCATATATATTACATTTTCTTTAACCATTCATCTGATGATGGATACTTAGGTTGCTCCCACATCTTCACTATTGTGAACAGTGTTGCAGTGAACACGGGAATGCAGATATCTCTTCAACAAACTGATTTCAATTCCACTGGATATGTACCCAGAAATGGGATTGCTGGATCATATAGTAGTTCTATTTTTAGTTTTTTGAGGAGTCTCCACACTGTTGTCTATAAATTTACAAATTTACATTTCCACCAACAGCGTAAGAGGATTCAAGCCTTTAAATTTACCATAGGCTGGTCTTTGGAGGAGAGCTGCCTTCTGGGAAGCAGTGTGACTTTGGGTGAGACAGCTTTCTTTCCCTGAGTGCAATACCTAGAAAATGAAGCAACTGAGAGACTTCAGCCATCAACATAGTCCTGAAGGGCTGTGGAGAGTGTACCACAACATTCAATGAAATAATCACACAGAGGATGGCAGGTAATATTGTAATAGAGTCCTTAATATAGTTGGCAAACTTACACATGAGTTATTCATTTTCTCTTACAAAAAAAAATCAAGTGATTTAAATATGCTGGATTTTACTAATGATAATTAACTGACACTAAAATGTGACACACCATAAAAAAATTGAATCTAACAAAAAAATAAGAAAATACTTCTTGAAAGATATTTATGCTATGGAGAGAGCTCTTTAAAAACAAAACTTTGGAAGTGTTTCCAGCATTATATGCTGTTGTTGTTAAAAATTATGTAGACTATAGAAATTCTAATATTTGCACACTTAAGAAATCTGGAAAATAGCCAGGTGCAGTGGTTCATGCCTGTAATCCCAACACTTTGGGAGGCAGAGGTGGAAAGATCATTTGAGCTCAGAAGTTCGAGTACAGCCTGGGCAACACAGTGAGACCTCATTTCTACAAAAAAATAAAAAATAAAAACATGGGTGTGGTGACACACACCTGCGATCCCAGATACTAGGGAGGCTGAGGCTGGAGGATTGCTTGAGCCTGAGAAGTTGAGGCTGCAGTGAGCCATGATCATGTCACTGCACTCCAGCCTGGGTGACAGAGTGAGACCTTGTTTCAAAAAGAAAAAAAAAAAAGAAACCTGGAAAACTATTATAACTTGTTAAGAATATTAAAATTTTAGTGCATGTTAAACCTACGTGTTAAATTTTTAAAGTATAGAGCTTGAATAAGCAAAAATTTTCTAGTTATTTTTCCAACAGAAATATTTACATAATTTTGGATTTGCTTTGAAAGACAAGTATTACAAATTAGCTGACATCACAAAGTTAGAAAGATCTCAGATTAACAACTTAACACTACAACCGAAAGAATTAGAGAAGCAAGAAAAAATCAACCTCAAAGCTAGCAGAAGATGAAAAATAACAAAAATCAGAGCTGAACTCAAGGAAATGAAGATACACAAAAAAAAATTCAAATGATCAATGAACTGAGGAATTTATTTTTTGAAAAAATTAATAGCTGTATAGGCTGCTAGCTTGACTAATGAAGAAAAGAAGGAAGATCCGAATAAATAGAAATGATAATGGGAATGTTACCACTGACCCCACAGAAATAAAAATAACCATCACAAACTACTAAAAACACCTCTACACAAACTAACTAGAAAACCTAGAAGAGATGGATAAAGTCCTGGATGCACACACCCTCCCAAGACTAAACCAGAAAGAAACTGATTCCATAAACAGACCAATAACAAGCTCCAAAACTGAATCAGTAATAAATAGCTCACCACCAACAAAAAAGCCCAGGACATGATGGATTCACAGCTGAATTCAACCAGATGTACAAAGAAGAGCTGGTACCATTCCTGCAGAAACTATTCCAAAAAAACTGAGGGGGAGGGACTCTTCCCCAGTTCATTTTATGAGGTCAGCATCATCTTGATCCCAAAACCTAGCAGGGACACAATAACAACAAAAAACTTCAGGCCAATATCATTGATGAACATTGAAGCAAAAATCCTCAACAAAATATTTGCAAACCAAATCCAGCAGCACAAAAAGCTAATTCACCATGATCAAGTAGGCTTCATCCCTGGGATGAAGGCTGGTTCAATACATGCAAATCAAGGTTAGTTCAACATATGCAAGTAAATGTGATTCATCGCATAAACAGAACTACAGACAAAAAACACGTGATTATTTCAATAGATGCAGAAAAGGCTTTTGGTAAAATTTAACACACTTTCATGTTAAAAACTCCCAATAAACTAGATATTGAAAAAAAGTCATAAACCCATAGCCAATATCATACTCAATGGGGAACTACAGACAAAAACCACGATTATTTCAACAGACGCAGAAAGGCTTTTGGTAAAATTTAACACACTTTCATGTTAAAAACTCCCAATAAACTAGATATTGAAAAAAAGTCATAAACCCATAGCCAATATCATACTCAATAGGCAAAAGCTGGAAGCATTCCCTGTGAAAACCAGCATGAGACAAGAATGCCCTCTCTCACCACTCCTATTCAACACAGTATTGGAAGTCCTAACCAGAGTAATCAGGCAGAAGAAAGAAATAAAGGTCATCCAAATAATAAGAGAATATGTCAAACTATCTCTGTTTGCAGACAGACAACATGATTCTATGTCTAGAAAACTCCATAGTCTCAGCCCAAAAGCTCCTTCAGCTAGTAAACAACTTCAGCAAAGATTCAGGATACAAAATTAATGCACAAAAATAACTGGCATTCCTATACACCAACAACAGCCAAGCCAAGAGCCAAATCAGGAATGCAATGCCATTCACAACTGCCACAAAAAGAATAAAATACCTAGGAATACAGCTAAGCAGAAAGGTGAAGGACCTCTATCATAAGAATTACAAAACACTGCTCAAAGAAATCATGGAAGACACAAATAAACAGAAAAACATCCCATGATCACGGATAGGAAGAATCAATATCATTAAAATGGCTATACTGCCCAAAGGAATTTACAGATTCAATGCTATTCCTGTCAAACTACCATGACATTCTTCACAGAACTGAAAAAAATAAAAACTATTTTAAAATTCACATGGAACCAAAAAAAGAGCCCCAATAGCCAGGGCAATCCTAACTAAAAAAAAGCAAAGCTGGAAGCATCACATTACCCAGCTTCAAACTATATTACAGCACTATGGTAACCAAAATAGCATGGTACTGGTACAAAAACAGACCCGTAGATTAATGGAACAGAACAGAGAGCCCAGAAATAAGGCCACACACCTACAACCATCTGAACTTCAACAAAACCAACAAAAACAAGCAATGAGGAAAAGACTCCTGTATTAGTCCGTTCTCACACTGCTACAAAGGACTGCCTGAGATTGGGTAATTACAAACAAGAGAGGTTTAACTGACTCACACTTCCACATGGCTGGGGAGGCCTCGGGAAACTTACAATAATGGCAGAAGGCAAAAGAAGCACGTTTTACATGGCAGCAGATGAGAGAGGAGTGTGAGAGTGCAGGAAAAACTACCATTTATAAAACCATCAGAGCTTGAGAGAATTCACACCCTATCATGAGAACAGCACAGGGAACACTGCCCCTATAATCCAATCACTTCCCTCCCTCGACATGTGGGAATTACAGGTCCCTCCCTCAACACGTGGGAATTACAATTCAAGATGAGATTTGGGTGGGGACACAAAGCTAAACCACATCAACTCCCTATTCAATAAGTAGTGCTGGGATAACTGGTTTGCCATATGCAGAAGACTGAGGCTGGACACTTTTGCATATGGACACCATATACAAAAATCAACTCAAGACTTGATTAAAAACCAATTTGAAACCCAAAACCATAAAAACCCTGGAAGAAAACCTAAGCAATGCCATCTGGGACGCAGATACAGGCAAAGATTTCATGACAAAGTCACCAAAAGCAGTTGCAACAAAAACAAAAATTGACAAGTGGATCTAATTACACTTAACAGCTTCTGCACAGCAAAAGAAACTATCAACAGAGGAAAAAGATCTACCAATTGGGAGAAAATATTTGTGAACTCTGCATCTGACAAAGGTCTAATATCCAGCTTATATAAGGAACTTAAACAAATTTACAAAAGAAAAACAAACAACCCTATTAAAAAGTGGGCAAAGGACATGAACAGACACTTTTCAAAAGAAGACACATGCAGCCAACAAGCATATGAAAAAAGCTCAATATCACTGATTATCAGAGAAATGCAAATCAAAACCACAATGAGATACTATCTCATACCAGTCAGAATGGCTATTATTAAAGAGTCATAAAGTAACAGATGCTGGTGAGATTGTGGAGGAAAGGGAGCACTTATACACTGTTGGTGGAGTGTAAACTAGTTCAACCATTGTGGAGAGCAGTGTGGCAATTCTTCAAAAAGCTAAAAGCAGAACTACCATTCGACACAGCAATCCCATTACTGGGTATATAACCAGAGGAATATAAAGCATTCTACCATAAAGACACATGAATGTGAATGTTTACTGCAGCACTATTCACAATAGCAAAGACATGGAATCAATCTGAATGCCCATCAATGACCAACTGGATAAAGAAAATGTGGTACATGTACACCATGGAATAATATGCAGCCATAAAAAGAAATGAGATCAAGTATGTTGCGGGAATGTGGATAGAGCTGGAGATGATTATCCTTAGCCAACTAGCGCAGGAACAGAAAACCAAATACCACATGTTCTCACTTATAAGTGGGAGCTAAATGATGAGAACTCGTGAATACAAAGAAGGGAACAACAACAGACACTGGAGTCTACTTGAGGGCAGGGAGGAGGGAGAAGAGCAGAAAAGATAACTACTGAACACTGTGTTTAATACCTGGGTGATGAAATAACCTGTGACACAAGATTACCTATGTAACAAATCTTCACATGCACCCCCGAATCTAAAATAAAAGTTTAAAAAATAATAAAATAAATTTTTTTAAAAAATAATAAGTATTACAATTTGGAATGCATACTCAAAGGTACACTTTTTCCATTTGGGCGTACATGTCTTTAGAAGAACTTTTTCAACTATGACAGCCATTAGAATCAAGTACTATTCAAATAATTTAAAACATAGGTTTCAAATTTCTATATCACAAAATGCTACACCAAGTTTTTATATTAGAATGAAGCATCCGAACACATAATGATTCAAGGCTTAAAATAATGTACTTATCCAGAACCAAGATTCAGCAGCTCAAGGCTCCTGGTCTCCCAAAACAATTCTCAAGATGAACTGCCCATTCTCTTCTTTCTATTATCCAGTTTCTAGACAGTGGCTGGTTACTCTTGTTGATCACCTAGCAAGTGATCTCCAACCCTTTATCTACATGTATCACCAGTGGTTAAAAAAAAATTGAATATGTACCTCCATTTATTTGTTTACAAGTTACACACGTGCTATTCTTTGGACAAATCATCTGTATTATGTAACATATACAAAAGTCAAAATTTTAAGTCATGAGAGATTCTGCAATGTAAGTGGCATTACCCTTTAGAAATGTCATCATCATGAAAGAAAGGGAGATTTAGGAACTGTTCCAAGTTGGAGTAACAAATGTATGACCCTTGATTGGATTCTGAAACTCCAAAGAAAATTTTGGAGAAAATAAGCAATGTTTGAATGGGATCTGTGGATTAGATGGTAGTGTTAGATAAATGTTGATTTCATAATTTTGATTTTGGAACTGTAAATATGTGCCAAATATTAAGAGATTTTGTCTGCAACTTATTTTCAAGTGGCACAGGGGGAAAAACCTACAGTGATGTGATGTGATGTGATGTGTGTGTGTGTGTGTGTGTGTGTGTGTGTGTGTGTGTGTGTGTGTAGAGGAAGAGAGAAAGAGGATGCAAATATGGACAATGCTAACAACTGGGAAATCTGGCTGAAGGATATAAACAGCTCTTTGGCCCTTTGTACTACTTTTGGCACTTTTCTGTAAATTTCAAATTGTTTTAAAACAAAAAAGGTAAACAATGTAACATAAATCAAACAAAACAGAAACATCCTTTAAAAAGATGAGACAAGCTTGGGCAACATAGCAAGACACCATTTTTACAAAAAAATAAAAAGTAAAATTAGTCTGGTGTGGTGGCATGAAGCTGTAGCCCCAGCTACTCATGAGGCTGAGACAGGAGGACCGTTTGAGCCCAGGAGCTCAAGGCTACACTGAGCTATGATCCCACTACTGCACTCCAGCTTGGGTGACAGAGTGATTGTGTAATTCTTCTTCCTTATGAAACTATTCCAGAAGAAAACCTTTAGTGATCTTTTTATTAATTAAAAAAAGTTTCCAAATTGTAAAACCAACTCCACTCTTAAAACGTTAGATTTAATAATTTAAAAGTGACTTTTTGTAGGCTAACATTTAATATTTGAGAATTAATGAATTATAAATAATTTAACAAATACATTTAATTGCTATTCATGGCTGTTCAAAAGATTTAAATTATTTAATTTATTAAAGCAATGTTATAAAAAATTATAGGCACGGTGGCTGACGCCTATAATCCCAGCACTTTGGGAGGCCAAGGTGGGCAGATTGCCTGAGGCCAGGAGTTCAAGACTAGCCTGGCCAACATGGTTAAACCCTGTCTCTACTAAAAATTTAAAAATTAGCTGGGCATGGTGGCGGGCACCTGTAATCCCAGCTACTCGGGAGGCTGAGGCAGAGAATTGCTTGAACCCAGGAAGCGGAGGTTGCCATGAGCTGAGATCGCGCCACTGCACTCCAGCCTGGGCAGCAGAGCAAGACTCCATCTCAGAAAAAAAAAAAAAAAAGCAATGTTCATATTCTCTCAAGAAATAAAATAGAAATGATTTTCTATTAGGTGTTCCAAATCTTGATCATATCTAATTATTTTCCACATTCTTGGTGTCCTTTCTTTCTGTCAAAATAGAAGTAACATCCTAGGAGTATTCAAGATACTAATTACTATGTAGTAGAATGTGATTAACAGTTTGGGCTGCAAAAAGAATTGTTCTTTCTTAGACCGCCTCCTTTACCTCATCTTCATTCTGATCCCAAAAGCATGGTAAAATGATGCAGTAGAGTTATTATTTAGCAACCAGTGTCATATAATAATTCCCTGCTGCCTCCTTCTTTCAGCTACCTCCTTCTTTCACCTTTTCTGACTGCTTCTGATTCATAAAAGGGAAAGCATTCCATCAAGAAAAACACAGGGGTATGAAGGGAGTGTTCACTGACTTAAGAAAAGCATGTGAATAATGAGTACATGGTCACTTTAATTACACAAGCAGACCAAAAAATACATGCAGATAAACATTACGCTTTTATTTGAGCATTTATATTTCACCGGAATGTGATACAAATTGCAGTGAGGACTTGTGTATTTCTGAAATAAAGTCCTTGACATTGCAGTATTTCTCTCAACAGCAACATTCCCCAAACACAGAGAGCCATTTAATGTAGGTACCTACAGATGGCCAAATTCCTCTCAAAGTCTGTCCCAAATCTACTATAAACAAGACGTTGCTGAGTACTGTGTCCTACATAGAGAGGTAGCTAAAAGAGAAAGCTATGTATACGAAGTCACTATTCAGCAGTTTGCCCATGCACAAATAATGAATAATGAGCATCATCAACGAATACTCATACACGGATACAGAAGACTGAAGTATCTTTGAAATATCCCACAAACAAGGGCAAACTAAGACTCTTGAACACACATACACAAAGCCACTTTTGCTTCAAATAGAATAACCTTACACAGTAGTCTCTCACTTATCCATGGTTTCAGGTATCAGTGGCCAAACAGCAGGGTGAGTACAGTACAGTAAAATATTTTGAGAAAGAGAGCGAGAGAGAGATCACATTCACATAACTTTTAATACAGTATATTGTTATAATTGTTCTATTTTATTATTAGTTACCTTTATCAATCTCTTACTATGTCTAAACTATAAATTAAATGTGCGCATAGGAAAAAACATAGTACATGTAGCATTCAGTATTAACTGAGTTTTCAGGCATCCACTAGTAGGCTTAGAAGATATCCCTTGAGGATAAGGGAAGACGCTATAATTACAAAAACAAGCAGTATGATTTGGCTGAGTTGTTAAAATTGTTATACTTTTTATATCATTTCCTTAATCGTTTTTCTATTTGAAAGTGGTAACAAAAAAGTCAAAGATTTTTTGTCAATGATTATGTTTCCCATGATATAAGAACTTGATGATATAGAAAGGCAAAGAAGTGGGTTACAAGGTTTTTAAAAAGCCAGAATGTTGTGACCTTACACATATCAAGGAATCATAGAGGAAATTAAAAGATAATCAGCTATATGATACAGCAGAACATAGAAAATTCAAAATGTTTATTCCAATAACAAAAGGGGGAGAAAAAGAACAAAACCTACAGTCTGTTCCTTACACTTGCCAATGACCTCCAGCCAAAGACTGCCAGGAACACATCTGCAGTTGAACAAATTTGGGATCCTTGACTTCTAGCAATGGAGAACCATGCAGGGAACTATGGGGCAATCTCAGTAAGAGGTATTAGAAAGAGCTTATTATTAGGATTAGAGTTTGATTAGGTGAGTTGGGGAAGAGTTCCAGAAAGCAGGGCTGTGCTCTGGATTGGACATTATCAGGAAGTGGAGTAATTCTGTGATTGGGTCCTTAATTCTTGTCTGTTTTAGATGATGAGATGATTGGGGTGAAGCTAAAGCTGTCATTGTTTTTTTTTTTTTTAAAGTGGCAGTCAGTTATATCAGCCAGGATATGGAGATGTTTGGCCATTTTTGTGGTTTGGATAATGCTCATGTTTTTGTCTGTGTTCAACCCTGACTATAGAGTGGTTTTGTTTTGGTCTTGGTCCACCATGGTCACAGAGTGGCCTTGTCCAGTGTTGGTGTTTATGTTCAGCAACACCATGGTCCAGCTGTGTGTGCCAGGACACTTTCCAGCTGTCAGGGTCTGCTTTTCTCTTTCTCACACTTATAAAATGTGAAAATACTTCAGCAAAACTTCTGGAAATACTCAGTGCTCAAGATTGAGATGAGTTTTACATAGAATATATTCCATTATTCCTAAGACATTATGATGCTCCAGGCAAATTTACTGAGCAATAATATAATTTGAAGTAGGAAATAATTCAAGGGATCATCGCATTCATCTCCTTGCCTCCAGGGTTGATTTCTGCATCTTAAAAGTACCTCATATAAAAATTATACAGTTTCTATTGGCAAGTCTGTTATGATAATAAAGATCTCAAATTCTGCCTCATTAAATGATAAGGTAATTTCTTCTTTCTTTCTCTGTGGAGATAGATGACAACCAGCCAAATACCCTCTTCATGGTAACACTTTAAAACATACAAAACCTTTGCCTTCTCTTCTCTGGAAAAAAGTAGCCTCTTTTCCCAAGGGAGCTATTTTATGTCTCTCAAATTGGTCTGCATCTCTCCATTTGCTGCCACCACCTTAGTGTAAGCCCCTATCACTTATTATCTGGGGCACTACAGTACTTCCTAAGTGGTCTCCCCTATCCCTCCTGGAACAGCTGCCCACCCACTTCCACACTGTTGCCAGAGTGATCTCTCAGTTCATTTCACTAATGCGCATAAGTTTCCCCGATTTCTCAAAAGGCAAATCTAAACTCCTTAATCTCACCCAGAAGGTCCTGCCTTCCTGATTTTCCACCAGTCAAATTCTCCAACACTGATCCCTCTCTGCACTCTAGCCACACGAAACATCTTTTAATTCTGGGAAATCCATGCTCCTTCAACCTCAGGGCCTCAGCCCATTGTCCTCCTTCCTGGAATGTGCTTTCCCTTCTACTTTATCCAAATGACTTCTCCCCATCTTCCAGATCTCAGTTTAAACATCCTGACAACCACCCCTAGATTTGTACCGGTTCCCCTTATTAGACGCATTCTTAGCATCCTGTACTTCATCTAGCATGCATTACAGTTATAATTAACTAATTGACATGTGAGTTGCTTGTCTCCAAAAGACAGAGACAGCCCCTATCCCATTCATTACCATCTCCTCAAGGCCCACTTAGGGAAGTGATTTCATTGGGTAGGCATTCAATAAACATTTGCTAAACAAATGACCAAATGCATTTAATAATTTATGGCCTGAGCCCTCTTCAATTTCTACACATTATCCTTGAAACTAAAAATACCATTTAAAAGTGGCCTAACATTCTGAATACGGCAGTAGAATTTTATCCAGGACCCCATAGGTCCCATTTACATTAGAAATAATAATGCCATTTCATGGTATTGGTTGATTGACATATAGATTTACATCACCAGTTCATTCCACCAATGACTTAAGATAATATAGTACCTTACACTATTATTGACCATAATTCAGGTTATTGTGCCCAAGCCCTGACTTATGGTAAAGTCCCTTTGTTAGGATCCTCTACTCTTTTTTTATTTATTAACTATATTAATAATTAAAGTATTATAATCAATATTCTTCATTATTATACAAGGTTCTTTTCATATGTAATTAATTTAATTAATTAATAATTATTGGAAATTATTATCACCATTTTATAGATGAGAAACTGAGGCCACATAGCTAGATGAAGCTAGATGAAGCTAGGATTAAAATCCAGATTTTCTGATGCCAAGTCTGTTCCATTAAAATAAGCCTCTAGAAACCAGGAGTCTTCCTAGTTGGTGATGGGGATCCTGATACCCACCTAAGTCTGGCAGGTCTCCTTCCTGAGGCTGGACATCTCCTTCCTGTAACCCAGCAGAAAAGTGATGGTCTAACTGAGTATGTGCAAATTTCCTTCCTTTAATAATTTTCCCTGCCTGGTTGTTAATGAACTGCTACCTGGAAGCGCTTGCTGCTATGTCCTAATCACCAGGCCTGACCTCCTTATTCCGACAACCACGTGAGCTGATTCTATGGTTATTGTAATCTTAAGACATTGTGCCTGGAGCTGCCTGGCTCTCCTAGCCTGCACCAGCTGTCATAGCAGCTTAGTTGCCCCCTTCCTAGGCACTAGTCCAGGTCTAGCTTTTCAATGTTCCTACAGACTCCAATATATAAATGTGACAATATAGTCCAACATCAAAATAAAGGATTTGAAGAAGACAAGTAATGGGAAGAAAAGAATAGAGAAATATTGATGGAAAGTATTCTACAGAAAGGTTGAGAAAGAAAATTCAACTTCAGTCAGGTAAGGAGCTAGATTGCAAAGGTCCTTGAAGATGAAGATGAAGATGAAGTCAGACCATCACTTTTCTGCTGGGTTACAGGAAGGAGATGTCCAGCCTCAGGAAGGAGGCCTGCCAGACTTAGGTGGGTATCAGGATCCCCATCACCAACTAGGAAGACTCCTGGTTTCTAGAGGCTTGTTTTAATGGAAGTTAACTCTCCTCTAGCCCAGTGGCTCATATATGTCATGTATTGTCACTAATCCTCAAAGGCTATTATTATTCCCATTTTGAAGATGAAGAAACTAGAGCCCAGAAAAGTTCAGCTCCTTGGCCAAGGTCAACAGGAAAGGCCAGGATGTAAAGTCTGTTTAACTCTGAGACATGCCTCTTGAGTATATCATGCAGTCTCATATGAACCTTTTTATCTTCTAATATAGATGCAAATACATACTGGAATTTTATTATGACAAATGTGAGATTTCATACCAGTAAAGAAATGGTGTTGGAACAAATGAACACACATCTGGAAAAGAAAAAGTAAGCTAAATCCCTTCCTCACTCTTATACCAAATTGAATTCCAGGTAGAGCAAAGATTTGACTATTAAAGTGAATCCATCAAATTTCTAGAACAAATCACAAGTGGAATTATTTATAATATTAGAGGGGAAAGGTCTTTATGAGCAGAAACCCAGAAACACAAATCCAGAAGCACAAAAATGAAAGATTGATACAACCAATACATAAATATTTAAAACTGCTACATGGCAAAAATACCATAAACAAAGTCCAACACAACTAATGGGAAAAATTATTTGTAATGTACATGGATGTCAGACAAATAGCTAATTTCTTTAATTTACTAAGAGCTAGTAAAAAAGTAAATAAGAAAAAGACAAACAGTCCACTTTTAAATCAGCAGAGACATACACAAGCAGTTTAAAGGAAAATAAAAGGACAGCTTGAATCAACTTAAATTGAGATTTTTCCCAATGGCACTCCAGGCCCTGTAGCCCTCTCAGGTGGTGGTAGATTCATTCCTTGCACCTTTGGACTTCCTCCAGGCCATTACTCCTCCCCTTACCTTTTCCTGTTTATAACTCTTTCAAGTCACTCCCCACATTCAGCTGTGACTTGTCAAGTGACTCACCGTCAATCCCTGCCATAAATGCCAGGGTACCTCAGTGTCCATATAGGCAAGCAATCAAATAAATGACCTCCTAGATCCTTGTCTTCTTCATCTCCAATGTCCTTGATTTTACCCTCGCCACCCACTCCGATGGGACACCTTGAACTTTTCATTTTCTGTAACTGCTCTTCAAACAACCCAGGCTCCTCTAATAAGAGTCTTTCCTTCTAATTTGTATTGTTAACTTTATCAGAACTTCAAGTTTATGAATACTTCTATTTTCTTTCAAGCCATTAGTCTTAACCACCCATCAGCTTTGTTTTTTTTTTTACTTGCTTACTTACCTATCTTAAATTCCATGAACGATTATTTTAGTAATATTCTTGCCAGTACCCTAAAATTACCCTCTATCCTTCTCTCCTAGGCCTGCATCAACCCAGGTACTTTGTTTTTTTTTTTATGCCTACAATCTACCACCAAGCATTAATGGAGGAAGCAATTGGGTCTCATTTTATATTAATAAATAATGGTTCTCTCTACCTATAGTCACATCTCAGGCCACTTGTTATTATTTCAGAGAAGACTTCCCAGATCCCCCTGGCTAAGTTGTCACCCTGTTATGTATGCTCTCGCAGTACTGTGTTCCTCTTTTTCATCACATTTATCAGAATTATAGTTTTACATTTATCTTACATTCTCGGATAAACATCTGTCTTCACCACGGGACTATAAGGCCCATGAAGATGACACCAGCTGGGAAGAAGATTTTCACTTTTCATTTTATTCTATTTTGTACTGTTTGAATATTGTAGCCATCTATTAAAGGATTTTTTTAGAGGTAAAATCATGACTCATACAAATTAAAATGAATTGATGTCAGAATTTGATTTAACTCATCAATTATTGAGAAAATCAGTAAGATGTTATAACCAGTTCAAAGGAGAATTTGAAGAATCACATGAATATGGAAAATCAGGAATACTAAAATGAATTTGTAAATAGCTGAAAAATAGATCTATCCTCAGGACAACAATTAATTGAATTCTACTGGACACAATCATCTGCATTTCTATGGACAAAAAAATCATTTGCATTATTCCCTATTTTCTACAATATATAAAGTTGTAAAATAGCTCCAAAACAATGAGAAGCTGAGATAAGCTGGAAGACCACACTCGAGATGACACATAGTAATATTTTTTAACTACTTTAAACTTTTTCACAATTTTTCTTGCTAAATCTATGTATGTTTATTATATGCTAATAGGTAAGTAAATTATTACCTAATTTTTAATAATGTCAGCAAAAGCTATCTACATAGAGGATTATGGTATACCCTTCTATAAGTGTTTATATACCAGAAAACTCATAAATTTAAAGAATTAATTAGATCATTTGTGTCTTTATTTACTTCTTATTTTACATTAAGCATAATATACTACAACATACGATTACTTGTATAAGTTATTGGTCCACCTAAAATTATTCCTCCCTACCAAATTTGCACTTACATATGCCATTGTGATAAAGCAATTGGTAGAAATCAAAATCAGTACTATACATTAAAACAGTGCTAGGTGTATATTTAGAATTAACACCATAACTATTATATGCCTGTTGTTTACTTTTAAAGACAAGAATTATCTATACCCACACAATGCTCTTAATTTGCCTAGCAATGATTACTCCAGTGTTCCCCTTCAGATGGAAAAAAAAAATTCAAAAGGTTACTACCCACAATTTGAATAAAGAAAAGGAAAAGTAGCAATTTCCACAGACTATTATTCTTAATTAAAATTTTTATTGAGCTAATTTTAGATTCTCATATAGCTGTAAAAAATAATACAAAGAAATCCCTCTCACACTTTGCCCAATTTACCCTGTTGGTAACATTTTGCAAAACTATCATATAATATCATATCCAGGATATTGACATTGAAATCTTAGTCAGATTTCCTCAGTTTGACTAGCATTCATCTGTTTTGTGTATTTTGTGTATGTGTGTGTGTGTGTTAAGTTATATTATTGCCTGTGTAAGCTTATATATCCACTACCACAGTGGAGATAAAACACAAGGGTCTAAATGTAAGAAGTAAAACTATAAAACTCTTAAAAGAAAATATAGATATAAATCTTTGCAACCTTGTATTAGTCAATGATTTCTGAGAGATGACATTAAAACCACAAGGAACAGCAAATAAATAAATCAGTAGTAATTGAGAATTAAATTTTCAATAAAGTTATGGAAATTTAAAATTTTGTGCTTCAAAGTACTCCATTAAGAAAGTGAAAGAACCAGGCATGTGGTTTGAGCCTATAATTCCAGCTACTTAGGAGGCTGAGGTGGGAGGATACCTTGAAGCCAGGACTTTAAGCAACAGAGGGAGACTCTGACTCTAAAACAAAACAAAACAAAAAAGGTTGGGCACGGTGGCTCACGCCTGTAATCCCAGCGCTTTGGAAGGCTGAGGCGGAGAGATCACCTGAGGTCAGGAGTTCGAGACCAGCCTGGCCAACATGGCAAAACTCCGTCTCTACGGAAAATACAAAAATTAGCCAGGCATGGTGGTGCATGCCTGTAATCCCAGCTACTTGGGATGCTGAGGCAGGAGAATCGCTTGAATCCAAAGTGGGGGCAGAAGTTGCAGTGAGCCAGGATTGTGCCACTGCACTTCAGCCTGGGCGACAAGAGTGAAACTCCACCCCAGAAAAAAAAAAAAGAAAGAAAGGAAGTGAAAGGACAACCCACAGAATGGGAAAAAATTTTTGTAAATCATTTATCTGGTAAAGGATTTTTATTTAAAATATGTAAAGAACGCTTACAACTCAATAATAAAGACAACCCAATTTTTAAAAATGAGCAAACTGTCTCATAGACATTCCTCCAGATAAGATATACAAATGACTCATAAGTACATGAAAAGATGCTTGATATCATTAACCATCAGAGAAATGCAAATGAAATCCACAGTGAGATACCATTCATACCCACTAGGATGGCTAGAATCAAGAAGAAAGATAATGACAAGTGTTGGTGCGTAAACAGAGAAATTGGAACCCTCATGTACTGCTGGTGGGAAAGTAAAATGGTGCAGCTGCTTGGGAAAGCAATCTGGCAATTCCTCAGATGATTAAACATAGAGTTACTATGTGACCCAGCAACTCCATTCTTAATATATATCCAAGAGAAATGAGAATATATGTCCATACAAAAACCTGTACACAATTGTTCATAGATGCATTATTCATAATAGTTAAAAAGAAAAAAACAAGCTAAATATCCATTAGCATATAAATGGATAAATACAAAGTGGCAGAAAAATACAATGGCATATTTCATTGGACAATACAAGGGAATGAAATATGGTTATGTGATACATTATAGATAAACCTTAAAATCATTATGCTAAGTGAAAGAAGCCAGTCACAAAAGCCCAAATATTCCATGATTACATTTATATGAAATGTATCAAGTAGGCAAATCTAGAGAGAGAAAGTAGACTAGTGCTGTAGAGGGAGAAATAGGGAATTACTGCTAATACTTACAGGATTTCTTTTTGAGGTGGTGGAAATTTTCTAAAATTGATTGGAAGAATGGTTGCAAATATCTGTGAATATACAAAAAAAATTGAATTATACACTTTAAATTGGTGAATTTTATGGTATGTGAATTATATCTCAATTAATCTGTTATTTATTTTTTAGAGGTTGGGGGGAAACGGTATATCACAAGGATCCTTCAGGTTGCCCTAAATCATACCTACCTTCTTCCTACCACTCCCTATCTTTATTTCTATTCCATGGCAAACACTAGTCTGCCCTCCTTTCTAAAATTTTGTCATTTTAAAAATGTTATGCGGTCATATAAAAGAACAAGATCATGGCTTTTAAATGAACATGGATGGAGCTGGAGCCTATTATCCTTAGCAAATTAATGCAGCAACAGAAAACCTTATACCGCATGTTCTCAATTATAAGTGAGAGCTAAATGATGAGGACTCATGAACAGAAAGAGGGGAACAACAAACACTGAGGGGTACTGGGTTTACTACCTGGGTGAAGAAATAATCTGTGCAACAAACCCCTGTGACATGAGTTTACCTATGTAACAAACCTTCATATATACCCTCCAACCTAAAATAAAAGTTAAAAAAAAGAAGAAAAACTTATATAAATGAGATGATGACTGAAGGAATAAGTGAATATAATGAAAAAGCTCAGAAGTTGGTTTGCCTCTGAAACTGATGTAATAGTTCAAAGTGATTAAATTAATTCTCATTTATTTAAAGAAATCACCAGTAATTAAACCTATAGATAGCATAGGTCTCTAGATATGATGCACAGAAAGAGCAAACACCACTTTGTATTCCTGTCAAAAATGAATAACCTGAATCTAACTTCAAGGAAGCACTGGAGAAACCCAAACTGGGGGACATTCTACAAAATAACTGCCCCATACTTTTTTTTTTTTTTGAGACAATTTCATTCCCATTGCCAAAACTGGATTGCAATGGTGTGATCTTGGTTCACTGCAACATCTGCCTCCCAGGCTCAAGCGATTCTCCTGCCTCAGTTTCCCAAGCAGCTAGGACTGCAGGTGCATACCACTGTTGCCAGCTAGTTTTTGTATTTTTTTGTAGAGACAGGATTTTACCATGTTGCTCAAGCTGGTCTCGAACTCAACCTCAAGCAATCCACCTGCCTTGGCCTCCCAAAGTGACTGGCCTATACTCTTAAACACTGTTGATACCAAGAAAGATAAAAGAAAGATTTGATGATCAGATTAAAGAATAAAGAAATGTGACAACTGAATGTAATGCAATATCCTGAATTGGATCCCGGGCCAAAAAAAAAAAAAAAAAAAAAAAGCCATAAACAACATTACTGGGAAACTTGACAAAATTTAAAGACAAACTGTTGTTTAGGTAGGAATATCATATCTATGTTAAATTTCCTGATTTTGATCATTATATCGTAAAAAATATCTTTGCTCTTAGGGAACAAAGACTATATATTTATGGGTACAGGTACATAATGTCTACAACTTACTCTCAACTAATTCATGGGGAAAAAACTATGTTTAGGCTGGTCTGATGGTAGTGGGTTATCAGAACTTATTAATATTAGTGTCACTAAGGTTGATATATAACCCCCCACTAAATTTGACTGGCTTAAAAAAAACTATGTTTATATATAAAGAAATAAACATGATGAAATAAATGAGGCAAAACTTTCACAATAGGTTGTTTTGACTAAAAAAATAGTTCTTTTTACTCATGCAAGTATTTTCTCTTTCTTTCTTTTTTTTTTTTTTTGGAGACAAGAGTCTCGCTCTGTCTGGAGGGCAGTGGCTCAATCTCAGCTCACTGCAAACTCTGCCTCCCAGGTTCAAGTGATTCTCCTGCCTCAGCCTCCCAAGTAGCTGGGATTACAGGCGTGCACCACCACACCTGGCTAATTTTTGTATTTTTAGTAGAGACGGGATTTCACCATGTTGGCCAGGCTGGTCTCGAACTCCCGGCCTCAGGTGATCTGCCTGCCTCAGCCTCCCAAAGTGCTGGGATTACAGGTGTGAGCAAGTTTTTTCAAAGCTTATGATTTTATCAAAATAAAGTTACTCACCCCTGAAAAAAAAGTATTATATAAATGGAATCATACAGTATGTAACCTTTTGGGACTGACCCTTTTCACTCAATATAATTCCTAGGAGATTCATCCAAACTGTTTATGTATCAGTAGTTCATTCCTTTTTATTTATTTCCCTTGGTATGGATGTACCATACTCTCATTCCCTTTTTGAAGTACATCTGGGATTATTCCAGTTTTAAATTATTATCAATAAAGCCTGTACTTATGTCCAAGTTTTTGTGCAAACGTAAGTTTTTGTTTCTCTAAGGGAAAAAATCCCCAAGAGTGCAACTGCTGGGTTATATGGTAATCAAATATTTAGTTTGTTAAGAAACTGTCAATTGTTTTGCAGTTACTGTATCATTTTATATTCCCACCAGCAATGTCTGAGTGATCCAGTTTCTTTGCATCCTCACCAGCATTTGCTGTTGCCATTATTTTTTTATTTTAGCTATTCTGATAGATGTGTAGTGCTATCTCATTGTGGTTTTAATTTTCATTTCCCTGACGACTAACCATGTCAAAACATTTTTTTCACAGGCTTATCTGACATCGGGTTATCCTCTTTAGTAAAATTTCTGTGCATGTCTTTTCCACATTTTCTTTTTTTCTTTTTTTTTTTTTTTTGAGACGGACTCTTGCTCTGTTGCCAGGATGGAATGCAGTGGCATGATTTCGGCTCACTGCAACCTCCGCCTCCTGGGTTCAAGCAATTCTCATGCCTCAGCCTCCCTAGTAGCTGGAAATACAGGCACACACTGTGCCACACCCAGCTAATTTTTGTATATTTAGTAGACGGCGTTTCACCATGTTGGCCAGGATGATCTTGATCTCCTGACTTCGTGATCCGCCCGCCTGGGCCTCCCAAAGTGCTGGGATTACAGGCATGAGCCACTGTGCCCAGCCTTGCACATTTTCTAATTGGATTGTTTGCTTTTTCCCTGTTGAATTTGGATATTTATATACTTATTATAAAGACTAGTCCTTTGTTGGATAGGTGGTATGTTAGTTTCCTAGGGCTGCTATTACAAATTACCACAAGTGGGGTCACTTAAAACGAAAGAAATTTATTCTTTCACAGTTCTGAAGGCCAGACGTCCAAAGCCAAGGTGTCAGCAGGTGGTACTCCCTCTGGAGGCTCAGAACGAAATCCACTCCTTGCCTCTTCCAGTTTCTGGCAGCTGTCGGCATTCCTAGGTTTGTGACATCTTTCCCTCTGCTAGTCTTCACATCACCCTCTCTGTGCCTGGCTTGTGGCCTCATGACTATAATTTCTATCTTCATCTTCACATTGCCTTCTCTCCGTATGTGTTAAATTTCTCTCTGCCTTATTCTTACCAGGCTGCTTGAGATGGAACTAAACACTGATTTTGATCGTACTCGACTATTCTTATTGTCCTTTTAATGCTTATATCCCTTTTAATGATCCATAAGTGTTTACTGGTTCATGATATCAGCACATGACACAAAACCAAAATTAGCAACAAAATAACATAGCATCAATAATTTGTGTTTCTAGCATAAAGCCTTAACAAAAATGACATAACTCTGGTATGTGTGTATGTATCCCTTTTCCTCTGGGACTTACACTCACATTAGCCATCACAAAGACTTCCTCACATCTGTATGTGGTAGGCCTTTAGACATTTGAATGATTTGACAAAGGTCAAAGCAACATCAATAAATGTAAATGTATTTAAAGTATATAGTATCATGATTAAGGACACAGGCCCTGGAGTCAGATTGACAGCAAAGCTTGTACCTGGCTTCATGCTTACTAGATTCACCACATTACGCCTCTATTTCTTCATCTGAAAAAATAGGTTTATAAGCTTTATCACAAGGATAAAATGAGTTAATTCATATAAAGCACTAGTATTTTCCTGGCAGAAAGTATGCCCTCATTCAGTGTTAGCTGTTATAATTCAACTAATTGTTCACATGTCTCGCTATGCTAAGAGAAATGGGAACCACTAAAAAAAAAAAAAAAAAAAAAGACATGAATTCCACTATACAATAAATAATAGCCTTATGAAAGCAATACATATGCATATTTCTGAAAAACACAAATGAAACATAAAAACAGCATAAAGTGCTATCTATTCCTTGTAGTCTTCTGCCCACTTTATGCATGTACAAACTCTCCAAAGCCTGTCACTATTGAGCTGAAGAAAGTACTAAACTAATAAAAGCAGACGTCAAAAAAATACAGTCACAAAACATTTTGATGCCTTGCTGTATTTCAGTTTTGAAAATTTTGGTCACCAAATTACTAATTTTTGTATTGCTATTCAAGTTAATCCGCACCACATTCCATGATAACTATTGTATTAAACTTTCTCAAAAAATTTTTTTAAAATATTAATTCCAGAGAGGAGACACATTAATATATTTTTGATTGTCAAATAAACAGAGAGGAGTTTAATTTTTTTCTTTAAAAATAAGGAGATCACAAGAGAACATGAACCAGAAAGAAATAATAAAATACAAAATAATAATATTGATAAAAATTCAGGAGAAGTCCAAGCATGGTGGTTCATGCCTGTAATCCCAGCACTTTGGGACGCCAAGGCAGGAGAGTGGTTTGAGCCCAAGAGTTCGAGACAAGCCCAGGCAAAATAGCAAGACCCTGTCTCTACAGATTTTTTTTTTTTAATTAGCTGGACATAGCAATGCATGCCTATGGTCCCAGCTACTCAGAAGGCTGAGGTGGTAGGATCACTTGAGCCTGGGAAGTTGAGGCTGCAGCAAGCCATGATCGCACCACTACCCTCCAGCCTGGGCAGCAGAGTGACAAACCCTGTCAGAAAACAACCACCACCACCAAGAAGAAATCAGAAGAAGATATCAAGTCTGTGCAGGACTTCAGCTCCGTAAATAAAAATCATAAAATCTGCACATAGTAATAAATGTTAGGAACAAGGCAGTTAAAGATTAGTAACAAGCAGTTTTATTGGGATTTTAGGAACTTGCAGGGGAGAATGTGAGTGCTCATTATATTTTAAATACATCATAAAGTTAAAACCAATGAAAGTAGAAATAACATGCATTCACATTTTGAAAAACCTTGAAAGTAATGCAGCTACAAATATTCACTATCATTTGAGAGCAAGCTTTTTAAGAAGTTAAAATGATTTGAATTATACCATAACTATTCTAAACATCTATTAAATTAAACAAAGAATTTTCACTAATTGGTTACCCTTTCATAGGTTCTTCTCAGTTTGTCAGCTAGATGATGTGTTCCTACACTGTACTTTGCGATATAATTAAACCATGGATTATCTCTGAATTAGGCTGGGTACAACTGTGATATAACAAAAGGGAGAAGTCGCAGAACATAGTCCAGCTGTTAATAGCATGGACTTTGGAGCCAGGCTTCCTGGGTTCAAACTCCAGTCCACCATTTAGTACTCTTTGAAATATGCATATTTTTGTTCAAAAAGGAATATGTGCATTCTTCCTGGGAAGAGTTGTAGTTTCCACAAAATTTTAAAAGAGCTATTGATTCCAACAGTAATTCAGTTCCCTAAAATCAGCGGCAGTAGAACATTTTGATGTACAAAAGTTACTCATGCTAGGACTCTGGTGGTATTTTCCCTCACTGCCCCTAAATTCAGCCATTTCTATTCTTTAGGGCTCTATAATAAACACCTGATTTGAAGTCTGACCCATTTTTAAATTGGGAACGGGGAAGACACCCCTCAAAAAGTCAGAACCTCAAAGCCTTTGGTCAGGGCCAGCTATATAATCTGTGTGGGTCAATGTGAAATGAAAATATGATGCTCCTTGTTCAAAATCCAAGACAAAAACCTTCAGCTTACCGATAAGTAGAGAAAGACTGAAAAGAAAAGGAATTGTGGAATGTCTTATCTTTCCTTTTCCTTTCATGCCATCACTTTTAGTGTAAGTGGTTAGAAAATATAGTAACGTGGTTGGGCATGATGGCTTAGCCTGTAATCCCAGTTTGGAAGGCTGAGGCAGACAGATCACTTGAGCTCAGGAGTTTGAGACCAGCCTAGGCAACATGGCAAAACTCTGTCTCTACAAAAAAATACAAAAATTAGGGGGCGTAGTGGTGGGTCCCTGTAATCCCAGCTACCTGGGAGGCTGAGGCAGGAGAACTGCTTGAACCTGGGAGGCAGAGGTTGCAGTGAGCTAAGATGATGTCACTGCACTCCAACCTGGGAGACACAGCAAAACTCCGTCTCAAAGAAAATAATAATAATTTCAAGAGGGCAAGGGTGAGCCCTTCTGAGCACTTTGTACTTAGGTCCCTAACTACAAAATAAGTGGTTCATGGAGGCCATTTAGTGCGCATCCTGAACATTGTATGACATGGGGCAAGAAACAGTGACAGACACACACATTGCATGAATCACATCTGCTCACAAGATTGCTCCATTGTCTCATCAGACATCACTTACAAAACATAAGTTCAAATATAAACTCCTAAGCATTTCAAGACGGCAACAGCAGAGCATTAAACCAAATGTACAGCCCTTCTAAGCACCGGTTGCCTGCTCATGAAGCTGGCCCTATTCTCTGCTCTCATGTTCCACTTCATAATTTTCTGACCTCAAACAACAAAAAACCTCTCTGCCCATTCCTTCTTGATGCTTCTACACATATAAGCCACATTGCCCAGTGGCAGTAAACTGAGGGTTAATGGAGTTGGTCTGGTTAACTTGGAAAACGAGGGAGTTGTTGGCTGGAGAAGGGTGTTTCAGCCTCTTCCACTCAAGCCAGGATGGGTACCCAGACTAGAGCAAGCATGTGTTAGCTACCTTTAAAAAACAACAACACACCTTCATAAAGAATGCCTAGATTCAAAACATTTGTTTCGTTTTCATTTATTTGTTCCTTTATTGTCCCAGTGAATATTTACTACTTACTTCAAATTGCAACGAGATGCTGACAATTTAGCTATGAACAAAGCAGATGTAGTTCCTGCCCTTATTCAACTTCAAGAAACAGGCAATGAACGACAAGTCAGTGTCACAAGGAATACCAAGGGGAAAATGCAGGGCACTAAGAAAGTGTAAAGCAGACACTCAGGGGCTTTAGGGGTAGATAAGTCTTTCTGGAAGAATTCATCTGTACAGTGAAACTTCAGTATACATAGGAGTAAGTTCGGCCAAGGGAAAGAGTGTTCTTGACAGAACAGCATTGGCAAAAGTGGCAAGAATTTTAAGAAAATTAAAGAAAATGTACAAGTGATGGAACCAGGAATCATGGGGCTCTTTAAGGACAAAATATCTTAAAGGAGTTTGAAATTCACCTTAAATGCAATAGGGAGCCATTGTAAAGTTTCCTATTTGATACTTGTTTTGTAAAAATATTAATCTATGAAGAATATAGGGAGTGGAGTCTGCGGTCAGAGTGGGTACTAGTGCAATTTAGGGAATGAGATTAGGCTGGAAGCTGGATTGGGGGGAAAAAGATGGGCATGAGAGAAACTTGGAAAGCAGAGTTGAGAAGATCGTGTGACCGACTGGACGGGCAAAGGTTAAGAGAGGATAAATAATCATTAAGGACGATTTCTCAGGCTTCTAGTCGGTAACTGGATGGATGTTGGTGCCATTTCTCGAGAAGAGTTAAAGAGCCAGAGATAGCCGGCAAAGAGAAACATGGAGCTAGAATTTTCAGGTATCTGCAGTTTCCCTAATACCTTTTTAATCCAGAATTTGCTCCTTGTTTTGGTTTTAATTCCTCTAAAAGCTGCTTCCGTGTTGCAAGCTGGCTGACCGCTTTAACAGGCAACCAAAGAGATTCTTCTCACAAGAGGGAGGCTTTGAGCACAACCCGGGACATTTGAAGCTGTCAGACTGAAGAAACAGGAAGCTTTGAACTACCTATCACACTCGGCCTTAAAGGTTTCGGAGTAACTCCACCCGTAAAATCCCCACGACTCTGATTAGAAAGTCCCGGCGGGTCGCCGAGACCCGACCGCAGGCTCCGCCCCAGGGCCAGGTGGATGCCCGGATGTGGACTTGAGCGAATGTGCGTCACGTGACGTCGCCTGGCGGGGCGGGACTCTGCCTGCGACGGTGGTGTTGGGTGCATCCTGCGCCACGTGACCGCCTCCCAGCCAACCAATGGAGGAGCGAGGCGGAAAATTTCGAATGTGGCGGCGGTAGTTCCAGGCGACGGCGGACGGTGGTACGGTCCTGGAGGGCCCAGTGCGCGGGGCTAGCCGTGGCTGGAGAGCTTCGAAGAGCCTTGAAATGTGAGGAGGAGGAAGATAGCTGTTGCAGAAGTAGTGGCCAAGGTATCGTTCTGGACGCGCCTGCGGCAGGAGGGTCGCCGCGTCCACTTCCGCCAGCCCCACCTCCCCCCGGCCTTCCTGGAGTCCCTGAAAGAGGAAGAAGTAGGTTTTAAGGTGCGAAACAAGGGCGTAGTGATCCCTGTTTGACTTCCCTTCGGTTTTCAGTATCATTCTAAATTCGGTGGCCGAAAGCTCGGGCCGTGGAGTCCCACTCGCCGCGCTTTTCGCCGTTCAGCCACTCGATCTGCGCTTTCAGATGTTCCGGCTTCCATGGAGACCCTAATTTCCTACTTTGCAAAATTGTGTAGATTAAGTGATGTGCAAATAAAGCTTTTACAATAGCTAAAAGCCTGGCTCAACGTAAGGACACAAGAAAATTGACAGCAGTTCTTTGTGCAGCGTGATACCGTTGACGTCCTCCTTGTCCAGGCCATTCTCTTCCTCACTTACCCTGGAGAGGCCGGCACTGACTAGTATCCTACCTGGCTGTCTTCGCAGCAGGACTAATTGGAGAATTATGGACGGAGATCAAATATGCTAGGTTCTTTAAATCCAGAGCGCTTACACGAGTACTGTACAGATTGAGACCGTCATCTCGCGCTGTGGTCTGTCTTTGCTTTCATCCCTTCTGTCTACCACACCCCCTGCTAATAACCATCGCCTTATTTAGACAGGATATAAAACTTTTGATATGGCAAGTTTCTTTTGTGATTTTTAACTTGATTAAAAGTAATAACGAAAGCTTTTTAGGTAAGGCTTTGCCTTTAAAATACCTTAACTAAACTAGATCCGTTACTTAATCTGTATGACTCTCAAACATCTCCAATTCTAACTTAATTGTGTAAAACAACCCCTTTACCGTTCGTGCTTTTAAAAATAGCTACCCTATCTCTGCTAGGAACCTCCCAGTACATATTGTATATACCTTGGTAGAAAGAAAGTTCTTAAGTGGTATCTACAATACCTATATTTAAGATTCCAGACACTGCATAGAGGAAAATAAGGCCTGGAGGAAATACTCAAGATTAAGTGTAAGGTTTAGGAAAATATTTGACTATCGTAGAGGAGATGAAGATATCCTTTGTAGTGAAAATTCTGTGCATAGATTGTTATTGGAAACAAGTCTTTTTTTTTTGCAATTTTAAGATCTGCAAAGTGCAATCTAGCGTAAAAGATGTTTGTGAAAAGTGGTTTGACATGTTTAGTAGCATGCTAAAGCCTACCTGATTTGCAACGTTGAAAGATTAAGTATAGTTATGTATTTAATACTCAACGTTTAACTGTATGTACAACAATATTTAATGTCTGATTTGTTATGTTCATAATTTACTGGGAGTTAACAGCCCTAACTTTTAGCCACAGTTTGAGAATACTAGAGTGTTCCTCTGCCCAAGTTCCTGCTCTAGCTCTGTACTTGTTACAATAGCCTATTAAAATTGTATGTAGTGCTACATAGTTTAAACCTCTAAGGAGTACCTTGACTTTCTTGAGACTGTGTGCATATCATAAGTGATAATTGCGTTTAAAGAGTATGGAAAAATAGTTGAATGACCTAATCTGATGAATTAATCATTAGAGAAGAGCTGGAAAACAAAACCCAAATATATAATTGCCTCAGAACTAATGCTGTAAGCTTAAGCAGTAAAAGTTGGTCCTAAACATTTTCTATAAAAAGTGTAAATAATGCATCAAAATATAATAATAAGCATTTTCAATAGTGTCTGGCATATACCCCACAGTGAGTATTTGTTAAAGAATGAATAAGTGGCATATTGTGGAATCTTTGGGTTGGAAATCTATATTCAATAAACCTTTTCTATAAAGTGCCTGAGGAGGAAGAGAGAATATCAGAAATATGAATGAGATTTTAAAAGGGGAAAATTTATATTATCAAGTTGGTTAACTATCTACTTTGAGCTAATTCTACAGTTTAGTCTATTTAATGCATTCTTTATGAACAGCCTATGTTTTTTAAGTTTTATATTTGATAATATTCTCTCTGAGAAAAAATATTTTTTATTGTTTAGGCAAAAGATGGCCAAGGAAAGATGCCTGAAAAAGTCCTTTCAAGATAGTCTTGAAGACATAAAGAAGCGAATGAAAGAGAAAAGGAATAAAAACTTGGCAGAGATTGGCAAACGCAGGTCTTTTATAGCTGCACCATGCCAAATAATCAGTAAGAGATTTTTATGTTGTCCTTTTATATCACTTTTAAGTTTAGATTTAATAACTGATAAATTTTTTTATCCTCTTTTAGCCAACACTTCTACACTGCTGAAAAATTACCAAGACAACAACAAAATGTTAGTTTTAGCTTTGGAAAATGAAAAATCCAAAGTGAAAGAAGCCCAAGATATCATCCTACAGCTGAGAAAAGAATGTTACTATCTCACATGTCAGCTATATGCATTGAAAGGAAAACTTACATCACAACAAACAGTAGAACCTGCTCAGGTATTTTCATTACTAAGGCCGAATTTCTTAGTTTAGTTAAGCCATGAATAAGTAGTTTAGATCAATTATGTTATTTAAATGAATTACTGATAGCTCAGTTATGCATGAATTGTTTAAAACATCCTTCTTTAGTGCTCCAGCATAGCTATTGCATTTGGCCATTTAAGAAAGCTTCAAGCATATAGGTGATTGAGGCCTGTTCCTGCCTGTTTCATTCTTAAAGCAGGTAGCAAAACAGGATCCAGAAGAAATAGTTTAGCCTTTTGCATTGCTGGTCCATTTGAATGTTCAACTAAGTGAGTCAAAGATAGTGCAACTAAGCTAAAGATGTAAAAGTGGTAGTTGAAGTGGACTTATCCAAAAGTTTTAATCAATGCTATCTTAGCTTTTACCTAGCCTTTTGTTTTGCTATGTCATTTTGCTTTATCCAGTGGGGTTTTATAAGAACTACCTTTATTTAGGACATAGGGAGTATTTAAGTGCTTTTTGGAGAACCATTTTTACCTACTTGTTGGCTAAGTAGAGAAGACTATTAACTCCCAGACAAGTAAGATCATAAACATTTGCTGCTCAAATATTTTTTTTTTTTTGAGACGGCGTCTCCCTCAGTCGCCCAGGCTAGAGTGCAGTGGCGCGATCTCGGCTCACTGCAAGCTCGGCCTCCTGGGTTCACGCCATTCTCCTGCCTCAGCCTCTGGAGTAGCTGGGACTACAGGCACCCGCCACCACGCCTGGCTAATTTTTTGTATTTTTAGTAGAGACGGGGTTTCACCGTGTTAGCCAGGATGGTCTCGATCTCCTGACCTCGTGATCCGCCCATGTCGACCTCCCAAAGTGCTGGGATTACAGGTGTGAGCCACCGCGCCCGGCCTCAAATTTTTAATCTGATTCTCTTTGTGTCTAAGATTGTAAAGAAGGTGTTCAAATATGGTCCTGCTAGCCAAAATATAACAGATATGGAGAAAGTTTGCTTTAGGATATTCTTTGTGTCTGGCTATACCATTGTGTATCACTGTACACAGTAATGTGTATCATTACTTACGAAAAAAGTAATGATGAGCTAGTTTATTTTTCCCTTTTTCCAGTAGCCACTGCCAAGGAAATGGGGCAGAGAAAAAAAAAGCAGTGGTGTCAGGTGTACAGCAAGTTGAATTTCTTCCCAGTGGCCATTGCTTCGCTATGCCAGTGAAAACAGTTGAGTTGGCACTTAGGCCGGAAGGTCAGATAAGAAAGCGAGAACATTGTGATTAGGGGAGGGATATGGGGGGTGGGAGGAGGTGGGCAGGTACTTGAGAATGAAATTAACATCACTTCTCCATTGACAGGAGAAGTCAGTGAAAGAGTTCTTGCTTCCCTTTTGATTCCTTATTTTTTTTTCTCCATGTGATTAAGATACATGTAATATATACATATATACACACATAGACAATAAGTACATATATGGTATATTTGAGAACTGCCTCTATAAAGATTAGATATGTTTTCTTCACGGGAACTTTATGTTTTTTTTTCTTTTTTTTTTCTTGAGACAGAGTCTTGCTCTGTCACCCAGGGTGGAGTACAGTGGTGCAATCTCAGCTCACTGGAGCCCCTGCCTCCTGGGTTCAAGTGATTCTCGTGCCTCAGCCTCCCGAGTAGCTGGGATTACAGGCATGCGCCACCACACCTGGCTAATTTTTATATTTTTAGTAGAGACAGGGTTTCGCCATGTTGTTCAGGTGTCTCGAACTCCTGGCCTCAAGTGACCCACCCACCTCAGCCTCCCCAAGTGCTGGGATTACAGGCATGAGCCACTGTGCCAGGCGTGGTAGATTACTTTTTCTTTTTCTTTTCCAGAATGTAATCTTTTCTAATTTTGTATTTTCCTTGTTCAGTCAACTAGTAGGGGGAAACAGTTCCTCTAAAGGCATTTGAATCTTCCTCCTCCCTTTACAAAGTTTTTGCTGAAAAACAGAAATAGTAGGAAGCAAATACTCAATGAGATAATTACAAAAGCAGTTGGGAAAAAATTCTATTACTGCAGCTCAATAGTTTTTGAGTATTTATTAAAAACATTGTTAGTTGCTACGCAAATATATTCTTAGCATTTAGAAGGTCATTGTTTCTATTTTCTGCTATGTACTAATTGCTTGTGTCACTCATTCTCAACCTCATTGTACACCCGTGCTTCAGTGCTTATCAAATCAATTTAGCAGTGGTGGAGAAGCTTAAAATGTAAGAATTTTACAAGAATGTTTTCTTGCCTAGCCCTAGCAATAGTTAACGTTTAGGTAATTTTTAACAGCCTTTTGTTCCCTAATTTTATAGTAGATTTTTCAATGACTTGTTTTTAAGTTATATTAGTATATAGTTAAATGTTCTTTTTTATTTACCTGCATTAATATTAGTTTCAGAACATTAGCTATATTCATGTCAAATTTAAAGTTTCATCTTTGGCCAGGGTAGGTTGGGGGTGGACAGAGTCTCGCTCTTACCCAGCCTGGGGTGCAGTGGTGTGATCACAGCTCTCTGCAGCCTTCACCTCCCAGGCTCAAGCACACTCAGCCTTCACCTCCCAGGCTCAGGCAATCTTCCCATCTCAGCCTCCTGAATAGGTGGGACTATAGGCATGCACTGCCACACCTGTCTAATTTTTTTGTTGGGGGTAGAGACAGGATCTTGCCATGTTTCCCAAGCTGGTCTTGAGCTCCTGGTATCAAGCAATCCTCTGGCCTTGGCCTCCCAATGTGCTGGGATTACAGGCAGAAGCCGCCACACCTGGCCTAAAGCTTTTAACAGGATTAAATTTCTAGTTGTTTTGTTTTTAATGAACATTTTTAGCTTATTTATTATAATGTCAGCATATGTTCATCAAATTTCAAAAGATAATTAAATTAGAATTGGCTTCTTAGGAATTGAGTGAGAATTGTCATCTTCATAACAGAGATCTGCAAATCCACCTCTATACTTAGGTTCTTCATCTTCCCTCTTGTTACAGTGGCAGAATGGCCCCTGTTCCTACTAAAGGCAAGCACCAACCCCAGCCACTCCCCAGCCCATGCATCCAATTTTCTCTTCTCACCTCCTCTACAACTTTATTCCTGGAATATTGTTCTCTCTTCTATATATCCCCCTCTCCACTGGATCATTTCAGTCATCATAAAGATGTGCTTTCGTATCTCTCAACCTTAGAGAAAAAGTAATGAAACCTCTCCTGGTCTCATATTTCTTTATCTCCTCATTTCTTTGCTTCCCTTCACAGCAGAACTTTTTAAAAGAAAACAGTATATTCTTCACTTCCTCAGCTTCCATTCACATTTGAAACGACTCTTTTTTTTCCTTTGAGACAGAGTCTCGCTCCATTGCCTAGACTGAAGTGCAGTGGCATATCATGGCTTACTGCAGGCTTGACCTCCCAGGCTCAAGTGATCCTCCCACCTCAGTCTCCTGAATAGCTGGAACACCACCACGCCCAGCTAATTTTTTAAAACTTTTTTGTGGAGACCATCTCACTATGTTGCCCAGGTTGGTCTTGACCTCCTGGGTTCAAGTGATACCCCTGCCTCGGCCTCCCTAAATGCTAGGATTACAGGCATGAGGTACCACGCCTGGCCTGCAGCCACTCTGAATCTAGATTTTATCCTTACCATTCTGTTGTCACTGCATGTCAAGGTCACCAAAACCTCCATGTTACCAAATTCAGTGGTCACTTCTCTTTCTTCTTGACCTTGCAGTAATAATATGCAAAACAGGGACCACTCTTTACTTGACATACTTTGATCTCTTAGTTTTCATGATATCATGCTCCCCTGCTTTTCATTCTACCTTTCTGACTGTTCCATGTCGGTCTCTTTTGCTGATTTCTTCCTCATTCTACCTGTAAATGTCAGGCATTTTATTGGCCAGGCACATTGACTCGTGGCTGTAATCAGAGCACTTTGGGAGGCTGAGGTGAGAGGATCGCTTGAGCCCAGGAGTTCAAGACCAGCCTGGGCAACACAGCAAGACTCCCATCTCTACAAAATAAAAAATAAAAATTAGCCAGTTGTGGTGGCATGCACCTGTAGTCCCAGCTACTTGGGAGGCTGAGGTAGGAGGATTGCTTGTGCCCAGGAGTTCAAGGCTGCAGTGAGCTATGATAGCACCACTACACTTCAGCTTGGGTGACAAAGCAAGACTTTATTTCAAAAAAATGAATGAATGCCAGTTGTTGTAGACTCATCTTATACCCTCTCATAGCTTTATGTACTGTCTGTCTGCTGATGCCTCCCCAGTTAATAGTACAAAATCTAAAAACAAACACATACACACATATACCCACAGCCACCATTTGCTATCTCCACTTAAAGATTTATAAGGGATCTCAAACATACCTTATATAAAGCACAACTTCCCCTTGTCTCCCCCACAGATGCTGTATACTTCCTACCTTCCTTTATAAGTCTTACTCAGTAAAGTAGCCTACATGTTTGCTTAGGCCAAAACCACAAGAGGCTTTCCTCTCCCTCATTGTTCCCATCTCCATCCCTTTTCAGTCCTTGAGCTTGACCTGTCATCTCAAGGCCTTCCACTGGGCTTCACCTCCATAGCCATGACTCTAATCTTAGCTGATATCATATCTTGCCAGATATGCAATGATGACCTCTCAGCTCTTTCTACCCCCGGCCTCTTTCAATTCAGACTGATCTTTCAAAAACTTAAATCAGTTTACTTCCTTTCTTAATATTAAGTACCTTCCCATCATACTTAGACTAAAATCTAAACTCATGGCTCTCAAGGCCCTACATTATGTGGCCCCTGCATGTACATCTCCTACTGTTCTCAGTGACTATGTTCCAGCCACAACAACCTTTCTTTCCTAAACACAGCAAGATTTTTCTTATGTGTATTTGCTGTTTCCACTGCCTTCTTTTCCTCCTGTTCTTTCAGTGGCTAGCTCCTTTGCAGTCTTCTGATTTATATCACATTCACTGTATTTAAAAGAGCAATCCAACCTGAGTTACTCTCTATCACCTCACACTGGGTATTTCCTTCATGACATTTATCGCAATCTGAAATTTTGTACATATATCTTCTCTTTTTAAAATTTTACTTCCCTGCACTAGAATGTAAGCTTTAAAAGGATAAGACTTACTCTGCTTTTGAGCTGTTATAGTCTCAGTTCCTAGAACCATGGCATGGCACCATGATAGACTGTCAACAAGTGCATATTGTTGAATAAATTAATGCTTTCTTGTGAATACTTCAGTTATAACAGTGTTTTGTTTTAATACATTAACAGAACCAGGAAATATGTTCCTCTGGAATGGACCCCAATAGTGATGACAGCTCCAGAAATTTATTTGTGAAGGATTTACCGTTAGTATCAAATTCTTTATCATGATTATTAATACTAAGAAAGGTTTAATTCTGTGATTCATTTATGAAAGGAAATGTGCATCATGTCAACTCTTATATTTGTAGTCTGTTGCTTTCTCTACTGAGAATATATTTAAGAGAATTTGATGTGTTGAAATTCTATTACATATAGCCAAGCTAAACCCTTCTTTTTCTTATATTTCACTCCTTTTTTGATGCCTAGGAAAAAGAAGCCTTACCACAGTTTTTAATTCTACTTCATACTTTCCTTCAGTCATACTTTTCTGTGTACCATGTTTTTATTCTAAGAAGGATTAGCTATTGAAATGAGATGTTTTGCCAGCCCTCTGAATAGTCTGGTTCAGAAAATAAATAAATAAATAAATAAATAAAATATCATATTTAACACAGTTGTCCCATTGTCTCGCTGATCCAGTTCATTTTTCTAGATCCCATATACCCTCCTCCCCTTCTCTTGGATCAAATGTACTTTGTTTGTTTATGAATTATTAAGATTTAATTATAAACAGTAAAATGCACAGATCACAGTTACAATTTGATGAGTTTGACTAATGTATATATCGTGGAACTAAAATTTCAATGAAGACATAGTGTTTTCACTGTTAACATTGTGGGCCAGATAATTCTTTGTTGTAGAGAGCTGTCTGTGCATGATGGGATGTTTAGCAGCATCCATAGCCTCCACCCAGTGAATCCCAGTAACATCATCAGGAGAACAAAAAATGACTTCAGATATTGTGGCATGTTCCCTGGAGAGCATAATTGCCCTTGGATGAGAACTACTGCCATAGACAGTTCTTTCGTATGCCTATCAAGTCCATCCCCTTCTCCACAGAAGTAACCACTAAGATGATTTCTATCACCATAGATTACTTTTAATCATTAGTAGTTTTTAAACTGTTGTACTTTAAGATCTGTTGTGGGCAAAAGGTAAGATAAGGTAATTGAATTTGTAGAAGATTTCTAAAGTAGTTATTATTTACCACAGCCATTACTTACCTAAATCTGTTTAATGTCTAGAGTAGAAAATTCTCTACAGAGAATAAAGAATAAAATTACAATTAGAATGAAACTGCCAGTAATAGTGTTAGAGTATAAAGAACACTTCATGTTTCATGAACCAAAGAACAACATTTGTAAAGAAAATGAACAATGTTAACTTCAGAAGAGTTCAATAGTTAAGCACCATAAAAGCATATATTACCAACAAATCACAGCTCTGCTAATGATAAAGCAGGCTCCTAAAGAGTTGAGTGATCAAACTACATTTTTTAAAAAACATTTAACAAATTAATTCTCATGGGCTGTTTCCGTAGTTAAATTGAGTTATATAATGTGTTTTCAGGTGGAACTCTCCAACTTGATAGGTTGGTTCTTCAAGTGGGAATTGAATGTCAGTCATAACAAATCAGTCTCCCTGTAATCAGCATAAGTGTCCTTTGGTTTCCTTTGATACAGAATAGATGTATTGATTTGAAATCGAATTATGAAATGATACTAAAGGAAAGAAAAATTATAATTTAGGAAAATACTGAATTTGTTTTTATTACATAATTGTTAAATTTCTGTTTTTCATTGGTATTTTCTAAGGCAAATTCCTCTTGAAGAAACTGAACTTCCAGGACAAGGAGAATCATTTCAAATAGAAGGTAATTCAAGTGAAAATCTAAAAATATTATTAAGGGCAAAATAAGGTCTTTGAGAACAAATAATACAATTAAATTTATCTAATTCTTTTTTTTTAACTTTTTAAATTTGTTCATCTGGTATTCTGCTCAAAGCAAATCTGTTTATTTTACACAGAGTAATAGAGTGTTAAAATATATTTATTGTGTCAAATCTGTAATCTGAATCTTTGGCTATAACTATGGCAGCAATTTACTGATTGCTACTACGTGTCAAGCTCTATGTTAGGCATTTTATGTGCATAATCTCACCTAACCCTCACAACAACCTAGGACTATAAGTACAGTTAGTCCTGTTTTATAGGAACTCAAGAAGGTAAAATATCTCACATGAAGAAGTCTAGATGTTAACAGCTAGCATTTAAAATCAAAGTTGAACTCCAAAGCCATCCCTTTCTTACTACTTTTAAATTGATATGTCCATGTTCTCAAGTGTCAATCTCCTCCACTTGAACCAAGCATTGAAGAAAGGATAGTATTTGAATAAGCAAAACCAGACGTCGAAGGAAGGATAGTATTTGAATAAGCAAAACCAGACATAGCCCCACTTTTCCTTAAAATACAAATTATATTTCTTACCTGAGAAGCTTTCTAGTTATTCAAATCTTATTTATTTTTCAAAGAACAACTTAGCTCCCACTTTCTCATTTGTCCCACTTTGGAATATGCGGTTCTACTTCTCTGAATCTGTACTCAATGATACATATAGACTATTCATTTTCTTTAAACCAAGAGCACATAAAAGCCTGTTATAATTTTTTTTTTTTTTGACAGTCTTGCTCTGTCGCCCAGGCTTGGAGAGCAGTGGTGCGATCTCAGCTCACTACAAGCTCTGCCTCCTGGGTTCACGCCATTCTCCTGCCTCAGTCTCCCGAGTAGTTGGGACTACAGGCACCCACCACCACGCCTGGCTAATTTTTTGTATTTTTTTTAGTAGAGACGGGGTTTCACTGTGTTAGCCAGGATGGTCTCGATCTCCTGACCTCGTGATCTGCCCGCCTCGGCCTCCCAAAGTGCTGGGATTACAAGCGTAAGCCACCGTGCCTGGCCTATAATGTTTTTAAAGATTATAAAGATTGAATGTCCCTTATCCAAAATGCTTGGGACCAGAAGTGTTTTGGATTTATTTTTTAAATTTTGGAGTATTTACATTATATCAGTTCATCATCCCTAATTTGAAAATCTGAAATCCAAAACCCTCCAGTTAGCATTTCCTTGGAGCATCATGACTGCACTAAAAAAGTTTTGGATTTCAGATTTTCAGATTAGGGATACTGAACCTGTACAAGATTCTTTCACATGTCAGATATAAGCCATCAGTTGATCACTGACAAGTAAATAGATGGTAATATTTAAGTTCCCAGGTTTTTATTTACAGATTTTATAATGTAGGAAAACTACAGAATGACCTTTTGGTCATTCACTTTTTTAGTTTGAATTCTAAAGTTCTTGAAATTCAAATTTCCACAAAGTAAAACTACTTTTCTCATTTATTTTTTAAATTCTCAGATCAGATACCTACTATTCCTCAAGACACACTGGGAGTTGATTTTGATTCAGGTGAAGCTAAGTCTACTGATAATGTCTTACCTAGAACTGTATCTGTTCGTAGCAGTTTAAAGAAACATTGTAACAGTATATGTCAGTTTGATAGCTTGGATGATTTTGAAACCAGTCATTTGGCAGGGAAGTCTTTTGAATTCGAAAGAGTTGGATTTTTAGACCCACTAGTAAACATGCACATACCTGAAAATGTACAACACAATGCTTGTCAATGGAGCAAGGACCAAGTTAACTTATCACCAAAGCTGATTCAGCCAGGAACGTTTACTAAAACAAAAGAAGACATTTTAGAATCTAAATCTGAACAAACTAAAAGTAAGCAAAGAGATACACAAGAAAGAAAAAGAGAAGAGAAAAGAAAAGCTAACAGGAGAAAATCAAAACGTATGTCAAAATATAAAGAGAATAAAAGCGAAAATAAAAAAACTGTTCCCCAAAAAAAAATGCACAAATCTGTCAGTTCCAATGATGCTTACAATTTTAATTTGGAAGAGGGTGTTCATCTTACTCCTTTCCGACAAAAAGTGAGCAATGACTCTAATAGAGAAGAAAACAACGAGTCTGAAGTGAGCCTCTGTGAATCAAGTGGTTCAGGAGATGATTCCGATGACCTCTATTTGCCCACTTGCAAGTACATTCAGAATCCCACGAGCAATTCAGATAGACCAGTCACCAGGCCTCTAGCTAAAAGAGCACTGAAATACACAGATGAAAAAGAGACGGAGGGTTCTAAGCCAACAAAAACTCCTACCAGTAAGTGATCTACTTGTTTACCTGTATTTTTAATGTTCGTGATAAATGATCACTCCTGATGCTTATATACTATACTTACCATCTGTTTCTCTGGTGGAGGTTGGAGACTTACCATCTGTCTCTCTTTGGTGGAAGTTATGGTCTGATTAAACAGTGGGGGGCTGGGTGTGGAAATCACAGTTGTATTGCTCTGACCTAATTCAGAGATTGCTTGTTATGGAGACAGAATTTTTATTTTCAGTAAATTAGGACTCCCAAGGGGACAGAGGGACTTTTTTGTAGACTTAGGTTGAATTGAAGTAGCTTTTATACACTTAACTGAAGTATCCCCTTGAAAGTGAAATCAAATTTGAATCCAGTGACTTGTTATTTTAATGGCCTTGTTTTATATTAAATTTGACAGGAACCGTGATTTAAAATAATCTTCTAGTTAGTGAAGATTTCCTCAATTGATAGGCTTAGTATTCTTTTGTACGACATCTCTAAAAACTGGCTCAGAAAATATTTTATTAGATCAAAAGTAGGCATAGTTCAAATGTTCGTAATACAACCTACACCTGTCCACAAAGATTCTCATTTGGCAATTTTAGTTAATACAAGTAAAACTAACATTTATAGTCAAGTTGTATCATTTTCAAAATATTGTCACATCATTTTATTTGATCCTCAGAACAATTCTGTGAAGTATAGGTGTTATGATGCTTATTTTGTTTGTAAGGAGATTAAAACCTTAAAAACCAAACCAACTTTCTAAATCGGCCAGTTAGTCAGTGGTAGCAGGCAAGTATCTTTTTTAAAAATATGCTGTAAGCCGGGCGGGTTGGCTCACGCCTGTAATCCCAGCACTTTGGGAGGCTGAGGTGGGCGGATCACCTGAGGTCAGGAGTCCAAGACCAGCCTGGCCAACATGGTGAAACCCCATCTCTACTAAAAATACAAAAAAATGAGCCAGGCCTGGTGGTATGTGCCGGTAATCCCAGCTACTCGGGAGGCTGAGGCAGGAGAAAAAGAATTGCTTGTACCCAGGAAACAGAGGTTGCAGTGAGCCGAGACCATGCCATTGCGCTCCAGCCTAGGCAACAAGAGCGAAACTCAGTCTCAAAAAAAAAAAAAGCAAAAATGCTATAATGATGTTAGAATAAATCAAACATGATTGTCAAAGTGTTGATAATTATTGGACCTGGGTAACTCAGAGTTTATTATACTGTTATTGCCATCTTTGTGTACATTTAAAAATGTCCAGAAAAAGTTGGGATTTTTTTGTTGTTGTTCACTTTTTAATTGAGACAGGGTCTTGCTCTATCACCTCGGCTGGAGGGCAGTGGCACTGTCATGGCTCACTGCAGTCTCAACCTCCCAGGCTCAAGTGATTCTTCCACCTCAGCCTCCCCAGTACTTGGGACTACAGGCATGCGCCATCACACCTGGCTAATTTTTTTTTTTTTTTTTTTTTTTTACTTTTTGTGAAGATGAGGTCTCACTGTGTTGCCAGGGTGGTCTCAAATTCCTGGGCTAAAGCAGTCCTCCTGCCTTGGCCTTACAAAGTGCTGGGATTACAGATGTGTGAGCCTGTATCCATAAAAATACATAAAATACATAAAAAATACGTTTTTAAACGAAAAAAATATACTCTAAAATGGTATTACTCAGAGTTTAATCCCTAGACGTCTTTTAAGAAATGCAGAATCTCAGGCCATACCCCATACCGTGGAGTCAGAATCTGCATCTTTTTTTTTTTTTTTTTTTTGAAACAGAGTTTCACTCTTGTTGCCCAGGCTACAGTGCAGTGGCACGATCTCAGCTCATCCCAACCTCCGCCTCCTGGGTTCAAGCGATTCTCCTGCCTCAGACTCCCGAGTAGCTGGGATTACAGGCATGTGCCACCACGCCCAGCTAATTTTGTATTTTTAGTAGAGACAGGCTTTCTCCATGTTAGTTAGGCTGGCCTCAAACTGCCAACCTCAGGTGATCCGCCCACCTCGGCCTCCCTAAGTGCTGGGATTACTGGCGTGAGCCACCGTGCCTGGCCATTAAGAAGTCCTCCTGTGGATTCATATACACATTAAAGTTTGAGAAGCATTTTTCCAGAATATAGCAACTGATCTGATATTGTTCCAAACAACATATTTCTCAAACTGAAAGTTGGAATAATTAATACAGTACAGTATATTTATGTGGGAACAAAAAGGACAGACTATAAAACCCAGATAACACTGGAGCATATGGCTCTTAGTATACAATCATTTCACAGTTATAGTTTTTACTTTTTTGGGGATACAGTTTGCTTTTTAAAGCTATTTGAGGAGATTGTTTTGCAGTGTCTTTACTATGTGTTGGACATTTGCCTCCCAATATAGGTGTAACTTCAAAGTATAATAACTTGGATGTTTATGATGGGAAAAACACTGAGTAACTTTTTTACATGCTAGCTTTTCTCCTGGTGTACACAGAGGCTGTTATTTAGAATTCTCATTTATTTAATAGAAGGAGTTTTAGCGGCTTTATAAGACTATAGGAAGAGACTTGATAATAAACCTTGGTATTGAAAGAGAGAGGACTTGATTCCAAATAGCAAGGTATGACTAAAATGAAATTCCATGGTTAAACAAAGTTATTATGCCCAAGCTATCCTAGAAGAATTTTAAGTTTTAGTAAAGTGTTCTGTTATAATTAATATTTCAACACTGTCTGGTTTGAAAGGAAGAGGAAAAAATGATGAAAAAGCTAAAAAAAGAATTTATTATTGGCTGGGCATGGTGGTGCATACCTGTAGTCCCAGCTACTTGGAAGACTGAAGTGGGAGGATTGCTTGAGACCAGGAGGCAGAGGTTGCAGTGAGCTGAGATCACACCACTGCACTTCAGCCTGGGCAACACAGTGAGAGCCCATCTAAAAAAAAATTCTATTATTAAATGCTGGATTTTGTGTACAGTTAAGATATATACAATTGAGTACAATTTAAGTTTTTGTGTGGGTTTTTTTTTTTAAATCATATTCAGTAAAAATTGTTTTGTAGCTACACCACCTGAAACTCAGCAGTCACCTCATCTTAGCCTGAAGGATATCACCAATGTCTCCTTGTATCCTGTTGTGAAAATCAGAAGACTTTCTCTTTCTCCAAAAAAGAATAAAGCAAGCCCAGCAGTGGCTCTGCCTAAACGTAGGTGCACAGCCAGCGTGAACTATAAGGAGCCCACCCTCGCTTCGTAAGTATTTGGTTTGTGGGAACTTATTTTTAATGATACATGTCGGGGGGAATAAGGTTATGGAGCTTTGTTCAAGAATGAGTTTTTTCTGAAATATAAACATTTGATTTAAAAAAACTGAAGTGAGAACATTTAAAATTGGTGTGTTTTACCATAACTTGGTAGGGAAGAGTAAGTTAATATTGGGATGCTTACATTATGCCTGAGATCTCTTTTTACTCTTACAGGAAACTGAGAAGAGGGGACCCTTTTACAGATTTGTGTTTTTTGAATTCTCCTATTTTCAAGCAGAAAAAGGATTTGAGACGTTCTAAAAAAAGTATGAAACAAATACAATGAAGGTTTTGTTGGATATTGTTTAAATTCAATCTACACCTCTTTCTGTTGCTTCAGGAGAGGATCTGTAAGAGTACACAAACAGAGTGAGCCATTGCCATAGAATATTCTCTTGACAGGACCCTAGCTCATAAACATTTCTTCAGAACTATACTTCAAATGGGATGCTTTGTATTAAAACTTTAATAAATTTAATTTATTTTTTCTTTTGAATATAAATAACTGAGCTTAAGCATTATCATCATATCGATTTCTTATGCTGCCTAAACCTCTTAATTTTAGTCGAAATATATCTTTTTTTTTTTTTGGAGGCGGAATTTCATTCTTGTTGCCCAGGCTGGAGTGCAATGGCACGATCTCAGCTTACCGCAACCTCCGCCTCCCAGGTTCAAGCGATTCTCCTGCCTCAGACTCCCGAGTAGCTGGGACTACAGGCATGTGCCACTACGCCCGGCTAATTTTGTATTTTTAGTAGAGACAGGGTTTCTCCATGTTGGTCAGGTTGCTCTCAAACTCCCAACCTCAGGTGATCTGCCCACCTCGGCCTCCCAAAGTGCTGGGATTACTGAGCCACTGTGCCCAGCCCAAAATGTATCTTATACAAACATTGTAGAAATGAATAATGATTACTCAAATAAGATCTTTTAATTATAAGCTTCTGGCATCTCTATTTTTCCCTTAAGTAGGGGATACTAAAGTGAATGATTTTCTAAGAGGATCTTTTGAAACTCTTTAGTACAATATTTGAGTAAAATAAATTATTGTGGATCTTTTGAAACTCTGTGTAGTATTCGAGTAAAATAAATATTTGACATTTACAGTAGGGTACACCCTAAGTTGTTTATGAATTCCTTATACCACTGTTATATTTAATTTTTCAGATAAAATATGTATGGGAAAATGACTAGAGAAATTGATTCTTTTTTAGGCTCAGGGACAAGATAAGTGACTAATTGTGAACCCCAAGCTCTAATTGTATGTTCAGAGTGATGTCTCCATAAAATTACAAATGTCATGTACTTTCAGGGTAGCTCCTTATTTAGTCAGAAATCTCAGAGATTAAATGTGTGAATATTTAGGGTTTTTGCATATTTTTGACCAACCAATGAAAGCGAATTAGTTCAGTTTAGAAAGTTTGATGTCTATACTTGTATATACCTCTTTAAATTTTAGAACTTTGTAGGTTATTCATTTTTAAAGAGCAATAAAGTTTGTATAAGATAGTGATTGCTTTCCTTCTATTCTTTAAATATCAAAAATAGAGTATCTCTCTGTCTTCACTATTCTCATCCTTGGACATTTCCTCTCCCCTCCCCTTGGTATTCTCTTTTTTGAGGGGGGGGTGTTCTAGGTGAGTTAATCCTTAGTATTTTCAGTAGTCATTGCTATAAAACTCTCAGCTTCCCCTCCATACTTTCAACCTAACACTTCTCTCTCCCAACTTATCTCTGTGTAATCTCCCAGTTCATGATTAACAAATTATAATTTTATTGAGGGACTGTTCTAATCCTGATATCTCAGATTTTCTTGGCTGTTATCTCCCTATCTTTCTGTATTCTATGTCAGTCAGAGCCAAAATCCTTTTCATCATCCCAAATTTTTCTATCCGCCACATCACTGATTCATACACCCTAGTCTTCCATCACAGTCTCTTAATTTTTAAGTTTTTTTTTTCTTACTACTCCCTTCATACTTATTCTTTAATTTCATGGAAACACTAGAGTAGCTATCTTAAACTAAGACTACAGACCATTAAAAAGTCAGTTTCTCAGCCAGGCACGAGAAACTACTAACACCTGTAATCCCAGCACTTTGGGAGGCCAAGGCGGGCAGATCACGAGAGGTCAAGGAGATCGAGACCATCCTGGCTAATACGGTGAAACCCCGTCTCTACTAAAAATAGAAAAAATTAGCCAGGCGCCTGTAGTCCCAGCTACTTGGGAGGCTGAGGCAGGAGAACGGCGTGAACCCGGGAGGCGGAGCTTGCAGTGAGCCGAGATGGTGCCACTGCACTCCAGCCTGGGTGACAGAGCGAGACTCCATCTCAAAAAAAAAAAAAAAACAGTTTCTCAGTCCATGTAACCACCTTTCAAATGATCAGTAGCCATATGTGGCTAGTGGTTACCATATTAGACAATTGAGGAAATATTGAACATTTCCATCATCACAGAAAGTACAGTTGGACTATGGGCCAAATCTAGCACACCACCTGCTTCTGGATGGTCTTCAACCTAAGAATAGTTTTTACGTTTTTAAATAGTTGAAAAAAAAAAAAAAAAGCAAACATTTGAAATCAATTTTAATGATAGAAGCACTAACTTTGAACTCCAGTAAAGTACCTACATTATATTCTTGAGTTTGCCTCTTGGCCTACAATCCTAAAATATTTACTTTCTGGTCTTTACCAAAAAAGTTTGCCAACTCCTGCTCTAGACCATTGAGTACTTTACTTTTGCCTTAAAGATCATTCTGGTCTGACACTCTGATCTAGCTTTGATCCTTACCTTCCCTTCATCCCCAAAGTCAATCATTATCCTAAAATCAGTGTTGAATTGTTTGTATTTTTAGTGTTCCTATAGTCTTGCTGTCATATTTGTTCATAGGCTTTTAAGTATTGTTTTATATCTTAACATTTTATAGGAATATTGTACACATCATTTTACAACTGACTTTTAACTCAATATTGTTTTTGAGATTTATCCGTGTTGGCAGATGTAGATTATTTTCATCATTGTACAGTTTATTATATAAATCAGACTTATTCATTTCTTCTTTTGAGACACAATTCATTTCCACTTTATTATTTACAAATTAGTGCTGCAGTGAATATTCTGCATCTTTGTACACTTAAAGTGCTTAACTTTCTATAAAGTTAATACCTAGAAGTGGAGTTGCTTGGTTGTAGAGTATATTGAACTTTAACTTTACTATTAGTTAGGAAATTGCTTCCTACAGTGGTTCCACCAATTCTGTTATAAGGAGTATATCACTCTCCTAATAGCAGTTTCTAAGTTCCAGTAGCACCACACACTGTCGATCACTTAGTTTTATTAGACATTAAAATTAGCCAAGCCAGGAAGTATGAAATTATTTCTTTGTTTTAATTACTATGAACTTGTATCTGATTGATTTATTTATGAGAATTCAAGTGTTTATTATTCTCATTTCTTCCTTTATGAATTATTATATCTTTTGCCTGCTTTTCTAATAGAATGTAAAACTATGGATTTTTTATATAGTCTACACACTATTCCTTTTTTTCTGTTGACAAGTATTCTAAGTATCTTTCCTCAATCTCTGCCCTTTTTTATACCTTGCTTATAATTCCCTTTGATATTTAGGAGTTTTAAATATTAGTATCGTCTACCACCTTCTTCCTTAAGATTTTGTCTATAATTTGTACATTTTTGTTTTTCACTTTAAGGTCTTTAAACCATATGGCATTTATTTTGAGGACTAGGGATCTAATTTTATTTTTTCCCATGAGGATAACCAGTTGTCCCAGCACAATTCATTGACTAATGTCTTCTTTCCCCACTGCTGAATATTCCTAGCTTTGTCATAGAATGGGCTTCTTTGCATTGCTTTATTTGTTTAGCTTTATGCTGGGTATATTGTATAGTCACAATTTTTTTGTGTGTTGGTAGGGGTGGTAAATATACATAGAATTTATCATTTGATCTTTTTAAATTTTATTTTTGTTTTTTTATTCTCACTCTGTCACCCAGGCTGCAGTGCAGTGGCCAATCATAACTCACTGTAGCCTCAAACTCCTGGGTTCAAAGGATCCCCTTTACCTAGGACTACAAGCTTGCACCACTGCACCTGGCTAATTTTTTTTTTTTTTTTTTTTTTTTTTTTTTTGGTAGAGATGGGGACTGGCTATGTTTCCTAGGCCAGTCTTAAACTCCTGGCCTCAAGCAATCGTCCAATCTTACCTCCCAAAGTGCTAGGATTACAGGCATGAGCCACCACACCTGACCATTTTGATCATTTTATTTGTAAAGTTCAGTAGCATTAAGTACATTCACATGATTGTGCAACCATCACTACCCTTTTCCAGAACTACTTCTTCTTCCCAAACTAAAACTCTATACCCATTGAACAATCACTCTCTCTTCTCCCCTCTCTCCCAACCTCTGGTAACCACTACTTTTACTTTCTATCTCTATGAATTTGACTGTTCCAGGTACCTCACAGAAATGGAATCATAGGATATTTGTCCTTTGTGTCTGGCTTAGTTAGCATAATAATCGCAAGGTTCATCCATGTTATAGCATGTATCAAAATTTTATTCCTTTTTAAGGTTGAGTAACATCTCATTGTATGTATACATATTTTCTTTATCCATCAATGAACATTTAAGTTTGTATATCTTTGAAGAAATGTCTATTCAAATCCAATAGGTTGTTTTTTGTTGTTGTGTTTTAGTTTTTATATATATTAGATATTAGTCCCTTATCAGATATGTGATTTCCAAATGTCCTCCCCCATTCTGTTGGTTGCCTTTTTACTCTGTTGATAGTGTCCTTTGATGTACAATAGTTCTGAAATTTTATTGAATCCAATTTGTCTATTTTCTCTTCTGTTGTCTTCTAAGTCATAATTTTTTTAATACATAGGTAGGATTTGTTTGCTAACTTTTTTTTTGTTTGAGATGGAGTCTCGCTCTGTCAGCCAGGCTGGAGTGCAGTGGTACAATCTTGGCTCACTGCAACCTCCACCTCCTGGGTTCCAGCGATTCTCCTGTCTCAGCCTCCCAAGTAGCTGGGATTACAGGTGTGTGCCCACCATGCCCAGCTATTTTTTGTATTATTAGTAGAGTCGGGGTTTCACCATGTTGGCCAGGCTGGTCTCAAACTCCTAACATCAAGTGATTCGCCTGCCTTGGCCTCCCAAAGTGCTGGGATTACAGGCGTGAGCCACTGCGCCTGGCCAACAATTTTGTTTAGGATTTTTTGTATCTATGATCATGAGTAAAATTTGCCTATATAATTTCTTGTATACACCTATTTTCGGTATCAAGGCTATACTAGCAATGTTTTCTTTTTTTGCTCTGTGGAAACAAATTGCACCTGTTGAGGGTTTGGTGAACTTGACACCAAAACCATCTTATCTTTCTATGTTTTCATGGGGAAATTTTGTACTAGTTTTTTAATAATTATAAGTCTTACATGTTCTCTAATTCTTCTTGAATCTGTTTAATTTTTCTCCCTTGGGAATTGTTAAGTGTACATGTATTGTGATAACTGCTATAATTTTGCTTTTATTGATTTTTTTTGCTTTATATCTGCTACAATTTGGTTCCTCCAAATCCCATGTTGAAATCTGATCCCCAGTGTTGCTGGGGGATCTAATAGCAGGTGTTTGGGTCATGGGAACAGGTCCCTCATGAATGAATTAATGCCCTCACTGGGAGGAGGGGATAAGTAAGCTCTCACTCATTTAGTTCCCAAGACAGCTGGTTGTTTAAAAGAGCCTAGTGCCACTTCTCTCTTGCTTCCTTTCTTGCCGTGTGATCTCTGCACATGCCAGCTCCCCTTTGCCTTCTACCATGAGTGGAAGCAGCCTGAGGCTTTCACCTCATGCCCAGTCTTCCAGCCACCAGAATTGTAAGCCAAATAAACATTTTTTCTTTATAAATTATCCAGCTTCGGGTATTCCTTTATAGCAACACAAATGAACTAAGAAACTACTCTGCTTTTTCTTTATGTCATTTTGATAAGGGTCAAATTCTGTGTTTTCCTTAAAATGAATTCAATTTTGCCCTCATTCCTGAGGTATAGGTTAAGAGTTACTAATTTTCTTACAGGCTTGATTTTGTTGTTGAGAAGTCTAGTCATTCTAATTTTTCTTCATATTTTGTTAGTTTGTCCCTTAGCATTTCATATTCTTGACTTATTATAAATGTATTATTTTTAATTTTCTGTTATTTTGCTGCTAGTTTATGGAATACAATTGATTTTCATATCTAGACCTTGCTAAATTCATTCACTAGTTCTACTACCATGTTTTGCAGTTCCATTAGGATTTTTTTTTGTATATGATCTTAATTAAAGTCTGCACGTAAAGACAATTTACTTCTGTCTTTCTATTTTGCATGTCTTTTCTTGCTTTACTGCACTGACTAGAACTTCCTCCATAATGTTGAATAGGGGTGAGAAGAGCAGTTATCTTTGCCTTTTTCTCGACTTTGGGAGGAAGCATTTGGTCCTAGGGCATTACTGTGATATTAGCTGTAAGTGATCACTAATAACCTTTCTCAGACTAAAGACATTTCCTTGTATTCCTTCTTTGCTGGGAGGTTTTTTTCCTTTTTTCTTTTTTTAATCTTGAGTGACTGTTGAACTTTGTCAGTTACTTTATTGAGATGATATTTTTTTCTCCTTTATTCTCTTAATATGGTGAGTTAAATAAATGGATTTCCCATGTTAAACCAACCTTGAGTTAATGGGATAAATCCATCACTCGGTCATAACATCATTTTTGTATATTGCTGAATTTTATTTGTTAATATTTTGTTAAAGATCTTCACATCTACGTTTGTGAGAGTTATTGGTCTATAGTTTTCTTGTGGTTTCTTAAATTTTTTCTAGCTTTGGTTATCAGAGTAATAATACCAGCCTCATAAAAGGGGTTCACAAGTCTTTCCACCTCCTCTTTTCTGAAACAGTTTGTGTAGATTGATAATCTTTCTTGAATGTTTGACACACTAGTGAGACTATTTGTGCTAGGACTTTTGTTTTTAGAAACGTTTTAAATTACGAATTCATTTTTAAAGTTGATGTAGAGATGTTTTAAGTTTTCTGTTTCTTTAGACAGTTTTGCTAATTTGTGTTATACAAGGACTTTGTTCATCTAAGTTATCAAATTGTTAGACATGTTATTCATAATATTCCCTTGTACTTTTTGTCTTACATGTAAGAGCTGTAGTTATCCTCCTCTCTTTTCATTCCTGATATTGATAACCTTTTTCCCGTTTGCCCCAAGAATATTCACTGGCAGCACTTGCAGCTGCAGCGTTTACCCAAAGATAACTTTGCCACAAAATAATCTCGCTCTTATTATTTTTCCAACACTCTAGTATATTGACTTCGGAAACAAAAGATATTCTATTTATAGCATTCTGTTATAGTAGTACTATATTTCCATTTAGAAAATGTAGTAATTCTCAAAACCTGAAAATGTCAAATCCTAGAAAATATAGCAATCCTACGTGTGATGTTAATATCATTCTTGAACAGTTGTTGGTCAAAGATTCATTTGATGAACCCAGTTTTTCCAAAATAGATGATTCTGATGATTCAGACAATTCCAATGTTAGTTCTGTTAGAACTAACTCCAAGAAAAGTTTTTATATTTTATTTTCACATTGAAAATCAGTCAGGTTTGCTTCAGCCTCAAAGAGCATGTTTATGTAAAATTAAACGAGTGCTGGCAACAGGCTGTGCTTTTTTTTTCCAAACAGGAAAAGGGATTATTTGTGCTTTCTTCTTGATCAGTCTAAATAGAAGTTTATGACTTTCAAAGAACCAGTTTTTAGTTTCAGTGATTTCTCTCTTTTTTATTCATTCTCTATTTCATTGATTCCTACTCTTTGACATTCTTCCGTCTACTTTGGATTTAATTTGCCCTTTCCTAACTTCTTAAGGTACTATGAATTAAGACTTCTCTTATTTTAATGTATTTTTAATGCTGTAAGTTTTCCTTTAAGCACTCTATTAGCTGCACCCTACAGATTTTTATATGTTGTCATTTAGTCTAAAGTATTTTCTGATTTCTCTTGTGAGTTTTAGTCTTTTCTTCCCTCTGGGCTTCATTTTGGATAGTTTCTTCTGCTTTGTTAAATCGTCTATTAATCCTATCCAGTGTATTTTTTCTGTCATGATATTGTATTTTTTTTTTTACCTCTAGAAATTCCATTTGGTTCTTTATTTTATATATATATTTTATTTGTCTCTTTATTGTGTTCATGTTTTATATTCTAGAGCATATTTATAATGTTCAGAATAACTATTTTAACACCCCTATCTGCCGATTCCATTATCTCTGTCATTTCTGGATCAACTTTTATTGGCCTATTTTTCTTTTAGTCGATTATTATACTTTCCTGCCTTGTATATCTTGTAACTTTTTAAATTGGATACTGTATATTGGGAATTTTACATTTGTATAAGCTATATCTTCTTGTATTCTTTTAAAGAGTTAACTTCGTTTTGTCAGGCAATTAAGTTTGTTAGAGATCAGCTTGATCTTTATTAGGCTTGCTTTTAAGTTTTTTGGGGCAGATCTTTGGGAGCTTTTACTCTATGCTCGTTTACCCCCAGTACGAAGATGTGAAGCATCTGGGGTTTTCACTGAATGTCTCATTTATTCAACAAGGTCTATCCATTCTGGCTGCTGGTTGCCCAAGCCTGTTCAAAGTATTACTTTTGAGTGTTGTTTGGCTCACAACTCCCTGTAATTGTTCTTCACTCTGTAGTTCTTTCCATAGTTACATGAAGTTTCATCCTACACATGCATGGATTAGTATTCAGTCAACATTCAGGAGACAGAATTCTGGAGCTCTTTCTCTGCATAGCTCTTTCCCGTCTATTACTCTGCTAGCAAATTCTACATCTGCGGCCTCTCCAAACTTCAGTCTGTCTCTTCAACTCAATGATATTACTGGACTCTGGATTCTCACTCCTTGTCCCACAATTCTGAAACTACGTTGGGAAGAAATATAGGAAGAACATGGGGCTCACTGCTTATTTTCCTTCTCTCTGGAATTATAATCTTATACTAGCTATTGCACAATTTCTGAAAACAGTTGATTAATATTTTCCATCTTTTTTGCTTGTAGTGGCTGAACAAGTCCCATAGTAGAGGACTTTATAGGCAGAAGTGGAAGTCAATAATTTATCCTGCTTGGGATTCACTATGCTTATAAATATTCATGCTTTTTATTATGAAAAATTATTGGCTTGTTGAATATTGCCTTTTTCCCATTCTCTCCTTATGCAATATCTCGTAATTGTTGGGCTTTGATTTAACTAATAATATTCAGGAACAACTGTGCTAGATCTTGTTCTAGGCCCTTGGGATGCCTCAGTGACCAAAACCAATATTCTGCCCTGATGGAATTCACATTGTGTATAACCTGTGTCTCTTAACTCCTTTTTCATATTTTCCATCTTTTTAGCTACATTCTTTCCATATCATTTCGTCAGTTCTATCTTCCAGTTCACTCATTCTATCCTTGGTTATATCATAGCCTATGTAACCTGTCACTTAATGTTTTCTCTATTTTTAGCAATTATAAGCACTCTAATTCTGATATTTGTTGTATCTGCTGACTTTTGATTGTTTGCTCACATATTTTCTAATTTTTTATTGTGAGCTCATCCTTCATGGAACTTATTTTTCCTTCTGAATAAAATCTGTGGACTAGGTTGTAGAAACATCTCTGTAGACTGATTTTGTGTTTGCTTTTACCAGGAGCCCTGGAGGTATCACCTGCCAAAGAAGCAATTTTTATTTTATATTATGTTCGAGAATTTGTTTCGAGATTCCCAGACTGTAGGAAATGTAAACTTGAAACCCACATCTGCTTGAGGTAAAGTCCACGGGCTTCACATCCTTAGAAAACTTTTTTAGTCCATGCATTCACTAATGTATGCAGACCTTTAATAGATTCTAGCTTTATGTGTTGGGGGAGAGATGGAGGGGTGTTGACAGTCTGTTTCACTCAGCCTACATACATAATAAAATCTAAGCCCTTTAATTAGAGATAGCAACTTTCCCAGGGTGACCGAGGAATCAGTACGTGTTGAACCCCTCTTTTAAGTTTCCTTTTGGTTGTGTCACTTGGAGATTGCCTTTTCTTTCTTGTAAGCTCAGCTGTGTCCTCAAATATATTGCATTTTACCCAGCATTTCCAGGTGTTTTCAGGGGTCAAAGTTTTTAAGTTATCTTAGTCTTTGATATTGTGTAAGCGAAATTCTCCAATCCCATCTCCTAGATGATTTTTTTTTAAATCACAAAATGTGATTATGCTTAACAGCTGTTTCCTGTTTCTCTTAAAATAAAATCCATTTCCTATTTCTCTTAAAATAAAATCCATTATTCTTAATATGGCCTGTTATGGCCCTGCACCATCTCACACTACACCCCTCTGCTTCTACAACTCTTGTCATGTTGAATTCTCTCAGTTCTTTGGAGATCTTAGCCTGTATTGTCTCTGCCTGCCTTCTTCCAAATTTTGCCTTAGTCAATGCCTATTCTAATCTTTCAGCTTAAAAAGCCACTTCCTCTCAGAAGCTTTCTCTAAGTTCCTGCTTACCAGATTTTGTCTTCCTTTTTATAATCTCATAGCACTATACTAGTAAAAGCTCCAGAATTTCCCTATAAACAGGGACCTAGGGTGGTGATTTTTTTAATGGAGGAGATATTGGGACAAGGAACCAGGGGAGTACCCTGGAAAAGTATATTAAAGCTACATTTGCTTAAAAAGTATGATTTTTATTTAATTTGTATTTTTGTTGAAGCCACCCTTGGTCCCACCACTGCAGGCTCTACCTTTCATTATAGCACTCAAGATACCTGTAATTAGTATTCAATGTCTGACCTCTCCATGAAAATATAATTGCTACTTTGATCATTTTGTAACTACACACACTCCAAGTTTCAGTAGCCCTCTTGGGCCATTGTTCTAGGCCCTTGGGCCTAGGCCCCTGGCCCAGAAGGCCAGGCTCCTTAGCAGGGTGTTTCATGACTCTTTCCAACCTGATCCCACAACACATCATCAACTCTCACCCTGACCTGAAATTAATCTCTCATCTCTTAATTCACTGATGTGACATTTCTTCTCCAATTGACTTTTCTTTTCCAGTAATAGAATCTTAGCATAAAATCTTTATCATTTTAAACATAGGAGATGCTTAATAAATGTGGAATAGGAATTTGCAGGGAAATGTGAAGGAATAGGAACTATGGTTGGTAGCCTCAATATCCAGATACTTCATGCTGCAACAAACTAGGACCATCATTCTTTAAATGTAGCTGTAGCATTGCATAGCACTGAAGAACACTGACTCTGGATCCAGAATCCCTGCATTTGCCTTTTTGGGAAAATTCCCTCTCTGTATCTCAGTATTTTCATTGAATTTTGTAAGGATTCAATGAGTTAGTACATATAAAATGCTTAGAAGAGTGCTTAACACTTACTAAGTACTCAATAAGTAAATTGTTGTAAGGATTCAGTGAGTTAGTACATATCAAATGCTTAGAAGAGTGCTTAACACTTACTAAGTGCTCGATAAGTGGTAGATTCCTGAGGAAATTACTTGGTTATGGGAATCTATGCAGCATCCACAGATTGACTATCTGCACTAAATTATTTCTGCTCATTCAAACCTACTTAGTACCAGTACAAATAAAACAATAGTCATATTAACAATACTTCAATACTGATTTAGGTGAAAAGCCTTTTTTAAATTTATAGTGTTAAGTTAAAATTTTTATATAGTGTTTTACATTCACTTGAGACCATCTTCACATACATTAAACACATCCTCACTATAGCTTTGAGCAGAAAAGCATGTGTCTATACTCAGGAGGCTGAGGCAGGAGAATGGCGTGGACCCGGGAAGTGGAGCTTGCAGTGAGCCGAGATCGCGCCACTGCACTCCAGTCTGGGCGACAGAGTGAGACTCTGTCAAAAAAAAAAAAGTGTCTGATGAGAAAAGACTCAAGATAATAAATATGGTGTTTCATCATAAAGGGTGTTGGGAAGTAGCATTTGTGCAAGAAGATACATGTAATAAGTAAAACAGAGAGTAATTAAAATTTATTCCAGCTTGGTATTATAGAAAAGGTGGGAAATGTAGCCTGGATCGGGATTGTTAGGTGAGTTCACATACACCTGCATGATCACACTCGAGTGATTTTGATCTTTAGCATCTTGCAAATTGGTATCCAGCATCATAATGGAAAGTTTCATCCTCTCCCTCATCCTGTTCAATATTTTTTTCAATAACATGAATATGAGAAAACATATAATTGACAAATTCGTAATTTATAAATGTAAATCTTAGAAGGAATAGGTAACAGTAAATATTGGAACTGGAATAAAAAATGCCTCACAGGTTAATACAAGGGTAGGGGGAACGTCCTATAAAATTAAGCCCACATCTACTTCTTGACCTAACAATTTCACTATTTGGTATTCACATAAGAGAAATGAAAGCATATGTTTACAAAAAGACCTACAAAAAAAATGTTTATAGCAGGCTTATTGTAAGACCCAAACGTAGAAACTACCCAAATGTCCACTAAACTTGAGAAGATAAACAAATCGTGGAATATTACAATAGTATACTCTTCAGCAATAAAAAGGAATGAACTTCTGATACATATTACAATGTGGATGAGCCAGACCCCAGGAAGTACAAACTGTGACCCCATTTATATGAAATCAAGTAACACAAAACGAATCTATGGTGACAAAAATCAGAAGTGGTTTTCTGGAGACAGGGAAGGAGAATTGACCTGAAAGGGGCACGAGGGAACTTTTCTTAGGTGATAAGAATGTCCTGTCTTTAGGGTCGTGATTATACTGGTGTAGACAATTGCCAAAAGTCATCAAACTTAGCACCTAAGACCTATGCTTTTTAATAGAGACAGGGTCTCACAATGTTTGGCCAGGCTGGTCTCAAACTCCTGGGCTCAAGCGATCCTCCTGCCTTGGCCTCCCAAAGTACTGGGATTATAGGCATGACCCACCACACCTGGCCTGACTGGTGCATTTTCTTGTATGTTAACTATACCTCAATTTTTAAAAATGTTTTTCGTTTTGAGATGGTGTTTCGCTCTTGTTGCCCAGGCTGGAGTGCAATGACGCAATCTCAGCTCACTGCAACCTCCACCTCCCAGTTTCAAGTGATTCTCCTGCCTCAGCCTCCCAAGTAGCTGGGATTACAGGCATGCGCCACCATGCCCGACTAATTTTGTATTTTCAGTAGAGACAGGGTTTCATCATGTTGGTCAGGCTGGTCTCAAACTCCTGACCTCAGGTGATCCACCTGCCTCGGCATCCCAAAGTGCTGGGATTACAGGCATGAGCGACTGTGCCCAGCCTAAAAATGTAGACAGGATCTTGAGTTGTGCACATAGCTACAACTGTACAAGTATGCTTGGGTGTGTTGAGGGATAGGAACAGTGCTGGCACACTAACTTAATAGTACTCTGTGGGAAACTTGAATTAGAGCTTGATCATAAACAGCTGACTTCAACCCAACCTACGGGCTTTCTTATAAAGCTTTGCCTGTCCCACTGATGGGCAGTACTATTGCATAAAAATGCAAATTTCCCATTCACAGATGTTTTTAAGTAGAAACTAGATGTCCATCTGTTAACAGCAGAAGATGGCAGGTTGACAGAGCAAAGATTTTTTTTTTTTTTTTTTTTTTTTTTGAGACAGTCTCGCTGTTACCCAAGCTGGAGTGCAGTGGTACAATCAAGGCTCACATAGCCTTGACCTCCTAGGCTAAGGTAATCCTCCCACCCCTCAACTTCCCAAGTAGCTGGGACCACCACTGTGCACCACCACACTCGGCTAAATGTTTTCTGTTTGTTTTTTTGATTGATAGAGATACGGTCTCACTACGTTGCCCAGGCTAGTGAGAGCAAAGATTCTTAAACTGGGGTTCACCAATGAACTTCAGGAGGGTCCAAGGACCAAGTGAACTGATATGCAGAAAGTGCACACATGTAAACATGTGCATTATTTTCAGAAGGTCCTTAGCCTCCAAGTTCTCCAGGATTTCTTTTAAAGAACTTCAAACCTAGATAAACTGAGACTGGTAACCCTTGGTTCAGCTCATAAAATTTAATACACATACCCAGAGTCATGTCAAATGAAGATCTTTGGACAACAATAGCCTGTGTATACTATGGTGGTCCCATAAGATTATAATACCATATTTTTACTGCACCTTTTCTATGTTTAGATACGTTTAGATACACAAATACTTACCATTGTGTTACAGTTGCCTACAGTATTCAGTACAGTAAAATGCTATACAGGTTTCTAGCCTAAGAGCCATAGGCCATACTATGGAGCTTCAGGACTGTGTAAGTACACTCTAGGATGCTCACACACCAACAAAATCACCTAACATTGCATCTCAGAAGGTATCCCCATCGTTAAGTGGTACATAACTGTATATAAATGTATATACATGTATATAAATACACACACACAAATTACACGTATCATTTCTCATCTTTTTCAACTCCTGATCCTGTGAAAGTTGTCGGACTTCCCAATAAGAAGAGGGAGCAGGAAGCTTGACTTTTAATTTTTCTCTGCTTTGTTGAAATAATACTGCTTTTTAATAAACCCAAAGAAAATCTCTAGCTTTGTCATTGTTAGCTTCCTTTTTCCACAAGTAAAGATGTTCCCATAAATAAATATATAAATATATATATTTGTATATTTATGTATTTATATATATATGAATTTACATATTTATATATAAATACATAAATATATACATAAATACATTAAAGAGGACCTTTCATAATGCTTATGGTTGTTTCCTCACTTCCTTATAGCATCTTTTTTTTACTTTGTTGAAGCTCTTCCTCCAGAGTATACCTGGAAATCTTTCATTTGCTCTTTTTGTCTCTTTAAATTCATTTTCAGCTCTTTACCTGAGACATTAGTAACATTGTTTTCATCCTGTCAATCTTCATCATCACTTATTGATAGCACTGATACACCCAAAGGAGAAAGTAAATACCACTTTAATACCAGCAGCTTTAAGACTCAGAACCATCTATTTCAGTCCCTGCCACCACCTTCCCTGTCCACCCTCCACTACCCCCTACACAGATACCTTTTTTCTGCCAGGAAAAAATGTCTGAATGGTCAAGAATTGTAAACCTATATTTCAACAGATGAAAAAAGTATCAACCTAATTACTACCTCTTAAGTAAGAACTTGCAACCATTTCTGACCTTTGATATTCCAGAATAGCTGATTGCTTTTCTTTGGCATTTTCACTTTGCTAAGAGGAGAATGCTAGTTAAGGGATAGAGCAGAATAGCTCTAACGACAAGAGCTGCCACCAGTTACCCTTCCTTGTGCGGCACTTAGAATCCTTTTAAATAAACACTGAGGGTTAGTCTAAAGAATATTAGCTTAAAGGGGTGACAAATAATTAACTGGTCCACAGTACCTCAGTCTGATCTTGTTTCTACTTCTTAGTTTCTGAAAATATAAATTGTTCGTCCAGGTAAAATGAAAACCTCAAAGTCTCCCTCTCACCATTTGCTTCTAATAAATATGACCAATTTTTAATTATTGATTGAAGTAGACTTATTCTCCATTACAGAAGTTTTCTTCCTTGAAAGAGGACATACGTCATCTCCTGGCTTCCTTCTGTCTCCTCATTCATTCTTCCCCTGGGAGGGACTTGCCTAATTAAGGAGTTAAGTAAGAACATACTTACCATAGATTATGGACACAGGTTGACATATCCCGCTGTCACCTGGGCCTCTTCAGCATCGGCCTGCCTTGAGAGGGCACCACTGCTCTTGGCCTGCACTAAGCTTAATGGGAAAGTCCCTGCCCCATTAGTCTGGGACGGAGCAGCTTGTCAATACATTCTGGGGTACAGAACAGTGGTACAGAGCAGCTGGTCAATCACATTCTGGGTTTCAGCCTTAGAAAGCTCATTTTCCACAGATAAAAGGAAGCCACATTCTCCAATATCCATTTTACTAGTATTAAAGGTAATACTTTGGCCATCATATGCCTTTTTTTTTTTTTTTTAACTTCTCAGTTGGTTTAGATTTCAGTAGGGAAGAGGGGTTCTCTTGGTTGGGTCCTCTCAAACCCCAAAAGGATATAGTATTCTTTCCTACAGACATCATTTTGAATCACATTAGAAGCTCATATGGGAGATGTTTAAAAATCGGCTGTATTTTTCTCTCATCATATATATTTCACAGATGCAAAGTATAAAAACAAAAATCTTTTAATTTCTAAACCAACAACACTCTTCTTTCAATGAATCTTTTTTGTTATTGTTTAGCGGGTGAGTGGGTAAGATGCAGTGGATAACTCAAAAGACAGAGTAAGTGTCTCTCCTGAAAATCTCTTACTGATGACCTATGGATTTTTTATGAAACCTCCCCCAAATGCAACAGAATGCTTAAGATCTAAGGTTTAAGGATTCAATTGATGGTTATCAACCAGATCATAATTTGTTCTGTTAACCTCAGCCTACTGAATGAATAAAACACACCACAAGATTGGAAGCTTTTTAAAATATAATTTAAAACTATTTTGTACCAGTACAATATATTAATTTTACAAATGTAAAATTTTTATCAGCTGTTAAAGCATTTGCAAAAACCACACATTCTACTTCAGCTTTATTGCACAATATCTATAAGAAAATATTAATTTTTAAATTAGAAAACATAAAAATGCTTTCAATATAGAAGAGACAATCTGATTTTAAAGACAATACTCTATAAGAATGTCTACTCAGAAAATAACAAACTTTCACAGGATACCAGCTGGACAGATGCTTCAGCAGATCCGGTACAAAGCACTGTTTAAAACCAGTCCAAGATACTTAATCCAAACTGTATCATGATTCTTCATTAGAAATCTAGACACCACTCATGGTGGTTTCTTACACTTTAAAAAGTTGAGGCATTTTCAGTGTGAGCATTCTGAATATCTCTTACATATCAAAAACAATACTTCCAACTCAATAGCCATTTGCAGGGTTCTTTTTCCTTCATGCAGATTATCACTGGCAACTGTTTTTAATGACTATTCATGACCATTTTATTTATGCTGATAGAAAACATCAAGTTAAATACGCTTTTAAAACTTTGTCCTTTACAAAAATCAGTGTATAAATTTGCATCATAAAAATTAGTGTTGAGACCATCAAGATGGCCTTCATTTATATGGTTGTATATTAGTTGGTTTTCCCAGAGTTGGGAATGGCAGATGTCTCACTTTTCTATGTAGTGTAATCAGGAAATAAATCCAAGCACTAAACTGGAATCCCAAGACAGATTAATAAGGTTGCATGATGGATTTTAGGGGGTTATGACCCTGGACGCATATACTAATGTGGGTGTTAAAATACTGACAGCAAACCCTGGTGGGAATTTAATTTACCTCAGACAATAAACATTATCTGGAGAGACATAAAGGAAAATGTTCATTTGCATATTATCAGCGTGGCTGTGTGTATCATAGAAAAGAAAAAGAACCTTTATTAGAACGAGGATTCACCAGATTGATACATATATAGACCATACATCTTTTCCTATTAAAGCATGTTGATTCAATCTCATGTGTTTTCAAGTTTATGCCTTTGTGGGCAGGGAAATTATCTTTTGGAACTTATGGCCTGCATAAGCAAAGTCAAATATGATATTACACATTTGTGTAGAGAAAATAATTATTAAAATAGTGGTTATGTACTAACAAGTTTGTTGTAAGTAGACAGAATTATCAAAAACCTAGATGCTTATTTTAAAAGTTTGCATTATTTAGAATTTCTTCCTTAGGAACCAAAGCAGTTGCTTTCCTGGAACTGCATTTTTCAGAACTGCTCAAAGCACCTCATCTAGATGAGTGTTTTAAAAAATATATATAAAAAGTCTATAAAGAGACTTCAAACATCACATATTTCACCTCTTACAGGCTTTTTTAAAATCATGTATCCCTTCCTTAAAGTCCTTCAGAATAAAATAAAAGTAAACTCTCACATTCCATTAGAAAAAAATGGAAACATTCATTCATGGTCTGAAAATGTTATGGATTTCCCCAAATTTTGCTACTGTGTGCAATTTCCTCACACACAGGTTTTGAGGAAACCCCTAATCATCTATCATGAAATAGCTAATGGACATGCCATAGAAAATTTACCTTAATAGTAGTAAATAGATTAAAATCTATTCCATAAAATAAAAATGTCCTATGACTTCAATTTAAATACATATCTGAAAAGCTAAAAGGAGGTTTTTTGTTTTTTCAAAAGTGCTAATTATTACATTTACAAGTCTCTTCAATACATCATGTCCAATTCTTTGTAAAAAACTAAACCACCTTGCTTTAGGCACACTGCTTGGTGAGTTTCTAAGAAGCAGAGGGGAAAAAAAATCACTTGTCAATTAATCCAGCTTCCTTAATTTTACTGAAGAAGAATTTCTCCAGGATATTGGCACATTTGTAGTATTCACTCTCAGGGGGGTTGTACTCTTTGCAATTGGTAAAGACTCGCTGTAAGTCTGCCATGAATAATTTCTTAGACACGTAGTACCTATTCTTGAGGCGTTCACTCATGGTTTTCAGATCTGCACAGGAAAAAAAAATATTAGCAATCTTTGACTCCCTTTAAACACCAGCTGACAAAACTGGGACTGGGAAAGGAATCTATGTTGTTGGTTTGATTACATTTTTATCATCCCAATGCTTTTATTTAAGAGAAATTCTTATGACCAAGGAAAACAGTTCTTAAATCTTAAGTTCATTCTTTTGTGGGTTTTTTAAAAATGTAAAATCACAGCCATTTTAGCATTAAAGGGACCATTATTAGTCATCTGGTTCAATCCCCTATTCAGCACAAGGAAGCTAAGTAGATTAGCAACAATAAGTATGATGAACTGACTACTGTTAGCTATTCAGTCAGAATTATACAGAAGAGGCTCTATCTATATGGAGTAGAGCAGGTGGAACGTTTGTATTCAATCATTTAATTACTTAAAACAATCAGACTGCATTTGTTTCACTAAACTCACAGTTGTTTTGGTGTCATATAGAGAAACTGATAATAAATACATCTGTGAACACACCAGTGCCCTTGCATGTAAAATGATTCAAATGAATTTGCTTCAAGCTCCATCAATGAAATAAGAATAACAAACTTCATTTAATAATCTATTTTCTAAAGCAAGTAAGCCTTGTGAGACTATTGCAAAGAATATTTCCCAATATAGCTACTTGCTTTAAATTGTAGTATTTTACAGGTGAAAACAGTACTCCATCTAAACTGATAAAACTAAAGTAGGGTTTCTTCAATCCTCACTGTCAGGACTAATTTAAGGAATTCTATGCAGATTAGAATAGACGCTAACATTTGTCTATTTATGGTTCCCTGGTTGTCTTGAAGTCTGGCTTTATTGTTAAAAGCTATAATTGTATTAACTATGTGTGGAAAAATAAGTCAAATGGGAAAAAAAAAACCCCACTTCTGACTACCAATATCCCAAATTATAAGTATGTTATAAAATTTCCAGGGGGAAAGAAACCTATAACCAAATACATTGGGATCATCATTTAATAAGGTAAGTAAATGTACGTACAATATCCCCAAATGGGAAGGAATTCATTTGCATCAATATCCTAAATCCACCACAAAAGCATCAAAGAAGAAATGGAAAAAAGCTGCTTCTGCCTATCTCTTGAATAAAGCCTATCTTGGTTAGAGTGTATGTCATCACATCTGTAAATTCAACTTTCAACTTTTCTTTCTTCTCTAAAACAGTTTGGAGAGAGATAAAAATCTAAAAGCGCTAAGAAACACAAAGACTCATCAAATCTCACACTAAATGTCCCATCCAAGTGTGACTGAACAGATCAAAATGTTCTCTCATTTAAAGAAGAAAAAAACAATGAAATTGGCCCTAAGTAAAAGTAGATGTTTACATTCCTTTCACTTTTCCACCTAAATGTCTACCACTTAAGATATGCTGCCCAATATAATATGTATAATGTTTTAAAAGGAAGAAACATGTACCCCCCAAAAAGGGGGAGGGGGAGTAAAAGGATGACACGACACAAAGAAGTTTGTCCAAAAGCTTTTCGAACTTTTTTAGGAGATGGGTAAGAAAAGATGGAGAGAGCCTAAAATGCAGCAGAAACAAAGCAAGAATTATGGCGGTGTCTGGACTTTTCTGAATAACTATAACCAATTCTGAATACTTCCTTTCTATTCTAAAGCTATAGATAGCATTCTTCTTCCTCTGGCCTTCGTAGAGTTTTTTCAATTGACAAAATGAGGTGGGTTAAAAAAGGTGACTAAATATTGGTGGTACCAAATATAGAGACACCATTAAATTATTCAGTTTTCATGTCCTTTCCCCTTAACTTGGGAATTCTGGGTAAGCAGCAAAACCCTGCCTAGCCATCCATGGGTAACAAGAAGTCATGCTTGGGCCAGACTATACAGCTGATGTCCAGTGTGTGACTCCCTAAGTAAAACAGGTTAGATCCCATCCATATGAGAGAAACAGTTTTTCAGAATATGGGGAAAGAAAAGTAATGTTATTAGAAAAATCAAATAAGGAAATCGTGGGAAAATGTAAAATTACTGATTTGTCAATCTTGTCTTCAAATACAAGATAATCTTGGGGACAAGACTAAATATTTTACTCAGCATCTGAACAATACCAAGAAAAAAAATACTGCCCTACTGAAGAACACCATTTATAGCTTTAACTTTGTCCAGCACACATTTCAGCCCATCACTGGCCTTGCTCAATTAGGTCAGTTTCCCCCCTTGTGAGACTCAGCTATGCATACAGGTGGTATCCAACTGGAGAAGTTCACAACCTTCACGGGTGGGACCAAGCAAAACACTTTCAGAAAGCAGGCTGCAAGTAGGCTATGATCGACGAGATCTGCTAGACCTATCGCTGCACGTCATCAGAGTGCATGTGCACAGGGGCTGAAAGGGCCCCAAAGTCACACAGCTTCCCATGGGGGTTTCCCAAAAGAAGCTGAGATGGTCCAGAGGAAGAGGATGCAAAAATCAGTTAATTTATGGTTGGAAATGGACACAAAGAGTTTTAACATATTTTGCACATAGTGGACAATATTGATTCCCAAATCAGCCTTCCATTCAGAATTCTAGACTGAGTCAACCATACCCTTTATTTTCTTGTACTGAAATAAATAGTGGTAAGTCAGAGAGAAGAGAGAAAGAAAAGCATATAGATGTGTGTTCACTTTAAAGGGTGTAGGCTACTGAAATCATTACTACAAATATATAAAATATTCATGTGAAACATTTAAATGCTATAGAAAACACCTGTAAATAACTCAGTTTTCAAGGAGCTAATGCGTCCCTTTCACTCTTCCTTTTCACATTTTTAACACTTCCACAATTTTTTTTTTTTTTTTTTTTTTTTTGAGATACGGTCTCCCTCCAGTGCCCAGGCTGAAGTGCAGTGGTGCAATCACAGCTCACTACAGCCTCAAACTCCCAGGCTCAAGTGATCCTCCAACCTCAGCCTCCCAAGTAGCTGGGGCCTCAGGCGTGTGCCACTGCACCTGGCTAATTTTTTACTTTTTGTAGAGACAGGGTCTCACTACATTACCCAAGCTGGACTTTCACAGTTCTTAGCACCTGGAATAGATTACAGGTAGAAAAGAGACAGAAGACTCTGGCTCTCTCCAAAAATATGGCCACATAGCTGATAAAAAGAAAACATTTCAACTGGTTGTCACCCACACAATGCCAAATTAGTTTAATTTGAGCGACCTCAAATGATTCAATTAATCATTAATTTTAGAGTGGTGTGGGCACAGCACCAAACTGCACAATTCTACATTTCTGAAGACATCCTTTTTTGTTTGATTTTGGATATGAGACAAAGCGTAAAATAAAGAGTATATACAGTGACATTAACAGTACCCATCAAGGGCATGGAAAATCAAGAATTGTGGTAAGTAGAATTTCTCCCTCTGAAAGTACAGCAGTCAAGTACTTTAATCTAACTTCTTTCATTATTATCCTGAATAATTATTCAAAGGAATACCTATTTACGACAGACGCAAAGCATATCAAGAGGATAAGCTGATGTTTTTCTATTTGCACCAAAGAGTTAGAATATAAGCAAAGTTATATCTAAAGTGCCAGCTTTCAAATCTAGTGCTGTCTGCAGTTACCGTGGATTTTCTGCGTCTAGTGTCGTTAAGCTCATGTGGGCTCTAAACGACAGCTGCAGAATGTCTCTAATGAACACAGCCACCCACTTCTCTGCCATCACTGACCCGCCACGGTGCATGGAATCCCACCACCCGTCATACACTTCCTACCCTAAGCAGAGGAGTACAAATCAACCTCAGCAACCATTTGTCCCCCACACCGCCATCCAGAGTTTTAAATCTATACTTAGAAAATGTTAATGGTATTACCCATGGGGAACCTTATAACTTCATAATATCCTGGAGCTTCTGTTCTCTTCACAGGTTCCATGAAGGGCCAAGCGCTTTGATGGCTCTTGGGTAAAGAAAAAAGTAAGGTATCTAATATGGAAATTCCATGTGGGAAATCATTTCAAAATATTTGCATGAGGTGAATAAAGAGGACACCCACCTTCACCTGCTGGAGGATGCTCTTGAGCGTGCTGTAAAGCTGGTCAGGGTCTCTGGGCTCTTTACTTGAAAGGAAAAAGGGAAACAAGGAGCAATGATTAGAGTTTTACCCTATTGCCAGCTGATTACTATTCAGCTCATTCTTACAAAAACCTGAAATTGGAACCATTCCAGAATGTTTTAGGAAACTCAAAACCCACCAACTGTTGTGTTAGTGATTACAATTAGTTTGCCGTTTTTCTTTAAGTTGCTTGGTGGGGAAAAAAAAAAATCACTTCCATTAACATCCTCTTGCCCGTCATACTTACCTTTTCTCTTTTCCACTCGGTTTCCAGCCTGTCTCTCCTATACGTCAACAAAGTGAAACACTGAATGAGAAGTGCTTTTGGTCAAGAGAATAACATAGTTAATACTTATCAAAAACAAGAAATTATAGGCATGACAATAAAAGTCTACTTCTGAGAGACGACTGAAATTAATGGCAATTAGTTACTTCCTTATACCACTAACAATATAAAACATTTCCAAGACTAACAACGCTGCCCCATATGTTAGTGTTTTAAAGCAGGAACACCAACCTTTCAGTGGAGAGCATAAAAAATAAATATGTACAGTACTGTGGGCCTGTGTATTTTTTAAACTGAAAGTCAAATTTTGGGCTGATCACCCTGTAAAAGAGTTAAGCTGTTATTTTAGGTCAGAACAAACTCTGTCCTGGTCTCTGTTCTATTTGGCTAAGGCCCTGCTTGTAATGCAAGAAAGTTTAGTGTAGCAGATAGAAAACAGCCTGGAGTCTGACAGATCTGGATGTGATTTCCTGTTCTTTCCTTAAAAGGTAACTCACCCTAAATAAGAGTAAGTTGCCTCTCAGTTTATCAATCTATAAAACAGAACCCTAAAAATTAGGTGGTTTTATCCCTGTTGAGAGTAGTTAATGTACAAAAAAAAAAACAAAAACAGATAAATGCGTGGCACAAGTAGGCATTCAATGATATGGTTGCTATTATGTCATTAATAGAGATAATACATGGAAGTAGAATTTCTGGATTTAGCATAAAAGTAAGATCTGCCAGAGGGCACATGTAATAAAGTGATATATCTTGTCCAAATAACATCTTATTTTTTCTGGAAAATTTTTGCTTGTTTGATTTTGTTTATTAAAGCTTAAATATACTAAAAAGAACCTGGATTTGAACTGAACAAAATTGCCAATGATATTCAATGGCTTTTGACCTATAAAAACAACTATTTGGTATGGTTTAACCCAACACAACTCAACTCTAACATACAGACAAGAACCCTTAGGAAAACTACTGTAAAATAGGGAATATGAAACAAGGTATATGATTTCCACCACACATAACAAATAGTATTTTTTAGAAGTTTGGGGAGACTAGTCAAGCACAGATCTTGGAGGCTGCAACCATGGTGGCAATGAGACATGGTGCAAACAGTAAGGTGTTCGGCCATCAGAACTGGGCTGCTTCTAATTCTGACCGTTACTGGCTATGTGCCCTTTAACAGTAAATGATCTAACTGCTTTGGAACTCGATTTCCCCATTTATAAAATAGGATTCCCTGCTTTCAAGGTTGCATATGTGTAATAATTCGCACTGTGCTACAAATGGCAGACTCATTAAGTGGTGGATATTAACAGCTATTACAAGGGGGCATCTAAGCTCCCTTTGGTTTGTTTGTATTGGGTGGTAGGGAAGACATAAAAGGGTAACATTTGCTGCCTTCTTAAAAGACTAGAGATAACACAGAGACGGGCAGGGCAATAAAGCTTTCGAAGTTACTGCATTCTGGAAATTGTTTCAAACACAAACCACGGCATTACTAAAAAATTTCGCTTTTAAAAGAAGGTCTATACGTACTAATTCCAGGAATGCTTTCTATAGGAATCTGTCGAACTCCATCTTTAAAACATGAAAGTCCAGGGTAAACTTTTCGAATTTGTGCCTGTTTTCTTTCAATCAGTTTTTTAATTATCTGTAAAGCACAGGAAGGAAATGTGTTTAGGGAAAGAAGTCTATGGATACAGTTCAAGTCAGTCAACCTAATGAAATGTTTTCCTAACAAAACAGTCTTTTTTATGAAATAAGATGGGAGAAAGGGGTGAATGCTATTTAACAAGTAAGAAATGAACAGATTATATTATACCATGTCTATTTAGTGACATTCACAAAAACATCTTTGAGTTACTTGTCCCTGACATCCAGAAAAGCCAATATTGAGAAAACACACAGCCCCTAGGGCCCACTTGTCATCTGTAGCATAAGAGCCAATTATTTTGCCCTGCTTCTCTGAGGAGGCTCTGCCAGAATTACAGGAAAGCAGCCCTGAGCATTCACTACTCAGTCAAGTGACAGAACCTCTTCACTTCCCATAACTAGGAACTGTTCCCTTCGGACTAGAGAAGCAGGTAAACGGGCCCCAGAAAGTCCCAAAAGCCTACAGTTGTTAAAGCTTTACTATTTAAATTTTTCAAGGCTGGACCTCCAACCTATTCTGGCTGCATCAAAAAAGCAGCTCTATAATAGTAGGCTGTCATGAGAAGAAAGAAAAGAATAATGCAATTTAAAGTATCATCTATTAAAGCAACACAACCATGACATAAGCCATCACACTGACTGAGAAATTTTGAGAGATGTTTTGTTTGTTTTGTAAAATAATTATTAATATGCTGAGGTAACTACTTCCAAGACAGTGAGGTTATCCCTTTAATAAAAAAAAAAAAAAAAAAAAAAAAACTAAAAAAATCCCATCCGGAAATTAAACATATCATAACGAAATTTTGGAAAAACGAAACAAAACAATAGAAATCACTAATTGCATTCACAAAGGAAAACAAAAAAATCTACTTCCTGATTGATTTCAAACATATAGCTGGTAAATACTGCAGCATGAATATGTAATCCTAACAGTTAAACAAATAACTTCATAAAATGAATGGGACTAGTAAAAGTATATTCCTAGTAAATCTAGATCAGTGCTGTCCAATAGAGACATAATACAAGCCACGCATGTAATTTAAATTTTTCTACTAGCCGCATTTTTAAAAGGCAAAAAGAAACAGGTGAAATTGATTTTAATAATGTATTTCATTTAACCCATTATATCTAAAATGTCATTGTAACATACAATTGGAAAAAAGTGTAAGATATTTTACATTGCTTTATTCATATGAACTCTTGAAAATCAGAGGATTGGCCAGGTGCAGTGGCTCACACCTGTAATCCCAGCACTTTGGGAGGCCGAGGTGGGTGGATCACTTGAGGTGAGGAGCTCGAGACCAGCCTGGCCAACACGGTGAAACCCCATTTCTACTAAAAATACAAAAAATGGGCTGGGCATGGTAGTGCACGCCTGTAATCCCAGTTACACAGGAGGCTGGGACAGGAGAATTGCTTGAACCTGGGAGGTGGAGGTTGCAGTGAACCAAGGTTGTGCCATTGCACTCCAGTCTGGGTGACAGAGCGAGACTTCCTCTTAAAAAAAAAAAAAGAAAAAGAAAGAAATGAAAATCAGAGGATTTTATACTTACAGCATGCCTTAATTTTGACTAACCACATATCAAGTCCTCAGTAGCCACATGTGGCTAGTGACTGCTACTTTTGACAAGGCTGATCTAGATGGGTGCTTTCCATTTATTTATTTTAAGTCCATTTATTTATTATAAGTCCAAATCTTAAAAAAAAAAAAGAAAAAAGAAACCTGGCTGGGCTTGGTGGCTCACGCCTGTAATCCCAGCACTTTGGGAGGCCGAGGTGGGCAGATCACGAGGTCAGGAGATCGAGACCATCCTGGCTAACACAGTGAAACCCCTTCTCTACTAAAAATTACAAAAAATTAGCTGGGCATGGTGGCGGGTGCCTGTAGTCCCAGCTACTCGGGAGGCTGAGGAAGGAGAATGGTGCGAACCCAGGAGGCAGAGCTTGCAGTGAGCCAAGATCATGCCACTGCACTCCAGCCTGGGTGACAGAGTGAGACGCTGTCTCAAAAAAAAAAAAAAAAAAAAAAAAAAAAAAGAATCCCAAGGGCAATCTCTTAAATCGACACCTTCAGAGAATATGCTGAAGACTGTTTCAATTTGAAAGTTTCCTTCTCTTCACCAAGGGACTCTCAAATGCAATGACCTACAGATGGCTTCCACTCACCTCATGTAGCACCTTAAAGATTGTGGGCTCCTGAGAAGTGACTGTTAATGGGAATGGGAGGCGTCCTAAGCTCTCTGTACCTCTAGTAATCAGTATGGAGAAGAGATCTTTTTTAATTTATTGTTTTCATTTTAGATACAGGGGGTATTATGGGTATACTGTGTGATGCTGAGGTTTGGGCTTCTAATGATCTCACTGCCCAAGTAGTGAGCACAGTACCTGACAGGTAGTTTTTCAACCCTTACTCCTCTCCCTCTCTTGCCTCTTTTGGAAACTCCAGTGTCTACTGTTCCCATCTTTGTGAGCATATATCCCCAATGTTCAGCTCCCACTTATAACAGAAAACATGCAGTATTTTGTTTTCTGTTCCTGTGTTAATCTGCTTAGGATAATGGCCCCAGCTAAACCCACACTGTTGCAAAGGACATGATTTTGTTCTTTTTTATGGCTGCATAATATTCCATGGTGTATATGTACTACATTTTCTTTATCCAATCTACCTTTGATGGGCACCTGAATTGATTTCATGTCTTTGTTATTGTGAATAGCGCTGCAATGAACATAAAAGCACATGTATCTTTTTGTAAGAACAATTTATTTTCCTTCGGGTATATGCTCAGTAATAGGATTTCTGTGTGGAATGGTAATTCTATTTTTAATTCTTTGAGAAATCTCCAAACGGCTTTCCACAGGGGCTGAACTAATTTGCATTCCCACCAAGAGTGTATAAGCATTCCCTTTTCTCCACAGCTTTGCCAACATCTGTTATTTTTTTAACTTCTTAATAATAGCCATTCTGACTGGTGTGAGATAGTATCACATTGTGGTTTTGACTTGCATCTCAGAAAGGAGATATTTTCATTGTGTTCTAGTGTATTAACTTCACCTCCCTAGAAAATATCTTCAACTCCCTACCATGACGATAAAATCAATGCCTTCCAAATGAAAGTATGTCCTCATCTTCTTCTCCTGAAGTCCACAGCTCAGTCCTATGATCTACTGCTGTCAGTTTTAGGGTCTCCCAAAGCAGAAAATTTCAGTGGAGTAGTTCCCCATCTCCAATACATCACCCAGTCTTTGCATGTCTCCTTATAAAAAAATTGCATTGAGTCTCCCCATCCTTACTTTGGCTTCTCCAACCCCAATTCCTTGTATTGTCACATGTAGATTAAGATTTAAGAACTTATCCCCCCACCCACCACCCAGCCTATCCACACATACATGTACATAGGTATATGTACGTACACACACACACACACACAGGCACATAGATACCCAATTATGCTTGCTCATAGCCTATTCGCGCTTTCTCAAATAGTGCCTTCATCACCGACATAACAATGGTCCTACCTGTTCATGTGCCCACAAATCTGTTTCCATTGGACTCTGAGCCTCTGCTAATGCAGATTTCATCACCAGGCTGCCCAGTTCAAAACAAATGTCCCACAAAGCCCTGTCAGGTGACATGAGGCCCCTACAGATCCTACCTTTCCCTTGGAGTCAACACTCACAAAGTAGCACTTAACTCTCCACTCTTGGTCCACCTGTCCAACTATACTAGTTTTCTCTCTCTCTCTCTACTAATGACAACTACAACTTATTCTGCTCCTGTATACTTTTAGGGGCTAGGAAATGCCTCAGAATATTCACTGTTTCTTTGCTGCCACCATGAATCCCTACCTTCCTTGAGGGGTTTTTCACAGTTGGAACAAATAATACTTATAAAAAATCAACTGAATTCTGTGGAAAAAAATACTACATGAATCCAAATATATTTTTATTGAAGTGACTTCAGATAGCTTTTTTAAAAACTAGGTTAAGATCTCCAAACCTCCATCACCCATTCAACGGAATGTGTGAGGGAAGGCTGGAGGCAGAGGGGGAGGAGAGGAGAAAAAAGAATGGGGAGGGAGCCTTGGCTTCTAAAAAGTTGACTGCTTTGTTAGCCATCTAAAATAGCTCTGCGCTTCTGGCGTTCCCCTGTAGGTTTGAAGGGCCAACAGATCATGTACAATGTGAATTTGCAGACTCTGCCAAGGGAATCCTGCTCTCAGCTAACACCGTGGGGATGAATTAGTGCTGCTGGGAGGAGGAATGAGGAAAGAGCAGCTGACAGCGGGGTGATGGCTTTAGTTGGCCAGCAGCCTCTAATGCGGAACGATGTGCTGCTGAATCCAGACCTGCTCATTAAGCTCCAGAGAGAACAATGAGGAAAGCCAGCTCTTCAGAGAGACAGGGAGAGAGAGGAGCCCGCTGTGCTTTATTAACTCTTCCAAGTGCCTACTTGGAATTCTCTCTTAGGCTGACATCTTTGAACAAAAAGCAACAAAAGTTGTTTGTATTTTCCAAAAAAAAAAAAAAGCCTTTGCTCACTTCCCCAGGAAACACAAGAACAAGACTGAGCCACTTTAAGTAAAAGAAAAATACTTAATGAGTAACTACTATGCACCAGACACTGTGTAAAAAGCTTTAGGGCTGTTAGGTAGATAATGCCTAACAAAAAACTAAGAACTGGGATTAAGGAGGTTAGTAGAAACCAGAAAACAAAGATGGGTATAAGACAGATGTCCTCCTAAGCTATTTGTTAGAGAAAAGTGCACTAAACGAATAACAGAAGTATCAAGTGGAATTGACGTGGGATGACACAGCTGCAAACTCCACCCAACTGGGAGCAGCCAGGAGGTGATCCTGGACTTAACACACAAAGTTCTTTCTTTCAATAAATGGCCTTTGTGTACTCCCCAGTTCTGTTCTTTTCATCATGAGTGTTTTTTTTTTCTGCCTTAGAAAATTTGAAATTATTATGTATTCAACTCTGTCAACCTTTCCCTTTTACTGCTTCTCTTTTCATTCATATGCATAAAAAAAGTCACCTCAATACCAGATAACAAATCACTTAATACCTAGAAGGATAAGCCTTCAGAACTTGCCAAGTAAAAGCAGAGATTAATATACAGTAAGGTAAATGTCTATGTAAGATGAATAACTGAAATTCAAATAGGTGGATCAAACTGGTGCTAGAGAAGTTCAGAAGAGGAACTGGAACACACCCTGAAACGGTTTGATTTATGTGTGTGCTGAGTGAACGGGGTGGCTAATGGACAAAGACACTTTGGAGAATAGTAAATAGATGCACTTGGAGTATTTGGAGATGAAAGTAAAGAGATAAGAGTGGGAACAATAATTGAGGCCAGAATGCAAAATGGCTTGAAGGTGAAGTTAAAATATGTCACCATATTTTACATATTTTGTATTTTACATATTTTGTATTTTACACAAATTTAAAAAGTAATGACTCTTGTAGAAATGGTAACCGAGAAAGGAAACAGATCAAGGATACCTTTAAAGAAATCTATGGCCAGGAGCGATGGCTCACACCTGTAATCCCAACAATTTGGGAGGCCGAGGCAGGTGGATCACTTGAGGTCAGGAGTTCGAGACCAGCCTGGCCAACATGGTGAAACGCTGTCTCCACTAAAAATAAGAAAAATTGGCTGGGCATGGTAGCACACACCTGTAATCTTAGCTACTCGGGAGGCTGAGGTACGAGGATTGCTTGGGCCCAGGAGGCAGAGGTTACAGTGAGATAGTGCCACTGCACTCCAGTCTAGGTGACAGAGAGACTCTGTGTCAAAAAAGAGAGAGAGAAGAAATCTAGATAACCCACAGCAAACCGAGAGTTTGCTATCCAGTAAACACATACACGCAGCACCCAAGGAAATGCAACCCACCCCAGCTAAGACTGGCCTGTACAGAAGGTAAGGGAGTCAACCACCTGCTTACCTCCTTCTGCTTTTTAATGATGACAGAAAATTCTGTGTACGGGATCCGTGGATTTAGCTCACATCCCATTAAAGTGGCTCCTTCATAATCCTTGATATAGCCAACATATTTGGTTTTAGGTATTTTAATTTCTTTGGAGAAACCCTGAAAAGCAAGTAAATTCATTCATATGAACACCATACACCAAATATCTACTGAGTGCTAACTATGTTCCAGGCACTGTGTGAGGAATCAAGACAAGCTTCTTTGAAGTTCTCATTGTACTATTCTGAAGAGGATTAGCTTAAAACCACCCATGAAGTTCAAAAACACCAGAAATCTAACTGTGTAAATAGGAAGCAAGACAACATTTTTTAAATGGCCCTAATAAAATGCAAGAAATATTAAAAAGTTTAAAACAGAAACAGGTGTTAAGTAAAAATTAGGTTTAATTTTGTACTGAATTACATAATTAAATATGACCGTTGCAAATTTCTCCAAAAGTGGTGAGGGGGTCCCCAGGATTCTCAGCAAATCAATAACTAACATTGATCTAAATTATCAAAGAAAAGATGGTCAAAAAAATAAAGTGATTAGAAACTTAATGTTTCTGAGGAAATGAAATCCTTTCTTTGCAGGCAAAAAAATTCCAGACAGTCACAATGTGTGGTTGTTTCAATGACATTAATGCTTTGGAATATACTCATTTACACACTTTAAGCCATAATAACAGACTGCTTCAGAGTATATATTCAAAATTATAAATAATATATTTATAATATAAACATAATTTGCCTTAAGTATCTATTTCAGTTATTTGCAGAAAATTTCTTGAACTTCAGCACCATCGCCAGCAGTTCACTGCCTCATCTTTCAACAAAAACTTATTTTCCAAGTAATTATTGCCATCATCCTCAAAGAGGACTACAGACAAGTCATTTAAGAACCATAGCTGAGATCTTATGCTTTGCACTACAGTTACAGCTGAGGAAAGCTGATGCTCAAGACCTCAGTGAAACAATCCAATTAAGTTCTCAGTGAGTTTTACCATAAAAGTTAAAATGCATCTCAAACAATGAGAAGATAATAAATAGGAGATTATTTATCTGTCTTCAGAGCACAAAAAGCTTTCTAATTACATAAGAACACATTTTTAAAAAAAAAGAAGTCTGGCTGGGTGCAGTGGCTCATGCCTATAATCTCAGCACTTTGGGAGACTGAGGCAGGAGGATCACTTGAGTCCAAGAGTTCAAGACCAGCCCAGGCAACATAGCAAGATTCTCTCCCAACCCCTCACCATCTCTACAAATGATTAAAAAAAAAAAATTGCTGGGCATGGTGGCATGCACCTGAGGTCACAATTACACAGGTAGCTGAGGCAGGAGGATCGCCTGAGCCCAGGAGGTTGAGGCTGCAGTGAGCTATGATCATGCCACAGCACTCCAGCCTTGGTGACAGTGTAAGACCCTGTCTCAAAACAAACAAACAAACAAAATCCAAACCAAAACAAGTCAATAGATTTTATGTAATAACATCTTTAACATTCTGAAGATTTAAAGAAAAAGCCATAAGCAATGTTGAAACAAATATTATCCAAGGTTAATATAGTTATATACTAATAGTTCTCACAAATCAATGTACAACTAAACATTTTTATAGAAAAAGGGACAAAAGAAAATGAATTAGCAATCCAAAAAAGGAACAAATACAAAGAATTGATAAACATGGAAAAATAAATCAAACTTCACATAAATAAATTCAAACATACACAATTTATTATCTGGAAAAGTGGTAAATTTTTTTTCAGTTACCAACTCCTTTCCTGACCCCCTTATACACTGCTGACAAAAATGGAAATTTTTAAAATATTTAGCAACACATTACAAAAACCTTGATTTATTCTAAGCAAATTACCATCAATGAGGGCAAAACATGTACACAAACACACACCCATACACATGCACATTACCTACAAGAAACACCTAGTCAAAAATGTATTGGTTAAATATTTTCTATTTCTACAACAAAATCCTAGGAAACCACCAAAATTATTATATACACAGTATGAACCAACTTTTATGTTTATATACACACAGAAAAAATACTAAAAAGATTTATGTCAAAGCATTAACAGCATAGGTATGAGCTGAGAGGAAAAATAACAGAAAAAATTTTAAAATAAAAAAATCAAAGCATTAACAGTAAATTTCTTGGGGTGACAGAATTACAAGCCATTTTTCTTTCCTTCTTTTGCTTTATTACATTTTCTACAATGATTACACATTACTTTTATAGTCAGAAAAGTAAATGAAAATGTTTAGGAATTATAAATCACTATTAAAAATAATATGCAGTCAAAGAATAGTCCTCAAAAAGCTGAGCTGAAAACTTATTTTAAGACTTATTTAAAGAGAGACAAGTTCTCACTATGTTGCCCAGGCTGTTTCAAACTCCTGAGCACAGCAATCCTCCTGCCCTGGCCTCCCAAAGTACTAGGATTACAGGCATAAGCCACTGCACCTGGCCTGAGCTGAAAACTTCTGATAAGAAACTGCTAGGACAGAGGCCTGGTGAGGTGGCTCACGCCTATAATCCCAGCACTTAGGGAGGCCGAGGTGGGTGGATTGCTTGAGTCCAGGAGCTCGAGACCAGCCTGGGTAACACGACAAAACCCTGTCTCTACTAAAAATACAAAAAATTAGCTGGGTGTAGTCACAGCTACTTGGGAGGCTGAGGTGGGAGAATCACCTGAGCCCAGGAGGTCAAGGCTGCAGTGAACTGAGATTGCACCACTGCAGTCTCAGCCTAGGCACCAAAGTGAGACCCTGTCTCAAAAAAAAAAAAGGAAGGGAGGAACGGAGAAAGGAAGGAACTGCAAAGATGACAGCCAAGCTCCTAGCCCACTATGTGCTGTAGAATCAGGACTGTTTGCAGGTTTTTATAAACTCCAGGATTTCCTTTCTGCTGTCATAAATGGAGGCCTTCCAGAAACTGAATCTGTTTTTCTCATTCACAGAGAATGCTACCCACCAAATTCCAGGACTGGGAATTTCTTATTAGAAACCATATTTTAGAATGTTAGGATGCAATATTATACCTCACTGACAGGTGACATTCATTCATTCTCTCAACAAATAGTTATTCAATACTTACTATGTGCTAGTGACACTCTCTAATCCAGGCTGAAGCTTATTTTTGACATAAGGCTTGTAAAACAAATGCCTGTTCTTATAAGTAGAAAACACTGGGGGAGAAACTTATTTGGAAGAACGCTACCTGAGAACATATTAAGAAAAGGAGTGACAAAACAGTGTTGCGTGGTGAGAAACCAACCTGTTTCTTAAAGTATCCAATTGCATATTCATCTGCATATGTGAGGAAGTTCAGGATGTCATGCTTTATGTGATATTCTTTCAAATGATTCATCAGGTGTGTTCCATAGCCCTGTGTGGAAGTTAGTATACAAACAAATACATTAGACTGGGGAGAAAAATTTTTACAAATCCATCAGGAAATGATGGTGAATTCAGAAGTTTGTACTTTTACATATTTTACCAACCAGGACCTTTCCTGAATGAAATATATTAACACCCTTTCTTGCGTTTCTTAACTTTGAAAATAAGCTATAAAACCAAAACAAAATCAAAATCCTTGCTTCAAAGATAAAAATCATCATTTGAAAATGTAAGTTTCTAGTTATTTGAAAATAACACACCAGGGCCACAAGTTCCTAGCTCAATCTTAAAGATCACTTGCTGAATAGTAATATAAAAGTTTTCAGAATGAATGTAGATTATGAATTTCTGCTTATCTTTAAGGTATTTGAGAATCTCAGAAGAAAAAAAAAAGATGCAAATGAAAAGTGCTAATCTTCACTAGAATATTTAGTAATCCAAGTGTTTACTGTACACCACAAACTGGCAACCCTTCTAAAGAACTGAATCATCACATACATAGCATTTTAAATTTGGTCTTATCAGACCTTTCCAAGTAAGGTCTGAGAAGCCCAGAATCTCTGAATCAGCCAGAAGACATTAGAAAGTAACTAAAGGTAGTCAACAATGTTGAATAAACTCAGTCATTGAAATATTTTTATAATATCAAGTTTTTTCAGTGACAAAGCTTACAGAAAACGTGTAAATCTAATGTGATTGTTTTGGAACCTCATAAAGAGAGATAAAAGTAAATCCAAGTGTCCAGACCCAAATATCTTCACATAAATTTTCTGCAATTTGGTGGCACATTTTTCTAAAGAACTCAAATATATTCCCAGGTATGATCTCATGGAATCACAGTACCTCAAGGTCAGAAGGATCTTTGGAAGTCATTCTATCTAACCCCCTAATCCATATGAGGCTAGAGGTCTTTTGCCATCTATCATGAAAAGGCAATCTGCTAGAACACCGCCAACGTAGGCCAATTCCTTGGTGGTGAGATAGACCAATTCATTTTCAGGCATCATATAGTTGGGAATTCCTTCCTAACGTTCACCCAAGATCTGGTCATTGTTATTTCTACTTATTGACCTTAGTTCTACTCCTAGAGTTACAAAGACTCATTCCTGCTTTTAACAGCCCTTCAAGCCTTTGAAGATTATGCTCTCTCACACATGCCCATCCGTACTTTCCCAGTCCCAAGCCAAGCACCATCAAGGCTATAGTCATTCCTCATATGGCATGACTGAATGACACCTTATCAAACTAATCACTTTGGTTTTTATTTTTTTTTTTTTGAGATGGAGTCTTGCTCTGTCACCCAGGCTGGAGTGCAGTGGCACGATCTCGGGTCACTGCAAGCTCTGCCTCCCAGGTTAATACCATTCTCCTGCCTCAGCCTCCCGAATAACTGGGACTACAGGTGCCCGCCACCACACCTGGCTAATTTTTTGTATTTTTAGTAGAGACGGGGTTTCACTGTGTTAGCCAGGATAGTCTCGATCTCCTGACCTTGTGATCTGCCCGTCTCGGCCTCCCAAAGTGCTGGGATTACAGGCGTGAGCCACCGCGCCCGGCCACTAATCACTTTTTTCGGAGTTTTTTCTAATATAACAATGCCTTTCTAAAGCATGGATCCTAGGACCAAGCATAATAATAAGGGGACGGTATGTCTAGTAAACAGAACAGTATCATCATCTCCCTCTTCTGCAAATTATTCTTCCATTGATGTCACCCAAAGACATTTTAGCTTTTAACTTTTCCCAAACATATCACAATACTGAACACTGAGAGTTTGAATAAAACTTGGATAAAAACACAAATGAACTATTTCTCTCCTTGAGGAGACGATAGTAAAATGGGGAAGATAAACATATAAACACATGTGTATAGAGGTATACTATTCAACAGAGTAGACACTAGCCTCATGTGGCTACTGAGCAATTGATATGAGACTAGTCCAGTTTGAAATGTCCTGAAGTATAAAAACACACTAGGAAAAAAATTCTCATTACTAACATTTTATACTTATTACATGTTGATATGACAATAATTTTAGACATATTAAGTAAAAAAAAGTCAAAATTAATTTCACCTGTTTCTTTTCACTTTTTTAAATATGGCTACTCAAAATTTTGAAATTACTTATGTGACTTGCATTTGAGGCCTGCATTACATTCCTGTTATGCAGCATTTGTACAGAGTGATATATTTGTATCTTCAATAGTGGGCTGGGCGCGGTGGCCTATAATCCTAGTGGCTCACGCCTATAATCCCAGCACTTTGGGAGGCTGAGGTGGGCGGATCATGAGGTCAGGAGATCGAGACCATCCTGAACAACATGGTGAAACCCCATCTCTACTAAAAATACAAAAATTAGCTGGGCGTGGTGGCACGTGCCTGTAATCCCAGCTACTCGGGAGGCTGAGGCAGGAGAACGGCATGAACCAGGGAGTCGGAGGTTGCTGTGAGCCAAGATCTGAGCTGAGATCGCGCCAACGCACTCCAGCCTGGCGACAGAGCGAGACTCCGTCTCAAACAACAACAACAACAAAAACAACAAAACAAAACGATAGTGAAAAAGACCATAATCAAGGTGGTAAAGAGAAGACGAATAGAGGAAAAGGAAATGTTTAAGCTAGGCCTTAAAAGAGCTTGTCAAATTGAAAACAAGAGAAGGAAATGGATTAGAAATCTAAATGTAAGGTAAAATAAACCTTTACAAAAGTATTATAAAAAGATATAGGAAAAGTGGGCATATAACTTAGGGATACAAAAAGGCTTCTTAAAGAAAAAATAAAATGCAAAAGCATGAAGTAAAAGACTGATTATTAAGTAGAATACTTCAAATTTTAAAACGTCTTCAAGGCACCATAAGTAATCAAAGATACCATAAACAAAAGACAAATGACAAGTGAGGGGGGGTGTAGTTGCAACATATATTACAAAGATTTAATATCAAAAATACATAAATATCTTCTATAGAATCAATACAAAAAAGAGATAGAATAAAAGAAAATTTGTCAAAGGCTAGAACAAGAATAAATATTACCAGTAAATATAAGAGATATGTTCGACCTCAATAGTGATCAGAGCGCTCTACCATAAAATGAAATATTGCACTTGACGGCGTGCAAATACGTTTACAGTTTATGTACCCAGTGCCAGCAATGGTAGGGGGAACTATTCTCTCCAACACCACTGGTGAAAAATGTAAACTGGGAGACCCACTGAGAAGACAATCTGGAAATAATTTTTTAAATTTAGACCGGCCATATTCATTCATATAGGAATTCTGCTTCTCAGTGTCTAAGGAAACATTTCCAAACAGAACATTGCTGATGATAGAAAATTACCAGAAATAAGCAAATATGTCTTCAATAGAGAAATGATTACATAAATTATGGTGCATCCATATTATAAAATACTGTATAAAAAGAATAAAGTAGCTATATATCAGCATTAATAGAAATTCCTGCAATTATGGAAATGTTCTTTATCTATGCTATCCAATATGGTAATATTAGTCACATGTAGCTACTGAGTACCTGAGTAACCAAGGATGTAAATATTCATTTTAATTTAAGGTATCTAAATACAAATTTAAACAATCACATATATGCACTAAAGCTGAAAGGTCTCTAGGACAATGTAAAGTTTTTTTCCAGTAATGCAATGCATACAATATGAATTCCATTTATTTAAATGGGAAAAAAGCAACAACAAAACACACAGTCACCTCTTACCTGTAAGTTCAGTAAGTTCCAATATATGTGTCAATACCAAAGTACCTGGAAGGATGCGTACCAAGCTGACAAAAATAGCAGGATGGTAGTGGGAAGGGGAAATGGGATTTTTGTTTTATCTGAAAACGCATTTGTATATGTCTTACATAATTAAAAATTATTTCTAAAAAAATTTTTTTAACTAGAGGAAAGCAAATGGTTGGCCAGTTGGAGTGAATTGCATGTGCACAGGAAAAGTAATGTCTAAAAATTAGTAAGAAATGTGTCTTCTAATGAAATTCACTTTAACACGGATGTCGATGCAAGAGAGATTGTTGTATGCACCATCTTGTAAGGAGTTAATAGAAACTATAAATTTGTACCCTTCATCCATAATCCAATTAATTTTACTCAAGAACAACAATGGTTCTTTGGTAAATAGCTTCTCAAAACCTGCATAAGATATTTTTCATCAGTGACCACAAATTTGCCATCTCTCCAAAAATCTTTTCCAGATTCCAAGTTGCTTGTGAGAAAGGGCTGTGTCTTTTAACTTGAACTTCCTCTGTATCTAGCTAGTATTTGTGACTAGCAGTCATGGTAGTTTAAGTACTGCCTTGGTTAGAGAGGCAGTGACAACATAAAGCTATTATAAGCAAATGTTTATTTAGATTTTAACCCCAGACCTATTTCCCCTTGTTTGTACACCTTTATTTTTACCTGCCATCAAAAGGATCATTTTCTAACTATCTGGTAACTTCAGTGTTTATTTAAATACCTATTATGGTAAATAAACATTAGCTACATAATTTTAAAGCTGTATATAATATCAAATTCAATATTTTTTTCTTTTGAGATGGAGTTTCACTCTTGTTGCCCAGGCTGAAGTGCAATAGCACAATCTTGGCTCACCGCAACCTCCACTTCCTGGGTTCAAGTGATTCTCCTGCCTCAGCCTCTGAGTAGCTGGGATTACAGGCATGCACCACCACACCCAGCTAATTTTGTATTTTTGGTAGAGATGGGGTTTCACCATGTTGGTCAGGCTGGTCTCAAACTCCCAACCTCAGGTGATCCGCCCGCCTCAGCCTCCCAAAGTGCTGGGATTACAGGTGTGAGCCACCACGCCTGGCCCAAATTGTTTTTAGATTACAGGATATTCCAAAATCAGGAGAGGAGCTTCAAATAAATTCTCATATGTTATCTTGTGTTTTCAGCACAATAAATCCACATAAAAATCTAATTTAAAGAATTCACAGGAATTTATCAGCATGATTCTCCAAAATGACCATATACAGATTTTAAAGTGCCATTTAGCCAAGATTTTTAATATAGTAAATAAATACTTAAAACGTCTGTTTATGGTTGGGCACAATGGCTCACGCCTATAATCTCAGCACTTTGGGGGGCCAAGGAGGGAGGATCTCTTGAGACCAGGAGTTCAAGACCAGCCTGGGCAACACAGGGAGACCCTATCTCTACAAAAAATAAATTAGCCAGGCATGGTGGTGCACATCTGTGATCCCAACTACTCAGAATGCTGAGGTAGGAGGATTACCTGAGCACAGGAGGTCGCAGACGCAGGGAGCTGTGATCATGCCACTGCACTCCAGCCTGGGCAACAGAGCAAAACCCCATCTCAAAAAATTAAAAAATTAAAATAAAAATAAAACCTCTGCTTATGAATTTGCTGTCTTCAGTAATATATGCTATAGCCACTGGGACCCATTCAGTTTTACTCCATATTGAAGAAGTGCTTCCATGTTGTCTAGTGTTGCTGGGTTGGCAGAGCTCAGCAATCTTTATCTTAGACTATACGCCAGTGAAAATGTAAATATCTTGGGCAGTGTGATGTCTCAAAAGTTGTTCATTAATCATTAATGACACAGGACAGTAAAAAGATCAGGAAATTGGCTGGGCACAGTGGCTCACAACTGTAATCCCAGCACTTTGGGAGGCCGAAGCAGGCGATCACCTGAGGTCAGGAGTTTGAGACCAGCCTGGCCAACGTGATGAAACACCATTTCTGTTAAAAATACAAAAATTAGCCGGGCATGGTGGCTGACACCTGTAATCCCAGCTACTCGGGAGGCTGAGGCAGGAGAATCACCAGAACCCAGGAGGCGGAGTTTGCAGTGAGCCGAGATCACGCCATTGCACTCCAGCCTGGGCAACAAGAGCAAAACTCCGTCTCAAAAAAAAAAAAAAAAAAAAAAGGCCAGGAAACTAAAGGAAGAACTGTTTCTCACATTCTTACTTCTACTAAAGATTGGTTCTTACCATTAGAACACACACACACACGCACGCATGCACACACACACACGTTCTTACCATTAAAAAACACACACATGCACGCACACACACACACACACTAAACTCATCCATTCTATTTTGTTTTGAAAGACTAATCTTCATTATCTTCATTTTCTAAAACTACAGTTTCAAGTCACTTACAAGAAGTGATTGCTTTTCTTGTTCTTCCTTCTGAGTTTGTGATGCTTGGCCACCTTCCTTCAAGTCTTTAGAAAATTACATGGTTATGGGGGGGAATTGCCTTTCTGGGAAGTAATAAGACAAAGTATCCAATTCGTATTAAATACCTTCAGTTTCCCTTTAGTATCCCTAAAAGTGTCCAACTCAACCTTAATCAGCATTTCCAAACAAGGTGTTTGGTATAGCTATCTTTGAAAATAAAAATTACGCCATCTTTTTCTAAAATTACAAACCAAGGGCATATTTTCCAGGTCTTCACCCTAAGAAAAGCCAAATAAAATTTTCCTTTAAGTAAGTTCTTAAACTTTGAACATTTGGAAACATCTGGACATTTGTCACTTTGGCTAGCGGAGAATAATGATAAACACAGCAACAGCACCATCTAAAGACACACTGTCAGAATTCCTTGAAAATGAGCCAGAGATCAGTTTCAAGCAAATGTGGGTCTTCACCTTCCCCAGTCAGAATGATGAATGTAAGACTGCTGAATTGCATTTGCCCTTTGATGCTTAGTGCTAGGAGTCGAAGACAAAAAGCTCCACTTGTGCTTTGTGAGAATAAATACATTGCAGCAGCTATAATTCGTGCTGAGGCCGGGCGTGGTGGCTCACGCCTGTAATCCCGGCTACTCAGGTGGCTGTGGCATAAGAATCACTTGAACCCAGGAGGCGGAGGTTGCAGTGAGCAGATCACATCACTGCATTCCAGCCAGAGCAAAAGAGCAAGACTCTGTCTCAAAATAATAATAATAATAATAATAATTTTAAAAAATGGGTACTGTGACCAGAGAGTGAAGCTGTTAATGAAAGCTAAAGTACCAATAGCCCAGGCTGTGCCCCTAATGCAGAGAATGATTCCTTTCAGGGACTTACTTTTGGTTTCTGTAAATGGTATTGCTTCTTTGAAGCTGAAGGAGTCAACAAAATACTTAGACCAGCACTGTCCAATACAGGAGCCACTGGCCACACGTGCCTATCAAGCACTTGAAAGGCAGCTTGTCTAAATTGAGATGTGTTATAAATGTAAAATACATGCTTGGTTTCAAAGAGTTAGTATAAGGCTGGGTGTGGTTGCTCATGTTTGTAATCTCAGCACTTGGGGAGACCAGGGAGGGCAGATCACCTGAGGTCAGGAGTTCAGGACCAGCCTGGCCAACATGGCGAAACCTCATCTCTACTAAAAATACAAAAATTGGCCGGGCATGGTGGCATGTGCCTATAGTTCCCAGCTACGCATGAGGCTGAGGTGGGAGAATCACTTGAACCCATGAGGCGGTGGTTGCAGTGAGCCAAGATCACACCACTGCACTCCAGCCTGGGCAACAGAGTGTGAACCTGTCTCAAAAAAAAAAAAAAAAAGACAGTACAGAACAAAGAATGTAATGTAAAAGGTCTCCATAATTCTTCGTGACATTGAATGCCTGTTGCAGTTATATTAATACTTTGGATATATGGGTAAAATAAATTTCCAAAATTAATCTCACTGGATTCCACTTGCTTTTTTAAAAATATATACATATAACTACTAGAAAATTTAAAAGCACATAATATGTGTGCTTTTATAACCTCATATTTGCAGGCTGCTTTATATTTCTATTGGACACATTGCTTTAGACCTTCCAATAATTTTTCTCAGCAGCCATCTTAATCATCCGGAGCTGCTAATCTTTAGTCCACCCATGAAAATCCTAAATGAATAACATTCTTTTTTTTTTTTTTTTTTTTTTGAGATGGAGTTTCGCTCTCATTGCCCAGGCTGGAGTGCAGTGCTGTGATCTTGGCTCACTGCAACCTCCGCCTCCCGGGTTCAAGCAATTTTCCTGCCTCAGCCTCCCAAGCAGCTGGGACTACGGGCATGTGCCACCACACCAAGCTAATTTTGTATTTTTAGTAGAGACAGGGTTTTACCACATTGGTCAGGCTGGTCTCAAACTCCTGATCTCAGGAGATCCACCCACCTTGGCCTCCCAAAGTGCTAGGATTACAGGTGTGAGCCACTGCCCAGCCCTAAATGAATAACATTCTAAGGACATGTTTTCTGGTTCCCTTTTCTTAAAAGCAAGAAAGTAGAACAGGACAAGGTATAGATGAGAGCTCTTTCTGTCAATTCAGAGTCTGGTTTATTCTCGCCAGACTGCGACACCAACTGCAATACCAATAAAACATGGACACAGTTCCTGGAAAGGAAGGGACCTAAGCCAAAGACAACTGGGAAGATAAATTAGCAACAAAAAAAAACAAAACAAAACAAAAAGACACTCCAACACATGCCAAACCCTACAGGAATAACTTCTGAAATTTATTCATAAATTTACATGACTTCCCTTATAGAATTTCATGACTTCCCTTAAAGAATTTCCTTAGTCCTTGTTTTCCCTTAGGGACAAGGTCATAAGAAATCTTTCTGAAGTGTAAGCTGCCTAAATCATCTTTCTAATCCACATTAACCATATCCTTTCCAGTAGTTCAGTGTCACTAATTGTGATTACATGTTTGCGTGTATGTGTAAATTAACAATGAACACTGAGATCTATTTTTCAAATATCCCTTCATTTGCTATCGACTACACTTGAGTTACATATTGAACTTGTACAGTATCCTGGTACCTCGCCCCAAAGTCCAACAAAGCCTTGGTACAACCCTACTTGTTGGTAGGTGAAACCACTTACTCTCCTCACACACATACACATACACTCACAGTGAGACAGAGGTCCCCAACCCCTAGACCATTACCAGTCCGTGGCCTGTTAGGGACCGGGCTGCACAGCACGAGGTGAGTGGCAGGCAAGTGAGCATTACCGCCTGAGCTCTGCCTCCTGTCAGATCAGTGGTGGCACTAGACTCTCATAGGAGTGCAAACCCCATTGTGAACTATGCGTGCAAGGGATCTAGGTTGCATGCTCCTTATGAGAATCTAACTAATGCCTGATGATCTGAGCTGGAACAGTTTCATCCCAAAATCATAGCCCTAATCTGACCCGTGGAAAAATTGTCTTCCGTGAAACCAGTCCCTGGTGCCAAAAAGGTTGGAGACCATTGGAGTGAGAGGACTATTCCCAGAAAGTCCTTAACTCCACTTTGAACCTTCTCTGGACATGGCACAGAGAGATCTTCCCAAGCTCTGCAGGCCTTAGTGAGAAGCCCCACATTCTGCTCTTCTTCTAAGACCTTGGGTTTACCCTTACCTTGACTTGCTCATTTGAGGTTACAGCACAGAAGACAATCTCTGTGAATCCTTGAGATGGGAACATACGGAAACAGATACCACCAATAACACGGCCATCTTTAATTAAAGCAAGGGTTTTGTGTTTCCTGAAAGAATAAGATTATGTCAAAGTTTTACCTATCCTAGTTATATAAATATACTTTTTGGGGTGTTCCTTATTAACCAACTAAGAAAGAGGGACATGTCCTAAGTTTCTATAGAAACTTCCTTCATGTAGCCCCTATCTCGCTAGACCATCCTTTTATCTGAACTTTTTAGAGCTAGGTCGCCTGCACAAGATGTCATCAGCACTCCCATCAGAACAAAATACCAGTCACCTAAGAAGTGCCTGAGGTTTACAAATAGAGAACAGAGTATGTGCAGAGGTGCTCTGGAACTGGCACAGCCAGTGCCAAGGAGGGGTCAGGGAGAGCAGGAAGTCATGGACAAACATGGTATGTGTCTCTGAAGAGTTAAGTCTTACTCCAAAATATTACAGAAACATTATGAAAAAGAATTTAAAATTTACATATACAATTTGCAAAATTCCGCATTATGGAATCCTTCCCTCTGTCTAAAGCATCACTCTGAATTGTCACAGGCATGGATCACAGTCCCCATAGGCTACTGGGCTATGTATGTTAAAATAAATTCAATTAGAGAAGTTTAGTTCTTTAGGGTTTCGTGGGTTTTTTTTTTTTTTTTTTTGAAATGGAGTTTCGCTCTGTTGCCCAGGCTGGAGTGCAATGGCACGGTCTCGGCTCACCACAACCTCCGCCTCCTGGGTTCAAGCAATTCTCCTGCCTCAGCCTCCCAAGTAGCCGTGATTACAGGCATGTGTCACCAGGCCTGGCTAATTTTGTATTTTTAGTAGAGACGGGGTTTCTCCATGTTGGTCAGGCTGGTCACAAACTCTCAACCTCAGGTGATCCTCCCACCTCAGCCTCCCAAAATGCTGGGATTACAGGCATGAGCCACCATGCCCGGCCTAGTTTTTTGTTTTTTTTTTTTAAGCAATGGATTTTCAAAGTTAACCTGTCTTATATCCCAATAATTGCCCACAGACCTGGGCAATAATGGCACCTAGTTAAGATACCAAAACCAATATTTTGATTATGAAGAAAGCAGAACATCTTAGTGTTACATTCTCTCACTGCTATAAAGAATGAAGCACAGGAGAGTCATCAGCAATGTAAAATATAAAGTTTCATCATCATTAACAAGAAAATTTGTAAATTGTTGAAAATTACTCTTAGCACTTTCAGACATGAAAATCAGCTTGGTGAAGCTCTGTATCCACAGCAAGACAGGTGCAGTAGTATTCGGTGGATGACTATGGCTGACTTTCACTATCTAAGCAGTTCCTCTTTCATTTAAAAAGGAAATAAGGAAGAAGGAACAGAAAGTACCACTTACGGGTCAAAGACGAGCCGTGTGATGTATTCTTTTGGCATTCGGGGCAGCTGGTGGGAGAAAACGTTCTGTAGGCCAACCAGCCACATCAGGATCTTCTTGTTTGGTTTCTGGTTGAGGGAATTGCCAACCACGTGAAATTCAATTACACCCCTGCGCTCTTCCAACCTTGCCGCCTCATCCCTGGCCGAGTGTGCTGACAGAAAATTGGTCTGAGATGCAAGAGACAGGAAAAAATTACACAGAGCTATTCTCTCAAGACAGTGGGGATGGGACACATCCAAGCTTCTCATCTTTGTTCTAATAAGATACACATTTGTGGATTTTCAGAGTCCTAAATACACATGTGTGCACACATACACACAGAGACACATACACATACAAGTTATGAAGACAAGACAGAAAAGGCAGGTAAAGCATTTTGAGAAATTGGAGTATTATATGTGTACACGGATGATATTCAGTGTAGATTAGGGGCCAGCAAAGTTTTCTGTGAAGGGCCAGATAGAAAATATTTTAGACGTTGTGAGCCATAAGGTGTTTGTCACAACTACTCCTTCTTCTGCTATAATGCAAAAGCATCCACAGACAATATGTTAAAGAATGGGTGCAGTACTGTTCCAATAAAACTTTATTTAAAAATACAGTAAGCAGACAAAATGTGGCCTGTGGGTTATAGTTTGCCAACCTCTGGCTTCAAGGAATCCTCTCCAGCTGAGCTTTAAGGACCCTTGAGATGACAGATTCAAATTCTCATTACAGGCCCAATAGTAGCACTCATGTATATATTCTTTTTTTTTTTTTTTTTTTCTGAGACGGAGTCTCGCTCTTTCGCCCAGGCCAGACTGCAGTGGCGCTATCTCAGCTCACTGCAAGCTCCGCCTCCCGGGTTCATGCCATTCTCCTGCCTCAGCCTCTGGAGCCTGCCACGGCGCCCAGCTAATTTTTTGTATTTTTTAGTAGAGACGGGGTTTCACCGTGTTAGCCAAGATGGTCTCGATCTCCTGACCTCGTGATCTGCCCGCCTCGGCCTCCCAAAGTGCTGGGATTACAGGCTGAGCCACCGCGCCCGGCCTCATGTATATATTCTTAACACCTCTTTTTAAAGAACAGTTTTCTTTCCAGAGAATATCTGTTGACCTACACTCAACCATAGCTGGAAGCACAACCATGTGCCAGCACTTATGCTCCCCATCTTATTTAATCTGCCTAGTGGTTTGCAAGTAGATGCTCCACAAACAGCTCTTCAAGGAAGGAAGGCCCTAACTGGTGACACTTCATCTCATTAGTCCAGAACTGGCTATCCAGGTAACCAGGTGCCATGCTAGTCAACTTCAAGCTACCAACATATGGAACAACCAGCTCACAAAACTCCTGAAAATTTAACAATTTTCTTGTGCATTCCAGTACAAGCCAGCTCTAGTACACTACTAAATATTAATATATCCAAAATATTTTCAAACATGTGACTGCATCCTGATGTAGTTTGAATGTGTGACCCCTCCAAATCTCATGCTGAAATGCAATCTCCAATGTTGGAGGTGGGGCCTAGTGGGAAGTGTTGGATCATCAGGGCAGACCCCTCATGAATGGCCTAGCACCATCCCCTTGTTGATGAATGAGTTATTGCTCAGTTAGTTCATATGAGATTTGGTGGTTTAAAGGGGTCTGGCTCCTCCTCCTCACTCTCTTGTTCCCTCTCTCACCATGTGATGTGCCTGCTCCCACTTCACCCTGCACCATGAGTATAAGTTCCCTGAGGCCTCCCCAGAAGCTGAGCAGATGCTGATGCCATTCTTGTACAGTCTGTGGAACTGTGAGCCAATTAAAGCTCTTTTTTAAAAAAATAAATTACCCAGTCTCAGGTATTTCTTTGTAGCAATGCAATAGACTAGTACAAATCCCCATTTTATAGCTGAAAAAAACCTAAACTCAGCTAATCTGTAATGTTACTAAATCCCTAAAAAACTATAGTCTTAAGCCCTCACAGACTGGACATCTAGGAGGAAATGGAAAGATCAATTTTAGGAAGAGATTTTTCTATTACAACATTCTGGTTCTCTGAAGTATCCTCAATGTCATAAAATAAATATTTAAAGAAACATGACAAATTGAAAATTAACACTGTAATATAATCTCCAAGCCATTTCTTCATTTCCTGGAAGCTGTCAGAAATGTCTTAAGACAGGTATGTCTTAAGAAATGTCATTGCCTTGCATGCCCTCAGATGCAAGGCAATGAGATGACAGCAGCATTTTTACCAAAAATGCCTTACTTGAATCTAATCCTTAGTAAACAATCAACAAATCCAAAAAGAGGGACCTTATACAAAACTAGCGACCAAGACTCTTCACCAATGGCAGTGCTGCAAAAGACCAAAACAAGGCTGGGGAGTTGTTTTAAAGGAGACTAAACAAATGAAGAGATAAGAATTAAATGCAATGCACAATCCCTAACTGATCCTTCAACAACAACAAAGGTTATAACTGACATCATCTGGCTATATGGGAAATTTAAATACGGTTTTATATTAGGCCAGAGGTCAGCAAACTTTTCAGTGAAAAGCCAGATAATAAATATTTCATACTTTGCAAGCCACACATTCCCTGTCTCAATTATTCAAATTTACTGTTGTAATGCAAAGACAGCTGCAAACAATATGTTTCAATAAAACTTTATTTGAAAAAAACAGCCAGTGGAGCAGATTTGGCTTGCAGGCTGTAATTCACCAACCCTGTATTAGAAAATATTGTAACCAGGCTAAATTTTCTAAGAGTAATGACTGCATTGTGGTTATGTAAGAGAATAGCTTCCTTATGAGATACAGTACATGCAAAAATAGTTAGGGGTGAAGTATTATGACATGTGTTTTTAATTCTGAAATGGTTCCAAATGGTTCATGGGGAGTGGGGAGAGAAAGAAAAAGAGCATATGGGGAGGCGCAGAGAGAAAGAGAGGTAGCAAATGTGGCATAATGTTAACTGCTGAATCTCAGTAAAGAGTCTATGGATTTTTATTACAGAATTTCTGCAACATTTATGAGGGCTTGAAATTTTTCAAGATAAAAAGCTGGGAATGATGCCTTCAACTGTGAGATTATTAGTAAGTGGACCTGTGATGTGATATTCATCAAGGGGAATTACCTCTTGATCAGTTGTTCCTGCCCTCTCCACACTGACCACCAGGTTAAATGCAAACCAGGGTAGCATAACATGTTAACTCTCAGCATTAGCATCCCCACTTCTGACAGCTGGAGTGGCCAGGAGAGCAGAAGAGGTCTACCAGCTGGCTGCCCAGGTTTACCCTGCTGACCTCTGGTCCAAGCATTGCTGCAGGGTCCGTGATGGTAGACATAACCTCGTTGATTAATTCCATCGGAATATCCCCCATAACTCGGGGTTTCTTGGCCTCCTCCAGAACATGAGAATCAGTCATTTTCCTCTTTTCTCCTATGATGATCAAAATAAAAGGCAAACAATGGGTGGTTCTAAACACAAAACAAATAATACACGCCAACTAATTTTCTAACAGCATTGATGGGCATGGAGGTCAACTCTATCTTTACCACCAGGGGAAGGGGTGACAAAGGAAGACAGGAAAGAGAGCCATTGTGAGCTCACAATAACTGCCAACCCAATTCATTGTGAATATTTTCTACTTTCTATGATGATTTTTAACTAGATACATGAAATATTAAGGCACATGTTCCTTCATCTGCAAATGCAAAGGGGTGATTCTAGCTATTGTTTGTTAGTACTCTCTAATATAGTCTCTTCAAGGTCAGAGAACATGGTCCATATGACACCAAAACGTCAAAATGGATTGAAATTTTTACCTTATGACCTAAAATAAGACCAATCTTTTGTAAATGTGCAGTGTCTTCTTGGAAAGAATGTGTATTTTCATATTTTGATCTCTATAACTCCATTAGCTTCAGCTTACAGATCATGTTGTATGGATATCAGTAAGAGCCTTACTGATATTTTTGTCTGTTTGACCTATGAATTACTCAGTTGTTTGTTTAAAGCCTCAACCGTTGGTTGATTTGATTATTTCTCCTTGTAGTCATGTTAATTCCACCCCGCCCCCACCGGCACCCCACCATATATGTACGGAAATCAGTTTGCATTAGGCTTTGGGCTTTATTGGTTAGTTATTGCTATGTAATAAACCAACCCCAAATGAGTCTTAAACCATAATAACTTACTATCATAGCTCATTCATTTCGTATGTTTCCTGATGGGTGGCTGATTTCAGCTCATCTCATTCAATCTTGGCAGGCTTGTTCATGAGTCTACCCACTGATTGGAATCTCTGTGCTGGGCTTGGCTATACACACACACACACACACACACACACACACACACACACACACACACACACATATGCATATGTGTATGTATGCATATATATTATGTATATATAGCTATATATTTGAAATATACCATAAATTATTTTTAATAAACAAATTTATGGATTTAATTTTCTATTATAAAATGACACACTTTATCTTTTACAATGCTTTTTTGCCCTAAAATGATGCCTCACAAAGTGAGCAGGACCACTAGCCTATCAAGTAGATGCAATCTCACCATTCCACACAATAGGAGAGCCATGCAAAGGCAGAGAGAACTTTCTTCCGCTTTCCTCATGAGATTGCATGGTAGTTTTTTTCTCCTTTCTATTCTCATGTTTGGTTTTTCCAGTTTTTTCCAGACATAACATGTATTTATTTTTACAAGTAAATTTTTTGAATTTTTAAGATGTCTAGATCTAATTTATTTCCTCACATGTGAATCCCACTGCTATCTCAATATAACATTCTCCACATAGCATTCTCACTATCTCTAGTTGAAAAGGAGCAGAACAGTATAAAGTAACTTGACTGTAGACGATTCTTCCAGAAGTATTACATATTATTTACTAAATCACTTTTGTCGAGTTCTTTTTTTTACAATTTTTTGTTGTTTGTTTTTGGAGACAAGTAACAATATTTTCAGACATCTGACCAATAAGTCCTCAAATTCCATGATTCCCTAAGAGTAATGCTGAAAACTATTTATTTCGTAGCTGGGGTTTGTACTTGATATGCCCTCTGCTTGTTAGACTGCTAATGGTGTTTATGATTTTTTTTAAAAAGTCTGAGGCTGAATCCAAGCTCACTGGTAAAGAGTTTCTGCATGAATTAGTGATATCTCCCTTGGAAGTGAAAGGGAATGGTGGCATATGCTAAATATATGGCACTTCTTATATTATAAGGTCCTCTTCTTTCCCTCTTTCATGGTACTTCTTTTATTTAAAAATTTGGTCACATCCAAGATTTGTCTGACGTCAAGTCTGTGGACAGAAATGCAACCTTCAAAACATTCTCTAACTGTGAAATGCTTCTAGGCTCAAGAGATATTTTTGCCCATGTGGTAGATTACATTAATGGCCAAATTCTTTACCCTCCTGGTATCTACACTCTTTGCTATGTGACTTTGCAGTTATTCCTACGAAAGGAATAGACTACCTTTTTCCACTTCTCCACCTCTCAACTCTGAGTTCAACTACGTGACTTGCTTTGGACGACAGAATGAGGCAGAAGTCAGCAGGGTATGGTGGCTCACACCTATAATCCCAGCACTTTGGGAGGCCGAGACAGGTAGATTACCTGAGGTCAGGAGTTTGAGACCAGCCTGACCAATATGGCAAAAACCCATCTCCACCAAAAATACAAAAATTAGCAGGGCATGATGGTGGGCACCTGTAATCCCAGCTACTCAGGAGACTGAGGCAGGAGAGTCACTTAAACCCAGGAGGCAGAGGTTGCAGTGAGCTGAGATCACACCACTGCACTCCAGCCAGGGTGACAGTGTGAGACTCTGTCTCAAATAAAAAGAAAAGAAAAGGAAAAAAAAAAAGAATGTGGCAGAAGTGATGGTTTACAAGTTCCAAGCCTAGGCTTCAAGAGACTGTGTATTTCTTCCTGCCCTCTCTCATCACAAGAAGGACATGTTCCGGGTAGCCCAATAGTCCCAGGAAAATTATGAGAAATATGTGAAGCAGAGTTGCTTCAGCTTAAGTGCTCTAGCCAAGCCAAGCCCAAAACAGAGATTATAATCAATGGGTAACTTGCAACCAAGCCCAGCCAAGATTGAGTGAGACTAGCTGAAATCAGCCAACTCTCAGGCAACACACCAAATGAGTGAGCTATGACAATAAGTTATTACAGTTTTAAGATAGCAATAACTAACCAGTACAGCCAAAAGCCTAATACAAAGTTATTTCTAGCTGTTAAAATCCTGGACATGCACAATCTGTACTTGGTTCAAGTCTACCTTTTGCACTCCTCAGGTAATGGAGCTCCTGGAGCAAGTCACAGCCCTCTCTTATCCCCTCTTAAGAGCTTACCTGGGTTTGCCTCAAGTCCAGAAGAGGCTTTGCAGGCAGGACTGCTGCTCCCTGCGTTTGGCTGCTCAAGGGAAGATGAGGTTGAATTGTATGAAATTGTCCCAGCCACAGGAGGTGGATTGATAACTGCCCCGGCAAAAGGAGAAGAAGGTGTTAGATGACTGACTCCTTTCTTAGGTAACAAGAAACGAAGTGCACATGGGACCACCCCACTCCTGCCCAATGCCACAAAATAAGTCATCTTTAAAACATAAGCCACAAGGCATCAAAATAGTAAAGACAGCAGGGACTATAACTCATTAAATAGAATAAGGATATCTGAGTCTATATTGATAAAATAATAAATGAATACATAAATAAATTAGTGGAGATGAGAAAAGCTCAAGAACACCAACAAAGAAATAAGGACGGAGTTATGGTAGTTAGTAAAAAAAAAAAAAAAAAATCACTATTTGGCAGCCACCATATGATAACTGATTTGGGGAAGTTCATGTGTGTAGGCTAAAACCTGTGAGTATAATTTTGATGAAGACAAGATATTTATACAGTCTCAAAATATCTCCCCACAAAAGTATTTTTTTGATTAAAAAGGAAAGGTGGTAATACTGCAGTGGAGAAAGCTGGTGACCACCACCAGAACCATGTGATCAAACTTAATACCAACAATGATGGGACAAGCCAACATCATATGCCTCCTGATGCAATGGAAAAATTGCAATAAACCACATTATTGAGACAAGAGGCAAAAACAGAAGACAGCATATAGCTTAGGTAACTATACTATATCAATGTTACATTTGCTGACAGAAAACTATAGTTTTTATGTTAGAGAATACATGAGAGACATCAAAATTACTAAAGGGGCATGATGTTTGTAACTTTCAACTAATTTAGGAGAAAAAATATATATAATATATATTTGTATTTATATATAACGTATAAATATATATATTATATATATAGTTCGCTCTCTCTCTTTTTTTTTTTTTTTTTTTTTGAGACAAAGTTTCGCTTTTGTCGCCCAGGCTGGAGTGCAGTGGTGCAATCTTGGCTCACTGCAACCTCCTCTGCCTCCCCGGTTCAAGCTATTCTCCTGCCTCAGCCTCCCGAGTAGCTGAGATTACAGGTGCCTGCCACAACTCCCAGCTACTTTTTGTATTTTTAGTAGAGATGAGGTTTTGCCATGTTGAGCAGGCTGGTCTCAAACTCAAACTCCTGACCTCAGGTGATCCGCCCACCTAAGCCTCCCATAGTGCTGGGATTACAGGTGTCAGCCACCACGCCTGGCCTATATAGCTCTCTTTCTCTTTTTTTCTCTCTCTCTACTCTTCCCCTAAGTTTTATATATACATATACACACACATACACACACACACACACACACACACACACACAAATTTAGGAGAAAATATATATACCTATATATAAATAATTATTTATTTATATATAAATAATATATTTACATATTTTTGTAAAAATGTAAATATATTTACATATTTACATATGTAAATATATAGTATATTATATATAAATTTAAACTATATAATATATTTTATATATATTTAATTTTTTTCTCCTAAATTTTTTTTTATATATACATGTAAATAACTTAGGGGAAGAGTGGAGAGAATTAAAGAGAAAAAGAAGGGATAGAGAAAGGGTAATAATAAAGCAAGGATGGCAAAATGTTAACAATTGGTTTATAACCAGGTAAAGCATATAAAATACACAGGATTTCTCTGTCACCTTCTTGTAACTCTACTGAAAATATACAGGATTTCTTTGTCCTCTTCTTGTAACTCTGTGAGTTTGACAGTATTTCCAAACAAAAAGGGACTATTTTGTATTTTAGAAAAGGCCATTGTACAAAGTAGGATGCTGCTTTGCTAGCTGTGTTGCTGACTGGTAGCTGATGAGGTGAGAGGTGACAAGGGGTACAGACATTCTCAATAACACTGGTCACATACAGGACACAGCATGGCAGTACAGACAATTGTCAGAGAGAACGTTCATCTACGTTTCAACACAGCCACAGTTCAGTCAACAAGGACATTCCCAGCAGCCAAGAAGGCAATAAAATAAGTAAACCAAGCAAGAGAGATACCAACCCATAGCACTTCTAACTGAATAGCCAGTGGTTTGTCAAAAATCAGAATATACTAAAGTGCCAGGCTCTATGTTTTTTTCTCCCAATATATAGGCCTTCTGAATTTCAAAGCATACTGGAGTGATTCTGAACAAAGAGAAAGCTCTGGTGATTCAGAAGACATCTGAGTATCTTGTAAAATTTCAGGTTCATCCTTATGAATGTCATTTATCACAGTTGCATCGATACGCAGACATGCTAATTAAGTAGATGATTACACTCTTCTGTTCCCCCAAGAGAACACATTGCAATTACAGTAGAACAAGAGAAGACAGCCCACTTCTGATGGCTTCAGGTAATACTAAAGTGTACACGCCAACTTAACTTGGTGACAACCTTAGCCACAGAAAAACGAATAAAATTCCCATAGGGTCACAGGCAACAACCTCTTCCTTCTCCATCCTGTACTATGACAGATAACAATGTGGCTGGAAGTTGAGCAGACTGGAGAATTTTGAGCAAACAAGGGTCAAGGGGAGTTTTCACACACAGAAATCCTCTCCACAGACCCACCACAGGAGAACTATGTTGATCCTGCTGAATAACTTTGGTCCCCCACTGCCTGAGGGAGGAAACTGTTCTTCACTCATTCCTTCCACAAGTGTATGCTGTATATTGGCAGCACACACCAAGATGGTGTGATGTAGTGGTTAGAGTTCTGGCTCTCTTAATACAGTGTAATATTTAGGAATTAGATACGGATGTGAAACCCAATTCCATCACTTACAAGGTCTATCTTGGGCAATTTGTTGCTCCTCCCTGAGCTTCTATTTCCTCAACTATGTAAAGGAGATCATAATTCCAACTTCCCAGGGTTTGTGAAAAGGCTTAGATACCAAGGAAGCATCTTAGCTGAGCACTTAATAAATGTATCAATTATTGTGACAAAACTGGGTCTCTGACCATCAAAAAGCTGCATTCACAGGAGATGAAAAGACATACAGAAAAAAAGGGGCTAGGATAATATGAGGTGAGAATTGTCTAACACAGTCATTCTCAAATGTTGCTGCATATTAAAATTACCTGGGGAGCTTTTTAAAAGTCCCAATGTCCAGGCCACACCCCAGGACAATAATCTCACACTCTCTTGGAATGGCACTCAGAAAACAGTATACAGTGCATTTCAAATTCCATGGGTGATTCCATTGTGCTGCCATGTTTGAGAACCATGGATAGGATATATTCAAGGCTCTATGAAAGTCTGGAAGAAAAGAGATCCAGTCCTTGCTAGAGGGGATGGGAGAACTTAGGGAAGAGTTTGCAGAAGAAATGCCATTTGAAAGTTAGGTGAGATCAAATCCAAGGTAAAGTGAATAGCACAGGTACAGAGGGAGCAATGCAAAGGATATGTCCAGTAACCACAGAAAACATGTCCACTAAATGCTAACTGCTCAACTGTAGAAGAAACATGTAATAGGCACAGACAGGCCCCAAAGCACTACAGGTTTTGGACCAGAGATACATGAAATTACGATCTCAGGTTAGAAAAAAAAAAAGGACACAAAGATGTTTTTGACATGTTTTTGGTAATGAGCTCAAACAAAAAGAGTATGATTCAAATAAAATTCCTCATTCACTAGTACTTTGGTTTGTAGGGATTTAGTTATATTTACACCTAAACTTGAGGTTCAGATGAAAACCTTTTTCAAAAATCACCTCTCAAATGCATTATGCTGAATTAAAGTTATCAGTCTCAAAAAGCTATCTACTATATGATTCCACTCCTATGACATTCTGGAAAAGGCAAAACTGTAAGAACAAAAACACAGATCACTGGTTCCCAGAGCTGGAGGTAGGACTATGAATGCACTATAGAGAAGTACAAGGCAATCTGTCTGGAAGGAGGCCACTGTTCTATATTTTGATGGCAGTGGTCATTACTCAAGTATATGTGTTTGTCAAAACACAGTACAGTAAAAAGAGTACATTTTACTATATATAAATTATACTTCAATTTTGTTTTTAAAGCAAGAATAAATCATTTTTTCTTTGCTGGAGGCATTAGAGGCAATACTCACAAGCCCCCATAATACACATTGACCTAGAGCACTACAAAAAACTCTTGACGTCAAAATTTTGCATCCTGTCTTTCCCCATGGCCAGATATAAACTGCTTTGGCATTTCTTGCCAAACCTCTCCATGGAGTCTTCCTAGTGTCAAAGGCAGGAATTCAGATCCTCTTTCTGGGATCACTGCGACTCCAGAAGGCATCTGTCTTCCTTCCTCACAAAATGCCAACTGATGCCACTGGCTGATTTAAGCAATAGCAAGGATGCCCTGCCCCACAGGGAAGTAGTTCACATCCTGAGACTCAAGACTGCCGCTTTCACTCACTATCCACCATTATACCTGGTGGTAACTTGATGTATAAAACAGACATCATAGATTAAGAGGTCAGACTGAGACTTGATTCCTAGGTGTATCTAGCCATCGACTGAGACTATAATTGGGTTTGAAAATAGCCAGCATTTGACTATAGAGCTAAGCTCATTTGACTATAGAGCTAAGTATAAGTTGCAGTGAACTGCAACTTACACTTCAGGTTGGCCTCCCTGGTTGTTCTCTGATTCATGTAAAAGGAAACTTACCTGTTTGGATGCCTAGCTGGCTGGTTCTGGAAGAGGCTGAGAGAAAATCCTGATCCCAGATGGGAGAGTTTTGACTATATACTTCTTCTTCTAGCATGGACAGAAATCTAGACACAAGAGTAATAGCAATAAGATTAAAAAAAAACTACTGTAAGGATAACAGCCCTAATTATCTGTGACAATCACCTTAACATCAGCGTCTCAAACCTTCAATCAGAAATATAATGGAGAATTACAACTCAAATTATGATTTAGTTGGGCAGCCCTGGTATATTCAAATACAGAAATGCATTTATACAAATGTTTACTCTTTTGACCCTGCATAGCTTAACACAGCACAGGATACAGACATATGAATTACATCAGTAGAAATGCATTAATCTTCCTCAGTGAATCTCAGAGCACGATTTCAGCCCTCCATATAGCTGCACTGTCACTGTCATTACCATCATAAAAGTTACTAATATTTATCGAGTGCTTGCTTTGTGCCTGCACTGCTCTAAGAACTTCTTACTGAATCCTCACATCAACCCTATGAGTTATATATTCTATTTTTATTTGTCACGCACATATATAGCTCTTACTACATGATAGGCAGTGTTGTAAGTGGTTGATGTATATTAACTCACTTGATCTTTATAACGACCCTATGAGATAAAATTCATACCCATTTCACAGATGAAGAAACTAGGGCACAGAGAAGTGAAATATTTAGATCAAATTCCCACAACTAGTAAATGGCAGGATCAGGATTGGAACCAGTGATTAATTACTATGCTAACTTTAAACTAAATGGATCTCAAGTTTTGGCAACCCATAGAAATCATCTGGAAACCTTATTAGAAATACAGATGCTTATCAGAATAGGGCAGGTGATTTAAAAAGAATAAAAAATTAAAAGAGAAAAAAAGAGAAAAGAAATACAGATACCTAAGTCCCTCTGAGGCTTACTGAATTTTTTTCACCAATAAATGGGAGAAAAACAGAAATAACTAAAAGCACTAAAAATAGTTCAGAGTGGTGAAGCTATCAGTGGTCTTCTTCATTTTTTCCCTGAACCAAATTTTCTTCACTTTTAGAATGAAATATAGATACACAACTTAAAAACAAAAACAAAAACACTTTGTAAATAGGTGAATGGGGAAAGAGGCACACATTAAAGCCAAGTGGAAAAAAAGGCAGCACATATGAAGAATAGGAAGATAAGAATGTAAGCCCTGAAAACACATCTGAGAATTGCAGAGACCTCCCTGGGTGCTGGGAAGCCGGTCCCAGCTCTCACTCTGAAACAGTGCCCAAGACTCAAATAATACCTCAGGCTTCAACATGTGTGGTTCTGCTGCCAAAACTGTAGGTATAAATCCCCAATAGCCTTAAATGTTGTCATATTCGGTGAAAAGGATTTAAAAGGAGAAGTGGGTGGTAGTTTTACCCCACCATTAGTAATAGAGAAGAAAAGAAGGCAGCATTGATGTTTTAGCTCCTAGCATAAGCATGCCAGAACTATGGGCTGAGGGAACAAAACACACTATAATTAGCAAATACCTGCAAGAAGCAAAATGAATTTGTTATGGGAAAAAAATTTATTATGCAAAGTAACTAAAATTTCTCTTTAAATACCATAACAGGTGTTGGGAAGGGAGGAGTCTTCTTTGTACCTTGACTCAGAGACAGAATGACAACTATTACCTGAAAACATAAAATGCTGCTTATATGGCAAATGTAATAGATACATAAGTAAGAAAACTGCTTCAATCTCTAAGGAAAGGAGCTTACATCAGTTAAAAGACACTGAAATACATGAGTGTGCCCTAATTTCATAACCCATTTTGGGAGCAACATCCAAACTGCAGTTTAAGTGCTTCAGAATCTCCCTCCACAGAGGACAACAAAATGTTCATGTCATGACTTAGTCTCATGTACTGGTTCTCTAAAGAAAAATTTGACAATCAGGTTGTTGAAATATATGTGCAAATATTGGGTGTTTGGCCAAAGCCCATCAGAATTACCCATGACATCTATCTAAGGTTTAGGATTTGGGTTAAACTGCCAAGGAATCTTCAGTCAATTTCTGTCAGAAAACCATTTTATTTTTGTTGTTTTGAACCTAACTTATTGTTATGAATTAAAACTCTATCTTCACTGAGACAAAAATTCCATAATCTAATAACACTATCTGAATAATAAAAATCTAGTTTCTCAAACAAAACAGTGTTTCATCAATCTTTGATCAAAGAATATTTCCTCTCAAATTCTATTCTCTACATCAGCAGTTCAGAATGGCATGGGGAAGGAAGGCTATATCATACCTAGCCAGCCTTTTCAAATTACGCCTTTTACCTTCCTGACCAAGCGCTGATCTAGGCGGAATGATAATCACAGAATGAACTGTCTCATTCATTTCTCGCTGTTACTGCTCCATGAGAAGTCATCAACTGCACCCTTGGCCTATCCCACCAGCATCCAACCGCTTAGCTTAAATTTTTGGTTTTTAGCATTAAAAATGCATTTCCAAGGCCAATGGTGCAGCACTGCAACTTTCTATTGCTTTGCAGCATTTCCTTCCATTTAAAATATTTAAATGATCATTTATGCCTTGGAGCTCTGACAGGTGCAAGAAGCAAGGAGCACCAAAGTATGCCTATTCTACAAGAAATTTAGTATAGAGGTTCATCACGCTGAAGGAGCTCTCTATTCCTCTTCATCCCTGCTTTTGCAGTCTAGTTTCCAAAGAGTGGGGGCAAGTCTACTATAGCTGAGGCAGGGATGGTTCACCAGTGCTTGGAAAAAGTTGGAGAAATTGAACGGAAAAAAAAAAAAAAGCCACTTGAGCTCTTTTGCACCATTTCTGAGTGGCTGGAAAATGTACCTAAACATTCTCCCTCATCGTCCTAGAGCTTCCTGGCCGCTGAATATACAAAAGAAAGCACTGCCCCATTCTATGTGAGTCAGAGACAATGACTCAGGTAGGACGAGGAGGGGATAAGGGAGCAATGACGGCAGTCAACCCAAAGTCAGGCTAATAAATGGACTGGAAAATACCCAAGAAGATTCACAAAGGGAACTGAGGGTCTTTTCTCCCATCCCCTTGGAATGTTTCTTCTGTCATTTCCGATCTTGTTATTTATGCAGGCTTTGGCATTGTATTTAGCAACCTCAAGCTCTGGGATCAAACAAAGACCAGCAAAAACTCTCCCTTACTTTGGGAAATGAGTGAGGATTAGAGTTCGTTTTTCAAGAGGCAGTTTATCTTTTTCCTGTCTTGCTTGTTCCAGGAGTTGTCGCCTCATAACAGTGAAGACCGAGCGAAGCAATGTTCTCCCAAACACCTGTGTGGTTTCGTACCGAGGTAGACTGTCGCAGAACTGTGGCACGTTGCAGTAACACAGCCACCTGTGACAAGAGAAGTCAAGCACCATCAATATCCCATAAACCCCCAGGTCATCAGAAATATTCAATTATGTTTATCTCGTACTATTAACTATAGCAGAAAAAAACTAGGCCTGCAATAACAAGCAACAATATCCCTGCCAGCTAGTGAAACTTGGGAATGCAATTAGATTACCCTTACATCACCACTTGTGTCTAATTCTGTTAAAATCACCTTATTCTGCAGCATCATACAGTGAGTCCTGGAATGAAACAGCCCCTGGGATCAAATTCCAGCTGTGTCACTTAACTAGCTGCATAACTTTGAAAATTTGATTACGCTATTTAGCCTTTCCTTCCTTACCTGTAAAATGGGGACAACAATAATACCTACTTCATTGGGTTCTTGTGAGCATTAAATGAAATACTGTATATAAAATGCATAGTATAACTGGAGTTACTGGCACATTAATGGTAGTTTAGATAAAAGAAAAAATTAAAGGAGAAGCTGAGGAAGACCCTTTTGTGAAAGAATCAGAATTAACCACCTAGTCCTTTGAGTAAAATGTAAGATTTATTTAAAATGCCTACACAGCACTTATCGGAGGTTTGGTGGGAAGATAATGATCTTCAGGACTGTTTAAAACTCAGTCAAAAATGTAGGAAGTATTAAGCTTCTACCATTTGTCGCCTAGGTACATTTTTCAACGACTCAGACTCAAAGTCAAAAATGCACCTCAGCATCACTGCACGACGCTGGAGGAGGACCCAGACCAGAGGGAAGCCAGGACTTTTCTTGAGATGTGACCACAGTTCTAGGGTACACTGACAATACAGGTCATCTAATTTAGAAAGTGCATTCGGCCAACATACAGTGGAGAGTAAAAGTCTATTCAAAAATAAACCTCTTTTTCTTTCTTTTTCTTTCTTTTTTTTTTTTTTTTTTTGAGACAGGGTCTCACTGTGTCACCAAGGCTGGAGTGCAGTGGTACAATCTCGGCTCACTGCAACCTCTACCTCCTGGGCTCAAGTGACCCTCCTACCTCAGCCTGCCAAACAACTGGGACCACAGGCATGCACCACCACATGTGGCTAATTTTTTCTTATTTTTTGTAAAGACGGGGTTTCACTATGTTGCCCAGGATTGTCTCGAACTCCTGGACTAAAGAGATCCACCCACCTCGGCTTCCCAAAGTGCTGTGATTACAGGCATGAGCTACCAAACTGAGACAACCCTATTTTTTTTTTATCTCCCAGAAGTGAAGATGTGAATTTCCCAGGACCCAAAAACATAAATATAACAGTGGTAGCCATGGAGGGTGGCACCAAACGAGGAAAAGGTCAAAAAGCATTATTCCACAGATTCTTATTCCTTCAGAGCAGACCCAAATCATCCTCTTCTAGGAAAGGACTGCCTTCCAAAAATCAAACCTCTCCTCCCTATGTGCTTTCCTGTTCTCCTTTCAAATGGGAGACAGCTTTCTAATGCGCCCAAGCTGCTACAAAAAGCTCCCAATGAACTTTGAGCCCTTTAATGAAGAGAGGAATAATATTAATTTATTCATGCTCCTGACTTTTTTTTTTAAATCTTATTCTGCATTATAAAATATTTTGCCTGTATGTGTGCTAGTGGTGGAAATGGTGGTGGCTGTGGCAGTGGTTCACCTTTGGAGAAAAAGCTTTCATTAGTGTTAGTTCATCTGCCTACATTAAAAATTAACCTAAAATTTCTGCTACTATTTCTATGTCTTCTCTCAACTTTTTTCCTTTAATAATTTACACCCAAATGTTGTTTATGTTTACAATACTGAAATGGGTATCTTAAGTGTTAATGTTGTCTTTTGTCTGAAACAGTGATCTTGGTAGCAGAAAAAAATTATAAAGTGCATTTATTTTGTAATTCATAAGGTGCTTCATATAGAAATTCATTGCTTTCAAAGCCAATTGTTTGCTAGATGTTAGTCTGTGGCCACTTAATTAAGTTAAAAGAATGGGCTGGCTAGGCATGGCATGGTGGCTTACACCAGTCATCCCAGTGCTTTGGAAGGCCCAAGCAGGAAGATCGCTTGAGCCCAGGAGTTCAAGACCAGCCTGGGCAACATAGTAAGACGCCCATCTCTACAAAAAGTTTAAAAATCAGCCAGATGTATTGGCACATACCTATATTCCTAGCTACTTGGGAGGCTGAGGAGGTAGGATCACTTGAACCTAGGAGTTCTAGGCTGCTGTGAGCTATGATTGTGCCACTGCAATGCAGCCTGGGTGACAGAGTGACAGAATGAGACACTGACATGCTATCTATCTATCTATCTATCTATCTATCTATCTATCTATCTGGGGCTGAGGGGAAGTCAGATCAAATAACTAGTAATGAAACCATAGAGTTAAACAGTCACAGATCTTCATAATCAGAAGTTCAATTTCGTGAGACTTAGGCAATCACAAGACTATCTGTAAGAATTAATATGGTCATGTCTTTCATGTCTTGCTTAACAACGGGAATACATTCTGAGAAATGAGTCAGGTGATTTTATCATTGTGCAAACACTGGAGAGTGTACCTACACAAACCTAGATGGTAGAACCTACTACACACTTGGCACCTAGGCTCTATGGCAGAGGTCCCCAACTTTTTTGGCACCAGGGATTGCTTTCATGAGAGACAATTTTTCCATGGCTGGGGGTAGAAGGGATGGTTTCCAGATGAAACTGTTCCACCTCAGATCATCAAGCATTAGACTCTCAGAAAGAATGTACAGCTTAGATCCCTCACATGCACAGTTCACAATAGAGTTCAGGCTCCTATGAGAATCTAATGCCACCACTGATCTGACAGGAGGTGGAGCTCAGGCTGTAATGCTCACTCGCCCACCACTCACTTCCTGCTGTGCAGCCCGGTTCCTAATGAGCCACGGACCTATGGTGGACCATGGCCCAGGGGTGGGGGACCCCTGCTCTATGGTCTAGTCTATTGCTCTTAGGCTGCAAACCTCTACAGCATATTACTGTACTGAATACTACAAACGACTGTAACATAATGGTAAGTATTTGTATATCTAAATATACCTAAACATGGAAAGGTACAGCAAAATTTTGGCATAATCTTAAAGGACTACTGTCATTATATGTGGTCCATTGCTGACTAAAATGTTGTTATGCAGATCCTAAATTTTAAAAATAACAAAATATGTCCAATCTTCTGCAATGAAAGGTTTAAAGATTTATTGTCCAATAAAGCTTTCACTGATGATGGGGATGATTCTATGTCTCTGCTATCCAATACAGTAGCCACCAGCCATTGGTAACTATTGAGCACTTGAAATGTGGCTAGTATGACTGAGTTTAACTTTTAATTTTATTTAATCAATTTCAATTTTACTTTTAAATGGAAACAGTGTAAAATGTTTTCCCATTAAACACAACTTGATTGTTCTAGTAGGACTCCATTTAGTTTTAATTGTTTAAAATTTAGCTACTGAATTAAGATGTGTGAAAAATACACACTGGATTTGGCCGGGTGCAGTGGCTCACACCTGTAATCCCAGGACTTTGGGAAGTTGAGGCAGGTGGATTACCGGAGGTCAAGAATTCAAGACCAGCCTGGGGAACATGATGAAACCCCATCTCTACTAAAAAATATAAACATTAGCCAGGCATGGTGGCAGGCGCCTGTAGTCCCAGCTACTTGGCAGCCTGAGGCAGGAGAATCGTTTGAACCTGGGAGGCGAAGGTTGCAGTGAGCTCAGATCATACCACTGCACTCCAGCCTGGGAAACACAGCAAGACTCCAACTCAAAAAAAAAAAAAAAAAAAAGGAAAAAGCAAAATAAACACTGGATTTGGAGGTTTGAAGGACTCAGTACTAAGAAAGTAAGTATACATCCTTAATAATTTTTCACAATGGTTACATGGTGAAATTATATTTTTGTGGGTTTTTTGTTTTTGTGGTTTTTTTTTTTTTTTTGAGACATAGTATTGCTCTGTGCCCCAGGCTGGAGGGCAATGGCATGATCTCGACTCACTGCAACTTCCACCTCCCCATTCAAGCAACTCTCCTGCCCCAGCCTCCCAAGTAGCTGGGATTACAGGTGCCCGCCACCATGCCTGGCTAATTTTTGTATTTTTAATAGAGACAGGGTTTCACCATGTTGGCCAGGCTGGTCTTGAACTCCTGACGTCAAGTGATCCATCCGCCTTGGCCTCCCAAAGTGCTAGGATTACTGGCGTGGGCCACCGCTCCCAGCTGAAATGGCATTTTTTATATATTGGGTAAAAAATATATATATTATTGGCCAGGTCTGGTGGCTCATGCCTATAATCCCAGCACTTTGGGAGGCCGAGGAGGGCAGATTACTTAAGGTCAGGAGTTCGAGATCAGCCTGGCCAACATGGTGAAACGCCGTCTCTACTAAAAATACAAAAATGAGCCAGCTGTGGTGGCGCATGCCTGTAATCCCAGCTACTCGGGAGGCAGAGACGGGAATGGCTTGAACCCAGGAGGTGGAGGTTGCAGTGAGCCAAGATTGCACCACTGCACCCCAGCCTGGGAGACACAGCAAGACTCCGTCTCAAAAAAAAAAAAAAAAAAAAAAAAAAAAAAAAAAATATATATATATATATATATATATATATATATATATACATATATATATATATATACACATAAAATTCAGAATAATTTCTTATATCTATTCATTTTATACGTAGCTACTAGAAAATTTTTAATTATATATCTGGCTTGCATTTTTGGCTCATATTATATATCTACTGGACAGTGCTGATTTAGAGTCTAAACAGCATTTCCATCTGAGGAGAGATCTGCAAACGTCTAAGGCTCTAAGACTGACATTATTTCTGATACAAAGATGATAGGTTATAAATATTATCATAAAATCCTAAAAAGTTATCCAAAAGTGCTTTAACAGGTTATTCAATCTTCCCAGGGTAGAAGACAGCATAGATTGTTATTAGCTAGTAAAAATGTTCAAATAATGGGCTTTCATTCATTTCCTCAAAGTCATTTTATAGACCTCAATTTATACTTTTCAGCTTTTTCTTAACTTCCAAGATTAATCTTATTTTGTACTCTGTTAAATTCACTGTAGATTAAGACAATGAGGCTGAGTCAATGTGTGTGTGTGTGAGAGAGACAGAATGTGTGTGTGTGTGTGTGTGTGTGTGTACTTCTGGTGTTGTTTTAATAAATTGATTGATATTATTATTGCACACAGTGAGACAGAAAGAAGGAAACGGACGTGCATGAGCACATGTATTCCTCCAAAGAAGTAACTGTAGAAAAGATTTTACCTACATGACTGATTTCGGGTCTACTAAAAAGAAGCAAAATGATAGTTCGTTCATTTTTGTATGTCTAATAAAGATGGTATTTGCATGCTATTTTCTTACTGTTCAAATAACTCCCAGATTTTTCACATCATGATGATGATTTGTAACTTCTGTGAACAGAAATTAAAAATGTGAACACAGAAGACCATGTCATTCTACTGACTTGCTGAACTGAAAATCCTGTGGTTTTCAGGAATAAACTGATCTGCCCTAGTTCACAGGGACTGAGGCCCAGTTACTTAATTAAAGTCCAGACTAGAAGTCAGATCTCCTGTTTCCTAGTGTTCTTTCCATGCTTCCTGATAAATCTGTTCTAGACTTACATGTCTAATAATGAATGCTCAGTATACATGGCAATAGGCTGTACATCATAGAAGAATGGCTAAATAAAACTGTTTCCCAAAAACAAGTTAGTTCTAGCTAACTTGCTATGTATTCTTTTTCTTCTTCTTCTTCTTTTTTTTTTTTTTTTTTCAGACAGGGTCGTGCTCTGTCACCCAGGCCGGAGTGCAGTGGTAGGATCATGGACAGCTCCAAGCAGCCTTGACCTCCCGGGCTCAAGCAATCCTCCCACCTCAACCTCCAGAGTCGCTGGGACCACAGGCTCATGCCACCACAGACACATGCCACCACACCCAGCTAGTTTTTTATTTTTATTTTTGTAGAGATGAAGTCTCATTCTGTTGCCCAGGCTGGGCTCAAACTCCTGGGCTCAAGCGATCCTCTCGCCTCAGCCTCCCAAAGTTGCTGGGATTACAGGCATCAGCTACTGCACACAGCCACTCTGTATTCTTATGAAACATCTCCCCAGTGTGGGGGTAAGCTTTAACTTTCAAAAGTTCTACACAATTCAAAATCTAAGACTAATTACTTGCACTTTCCTTCAGCAGACTGTTGGACAGTTGTATTTTAAGAAGTCATAATCCTGTGACACTTTCTTTTTAGGTTATTTCTTCATGGAATTAAATAGTGTACTATCATGAAATTCAGGAACTTCAAAATATTTGCCCACATTTTTTTCTATAACCACAATTGCTCCTGGGAGTATATATAAGGTACAGTTAACATACACTTATGTAACAATATTTAGGTTGAGCAAGGTGGCTCACGCCTTTAATCCCAGCACTTTAGGAGGACGAGGTAGGCAGATCACCTGAGGTCAGGAGTTCGAGACTAGCCTGGCCAACATGGTGAAACCCCATCTTTACTAAAAATACAAAAATTAGCCAGGCATGGTGGCACGCACTTGTAATCCTAGCTACTTGGGAGGCTAAGGCAGGAAAATCGCCTGAACTCAGGAGGTGGAGGTTGCAGTGAGCTGAGTCGCGCCACTGCACTCCAGCCTGGACAACAGAGTGAGACTCCATCTCAAAAAAAAAAAAAACAAAAAAACAACAAAAAAAGAATACTTATATTTTTCTTTTCTTCAGAACAGAGAAGTAATTTAAGCAGTACTACTGTTCAGTCTGCTTTTAATTTTTATGGAATAAATATTTACAAGTTAGCTCTGTAATGAACACAATCATTTTCTAAGTCCAGTCTTTTCCACAAAGAATCCTGTTTAACTTCATTTTCAGACTGATATACTGCAAACATTTTCGGCACATCTTTGTTCTAATATTTACAGTAACTGCTGTAAGTTATAAGCTGAACCAGCGTTATAGGTCCTGAGGTTCTCTTACAGCAACATCAAGATAAAGCCTGCTGGTGCCTGCAGCCAGTAATATTACCCATTTTTGAGAAGATCAGTATCAGTGAGACATCATGCTGTGGTGGTATGTGGTTTTTTTAATTCCCCATGTGGTCATGGCAGTGAGGTTTTACTCCGAATATTGATTCTCCTAATTTTCACAGGTTGTTCCTCTCTACTTCCCTTTCCTCATCAACATGACGTGATGGTGGGGACGTGGGGGAGGTTGGTGTCATCTACCTTCATTTCCTTATTTATTATTAATAGGGGCTATTGGTCTACATTTCACCTAGAAATCAGCACGTTTCAGAACTCATTAGGGCATATTCATTTCTGTTTCTCTCAGCAAGTTTCTCTTTCCCATTGTCTGACTCCACTTTTTGCCTTCAGCTGTTGGCTCAGGAGGCTGGGCTATAAAGGACTCTTTTGCTGTTTTTCTATTCCCTGCTATCTTAATTTCTAAAGCGATATTCAAATAATTACACACTCACTCAATTATACATTTAAGGCTTTAGCTTAATAAGCTCCACATTGGCAGTGACTGAGTTTTAGAGAACAATGTGCATGGGAGGAAAATGATGATGAGCATCTTCCCAGCACCTGCTCTGTGTGTCAGAAACTACATACAAACCACCCATGGAATACTCACAAAAGTCATGACACTTGGACAGAGAAAGAAACCAAAAGTCTCTTTAGACCAGAGACTGGTCTAAAGCTCATGTAAAAAGGGAGAGATGGACCCACACCATTCAAACCCAGCACTCATCCAAACCAATTTCCATTTTTACTACTTCTTAAGTATTCATAAGTGCCACCAATTTCTTAGTAATTCTCAAAGGCTGCCTTGCATTTTTCTTCTGTTTTCTAAAATATCATAGCTGGGCACAGTGACTCACACATGTAATCTCAGCACTTTGGGAGGCCAAGGTGGGAGGATTGCTTGAGGTCAGGAGTTTGAGACCAGCCTGGGCAACACAGCGAGACCCCATCTCTATAAAAAATAAACAAATAGCCAGGCATGGTGGCATGTGCCTGTAGTCCCAGCTACTAAGGAGGCTGAGATAGATGAATTGCTTGAGTCTAGGAGGTTGAGGCTACAGTGAGCTATGATCATGCCACTGCGCTCCAGCCCAGGATACAGAATAAGACACCATCTCTAAAAAAAATAAAAATAAAAATAAAACAAAATATACTAATGTCTCCCAAGCTGCTTCACAATTAATTCTCCTTTTTCTTGATGAAACGATTATTTTCTCTGCTAAAAGTCGCAAATGCATTCAGGGCCCTGGCTTTGACAAATATTCAGCTTTGTCAATTGTTCACAGACGGGATTAAAAAATACATATTTTTGAGAGACTTATCGTCTCAACTCTTATTATAAACAAGAGTTTCAATAATATAGCAGAGTTTCAATAATACAGAACTATTGTTAATGTAAAATCCTAAAATGAAAGATACGGAAATGAAGATATAATTTAAAAACTTATTTTGAAGAAATCTGCAATTCCTATAAATATCAATTATTAAGGAGAAAATACTTTATAACTGAAATTGCATATATTTGCAAAAGTGAAGAGAAAGAGAGGAAAAGGGTGTGTTACACATGAAACTAGGTCAATGTCAGAGAGGAAAGCTTATTTTAAATTATACAATTCTTCCATGTTATCTGCTGTTACAGAAAATAACCTGGGCACAAGTGGTCTTGACAGGCTATCAAAAGATACTACTGCCCACTTTAAATCAGGAAAAAAGTAGGCACTAAAGCTCCCTAATGCAAGCTTGATGTGCCTCTGAAATATAAACAGAGAAAAGTTATAGAAAAGTTATAAAAAAGTTGAAAAGAATGGATGACCCAAGTCACAGTCCTTCAGATGAAAATAAATGTAGGTCCTTATATTTTGTATGGTACAAGTTTAAGATTTGTAAAACCAATTCTGTTATTCTGCAAGTAATAAGCAATAAAAATAAATTTCCACTTTAGAAGAAAATATATGTTCAATCCAAGACTATCTGCAGAGTTTGAATGTCCAGCAATAGAGAAATGGTTAGGTAAATTGTGGTAAATCAACTCAATGGACTATAATGTAACCTGTGAAATGTTTGATATGATATTAAGTGAAGAGACATAAAGGCTACAAAATTCTACATTTTCTTTCATTATAACTAATGTAAAATGTTATTTAAAAGGACAAAACCTGGAAGATAATATGTATAATGATGTCAGTTCCATCACAGTTCTGGAACTAAGCTAATCTTTCCTTTAAAAAAAATTTTTTTTTTGAGACAGAGTCTTGCTCTGTTGCCCAGAGTGCACGATCTCAGTTCACTGCAAACTCTGCCTCCAGGGTTCAAGTGATTCTCCTGCCTCAGCCTCCCAAGTAGCCAGGATTACAGTCACGTGACACCATGCCCAGTTAATTTTTGTATTTTTAGTAGAGATGGGGTTTCACCATATTGGCCAGGCTGGTCTTGAACTCCTGACCCAAGTGATCTACCCACTTTAGACTCCCAAAGTGCTAGGATTACAGGTGTGAGCCACCATGCCCAGCCTAAAAAAAATTCTTTAACTTCATTATATGGTCATTGCATTTTTTGAGTGAGGGCTCTAATTAATTTCAGAGTTATAGTGTAGCTATCTAGTCAACTATATTCAATAGATAAATAACACAAGCCACATATGGATTTTAAATTTTCTAGTAGCCACACTGGAATGGTAAAAACAGGTAAAATTAACTTCAATATATTTTATTTAATCCAATGTATCCAATGTACTATCATTTCTACATGTAATCAATATTTTAAAAGTATTAATGAGCAATTTTAAACTCCTTTTTGGTACAATCATAGAAATCTCAATTCAAACTAGCCACATTTTCAAGTGCTCATATAGCTAGTGGCTATCACACTGGGTATAGATGATTTACATCCCTCACACCTCAACATATTATGATAGCAATGAAAAGCAGGAGTTTGCAAGTTAAATTATAAAGACATTATCTCTGAATTGATGGAGTCATAATGATAACTAGGCAGCCCTATACTTATAGAGTCAAGTACAATTTTAGGTCTGTAACAGGCTTTATGGGGCCAAAGGAAAAGAACTTGCATCTGATTACCTTGTGTAGTTCTCTTTGTATCCAGAAATATCATCATTGGGAGATCGCAGTCTTCGTTGAGATGGTGCCTCCAGATGCCAATAGTTGATGCGGTTTAGGAACATTTTTGCCAACTCAACTATTGTTTGCCTTTCTTTTGCTGGCAGGTGACTAAATTTGTACTGCACAAAGTTATTCACACCCTTAAAAAGAGGGAAGGCAATTTCTTCATGCAGCTATGCAATCATACTAATTCTGAACACCCACACAGCCAGCATGATTGGTGGTTATTAGCAAAATAACAGACATTTCTCTATTCACAAAAATCTCTTCCTTTTCCCTAAAAGAAAATAGCAATCCCCAGAGGGAATCTTGCCTCAGATCACGGTGGATGAAAAGTGACAAGACAGAGAGGCTGTGAGTTGTGATTCTACGCCTGCTGAAATCCTGAAGCATTAAGGAGAAAATCAAAACCATGGACTGAAAAGGTCAAAACCCCTGAAACAAGAAAATATGACTGTTGTGCAGAATAATTATTGCTTTACTATCAGCAGAGTAGCCCACATATAATGCAGTTCTTAGATAAATATTGTTTTTACATTACAAAAATGCTAATCAAAAACCTGCTATCATGCCTACCACTGAACTAAACAACTAAAATTTAAACTCTTTACTATCATTTGTTTGAAGTCAATAAGCTTACCAAAATATATATATCATTCAAAATTATGGGCTTTTAAAAAAACTGTTAATTTAATCTTTCTACAGAATATTTCCATCTCATCTAATTTCAAATAAAAGAGCAATGAATTCTTATTTAATAGAGTTTGGAGGCAAAATAAAATTTACTGAAAACTGACTGATAAAAATGCATTTATTTTTAAGGATTCTGGTATCATGACTTCAGTAGTCATTCTCATCAAAAAATTCAGTCCAGAGTGTTTTTGTTTAGCCAAACAATCAAAGGCTAAAAAAGTGATGCTAATGAGAGATACTGACAACACCTAACAGAAAAACTCTTTACATTTTAACAGATTCCCTGAGTAAAACGGCTTCTTTCCAGGAATCATAATGTAGCAGGAAGTCCATTTCTGGGTACAAAATCTCATTTCTTTTTTGCTTTTTTTGCTTGACTTACAATGTTTTTCACATTGCTACTAAATCCCCTCACCTCAATAGGCTTTCTCAGACAGTGCCAAGCAAATGGACAAAGACTTCATTTTAAAGCACCAACAACAAGAAAAAGCACATTTCATGTGTTCTTCTTACAAACTACATGTTCTACTTAATGTTTTTCTTCCCCAAACACACAGTAAACTGTGAGTATGTAACAACCCTAAAAGGCAAAAGCTAGATCATGTATTAAATTAGGTATACACCTCTGATCCAAAGCCTCCAGGACAATTTCCACAGACTGGTAAACATCTCTAACCTGGGTATGGAGGAGGGAAGCCGTAGATAGAGATATAAAAGGAGGATTAAAAGATTTCTTCAGCCTTGAGCCAATAAAAAGAGGGCTTTTAAAATCTTTTTACCTGTTCAATGCTAGGTTTTTCAAATGGGGGTTTCTTTTCCAAAGAGCCTTCAACCACAGGTTTTCCTCTTTGTAAAATAGACTTTCTCAAGAGCTGCAAAGAAATCATTAAAAAAAAGAAAAAGAAAAACTTAATTGGTATGTCTATCTCTCTCTCCTCTCTCTTCTGTTTCTGTCTGTCTCTCTCTCTCTCTCTTACACACACACACACAGCCTTTAAAGGAAGTTACCATATTCTATTTATCTTAACTATATATAAACAAATCCTTAAGTCAATAAAATGGGCAACTATCAGGTAACCCAAATTGGCCTTCATGTCCACGGCCAGAGTTATGAAGAAATGGACACCTTTCATGTTCTGGGCAGCCTAGGCCACCCATGCTGGTCCAACAGACACCACCGTCCCATGCACTTCCCTCTTCTCCCCACTGTTTCTGGCTTTCCATTGACCCAGAGGCCTGGTATGCAACCCTACACACTTGGCACATGCCCATCCAGGCCACTATAGGTGTGCTGAAGCTCTAGAGGATCTTATTTAAAGACGTGAGAGACCAAGATCTATTCTGCACAAAAGAGGCCAGGGGACAGGAGCTGTCTACAGCAGCTGCACGGCATACGCATCATCTAGGGCACAGGCTCTTTAGGAAGAAAGTCTGCAGAGCTCTAAATGGGCAACTTTCACTGTTACAGTCTTTTTTTCATTTCCCTTCCATCCGTAGAATGCAGGCCAACTGTTCTGGCATCTCAATGCCCACAAAACAAAAACACTGCTCTTAATTCCTGCCACTGGAATTTAAAGCTCTCAAAGAGCAAACAGAAAAGGGAACACAGAGCCACTTACCAAGAACAACGCAGAAAATAAATTTGATATTGAAATTCTTTACCTTCGATCTTTGCTTGAATCTTCTGTAACTTTTACATGTGGGTCAGTTAGATATGGCCACACATTTATTTAAGTAACATCTTTCCCTCCTTTCTCGCTTACTGCCTTTTCAGTAGAAACAAAACATGGAAACCATTCTCTCAGGGGTAAATGGAACCTGATGAACCACCAAGATTGAAGATGACCATGTCTCACCACTGAACTGTGTCTTACAAGGACCTCAACTCCTTCCAGGGGTGCCATACAAATTATGAGTATGGGGCATCTGTTCATCCTTTCAAGTATTATGCCCATCTTTATAAAAGCAAATTAGCAATAAAGATAAGTCATTGTATATGTTTCTAAGAATATCTAAAGATTGGTCATAAAAATTAAATACAAATAATTCTGGTTGCTTACTTTTTTTCCCCAGTTAAAATAAGACCATTTAGGAACTTGGCCCATTTGGGGGTTTCAATTTGGAGGTAAACTGATGGATTGTGGAGATGTTGAACTTCAGTTTATCTATAAGATGATGAAGCTGGGATAAGTGTGCATATAAAAAAAAGTTCTTAATAGCAGCAGGCATTTGCATCCTTAATTTCAACAGACAATCTTCATGGTTCTTCACATATATTATCTCATTTAATACTTACAACCTTTTGAGGTAGGTGCTACTACTAACAAGGCAGATTAACTTGCCCAAAGTCACATTTAGTAAGTGATAGAGCAAAGTTTTAAACCCAGGTAGTTAGACTCCAGCGCCACATTTGTAAGCACTAAGATATACTTCAACTTTAGGACGCAGCTTTCCATTGGGTTTATGTTCAACATCTAAGACTGACTTTTTTTTTTTTTTAATTTGGGACGTTGTCTCACTCTGTCGGCCAGGTTGGAGTGCAGTGGCATGATCTCAGCTCATGGCAACCTCTGCATCCCGGACTCAAGCAATTCTCCTGCCTCAGCCTCTCAAGTAGCTGGAATTTACAGGTACACACAACCACACCTGGCTAATTTTTGTATTTTTATAGAGACAGAGTTTCACCATGTTTGCCAGGCTGGTCTTGAACCCCTGACCTCAGGTAATGGGCCTGCCTCAGCCTCCCAAAGTTCTGGGATTACAGTTGTGAGCCACCGTGCCCAGACTAAGACTGAAATTTTTTAATTCTACTAAAATATGTAACACATTTTTACTTTAATTATTGACACATGAGACACAGGAACTGCCTTTCTCTTTTTTTCTTTTTAAAAAATCATGGGCCAGATGCAGTGGCTCATGCCTGTAATCCCAGCACTTTGGAAGGCCGAGGGGGGAGATCACTTGAGGCTAGGAGTTCAAGACAAGCGTGGCCGACAATGTGAAACCCCATCTCTACTAAAAATACAAATATTAGCCGGGCATGGCGGCACACACCTGTAATCCCAGCTACTCAGGAGGCTGAGGCAGGAGAATCACTTGAACTCAGGTGGTGGAGGTTGCAGTGAGCTGAGATCACACCACTTCACTCTAGCCTGGATGACAGAGTAAGATTCTGTCTCAAAAAAGTTAAAATTAAAAAAAAATTTTAATCATTATTTTTGTTTTGTTTTTAGGAATTGCCTTTCAGAAGCTAAGGAATAGATTATTTATAACTTATTTGCCCAAGAATAATACTTTTTGCAGGAGGTGGGGAGAATGCTGAATATTTTGGATTGTGTTTCCACAAGCAAATATATTTGCACTGTTATTTTAAGATGAAGGAGGGAAGAAAGAGAGAGAAGATGTACTTTAAAGCAGAGCAATGCTTTCTGGCTTGTTTGGTTGGTTATAAACTAAATAGAGGCTGACAGGATGGAAACCTTGACACCACCTTCACTTCCAACAGGGTAGTGGGGAGCTGCCAGGGAGCACAGTTCCAAGACAAATAATAGCTGTAGTCAGGCAGACCTTGTTTTTCTTCAACTAAGATCTTTTTCCAAAGAAGCTCTAAACACTATGAACCTGCCAGGGTTCGAGCTGAATGACTCAAACCTCACAGCCATGTCAACAAGTTGTCACCTGGATGCCTAAAGTGGTCCAGTGCCTGCTAATGGCTGTGGGGAATCCAGCTGTTCATATTCTCTCTCTTCCCCCACTCTCTTTCTCTCTCTCTCTCTCTCTCTCTTTCCTATTATTCTTTTTAAAGTTAATATCCCCAAATTTAATATCTACCAAATTTTAAAAATATAATTCTACCTCCCACTCCTATCTCCTAACCACCCAAAAAAACCCATTAGTACAATAAAAGACAAAAGTTAATAAAAAGGGGGAAAGGCAAAATTATGAATCAAATAAGTTCAGACAAAGAAAAGAAAAGAGCTATAGGAACTGGGTACAAAATTTGCACTAAGATTCCTAGCAGCCAAAGCAAAAGAGGGAACTCACTGGAAAATTTAGCTGTTTTTGTCATATAAAAATGAAGTACAAATAAATATAAATGAGTTGAAGGAGAGTTATTATAAAATGAAGCACAGTGCTTCTTATTAGAAGAGGCAAACTTTTCCTACCCATAAGCTCTGAGTGCTTTTGTTTTGCTTTCAACATCCTTGTAAGGGTTACACAATACAACATAATCTACAATGCCCTCAGTAGCAGGTTTATTTTTTTTTAAGGTTATTCCTTCTGGCAGCCTCCTTTATAGATCTATTTTTGGCAACCTGAAGTTTTGCTATCCATTTCCACCACCAGTTTCCTTCCCACATCGTTAGTCCTGGCTCTAATCAGAAGCTTGAGGAGATGTATGTCTATAGTAGGGAATGGATGTGACCCACATGGAGCTGAGGTAGAACTAGTGAAGAGGCAGCTACGGGGAATGGCAGCAGTAATCGGTGACTGGTGTCAGTGAGAAACAGGTAACAGTGGCTAAGTTACCAAAATAAATTTGGAATATGTTGATTTCTCCTCTTAAAGCATTAGAGATAGGACTTACAGCCACTCCTCCAACTACATCTCCTCCCACCCAACCCTCTGCTCGCTGGGCTCCACCACGCTGCCCTCCTTGCTGTACAGACATCACTTCAAGCTCTCTTAGTGCACGGCCTAAAATACCCGTTCCTCCCTCTGCCTCGGAGTCTCTTCCCCTAGCACTTTGCACAGATGGCTCCTATCTCCCACTCAGGTTTCTGCTCAACTTCCATCTCCTCAGAGAGGCTATCCTAACTGACCTTCCTCGCTGGCATGTCCCCAACTCGCCACCATCCCTGCCATTCTGATTCCACTTATCCTACTTTGTTTCTCTTCGGCCAACACTTATCACCACCTGCAAAGGTATTATTTACTTGTTGACTGTCTCTTCTGCTGAAATATATATTGCATGAGGGGAAGAACTCTGTTTTGTCCACTGTTCTATCCCTCATGCCTACGTTAGTGCCACATGCAGAACAGATGTGCAATAAATATTTGTTGGGTGGATGGAAAAAATCTATTTGCATATGCAAACCAAGATACTCAACTTTGCATACAAGTGTAAAAGCCTCAAAGAGAATGATGTGTTCAAACTATGGTGGGCCATTTTAGAGAATCAGTCATGAAGAAACGTATTGTTCAGCAAACTCTGAGGGCAAAATGTACCAGGAGCTGAAAGCCTTCACAGCCACGACCTGGCATATGGAGACTGGGTACATTTGAATAATGAGAGAAAATGTTTTTAAAATGTTAAAATCTCACCTTAAATAGATAGAAATAAACTTGTTTGGTATCTGCATCTTCTTCCTTGTGGACACAGGTAAAGAGATATTCCACATCCAATACTATTCCCAGGAGTCTGTTCATTTCTTCCTCTGACACATTCTCCAGGTGGGAAACATGAGCAGCTTATGATAAGATCAAAGAAACATATGTAAGACCTCAATTGGAAACCAAACATTCCCCATTTTTAAGTGGAAGGTCCTCTTTCATCAGTCTTACCATCAATCCTTTAAGTTCACTGGTAATAAGAGAAAATTTCTGAACTCCTGTAGGACTGAAGTCTTCTCACAAAATCTACCTATAATTAAGAGACTACCATGTTCTTGAGCCTTAGCCTCCCCACCCAACGTTAAAAATGGGCTGGTGGCTAATGTATGCAAATAATGTATATTTTAAGAATCAGTACTGGTAGCATCAAGACTGGTCCTAATAGGGTCAACTTCTTAGGTTTCCATATAAGCAAATTCTCCACCATGTCAAGAGGGTTCTCTATGGTCCTAGTCATGAATGCAGGACTTGTAAGTTGGTGGTTCAGAGATGCAGAAAACCAAGCTCCCTAAAGGTATAGCTCTAAGTCCTGTGGAGAGCTCATTCACCAAAGAATATCATGACAGTGTAAAGACTGAAGGCCTTTTTCTTCAGCCTTTCTGATTGAGACACACTAAAACCTCACTGTCTGCTGCAAAGTCCCCACGGCCTATTTTAGCTTGACATTCAACATCCTCCGTGATCCAGCTGCAAACCCACTTTTGCATCTTTGTTCTGTTGTCTTACTATAGTTTTGTGACCTGTCCATTGACTCTCTCCTCACTCATCCCTTTGTGATCTCTTCTACTCAAATACAGTCCATCTTTTAAGGTTATTACATTTAATCCCCAATCCCATGCGGTCGGTATTAGTAATTGCATTTTACAATTGAGGAAACTAAGGCTCTGATATGGTTTGGCTCTGTGTCTCCACCCAAACATCATCTCAAATTGCAATCCCCACATGTCAAGGGAGGGACCTGCTGGGAAGTGATTGGATCATGGAGGCAGTTTCCCCCATGCTGTTCTCATGATAGTGAGTTCTCATGAGATCTGATGTTTAAAAGTGTTTGGCAGGTCCCTCCTCGCTCGCTCGCTCTCTCTCTCCTGCTGCCATGTAAGACTTGCCTTCCTTCTCCTTCACCTTCCACCATGATTGTAAGATTCCTGAGGCCTCCCCAGCCATGCAGAACTGTGAGTCAATTAAACCTCCTTTCTTTATAAATTATCCAGCCTCAGGTAGTTCTTTATAGCTGTGTGAAAATGAACTAATACAGTCTCAGACAGACTAAATATTGTTTCATCAAATGTCACTCAGCCAACAAGGCAGAGCTAGGGTTTGAAACTGAAAAAGGTTTGACCCAAATTCTAAAGCACCTACAAACATATTTTTGTTGACTAAATGATTCACTTCAAGTCCCTTTTCACTTGAAAAAGGATCCCTAGATAAACCATCTAATAATCACCCACTAGCCCAGGAACTTCTCTGGGCTGGAATCATGTCTTTTATTTCTGTTATCCCCAACATCTATTACTACGTTTGCCACATAACAGGAGGCGGCACCTCAAGAACGATCCTCTTAGGTATAGCTCTAAGTGTGCTGGCTTAAAAATGCTTGAAGATTAAAGTGCTTGAAATGATTTTTAAAGAAAGATTAAAATACGTATTTAAAAAGTGATAGATTTTTCCTCGTTCTTTTAAAGGGAGATGAAACTAAAGGCTATTGAGGAATATCTGCCAGGTGCTGGACACAGGTCAGTCTACTCTGGAGACCATGATGCGCTCACCATTGAACCACAATGCTCAGTCAGAAGCCTGGGATAGAGGATGCTGCTAATATCCACCTATATATCCCCCCTCCTTACCACAACTCTTGGTTTCCAACTACCAGCAGCTCCATTTGGCCTAAGGGCTTTTCTTATCACTGTAACCTACTCTGCCACCTATATACCCTCAAGAGCAGCTCTTAGCCAAAGACTAAAGAAGTTAGGGTATAAATACTCATTTCCTCACTCTTCAGATGGAATAACTCTGAGGTAAGTGTTCTACACCAGCTCCCAATTATTCCTGCACAGAATTGAGTACCAATTGCCCACAGTGAGAGCTGGCTTAGTAATTCACTCTTTATTGGCCACCTTTTCCTCAGTGTTTCACTTTTAACTCTCCTACTCTCAACCCAAATAAACTACTTGCACTCAAATCCTTGTCTCAGAGTCTGTTTCTTGGGGAACTCAAACTAACATGTCTAAACAAATGCATTTTCAGAGAGTTAAGAGGATTAAACACCAAGGGGTAGGGGATCCTGAAGGAGCAGGAGCAGCTATGTTTATATCAGACAAAATGGACTTTATGTGAAAAACTGGCTGGGCACGGTGGCTCACACCTGTAATCCCAGCACTTTGGGAGGCTGAGGCAGTCGAATCACAAGGTCAGGAGTTCGAGACCAGCCTGTCCAATATGGTGAAACCCCATCTCTACTAAAAATACAAAAATTAGCTGGGCATGGTGGTGCGTGCCTGTAGTTCTAGCTACTCAGGAGGCTGAGGCAGGAGAATTGCTTGAACCCAGGAGGCGGAGATTGCAGTGAGCCGACATCACACCAGTGCACTCCAGCCTAGTGACAGAGGGAGACTCCATCTCAAAAACAACAACAACAACAAAAAACGATACAGAGACCAAAAAGGGCATTATATAATGATAAAGGGATCAATTCATCAAGAGGATATAACAACTGTAAATACACATGTACCTAATGTTACAGCACCTAATGTTTGCTGTAAATATATAAAATATATATATAATATAATATAAAGCAAACATTAATAAATCTGAGCTGGGCACAGTGGCTCATGCCTGTAATCCCAGCACTTTAGGAGGACAAGGTGGGTGGATCATGTGAGGTCAGGAGTTTGAGACCAGTGGGGCCAACATGGTGAAACCTCGTCTCTACTGAAAATGCAAAAAATAAGCTGGATGTGGCGGCACATGCTTGTAATCCCAGCTACTTGAGAGGCTGATGGGAGAGGATCACTTGAACCTGTGAGGTGGAGGCTGCAGTGAGCCTAGATCATGCCACTGCACTCCAGCCTAGGCAACAGAGCAACACTCCATCTCAAATAAATAAATAAATAAATAAATAAATATGTGAAAGTAGAGATTGAATGAAATACAATAATAGTAGGGGACTTCAATATTACACTTTCAACAATGGATAAATCATTTACACAGAAAATCAATGACAAAGCACTGGGCTTGAACTATACTTTAAAGAAAATGGACCTAACAGACATATACAGAACATTCCATTCAATGAGAGTAGAATACACATTCTTCTCAAGTGCACATGAAATTTTCTCTAGGACAGATCAGATGATAGTCCATAAAACAAGTCTTAACAACTTTTAAAAGACTGAAATCATACCAACTGTCTATTCCAACCACACTGGTAGGAAAGTATTGGATTGGTGCAAAAATAATAGCATTTTTGCCATTCCTTTCAATGGCAAAAACCGCAATTATTTTGGACCAACCTATATAAATCATTAACAGGAGGAATTTTGGAAAATTTACAAATAGGTTGAAATTAAACAGCATTCTCCTGAACAACCAATGGGTCAGAGAAGAACTTAAAAGGGAAATTTAAAAATATCTTAAGACAAACAGAAGTGGAAATACAATATACCAAAACTTACAAAATGCAGCAAAAGCAGTTCTAAGAAAGAAGCTTATGGCAATAAATGCCTATATTAAAAAAGAAAAAAGATCTCAAATGAACAACCTAATGTTACACCTCAAAGAACTAGACAAAGAAGAACGAACTAAAGTCCAAAGTTAGTAGAAAGAGTAAACAAAAAAGATCAGAGCAGAAATAAATGGAAACAAGAAAAACAATAGAAAAGATCAACAAAACTAAAAGTTGGTTCTTTGAAAAGATAAAAAAAATGGACAAACTTTTAGCTGGACTACAAAAGAAATAAAAGAGAAGACTCAAAATAAGAAATGAAAAAGGAGACATTATAACTGATACCACAGAAATACAAAGGATTATAAGAGATTATGATGAACAGTTATGTCAATAAATTGGATAATCTAAAAGAAATGGGTAAATTCCTGAAAATGTACAACCTACCAAAACTAAATCATGAAAATATAGAAAATCTGAACAAACTAATAACAAGTAAGGAGACTGAATCAGTAATTAAATAAAAAATCTTCCATCATGGAAAAGCCCAGGACCTGATGGCTTCAAGGCTGAATTCTACCAAACACTTTAAAAAGAACTAATACTAATTCTCAAACTCTTCAAAAAGCCCAAGTGCAGTGGCTCATGCCTATAATCCCAGCACTTCAGGAGGCTGAGGTAGGAGAAATGCTTAAGCCTAGGAGTTCAAGACAAGCCTGCACAACATAGTGAGACCCTGTTTCTACAAAAAATAAAAATAAATAAATAAAAATTAGGCAGGTGTGGTGTCACATGCCTGTAGTCCCAGCTACTCAGGAGGCTGAGGTTGGAGGATTGCTTGAACCCACCCCACAAGATTGAGGTTGCAGTGACCCATGCTTGTGCCACTATACTCCAGCCTTTATGACAAAGTGAAACTCTAAAAAAAAACTTCAAAAAACTGAAGAGGGATGCATACTTCCAAACTCACTTTACAAGGTCAGCATTATACTAATACCAAAGCCAGACAAGGAAACTACAAGAAAAGAATATTACAGGCCAATATCCCTGATGAACATGGATGCAAAAATACACAACAGAAAACCAGCAATCTGAATTCAACAGCAGATTAAAAGAATCCTTCACCACGAGCAAGAGGAATTAATCCCAGGGATGCAAGGATGGTTCAGCAATAAATTGATACAGCAAATTAACAGAATGAAGGAGAAAAATCATATGGTAATCTCTAAAGATACAGAAAAAGCATTTGACAAAATTCAACATCCTTTCATGATAAAAACTCTCAACAAATTAGGCATAGAGGGAATGTGCTGTACCTCAACACAAAAAGGCCGTATGTGACAAACCCACAATTAACATCACACTCAATGGTGAGAAGCTGAAAGCTTTTCCTTTAAGATTAAGAACAAGAAAAATATACCCACCCTTGCCACTTCTTTTCAACGTAGTATTGGAAGTCCTAGCCAAAGCAATTAAGTAAGAAAAAGAAATGAAAGTATCCAAATCAGAAAAGAAGAAGTTAAATTGTCTCTGCAGATAACATAATTTTATAAACAGAAAACCCTAAAGACACCACCAAAAAGCTTTTAAAACTAATAAACAAACTCAGTAAAGTTGCAGGATACAAAATCAACACACAAAGATCAGTACCATTCGTTTTTTTTTTTCTTGTTTTGTTTTTTTGTTTGTTTGTTTTTTAATAGAGATGGCTTCTCACTATGTTGTCCAAGCTGTTCTTCTCAAATTCTGGGCTCAAGCAATCCTTCCACCTCCTAAAGCATTGGGATTACAGGCAAGAGTAACCATGCCCAGCCATGTTTCTGTATACTAACAACAAACTATCAAAACAAAACAAAAAATCAAGGAAACAATCTCATTTATAACAGCATCAAAAACAATCAAATACCTAGGAATAAATTTAGCCAAGGAGATGAAAGATATGTACACTGCAAACTATAAAACACTGATGAAAGAAAGTAGGCCAGGCGCAGTGGCTCACACTGGGAGTCCCAGCACTTTGGGAGGCTGAGGCAGGCAAATCACAAGGTCAGGAGCTTGAGACCAGCCTGGCTAATATGGTGAAAACCCATCTCCACTAAAGATAAAAAAAATTAGCCGGGCATGGTGGCGCACGCCTGTAATCTCAGCTACTCAGGAGGCTGAGGCAGAAGAATCACTTGAACCTGGGAGGCAGAGGTTGCAGTGAGCTGAGATTGCGCCATTGCACTCCAGTTTGGGTGACAAGGTGAGACTCCATCTCAAAAAAAAAAAAAAAAAAAGTGAAGAAGACACGAATAAGTGATAAGATATCTTTTATGTTCACAGATTGGAAGAATTAATACTGTTAAAATGTCCATATTACCCAAAGTGATCTACAGATTCAATGCAATCCCTATCAAAATTCCAATGACATTTTTCACAGAAATAGAAAAAATAATCTTAAAATCTGTACAGAACTACATAAGACTCCAAATAGCCAAAGCAATCTTGAGCAAAAAGAACAAAGGCAGAGTCATCACACTACACTTGATTTCAAAATCTACTACAAAGCTATCTCAATCAAAACAAAATGCTACCAACATAAAAAACAAATACATAGACCAACTGAACAGAATAGACAGCCCAGAAATCTATCCATTTACAGTCAACTGATTTTCAACAAAGATGCCAAGGGGAAGGGACAGTCTCTTCAATAAATGCTGTTGGGACAACCGGATATCCACATGCAAAAGAATGAAATTAGACCCTTATCTCATACCATATACAAAAACCTATTCAAAATGGACTAAAGACTTAAATATAGACCTGAAACTGTAAAACTACTAGAAGGAAACATAGGAAAAAGCTTCTTGACATTGGTCTTCGCAAAGATTTTTTGAATATGATCAAAAAGCACAGGCAACAAAACAAAAATAGACAAACTGGATTGCATCAAACTAAAAAGCTTCTATATAGGAAAAGAAACAATCAACAGAGTAAAGAGACAACCTATGGAATGGAAGAGAACATTTTCACACCATACATTTGATGAAGCTAATATCCAAAATATATAAGGAACTTATACAACTCAATGGTAAGAAAACAACCCAATTTTAAAATGTGCAAAGGATATGAACAGACATTTCTCAAAAGAAGACATACAAATGGCCAACAGGTATATGGAAAAATGTTCAACATCACTAATCAGAGAAATGCAAATTAAAATCACAATGAGATATCACTTCACGCTCAGGATAGCTATTATCAAAAAGATGAAAGATGAGTGTTGGCAAGAATGTGAGGACAAGGAACCCTTGCACACTGTTGGTGGGAATGTAAATTAGTACAGCCAGTATGGTAAACCATATGGATATGTCTCAAAAAATCCAAAACAGAACTACCATATGACCTGACCCAGCAATTCCACTTCTGGATATATATCCAAAGAAAAGGAAATCAGTATGTCAAAAAGACATCTGCATTCCCATATTCACTGCAGCATTATTCACAATAGCCAAAATATGGAATTTACCTAAGTGTCCACCCCAACAAATGAATGGATAAAGAGAATGTAGTATATGAACACAATCAAATACTATTCAGCCTTAAAAACTAAGGAAATGGCCAGGCACAGTGGCTCACACCTGTAATCCTAGCACTTTGGAAGGCTGAAGTAGGAGGACTGCTTGAGCCCAGTTCAAGACCAGCCTTGGTAAGATGGCAAGACCCTGTCTCTACAAAAAAAAATTTTTTTTTAATTAGCTAGGTATGGTGGCTCAGATCTGTAGCCCTAGTTACTTAGCAACCTAAGGCAAGAGGATCCCTTGAGCCCAGGAGTTTGAGGCTACAGTGAACTATGATTGTACCACTGCATTCTGGCCTGGACAACAAAGTGAGAGCCTGTCTTAAGGCTAAGTGAAATAAGCCAGGCACAGAAAGACAAATACTGCATGATCTTATTTGTATGTAGAATCTTAAAAAGTCAGAATCACAGAAGCAGAAAGTAAAATGATGGTTATTAGGGACTTGGAACGTGAGGTACGGGTAGAGATGCTGGTCACAGAGTACAAAGTTTCATTTACACAGAAGTTCTGGAGATCAATTGTGTGGCATGGTGACTATCATTAATAATAATACATTGTAATTATATAATTGAAAATTGCTAACAGAATCAATTTTAAATATTTTCACCACAAAAAATTAAAAGTATGTGAGGTGATAGATATGCTAATTAGCCTGATTTAATCATTTTATAATATATACATCTCAAAATATCACATTATACACGATAAATATATACATTTTTATTTGTCAATTAAACCTTAATAAAACCGAAAAAAATAAATTATTTTCTCATTTTAATTAACATATAATTGTACATATTTATGAGGTACCCAGCAATATTTTGATACATTTAATATACAGTGATCAGATCAGTGTAATTAGCATATCCATCATCTCAAATATTTATCATTTCTTTGTGTTGGAAACACTCGGTATCATCCATCTAGCTATTTGAAACTAGATATTATTGTTAACCACAGTCATCTTACAGTGGCATAGAACACTAGAACTCATTCTTCCTATCCAGCAGTAATTTTGTATCCTTTAAAAAATCTCAGCCAGGCGCAGTGGCTCACGCCTGTTATCTCAGCACTTTGGAAGGCCAAGGCAGGTGGATCACGAGGTCAGGAGTTCAAAAGCAGCCTGGCCAACATGGTGAAACCCCATCTCTACTCAAAATATAAAAATTATCCAGGCATGGGGGCACATGCCTGTAATCCTAGCTACTTGGGAGGCTGAGGCAGGAGAATGACTTGAATCCAGGAGGTGGAGGTTGTGGTGAGCTGAGATTGCACCACTGCACTCCAGCCTGCGAGACTCCATCTCAAAAAAAAAAAAAAATCTATTTGTTTTTAAATAACACAAATGTCCTAGAGGAAGACAGTTTAAAGGGCTTAAAATTAGAGAGGTAGAGGCCACCCACCTTTCATTTCTAATACAGAAAAGTAATTGAAAGGCAGAGTGATGGACCCATGATGAGGAATATGCATGGGTGTGCACCCCAATACAGCATTTTTGTGGGGTGGGGCAGTGTCAAGACAGGGTCTCCCTTGGTCATCCAAGCTGGAGTGCAATGGTGCGATCTTGGCTCACTGCAGCCTTGACCTCCTGAGCTTAAGCGATCCTCTGACCTCAGCCTTCCAAGTGGCTGGGACTATAGGCGTGTACCACCATGCCTGGCTAATTTTTTTGTATTTTCCGTTGGCGCAAAGTTTCACCATGTTGCCCAGGCTAGTCTTGAACTCCTGGGCTCAAGTGATCCTCCCGTCTCGGATTCCCAAAGTGCTAGAATTACAGGTGTAAGCCACCATGCCCAGACTCCAATACAGCTTGTTTTTCTTCCTTTTTGTTTTTGTTTTCTTTGAGACAGTGTCTCACTCTGTCACCCAGGCTGGATTGTAGTGGCACAATTATGGCTCACTGCAGCCTCGACTTTTCTGGGCTCAGGTAATCCTCCCACCTCAGTCTCCCAAATAGCTGGGACTACAGGTGCATACCATCATGCCCAGCTAGTTTTTGTATTTTTATGTAGAGATGGGGTTTCACCATGTTGTCCAGGCTGGTCTCGAACTTCTGAGCTCAAGCGATCCATCCACTGTGGCCTCCCAAAGTGCTGGGATTACAGGTGTGAGCCACCATGCCCAGCTCAAAACAGCATTTTTAAAAGGTAAGAAGAGAGGAATTAATCTTTATAATCTGTCTGACTTCAGCAGTATTGAATAAAATGTCAACACTGTATTATTACATTATCAAATAGAAAAAGAATAATCAATTAAATTGTTTCTAAGTATATAAATAACTTACATCATAGAAAAATTACATGTAGGCAGGGCGCAGTGGCTCATGCCTGTAATCCCAGCACTTTGGGAGGCCAAGGCAGGTGGATCACCTGAAGTCAGGAGTTAGAGGCCAGCCTGGCTAGTGTGGCAAAACCCTGTCTCTACTAAAAACACAAAAAATAGCCGGGTGTGGTGGTGCATGCCAGTAGTCCCAGCGACTCGGGAGGCTGAGGCAAGAGAATCACTTGAACCCAGGAGGTGGAGGCTGCAGTGAGCCAAAATTGCACCACTGCACTCCAGCCTGGGAGACAGCAAGACTCTGCCCCCTGCAAAAAAAAAAAAAAAGAAAGAAAGAAAAAAGAAAAATTATGTGTGTGTGTAAACACAAAAATTAATGTTTAAATATATTATTTGCTGTTTGACTATACAATACGTTACCTCATCACTTTCTAAAAGATACCCAAAATCAGACTTCATCTTAGGTAGAACATTTGCTGGGTCATCTTTTTCTTAAGACTGCAAAATTTTCCTTGAGGTCAATCTGAAGCCTTTGGGAAACAGGCCTCATTCTGCAGACAATTAGGTCAACATTTTTATGTCAGTTATTTACAGAAATAATTTTATTTAGGACTATTTTTGTCTTATAAACTTTTTTTTTAAATTAATAGACATAGAGATGGAGTCTCACTATGTTGCCCAGGCTAGTCTCAAACACCTGGGCTCAAGCAATCCTCCCACCTTGGCCTCCCAAAGTGCTAGGATTACAGGTGTGAGCCTCTGCATCTGGCCTGTCTTACAAACTTTTAATCTCTTTTTGTGATAAGCTATGAAAGCAATCAGTATACAATATCAAGTAAATTCCTTCAGATGCTCCATAATATGAAACCATCTAATTAAGGTGCTACATATAGTAGGTTTAACTCATGGAAGTACATGCCATGATTTACTTTTGAAATAGTAGCTTACTTTTTCAAAGCCCCAAAACACTTTACCAAAATTAATTACTAATCAGAATTAGAAGGAGTTGCTCTGGATGAAATAGAGGTGAAAGCTTCTATTTTTAGAAGGCTCAAGAACCCATCCCATTCCCTTGTTGGGATTCTGCAGCTTTAAAACCACTGTTTAGAACCAACTTTTTGCATATTTTGAAGAGTAGCCTGATAAAAATTAAAATGCTTAAGTGAAACCTGAGGAGGCTCATTTCCCTCTGACTCTGCCCATAATGAAATGTGCTTGTGGTTTTGTGATTTTTTTTTGCATTTATTAATTATTTATTTATTTATTACCATAATGCAATATGTGATCTCTCCTCAGAGCTCTGTATGAAACCCAAAGTAGAAAGGAATAGGGAGATGGAGATGGGGGAAAATGTAAATAAAGCAGCAACAGTTTCCCAGAAGAGAAGAAAGAGGCTCCCCTGTACAAAGGGTGAGTAACTTTCATAGCAGAAGAGGATAGCTCTTACTCTGAGAATGAAATAAACGCAGGTCTGGAGTGGTAGGGGGAGCACTGAAGCAGGAGAATATTGTATGAGAAAGGTTAAGCTTCCTAGAATAAACAATGAGGTGGAGGAAGATCAAATGAAAGTAGATGGAGTGGACAGTCTGCTGGAGAAGGGTGGAAAAAGGTCCAGACAAGTTGTTATCAAAGAGAAGCTTCCCTGTAATAAGAAAGCCAGACAAGAACAGCTATGACTACACTATATAAATACGTAGTTGTCTAAATGTGCCAACTTCTCAGACCCTCCAATGTAGCCCCTCTCCAAGGAGGCCAACTACAGATCCCTTTTGACCAAAAATCCTTTTCAGCTCTCACCTAACTCAATCTCTGAGGAAGTAGCGCTGAACTTTCTGTTCTCAACAAATACACATCACCAGCTAACCTCTTCTCCAGCTCCAATCTTCCCCGAACCCCACCTTCCATCCTCCCTATCCCAACAAAATAGGTGCACCACCATCACGGAAAATGACTCAAAGACTGAACTCCTCATGGCCCTCCTCAAAATGGCAGCTACCTCTTGCTGGCCCTGTTTCTGCCAACAAGCCCATCATTCATTCCTTTAGTGTCCTTTACCTTCCACACATTACCAGCCACCAGACTCCACTGAGCTTCCTCATTCTCTCTCAGAGACACTGCATTTCCCCATCCTACCTTTCTTCCATTGGAATGTCAAACCTACTATAATAAAATAGCCCCCTAGACTGTTCTCTCTGCTGCCAGGGTAGTCTTCCTAAAATACCACTTTCCTTAAACAACCCCATCTCTACCAGATCCAGAGACTACTCCTGGCTCTTTGGGGATGCTGACCAGAATTAGACTTGTTTAACTTATCTCTAGATTTACCAGTCTCCTAATTAATCCCAACCCATGTCAACACCCAGGTGAACCTCACTCTAACTGCAAAGCTAAACTATTTACTATACTGACAATCAATTCATATTAAACCAAAAAGAGTCATTCATTATTAAAAGAAACCCTTCTCTTAACCTTTTATTAAGAAGACTTTTTGATGCAAATAGGCTCCCTTCAATTATCTAAAAGTATGTTTTCTTAAAGAGATAGGCCTCTATTATTTATGAGTCTAGGAGCATATTATTAAAAACTAAAAAATAAAATAAAAATCTATAAACTACAATGCACAAATCTATAGCAGTCAACCTGCCACAAAACTCAAGATATGAAGTCGCTGCTATGTAAAACTTTGATGTATCGCTCCCTAATTTAACCTCCCTCATCAAGATGTGCATCAATGTACACTGTATCAGTAGTGAGAGACTATTCCTTTTTCCTGTGCTCTGCCTACAGTGGAGAACCATCCTCGGTAATTTAACCAATCTTTTGAAAATTAATAAGCACCCCCTACTGTTTTGATCTGCATTCAACGGAAGGCCCAGGGAGTTGTTTGTTTTTCATACTACTGGCTGTTTGTATTTGATCTCCTGTGTACCTGCCAATTTGAGTTCCTTTGCTTGGTTTTTAAGATGTTAGTCTTTTTCTTACCACCTTGAATAAACCTTATGTACTACCTTTAGTCTGCCATACTCATTGCAAATGCTTACGTATTTGGTGGGGAGGGATTTTTGGTTTATTTGGTTTGGTTGTAGAAAAATGTTAATCTTTTTAGAAAGCCATATCTACGTTGGCAGTTCTTTAAGGTTTTGCTTGCAAAGGTTTTTCCTACATAAACAAAAAATAACAAAAAATGTATTTTTCCTAGCTCTTTAAAGAGTTTGTTTTTAAAATTTAAAACATTCCTCCATCAAAATGTCAATGTTATAAAAGTCAACAAATAAAATAAAATGCTGAGGAACTCCAGATTAAAGAAAACTAAAGAGACATGACAACTAAACAGATATGTGATTCTTGAGTGGAGGCTTAATGGAAAGGAAAATATGTTATAAAGAACATTTTTGGGTCAACAGATAAAATTAGAATACAAACAGTAGATTAGATAAAGGTATTATATTAATGTTAAATTTACTAAAGTTGGTAATTGAACTGAGGTTATTAAGAGAAAACCGTGGCCGGGTGCAGTGGCTCAAGCCTGTAATCCCAACACTCTGGGAGGCTGAGGAGGGCGGATCATTTGAGGTCAGTAGTTCGAGACCAGCCTGGCCAACATGATGAAACCCCATCTCTACTAAAAATAAAAAAATTAGCTGGGCATGGTGGCAGGCATCTGTAATCCCAGCTACTTGGGAGGCTGAGGCATGAGAATCATTTGAACCCAGGAGGTGGAGGCTGCAGTAAGCCAAGACTGCACCATTGCACTCCAGCCTGAGCAACAGAGTGGGTCTCCATTTCAAAAAAAGAAAACCTTATTATTAGGAACTGTATATTGAAATATTTAGGGGAGGAAGGGCTATGATATATAAGTAACTTATTCTCATATAGTTCCAGAAAAACAAATTTATACGTAGAGACTCATATATATATATATATGAGACTCTCTATATACATTTATACATATATATATATGAGCCAATGACAGCAAATAAAATAAAATGTTACTAATAGGTAAATCTAGGGAAAGGATTTATGGGATATTCTTCGTTATTATTCTCATGACTTTTATGTAAATTTTTAATTATTTGCAAATTAAAAGTGTTTTTACAATCTTTCCTCCACCTGAATTTGATCATTAAAGAATCCTGCTTTTACTTTAAATAGTCTTCCAAGAGCCTGATACAAAGCATTGATATACACTAATTACCCAAGATTGACCAACCCTTGAGCTGTGGCAAAGTTTATTCCTTTTGGTGGGCCACAGTTCCCCCAGTGTCCACTTTGTGTGAAGGGCACAAGAAAGCAGACAGAAGGTGCAAGTGAGGGGACGAGGGGAGGCTTTGCCTTCTTTAGATCACTCCAGAAGGGTATACCTTGGCACCTCTCAGTGCTGTGTCAGACTTGCAAACACCCAGGGTGCCAGAGAGTGACCCGCCGTGTGACTGCTGCCAAGAATCACGGTGCAGCTGTCAACCTTGCTGAGAACAGGAAGCACACTGTCACTGTGTGCCGTGACCCTCACTAACCTCTGGCTCCGTGTATCATTGGCCTGCACTTCTCGTGAAGACAGTCAGCCAGTCCTCACATGCCCTGCAGTGTGAACAGGCAGCAGCTGGGCAGGCAGCTAACATGTCCCTGCTCCTCTGGACCAGAAGCAAATAACACAATAGGATTTGAAGGCTGCTCAAATACATTTTTTGTTCATGGGAATTTGGCATCGAGGCTAGAAGAGGTAAAATTAATGACTACAATGAAATCTGTCAAATTGACTAATGTGCAAAAGGCTTATCATTTAAAAGTGGTTTCATTTTCTGTAATCTCAGATCTGGAATGAAAAAAAAGAGAAGCCTAAGAGTAAGAGCCCATTAGATGAGAGCAGTCCAGTAGAAATATAATGCAAGCCACATATGTAAATTTAAGTATTCCAGTAGCTGTGTTTAAAAAGACAAAAGAAGCAGGTGAAATTCATTAAATAATATATTTTATTTAACCTAATATATACCAAAGTATTATTCTTTCAATACGTATGCAATATTAAAAGTTACTATTTACATTCCTCTTCTTGTACTAAGTCTTCAAAACCTGTGTGCATTTCACGCTTACAGCACAATTCAAACTAGTGAAATTGCAAGTGTTCAATAGCCACACATGGCTAGTGGCTACTGTGTTGGACACAGCAGGTATAGATTATAAACTTTGAAAGCTCCTCTGCAAATATATGCAACCAGCCCTCATTTTACCATTATTGAATTCAATGACTATTTACCAACAAAAGAATAAGCACAATTATGCACAACGAACTAAATATATTACAAACTAGAGAAAAAGTCAACTCTTAATCACAGTTCAGTACAGATTGGTATATAATTATAGTTATATAAGAAGGAACATTGCCACAGAGCTCTAAGAAGGCCTTTATTCTCTCTACAGAGTTCTGCAGTCAAGCCTTGGAGGATAAGCAGAATTCCCTGGCAGAAAATGAAGGAAAGGCATTGAAGGTGGTGTGAGCTTCCAGATCTAAGGCAGAGGTGGGAGAAAGTTCAAAGAACCTTTGGAGAACATGGAGCAGCCTGATGGCCAAAATGCAATGAAGATAATTGGAGAAAAGCTTTGAAAATAAAGAGGCCTCAATGAACTGAACCTGCTTGCTCAACTACAGATCACCCTTCACTCTGAGGATAATGAGAAGCTCAGAGGGGTTAAGCAGGAGAATGGGATCACATTGTATCATCACTTTATGGGAAAGCCAGGTATGCAGGAATGGAAATAAGAACTCCAGAAGCTGCAGCAGACACAGGCAAGGAATAATGAGGAAAAGCCTAAATTCAGCCAGTGCTAGAGGCAGGAACTTGAAGGGAGTATCAAACAGGATTTCATGACCAGAGGACGTCAGGGAGACATAACTTATACCAAATGAGCAGAGAAAATATTACCAGTATTATCCCCTTAACTCCTGCTGTGCCCGACCCACAGCTCCTGAAAACTCTGAAACCGGCATCTGAAAGGCTGCATTAGCCAGCAGTGGACATCCAGCCAAGAGGAATATGCTGGCTCAATTCAGGAGGCTGTGTCATTGTGCTAGCTGGGCCCCATGTTTACGTCCTTTGGCATCTGCACAGTACATGTATAAATGGGAACTGAGGGGGCAATTATATGGTACAAGTCTATGCAAATGTCGTATGATCAAAGAAAATGTGTTGAGTCAAATGATCTGCCTAAATGATTTAAATACTTGAAATATCCATGAGAAAAATACTGGTATTTTCTTCATAATACTCAAGAAGTAAGCTCTAGTGTGATTGTTAAAGCTAACTCTTGACCTTCCTTAAAAATCTCTGGGAGTCTCAGGCCAGAAGCGGTGGCTCACGCCTGTAATCCCAGCATTTGGGGAGGCTGAAGCGGGCAGATTACCTGAGGTCAGGAGTTTGAGACCAGCTTGGTCAACATGATAAAACCCGTCTCTACTAAAAACACAAAAATTAGCCGGGCATGGTGGTGGGTGCCTGTAATCCCAGCTACTTGGGAGGCTGAAGCAGGAGAATAGCTTGAACCTGGGAGGCAGAAGTTGCAGTGAGCCGAGATTGCACCATTGCACTCCAGCCTGGGTGACAGAGCCAGACTCTGTGGCAAAAAAAAAAAAAAAAAAAAGAGGCCAGGTGTGGTGGCTCATGCCTGTAATCCCAGCACTTTGAGAGGCCGAGGCGGGTGGATCACCTGAGATCAGGAGTTTGAGACCAGCGTGGCTAACTTGGCAAAATCCACTCTCTACTAAAAAATAATAATAATAATAATTATAAAAATTAGCTGGGTGTGGTGGTATAAGCCTGTAATCCCAGCTACCTGGGAAGCTGAGGCAGGAGAATTGCTTGAACCTGGGAGGCGGAAGTTGCAGTGAGCTGAGATCGTGGAGATCGCGCCACTGCACTCCATCCTGGGCAACAGAGTGAGACTCCTTCTCAAAAAAAAAAAAAAAGCTCTGGGAGTCTCTTTGAATCAATTCTGGTTGTAGGGTGAGGGGTCTGCCTAACTCAAAATTTTAAAAGTTAACAGAAAAGAAATTCCCTACTGTAAACAAGCAGAAAAGCAAGGAATCTATAGTGACAAAAAACAGTCAGTTCCCACTGCTGAATGTGTACATATATATATACATATATATACACATATATCAGAAAAAGATGATGAAGGGTGCGGTAGCTGTAATCCCAGCACTTCGGGAGGCCGAGGTGGGCAGATCGCTTGACCTCAGGAGTTTGAGACCAGCCCAGGCAATATAACAAAATCCGTCTCTACCAAAGATACAAAAAAAAAAAATTAGCTGGGCATGTTGCTGCATGTCTGTGGTCCCAGCTACTCGAGAGGCTGAAGTGAAAGGATCGCTTGAGCCCAAGAGGGGGAGGTTGCAGTAAGCTGAGATCGCACCACTGCACATCAGCCTGGACAGAAGAGAAAGAAAAAGGTGACAACACTGAAAAATAATCAAAAAACCTCTAAACTAAAATATTATTACTAGACAAATTTAATAATCAGTCTATTCTGAAACAGTTCAGAACAATGGACTCCAAAATAACAATAGAAATTCCAATTATGTTTTGATCACAAGGATTTGTTTCCTACTTTCCTGCTCGTAAAAACAGGCTGCCTTTTTATTTATTTATTTATTTATTTATTTTTGAGACAGGGCCTCACTCTGCCACCCAGGCTGGAGTGCAAGTGGTGCGATCTCGGCCCACTGAAACCTCTGCCTCCCAGGCTCAGGCCATCCTCCCTCCCACCTTAGTCTCCCGAGTAGCTGGGACTAAAAGGCACATGCCACCACACCAGCTGATTTTTGTATTTTTTGTAGAGGTGGAGTTTCGCCATGTTGCCCAAGATGGTCTCGAATTCCTGGGCTCAAACAATCCACCTGCCTCAGCCTCCCAAAATGCTAGGATTACAGGTGTGAGCCACCATGCAAGACCCAAGCTGCTTTTTAAATAGCAGTCCCAAAATAAGAAAAATCTTTATTAATACTAAAATAAGGAGAAATGCTGGGACCAACTAAAGCACTTTGTTAGATCCCTTTGTCAAATTTTTGTAAACTGAATATTATTGTGCCAATCCCAAATATAATTTCAGAGAATGAACTAGAATATTCTAAACCAGCACAATTCAATAGAAATACAATGTGATTTTTAAATTTTCCAGTAGAAATAATTTTAATAATACATTAACCCAACATATTCAAAATATTATCATTTCAACATATAATCAATATAAAATATAATTACTGAGACATTCTGCATTGTTTTTGCTTATGATGTCTTCAAAAACTGTGTGTATTTTACACTTACAGTATATCTCAATTCAGAGTAAACACATTTCATGTGGCCAGTGGCTACCGTATTGTACAGCATAGGTCTAGACCAACCATTTCATTCTGTGGATGGAGATACTAAACAGCAAAAAGGTTAAGGAACTTGGTAAACTGCAGGGCCAAGCTAGAATTCTTTTCTTGGTTTTGTTTTGTTAGAGGTGGGGTTTTGCTCTGTCTCCCAGGCTACACACACAGTGGCCCCATCACAGCTCACTTTGGCCTCAAACTCCTGGGCTCAAAGGATCCTCCCATCTCAGCGACCTGAGTAGCTGCCATTACAGGCACAAACCACCATACCCAGACAGGCTAGAATTATTACTTCCTAGTTCCCAACTGAATGTTCTTTCTACTTGATCAGACTATCTCACTCCTGTGTTTTATGTCCATGAAACACAGAACAGTATTAAATTATGGTAGACCAAAGATGTCTGGGATGAAAGAAATTGTCAGGAGACTACACAAAACCACAGCTCCAAAGAACATATATGGCTGAGGCAAAAGAAACCCAACATTTAATCAATAGAATTGATACTATCTCAATCAATAAGCCAGTATGTTTTGTTCTGACAAATTCAAGAATATTTCATTTCGTGTGTACAATTACTGGTGAGTAAATCAACCATGCTCAGAATGGTGACTACTGTATGTGAAAACAGAACAACAATGTATACCAACTGAAATGTATTTGAGAATTCAGGCTTGCGTAATTCCTAACAGAATTCCCTAGACCCCAACTTGTACTTTGTCGGTAACAATTAAGAAGATATCTGCATGAATAAGATAAGAAAAAATGTAGGAAACTTGCTAAAATACTCTGGCAAATAAAAGCAGGGGGTTAGATACAACAAAATTGGCAAATGTAAATAATCATTAGAGCTGGGTGCTGAGTCCAAGGCAGTTCATTCAACTATCCCTTCTGCCTTTACGGGTGTTTGAAACTTTCCATTAAGAAAAAAAGTTTTTCAAAAAGCACGGAAAGGAGGGAGGAAGGAAGAGTAATCTCAGAAAAAGGTTTTCTAGAGCTGTTATACTAAGACCAATAAATAAACACTGGCATTCCAACAATAATTCCAAGACCACTTGAAAATGTGCAGTAATTTCAGTTTTAAGAAAGCAGACTAAAGAATAGAGAAGAAACAAGGAAGAAAGGAAGGAGTAGGGGGAAATATTTTTTAAATACCTATACCCCCCGTACCCTGAGAAAATCAGTCAGCAACTCAATATACATCCTTCCAGACCTTTTCCTGATCATATATATTAAAATACATGTTTGTGGTATAGTATGAAATATACTTGGTCTTTGTCCCAGTTCCTGTCACAAGCTCTTAAAACCCTTGGGATTTCCTGAGCAGGAGGAGTATCTTTTATTGTTCATCATGAGCCCCTTTCGATCATACCTGAGTTTATGCTAATGAGGTGACTTAAGATAGTGCACAGATAACCCAGGATGAAGCTGCTCACCAGAGAGACCAGGTTATTAGAAGATTAAAGGATTGGAACCTTCAACCCCACCCATCAATCTACAAGAAAGGTAAGGGAGGGAAAGTGTAGAGATAAAGCCGTATGAAAAAAATTTTTTTTTTTTTTTTTGAGATGGGAGTCTCGCTCTGTCGCCCAGGCTGCAGTGGTGAGATCTCGGCTCACTGCAGCCTCTGCTCCCAGGTTTAATCGATTCTCATGCCTCAGTCTCCCAAGTAGCTGGGATTACAGGCTCAAGCTTCCAGGTTGCTGAACATGTGGAGGTGCCTGGGGGGTCGTGCACCTGGAGAGGGCAAGGAAGCTTCACTCCCCTTCCCCAAACCTTGCAATGTGCATCCCTTCATCTGGCTGTCTGTGTATCCTTTATATTAAACCAGTAAACTGAAGTGTTTCCTTGAGTTCTGTAAGCCATCCTAGCAAATTATTGAAACCAAGGAAGGGGTATGATGGGAACCCTGATTTATAGCCGGTAGGTCAGAAGCAAAGGTCATAACCTGGGACTTGCAATTGGCATCTGAAGTGGGAGCACTATTGTGGGACTGTGCCCTTAACCTGTGGGATGTGATGCTATCTCCAAGTAGGTCATGTCAGAACCGAAATGAATTATGGGACCTCCAGCTAGTGTTCAGAGAGTGGGAGAATTGCTTGGTGAGTGAAGAAAAAAAAAACCCACACATCTGGTCACAGAAGTGTTCTGTGTTGAGTAAAATAGAAAAAAGTTTTATACTATTATATTTTCTTTTTTCTTTTTTTTTGAGACAGAGTCTCGCAATATCGCTCAGGCTGGAGTGCAGTGGTGCAATCTCGGCTCACTACAACCTCCGCCTCCTAGGTTCAAGCAATTCTCCTGCCTCAGCCTCCCGAGTAGCTGGGATTATAGGTGCTTGCCACCATGCCCAGCTAATTTTTGTATTTTTAGTAGAGACGGGGTTTCACCATGTTGGCCAGGCTGGTCTCGAACTCCTGACCTTGTGATCTGCCAGCCTCGGCCTCCCAAAGTGCTGGAATTACAGGCGTGAGCCACCACGCCCGGCCTTATGGTATTATATTTTCTAAAGTAATAAAATGGGATCATACTCATGAAACATCAATGCTGTTTCTGAGTCAGCATCCTGTATTTGGGAAAGGACCAACTTCTTAGTTCCCTTGGGGTAAACTTCAGAGTTAAACACATAACAGGCACAAGCTCCTCCACAGGGTATTTAAATCCTGAACCAATACTCACAGGGACAGAGGCAGTTGGAGTTGAATCCTAAATGATTCAGTGGCAGCAGACTGAACAGAAGCTCTGTGAACTTCTGCAGCTGAGATCCCCAAACAAGATCAAAACCTGTTTTCCCATTGTTTTCAGCTTCTAGAAGCTACTAGTACCCTTCTTATATGCATTGTTTTCTTATTTAAGCTAGACAGAGTATATATCTGCTGTGTGAAGTAAAAGAACCCTGATAGTGTTATAGTACCACTACTACGAACAACATCAGCCAATAATCATGTATTTACATGCCAGGTACTATTCTAAGATTTTTTCTTATCTCATTTAATCCTCACAATGATCCTGCAAGGTAAATACTACTATGTATTAACCCATTTCAGAGTTGAAAAAACTGAGGTCCAGGCAGATTAAGTAATGTGCTCATACTCACAGCTACTGGTTATAGAGTTAGGATTTGAACTCAGGCTGATAGATCCAATAATTTAGTCCTAAATTATAAAACCTCCTATCAAGCTGCTTTATTACCTGATTTCTTCACAATCATCTCCTACATTGGAATATTTAGGTTGTTTCATGCTTTTTACTATCGTAAGTAAGGCCAGAAAACACTGTCACCGTCCTTTTAGTTTAATTTGAGGGCACATCTTAATTTACACACAGATTAAATTTCTGGCATGGATTTGCCAGGTCAAAGGATATGTGATTTTTTTTTTCATTCTTCATTCTTGATTATGTATTGCAGAATGAGGGCATTTGTTTTCAAAGCTTGGTAAGAAATAAAAAAGGAAACAAAGTTGGCTTTTTTTGTGAAGCACTGTCTCTGCCTTCAGGCATTCATGTGTGTTTACGTGCTTAGAATGGAGACAATCTGCTCGGCTAAGAAAGAAAGAAGATCCTGTTTTAAATGTTAATTGATGTAGGATAATAGGATTTCCCAATCAATAACAAATACACTTCAAGCCTAGGGCTTAAGGATTTCTTGAGTCCAGACATTTATTACGTCACATTTCCTGAGGCAATCCTAAACTCCATTCACTCCATTCAGAGTTAGTGATTGTTTTGTTTCGTTCTGTTTTATTTATTTATTTTTTTAAAAAGGTAAATTATAATCAAGGACAGTTCTCTAACTTTTGAAATTTTTGCTCTGTATTGAGTGCTTCAAAACTCAGAGCTCACATTGTTTGAGATACCAATTAAGTCAACAAAATGATGAAATTATTAGTGTGTTGCTTTTGTGAGATCAGGACTATTTCTATTTTCAGAAGGTTATTCCAATGTGATGACTTCTTGGGAAGATCACATTATCTACTTGTATGCTCTGTAAATATTGAAATACTCTCTGAGTACAAAATAAAATTTCAGACGACCTAACACCATGCTAACCTTGGAGGCGACACCATTTCTTGTAAGCAGGAAGCTCTAGAGAAATGATGGCATAAGAAGTCACCCACTTATAATGGTCAGGTGGAAAGAGCAACTACCTTAGCAAGAACGTTCTGCCCAGTGAGTGCTATGTCCTTGCAGTCACGGACAGCAAACTGGCCTTGTTGACATTTTGGGGGAGACTGTATAACTGAAGGCAGGAAAGTAAGAATAGTCTAAGATTCTTCGTGGACTGAAATTTTAGTATCTAGGAAAAACTAATTCCTCAACTTTTATCTACTCAAACAACACATGATTTTTTTAAATATTTTAATCATAAAACTAGTATTAGGACAAAGAACAACATACTAGCACAGGCCTTTTGAGTGACTGCAGCAGAGCCTACTGAGCCATCACTGACAATGATTATTTTGCAGGGTCAGATAAGAAAGTTGAAAGGGAAACCACCAGTAAACATTCAATAAACACAATAAAGAGCAGCCCAGTGAAGAAAGAGCTATCAGATACACAAAACTAAGGAATATGAAGATAAAATGAAGCACCCCAGAAAGTTCAGGGCAACAGAAATAATAAAAATGATCATTATTATCATTAAACCAGTTGGTTGAGGTTTCAACCCTGAGGTCAAAGACCCTCAGGCCCCAACCCCCAAAATGAATCAGGACATGTTACACATTATTCATGCTAACTAGCTCGATTGTCATGTTTCATCTTATTTGGCAATCCCCCAGTCCAACTCAGCTCTTGAAAGGAAGAAGGGACAAAGTCACTGCACACAGTGCAGCATTTGTCTCTCACGAGAAGCCCTTCCCAGCAAACTCGTGAGACTAGAGAGGCTCTTGTTGTTGCTCTCATACAGAGGTACACAGCATTCAAATTTGGTGAACCCACAGAATTCAGTAAGTTAAGAGTCTCACGCTACAATGAACTCGTTATACTTTCCTTGAAGATTTAGGAACTCACCTAGGGCATGGCTACAACTCCGACAGGATTCTGTTAGACTGACAATTATTTGCTGCAGGTCGGCTCTGGGGGGAGTGGGTGAGGGGTTAGGGTTTTTCCAGCCATTACATTTACAAGACTCCTCGGCCTAAAAATGGAATAAAGAAAGAGACAAAATTATTTAACAGGCAGCCGTGGACTGATGGTTTTACATGAGAACAATGTACACTAATTATATGACAGCTATCCCCTCACCCCTGACTTTGTCGTCTGCCATATACACAAGAGAAAAACAGAAAACCCAAAGGTGGTATTTGATTTGAGTGCTTTGCTTTTTGTTTTCTTTTGTTGTCTGCTGGCTGGAATCTGCATGCTACAGCTCACGCAGCTGACCCACACACTTTGCTACCATTGCCCCCAGTGGGTGTCCATGAAGTGGTGAGTTCCAAGAAAGTCCATCTCAAAAGATGGACATTCCAAATCCACAAGCCAGACTCCTGATGTCCCACAAACACAGCTAAGGTCTAGGCTAAGGTTGAGCCTTGCAGGTTCCAAGGCACCAGCTGCATCTCTGCCCCATGGACCAGAAGGGAAACCCATAGAACCGAAGAAGTTAGCAATCTTAGGAAGATGAGACGGGGCACACCCAGCTGAAGGCACACTTGCAGGCTCCTCCAAGACTTCTGTGAGCTCCCAGCTTTAGAAATGAAGAGGGCTTCATCATGTAGTCCTGGGTTTCTACTTACACGTACATTTCCCAGGTTTCCTGTACTAGAACACCATTATTTTAGCAACACTTGATAGAAAGCTTCCTTAACTTTGTCCACATACTCTTCACACTTCCCTATGTTTGTAGCCAAGAGTGAACATGATGTAGCCTTCTTTAAGTGATCTGACCTATGAAATGGAAGGCAAGCATGAAAAATTATCAATTATTCTACCAGGTACCACACTGTATGCTTCAGCAGGTCTCAACGTATGAAAGGTTCATACCTTTCATTTGTGCTTGCAATGAATGACCTCAGCCACTTATAAAAATAATTCTTCTGCCCCTTCTCTACTATTCTTAGCACTCTGTCACTCTCACCATTTATTTACTGCTTCAAGTCAGCTGTGGCTGGGAAACCAGAAGATACATTGTTAGAATAACATGTAACACAGATGAAGTCACTCTAGGGTAGAGCCATCTACATATACTATCCAGTACGGTAGCCTCTGGCCACATGTGGCTATTGAGCACTAGAAATCCAGCTAGTTCAAATCAAAGTGCACTGTAGTTGCAAAATATACAGATTTAGAAGACTAGCGCAAAATATAAAATACATCATTAACAATGTTTATATTACATATTGAAATTATATGTTTAAATGTATTATTTTGGATATATGGGTTAAAGAAAAGATATTATTAATATTGACTTATTTTTACTTTTGTAATACAGTTATCCAAACTTTTTGGTTTTTTTTTTTTTATATACAGAGTCTCTCTGTGTTGCCCAGGCTGGAGTGCAGTGGCAAGATCTTGTCTCACTGCATCCTCCACCTCTCAGGTTCAAGTGATTCTTGTGCCTCAGCCTCCTGAGTAGCTGGGGTTACTGGCATGCACCACCACACCCAGCTAATTTTTGTATTTTTAGTGGAGGCAGGGTTTCACCATGTTGCCAAGGCTGGTCTCGACCTCCTGACCTCAGGTGATCCGCCCACCTTGGCCTCCCAAAGTGCAGGTATTACAGGCGTGCGCCACCGTGACCAGCAGCATAAGTCTAATTTGAAGAAAATTGTCAGAGTGGCTGCTGCTTTGACCTCATACATAAAATTCTCCAGGACAGAGATCATTTCTGAAGTGTGTATATATGTGTAACAGTATAAGAAAAGAGAGGCCGGGCACGGTGGGTCACGCCTGTAATCCCAGCACTTTGGGAGGCCGAGGTGGGCGGATCACGAGGTCAGGAGATCGAGATTACCCTGGCTAACATGGTGAAACCCCATCTCTACTAAAAATACAAAAAATTAGCCGGGCGTGGTGGCAGGCGCCTGTAGTCCCAGCTACTCAGGAGGCTGAGGCAGGAGAATGGCGTGAACCTGGGAGGCGAAGCTTGCAGTGAGCCGAGATTGCACAACTGCACTCCAGCCTGGGTACAGAGCGAGACTCCATCTCAAAAAAAAAAAAAAGAAAGAAAGAAAGAAAAGAGAATAAACGATTGGCAAGGTAAGAAGGGTCATGGTAGAAGAAAAATCTGCCTTTGAATGAGTCCTTTTCAGTGGGCCATGTGAATCTGGAATACCTAACCTGACTGCTTTTCCCATTTTGTATTAATGAGGATGGAGAAGGCAGGGCCAGGAGAAGCACCTACATCAGCATCCCCATAGCTACATCCCCCAGTGAGTAGCTCAAGTGACCGTCTTTTGTCTAGGCATCAGGAAGGCCCAACTCTTACCCCCAGAGTTCTCTGTTGCCAGGCTGAACCTGGCCTTGAAATTCTCTGTAATGAACCATCCACCTCTTCAGAGGTTGCAAAGATCTCAGAGGCCATGTTCTTGAAGGAAATTGTCATGAGAATTTACAATGAAGACAGTGAATAGGAGAATATGGCAAACCGAAATATACAACTTTGGCCTAAGGGTTATTAAAATGCAGATACAAGAAAAGCTTGGCCGGGCGCAGTGGCTCACACCTGTTATTCCAGCACTTTGGGAGGCCAAGGCGGGTGGATCATGAGGTCAGGAGTTCAAGACCATCCTGGCCAGTCTTGAATGGTGAAACCCCGTCTCTACTAAAAATACAAAAATTAGCCGGGTATGGTGGCAGCCACCTGTAATCCCAACTACTCAGGAGGCTGAGGCAGGAGAATCACTTGAACCCGGGCGGCAGAGGTTGCCGTGAGCTGAGATTGCGCCATTGCACTCCAGCCTGAGCGACAGAGTGAGACTCTGTCTCAAAAAAAAAAAAAAGAAAAGAAAAGAAAAGAAAAAGAAAAGCTCTCTGCCCTCCCCTATATCCCCAGAAGCAGGACATAAATTCTTAAAGGTATCCCCACTTCCCTCTCTAACAAGAAGGACAGAAGTTGATCTTGGAGACAACTCTTGACCTTTATCAGCCCAGATAGGGTACCAGGGGAATCTACATAACAAACCTTGCTAAAACCAGCCCTGATCTACCATTGGTTTCCCCACATACTTGCCTTCCCACAATCTGCTGTCCCTAGCAGCTCAAGGTCCTTTTCCTTTGTCTTCTCACTTCTCTAAAAATTTACTAGTCTTTGCTGAGATAGCCTATAAGCCCAAGTTCTAACTACCTCCTTGAGTTACTCTTCACTGGGTGCTCTCATGTTCATACGCAATGAATATGTCAATAAACTTGTTTTTGTTTTTCTCTTGTTAATGTATTCTGTTAGTCTGACTGACAGGGCCCCAACCAATGCACCTAAAATGGTAAAGGGAAAACAGCTTTCTTCCCCTACAAAAGTATCACTAAGATTTTGTAGAGTCAGAGGAAACCACCCTTATTGTGGGCCAACCTCTCTTAGTTGCCGCATAGCTACTTCCAGGAACTCCCTAAGCCTCCAGCTTTTCTGAATAGTTGGTCTGATCCACAGCCCTTTCCCAAAGGACCTTAAGTTAGAGAAAGAAAAATGACTAAATGGCCCCAACAAAGCAATTAAATATGGCAGGCCAAACCTAGAAGGAAAAAACAGTAATAACCAAAAACACCTTGAGTTTGGAGAACAGCATTTCAAGCCAAGCAGTTATGCACACTGACTCATTCTTTCAACAATATTTATTGAGGCCTACTACATGCCAGGTACTATTGACTATGAAACAAAGATTCTGCTCTCCTGGAGATTACATTAGGGGTAGCCGGGGATGGGGAAAACAAGATTAACACAAATGAGTAAATTATAGAATATACTGGAGAATGTGATGGTGCTATGGAAAGAAAGAAAAAAGGATGAGTACAGGGAACTTAGCAGAGGGTGGGATAAAAGGTATAATTTTAACTAGGACTTTTTGAGATGACCTTAGAGCAAAGACTTGAAGAAAGGTGGGAGTTGGTCATTAGGTATCTAGTATAAGGGAAACACAGCTAGCGCAAAGGCAAGAGAGTGCCTGGCTTGCTCAACAGAAAGTAAAGGCCAATGTGGCTACAGCGCAGTGGGTAAAGACGTGTTGAAATTAAACCAGACAGGGTCAAGCACAGTGGCTCACACCTATAATTGCAGCACTTTGGGAGGCCGAGGCAGGCGGATCACCTGAGGTCAGGAGTTCGAGACCAACCTGGCCAACATGGTGAAATCCCATCTCTACTAAAAATACAAAAATTAGTCGGCATGGTGGTGCACACCTGTAATCCCAGCTACTCAGATGGCTGAGGCAGCAGAATCGCTTGAACCCGGGAGGCAGAGGTTGCAGTGAGCCAAGATTGCGCCACTGCAGTCCAGCCTGGGTGACAGAGTAAGACCTTGCCTCAAAAACAAAAAAAAAAGAAAGAAAGAAAAAAGAAATGAAATTAAGCCAGACGGGACAGGCACAGGTAATCCTAGAACTTTGGGAGGTTAAGGCAGGCAGATCACCTGAGGTCAGGAGTTCGAGACCAGCCTGGCCAACATGGCAAGACCCCATCTCTATTAAAAATACAAAAATTAGCCAGGTGTGGTGGTGGGCACCTGTAATCCCAGCTACTTGGGAGGCTGAGGCAGGAGAATCGCTTGAACCTGGGAGGCAGAGGTTGCAGTGAGCCAAGATCGCACCACTGCACTCCAGCCTGGGTGACAGAGTGAGACCCTGTCTCAGAAGTTTAAAAAAATATAAAAAAATAAATAAAGAAAGAATTCAAGGATCTAAAACTTTTCTTCCTATGGGCTTGCTTATAAAACTCTGCCTTGCCCTGAGATGCATGCTAACAAGTAACAAGCTTTAAATTCTTGGAGAAGACAACACAGAGTTTTAGAGATATAGATCTTAACTTCATTGTTGCAACAGACTAAGTTCAGTCAGCCCAGAAAAAAAGTTTATTTATGCCCCTTCTTGTCTTAACATGACAGAGAATAATGGCTGTGTTCACTGGGGGCTCATAAATGGGTGAGTCACAAATCTCATGGCAGGGAGATCTGTAATAATAAGGTCTTATATTTCCCCTACTCAATAAAAAAAAAAAGTTACATCTTGAATATTAACCGCACGTGTTGAAACCACTTGTGATAGAGTGCTTAATGAATTCTACCATACAATAAACACTGATGCTTAAAAATGTAACTGAATAAAGATCTTTTCTTTCAAAACTGGCTGATTTTACTTCCTCCACTGAGTCTTGGGATCCCAGTACAAAGTATATTTTTATTTCTTTTGTTCATAATGACTGAGACTTCCCAAACAAATTAAAATTCCCTGAAAACTAAGAGGAATGAAGAGAGGGAGACAACATGGGGTGAAACACTGAGAAGCATAAAAGTTTTGTCAGCCCCGCAGCACTCCAACTGTGCTGTCCAAGATGTGGCAGCCAGCCACAAGCGAATACGGAGTCTTTAAAAATTGGCAATAAAAATTGAGATGTGTTATGAGTGTTTGAAAATACACCCTGAATTTCAAAGACTTCGTATTAAAAAATGTTAAAATATCACATTAAGAATTATTTTATATTGATTACATATTATAATAATATTTTGAAATATTCAGTTAAAGTAAAAATTAGAATTAATAAAATTAAATTTTTGGCTTTTCTGATTTTTTTTTTTTAATGCGGTGCAGTGGGTTAAATAGTGTGTGCCCTAAAGTTCATGTCCCAGCCAGGTGCGGTGGCTCATGCCTGTAATCCCAGCACTTTGGGATGCCGAGGTGGGAGGATCACACATGAGGTCAGGAGTTCGAGACCAGCCTGGCCAACATGGTGAAACCCTGTCTCTAATAAAAACACAAAAATTAGCCAGGCATAGTGACACATGCCTGTAATCCCAGCTACTCGGGAAGCTGAGGCAGGAGAATTGCTTGAACCCAGGAGGCCAAAGTTGCAGTAAGCTGAGATGGCACCACTGCACTCCAGCTAGGTGACAGAGTGAGACTGTCTCAAATAATAATAATAAATAAAGTTCATGTTCCCCTGGAACCTCAAAATGGGGCCATATTTGGAAATAGGTTCATTGCAGATGTGATCAGTTAAGGACATGCAGATGAAATTATCCTAAGCCCTAAAACCAATGACTGGCGTTTTCCTAAGAGAAAGAAGAAGGAGATTTGGAGACAGACACAGACAAACAGTAAAGAAGGCCAAGTGAAGATAGAAGCAGAGGCTGGATCTCACTATGAGACAGACCAGGGTCTCACTATAAGCCAAAGAATGCCAAGGATTGCCAAGCACCACCAGATGCTAGGAAGAGGCAAGGAAAGATTCTTCCCTACAGCCTTCAAAAGGAGTGTGGCCCAGATGACATCTTGATCTCAGACTTCTAGCCTCCAAAACTGTGAATAAAAAAAAAACTGTATTTGTTGTTTTAAGCCACATATTTTGTGGTTATTTGTTATGACAGGCCTAAGAAACTAATACACAGGACTACTAGAAAATGTTAAATAATACATGCGGCCTCCATATTACTATTGGATATTGGTGCACTAGACTATAAAGGGACTCCACCCCCAAGCCCCAGGTCTTCACTATGGACCCTAACAGTTTAAGCATAGAATAGTCTCAGCATCCCTAAGTGGTCCTAACTCTTTAAAGTTATACCCTATTGATATATATGAGAATCCCTTGAGTTTTCCTTACTTGTTTCAGTATTTTTTGCAGGATATGAAAATTGGTTCTTGCATGTGTGCATGCTCCATGGGACACCTAACAACCTAAGTGTACAAAATTTTTAATATATATGGGACTCGTTACTTGATTTGCTAAAAAGGACATACTGTGTCCTTTAAAAAACAGTCAATGCTCTTATCCTTGACTGCCAGCAAAGCATTTTCTGCCAAGTTTTCTGAGCTGCTGCTACCATGCCCTCCACTTTGGCCTTCATCTCCCCATTCCAATGTTCAGGCCTGGCCACTGTTCTTCGAGATAAGAGGTCTCCTTTCAAAACACCTTTCCCATGTCTCTCCTTAATTAGGCATGACAGCTGCTGTCTAAGGGAACTCCCAAGGGAGTTGGCCTTGCAGCTTTAATGAAGTACCAGCTGAAGGACAACCTTTTAGGGAGTGCACTGCCAAGCCAATTACTGTAGCAGCTAGCAACCTGGGCACAGGGAGGGGAAAGCTACCCAGATGACTTCATCCCCCCAAGAGCACATCTCTGCAGACATTGCAGAACCAAGAAAGAAGAAAAGGCCACTGCACTACTTTCAACAGGACTGGGATAATGTTTTCATCCCAACAGGATCCAGGGTTAGAGGTCAATAGTATGCAACCGATGTTGTTATAGTATGCAGAAACCAGGATGGATGATGAGAAAGAAGATAAACTGGATAAACAAGTAGTCACAACCCAGATTACAGACAGACAAGGGGTGGAGAGCTCACAGTTCACGCAGTGTTAATGAGTGAGATGGGTGTGAAGATATTTGAGTGGCATCCAGAGGAACAGGAGAAAGACAGCCAGCTGTCTAGCAAAATTCTGTCATGCTTAAAATATTGGAAAGTCGCATTTGTTGGAAAACTTAAATTAGTGTCAAGGATGTCCCACAGCAAGAACACGTTGATGGAAAATTTATTCAGTATAACTGATCCAACATTTATTTAGCACCCAAAATTAAAAATGTACATGTACTCTTATCTCACTCGATGTAAGTAAAGTATGAATTATTGCCATTATTAAAAGAGAAAGCTGAGGCTCTAGGTGATAAGAGACTTGCCTGGGGTTACTCATTCTACCCTGCAGATGCACAAAATGTGTCCAGGCAGGTAACTGGCACTGTGGTTGTGAGAGAGGAAGGACTCACTCTTATTCACTACCTCTCTGCTCCATGCTGGACAAAGTCATAATGTTTAAATGTCAAGGATCAAAACCGTAACTTCTCACCCAATAAGATCTCTCTAACCAAATATAGATAGGAGGAGTAAATTCTGGTGTTCTATCGCACAGCAGAGTGACTATAGTTAACAATAATATATTGCATATTACAAAATAGCTACAAGAGAGGATTTTGAATGTTCTCATCACAAAGAAATGACAAGTGATTGAGGTGATGAACATGCTAATTACACTGATTTGGCCATTACACAATGTATACATGTTTCAAAACACCACACTATGCCCCCATCAATATGTATAATTATTAGGTGTCAATTAAACACAAAATAAGTTCTTTTTTCAAAAGGAGCTGACAATAACAAATTATCAGGCATGTGAAAAATTGGAATCCTCATACAGTGTTTGTGGGATGTAACAAGGTACAACCACCTTGGAAAACAGTTTGCTAGCTTCTTATATACTAATGGAACAGAATAGATAGCCCAGAAATAAACCCTCACAGATAATGGTCAAATGATTTTGACAAGTGTGCCAAGACCATTCAATAGAGAAAGGACAGTCTTTTCAATAAATGGTGCTGGAAAAACTAGGTATCTGTGTGCACAAGAATGAAGCTGGACCCTTAGCTAATAACACACACACAAATGAACTCAAAATAGATGAAAGACTTCAACATAAAATTGTGAATCTCGGCCGGGCGTGGTGGCTCACGTCTGTAATCCCAGCACTTGGGGAGGCCGAAGCAGTTGGATCACGAGGTCAGGAGTTCAAGACCAGCCTGGCCAACATGGTGAAACCCTGTCACTACTAAAAATACAAAAATTAACCGGGCATGGTGGCTCACGTCTGTAATCCCAGCTACTTGGGAGGCTGAGGCAGGAGAATTGCTTGAACCTGGGAGGCAGAGGTTGCAGTGAGCTGAGATTGTGCCACTACATTCCAGCCTGGGCAACAGAGCAACCATCTCAAAAAAAAAAAAAAAAAAAAAAAAAAAAAAGAGGCCTACTCAGAAGTTGCTGTGAGGTGAGATCGCACCACTGCACTCCAGCCTGAGCAACAGGGCGAGACCCCATCTCAAAAGAAAAAAAAAGAAAGAAAGAAAGAATCTCTTAAAAGAAAATACAGAAAAAATCTTCATGATACTAGATCAGGCAATGGTGTCTTGGATATAATACCAAAAGCACAGGCGGCCAGGTGTGGTGGCTCAGGTGTATAATCCCAGCACGCTGGGAAGGTCAGGAGTTCAAGACCAGCCTGAGCAACAAACAAGACTCCATCTCTACAAAAATTTTAAAAATTAGCTGGACATAGTGGTGCACGCCTGCAGTCACAGCCACTCAGAAGGCTGAGGCAGGCAGATCCCTTGAGCCTAGGAATTCGAGGCAGCAATGGGCCATGACTGTGCCACTGTACTCCAGCCTGGGAAACAGAGCAAGATACTGTCTAAAAATAAATAACAAAAACACAGGCAACAAAAGAAAAACAGATAAACTGGAATTAGGAAAAACTTTAAATTTCTGTGCACCAAAAGACATACACAACAGAGTGAAAAGGCAACCCAGAGAATGGGAGAAAATATTTGCAAACCATATATTTGATAACAGGTTAATATCCAAAATATATAAAGAATGCCTACAACTCAACAACAACAACAACAACGAAATTTTACAATGGGCAAAGGACTTGAGCAGACACTTCTCCAAAGAAAATATACAAATGGTCAATAAACACATGAAAAGATGCTCAACATCATTAATAATTATGAAAATGGGCCAGGCACGGTGACTCACGCCTGTAATCCCAATACTTTGAGAGGCTGAGGCAGGTGGATCACCTGAGCTCAGGAATGCAAGACCAGTCTGGCAAACAAGGCGAAACCCCGTCTCTACTAAAAACACAAAAATTGGCTGGGCGTGGCGGCGCATGCCTGTAATCCCAGCTACTCGGGAAGCTGAGGCAAGAGAATCGCTTGAACCCAGGAGGCAGACGTTACAATGAGCCGAGATCATGCCACTGCACTCCAGCCTGGGTGACAGAGCAAAACTACCTCTAATATATATATATATAAAATAAAATATATATAATTTCTATATATTATATATTATATATAATAATATATAATATATAATATATAATTTATTATGTTATATATAATATATTATAAATTATATATAAAATATATTATATATTATATTTTATACATAATAAATATTTTATATATATTATATTTTATATATTATATATTATATTTTATATATTATATATTATATATCATATTTTATATATTATATATTTTATATATATTTTTATATATAATATATTTTATATAAAATATATATATTTTATATATTATATATTATATATATTATATATTATATATTTTTATATATTATATATTTTATATATATATGTTTTATATAATATATATTATATGTTTTATATATAATATATATTATATGTTTTATATATAATATATATTATATGTTTTATATATAATATATATTATGTTTTATATATAATATATATTATATGTTTTATATATTATATGTTTTATATATAATATATATTATGTTTTATATATAATATATATTATGTTTTATATATGATATATAATACATATTTTATATATAATATATAATACATATTTTATACAAATATATTATATATTTTATGTATATTATATATATTTTATGTATATTATATATTATATACTTTATGTATAATATATAATATATAATATATTTTATGTATTATAAATTATATATTTTTATGTATAATATATTTTTTCATATATATTATTTTTTCATATATACGTATGAAAATACAAATTAAAACTACAATGAAATACCACCTCACTCCCATTAGCATGGCTACTACAAAAGAAACAGAAAACAGTGTTGGAGAGGATGTAGAGAAACTGGAAACCTTGAATATTCCTGCTGAAGACGTAAAATGGTATGGCTGCTATGGAAAACAGTATGACAGTTCCTCAAAATATTAGAAATGGAATTACTATATGACGCAGCAATTCCACTTCTGGGTATATACCCAAAAGAATTGAAAGTAGGAAGTCAAAGAAATATTTGGACACCCATGTCCTAGTATCATTATTAAGCACAACAGCAAGAAGGTCCAAGCAACCCCAGCATCCCTTAAGAGATGAATAAATAAGTAAAACGTAGTATATACATTCAAAGGGCTATTATATAACCTTAAAAAGAAAGGCAACTCTGACACATGCCACAACCTGAATGAAACTTGAGAATGTTATGCTAAGTAAAATAGTCACAAAATGACAAATACTGTATGATTCCACTTAGATAAGGTGTCTATGGTAGCCAAATTCATAGAGATAGGAATGGTGGTTGCCGAGGGGTTGGAGGAAGGAAGAGGGAGTTACTGTTTAATGAACACAGAGTTTCAGTTTTGCAAGCTGAAAAGTGTTCTGTGGATGAATGGTGGTGATGATTGCACAATAATGTGAATTTCTTAATACCAATGAACTAGACACTTAAAAATAGTTCAGATGGTAAACTTTAGATCATCTATATTTTACCACAGTTTTGTTGTTGTTGTTGTTGTTGTTGTTTTGAGACAGGGTCTCACTCTGTTGCCCAGGAGTGCAGTGGCATGATCATGGTTTATTACAACCTCAACCTCCTGGGTTCAAGCAATCCTCCAACTTCAGCCTCCTGAGTAGACAGGACCACAGGCATGTACCTCTACACCTGGATAATTTATTTTATTTTATTTTTTATTTTTATTTTTTGGTAGAGACAGGGTCTTACTATGTTACTCACGCTGGTCTCAAACTCCTGGACTCAAGGGATCTTCCCACCTCAGCCTCCCAAAGTACTAAGATTACAGGCCATGAGCTACCATGCCCAGCATTACCACAGTTTGTTGTTTGTGTGTTTGTTTGTTTGTTTTTAGACAGAGTTTCTCTCTTGTTGCCCAGGCTGGAGTGCAATGGCGTGATCTCAGCTCACTGCAACCTCCGCCTCCTGGGTTTAAGAGATTCTCCTGCCTCAGCCTCCCCAGTAGCTGGGATTACAGGCATGCACCACCATGCCCAGCTAATTTTGTATTTTTAGTAGAGACAGGGTTTCTCCCTGTTGGTCAGGTTGGTCTCAGACTCCCGACCTCAGGTGATCCGCCCGCCTTGGCCTCCCAAAGTACTGGGACTACAGGCGTGAGCCACCATGCCCAGCCCACAGTTTTTTAAGAAACAACAATTTTTTCAAAAAGTTAAACATAAATTTACCACATGACCCAGCAAATCCACTAAGTATCTACCCAAGAGAAACAGAAATATATCCATACTAAGACTTGCATGCAGATGCCTCAGCAACATTATTCATGATAGCCAAAAGGCAGAAATAATCTAAATGCCCATCAACTAGTTAACGCATAAGCAAAATGTGTTCTAGTCATATAACGGATTATTACTTGCAATGAAAGATAAAGAAGTGCTGACATATGCTACAACATGGATGTATCTCAAACACATTACACTCGGCATAAGAAGCCCATCATAAAAGGCCACATACTGTATACTTCCATTTACATGACCATCCAGAAAAGGCAAATTTATAGAGACAGAAAGATTAGTGGTCATCTGGGGTGGGGGGTAGGAACAGGGTTAACTGTAAATGGACCCAAGGATCCTTTGGAGGTGATGGAAATCTTCTAAAAGGTAGATTGTGGTGATGATTGTACAACTTGTCAATTTCTTAAAAATCATTGAATTGTACACTTAAAACTAGAGAATATTATGGTACCTAAATCATAACTCAGTAAAGTTTTTTTTGTTTTTGTTTTTGTTTTGAGATGGAGTCTCGCTCAGTCGCCCAGGCTGGAATGCAGTGGTACGATCTCGGCTCACCGCAAGCTCCACCTCCCAGGTTCACGCCATTCTCCTGCCTCAGCCTCCCAAGTAGCTGGGACTACAGGCGCCCGCCACCACACCTGGCTAATTTTTTGTATTTGTAGTAGAGGTGGGGTTTCACCGTGGTCTCGATCTCCTGACCTCGTGATCCACCTGCCTCGGCCTCCCAAAGTGCTGGGATTACAAGCGTGAGGCACCACGCCTGGCCTTTTTTTTTTTTTTTTTTTTTTTGAGACAGAGTCTCTGTCGCCCAGGCTGGAGTACAGTGGCATGATGATCTCAGCTCACTGCAACCTCCGCCTCCCAGGTTCAAGCGATTCTCCTGCCTCAGCCTCCCGAGTAGCTGGGACTACTAGACGCATGCCACCACGCCTGGCTAATTTTTGTATTTTTAGTAGAGACGGGGTTTCACCATGTTGGCCAGGCTGGTCTCGAACTCCCGACCTCAAGTGATCTGCCCACCTCAGCCTCCCAAAGTGCTGGGATTACAGGTGTGAGCCACATGCCCAGCAAGATATTTTAATAATATTTTTAAAAAACAACACCTGGAGTCCACTGTAAGCAGCTGGGATTGCCAGAAGTTTTCTCTTTGGAAATGAGCAGTTTGAATTATGCTGATGTAATTAGGAGTAGTGCTTCTCAAACTCCAATCTACTCAGGAATCACCTGGAGATCTCATCAAAATGAAGATTAAGATTCAGTGGGTGTCGGGTGGAACCTGAGATTCTACATTTCTAAAAGTTCCTGGGTGAAGACCACTCTTTGAGTAGCCAAGATTTGAAGAGATAAAGATGGTTTGACTTCAGCAACACCTTTCTCTTCTCCCTGAATTAACTTTAGCTTTTCATATACAGATTAAATGGTTCAGTAATCCTTCCCTGGGACACAAGCCCTTTTTCTTCCTCCACTGTGTGACAATCCTTCCAGTTCACACAGTTGTACATGGAAGGCCAGCAGAAGATACCATAATGCTATGACTTCAAGCTGGGATTTTTAAACTATGGGAACTTTAAAAATCTGACACAAGTGAAAAGAGGAAAGTATACAGGGTGGGGATCAGGGTTCCCTCAGGAGAACAAAACTGCCTGGGATTGAGATAGAAATAGAATTGTAAGAGAGAAAAGATAACTAGTGAGGTAATTCACTATCAGAAGCATCTCTGAAAACCTTTTTTTTTTTTTTTTTTTTTTGAGACAGAGTCTCGCTCGTTGCCCAGGCTACGGTGCAGTGGCGCAATCTCGGCTCACTGCAATGTCCGCCTCCCAGGTTCAAGCAATTCTCCTGCCTCAGCCTCCCGAGTAGCTGAGATTATTGCCCACCAACACACCCAGCTAATTTTTGTATTTTTAATAGAGACGGGGTTTCACCATGTTGGCCAGGCTGGTCTTGAACTCCTGACCTCAGGTGATCTGCCTGCCGTGGCCTCCCAAAGTGCTGAGATTACAGGCGTGAGCCACCGCACCTGGCTGAATACCTTAATTTATGAGTGCCATTTTGGTCTGTGAAGCCACAAGGAATCAAAAAAACAAATATTAAAGAGTGGTCAAGGCTACAGAAAGAGAGTGGAAAGCATATCATGAGGAAATGACCCAAGACAAAACAACCCAGGTATAAATAAACACCTCATTCAAATTCTTCTCATCTATGCTCTCCATGGTTACTCCAAAATCAAATCAACAGAAAATCTTCATGACATCCCTGTCTGGAAGAAATCCTTGTGTTTATGCTGGAGTTGAATAAGAAACTGCCCTCCCTTTGCTAAATATTATAATTAGGTCCCGCTGACTGAAAGGTCTGGAACCCCCTTGGCAGGCTCTCTGAAGATGCTGGAATGGCTCCAGTTGTTACCAAATAGCCTAGGGGTTGGCCAGACCCTTCATTACATCCGAGTGACCTCTCCAGGAGCAAACCTAAGCATGCATTACCCCTGAAAAGGCCTCAGGAGGTCCTGGGTGACACTGGGGCCTAGAAACTAGTACCCTGGAATGCTAAATCCAAGACAATTTCTTTCCATTTAATACACACACACAGAATTTATCAGAAATTATCTGTCAAAATGCCAGAGCAGTCAGCTCAGACTTCGACACAGTGGAAAGATCTGTCAAACTGCTTGGCTAACATTGAGCAGTTCAGACAACCAGCTGACTAATAGAATTTTTCACCCTTCCGCCTGTTGTTTTGGCACCAAATCAACCAGGATGAGCAAAATAAGTAGTGCCTTATACGTTGTTTCCTTGGACAGCTCACGTTCTCATGGTATCAGTCATTATCTGAGATGATGACTCTCACATCCACATAACCAGCCCAACCTGTAAAGCAGAACTTCCAGCCCTCATTTCTAACTGCTTACATCCAGCATTTCTGCCCAGTCAGTTTTACAAAAAGGCTTGCCCTCCATCCCAATACTCCCTTTTCAACTACCCTATTCCCTTTGTTGGCACTGTCCTTCTCCCAGCTCCTAAGGTTAATCTGCACTCAATGCCCTCATCCAGGCCACCTGATTCTTCTTTCAAACTCTGTCAGATCTATACCTTCTCCATTCTCATTGCCAGGGCCCCAGTTCAGGCCCTTATCAGCCAACTAGAAGAAATACTTCCTCCCCTCTTCCAATACATTCCCACTCCCAACCTTCCTCCTAATACCAGCTCACATCACTGTACTCTAAAATGCCACTTAAGAACGTCAAGCATTTGTGTTTACTACTTTCCAAGGCAATTGCAGTCCAAATCATGTTATGTTCCCCTCCCAACAACCCTGTAGGACAAGTAATTCAATGCTTAGAGAAGGGGTGTGGCTTGCCTGAGTTCACTCAGCTGGCAAAGAACAAGAAGCCAACATCAAAACCTAGAACTCCTCTGTGGCATTCTAAAATACCTTGTGCCTCCTCCTTCTTAAAAGGCAAGGACACTATTATCAAATGGATTCAGTCCAAAATTTTCTACCTGAAATTCAAGACCTTCTATCAACTCATTTCTTCCTAACCTAGCAGACCCTATGTCCCAGTTTCTCTTTGACCATATTTCTCTTTTCCTCCAAGTTGGTTAGCCTCTTTATTAAAAACAATAATTATTATTTAGCATTGTTTTAATTGTAACAGTAACTGACATCTATGAGGCATTCAGAATGTCCCAGATTCTATACCAAGTTACTAAATACATTATTTCATTTTATCCTCAAAATAGCATTTGTCTATTAACAGACATATCTAATGTATCACCTCCAACAAAGAACTCTTTATTCTTACCCAAACCTGCTTCTCCTATGGTATTCTCTATCTTGGTAAATGGAACTACCATCCATTCAGTTGCTCAGGCCAAAAACCTGGACATTATCCTTCATTTCTGTCTTTTCATCACCACCTCCCTTGTAACAAATTAAGTCCTGTTGCCTCTACCCTTACAATATAGCCCAAACTAATTCTCACCCCTCCATTCCTGCTACCCTAGCCCAAGACACCATCTACTCATACCTAGACTATAATAACTTCCAACTGGCCCTCTTTATCTACTGTTTCTCTCATATACTTTATTCTTCTCAGAGCAGCCAGAGGGGTCACTTCAAACCGGAAATCTAATTTGAATTCACTGGAAACAGCCCAGATGTCCATAACAAGTCAACAGATAAACAAACTAGTACGTCCATACAGCAGAATACTCCTCAGCAATAAATAGAAATTAACTACCAATGCATCCAACACCACGGATTAATCTCAAAAATATACTGAGTGAAAGAACAGTATGTACTATGTGGTAACATTTATATGAAAAATAGCTAAATTAACTTAAAGTGACACAAATCAGATCAGTGCTTGCTTCCAAGGGAGAGAGACTTGAATGGCAAGGAGCAGGCAGAAATTTTCTAGGGGGATGGAAAAGTTCTGTCTTGATACGTATTTGTTGAAACGTATCAGAACTAAAGATCTTGACATCACTGTGTAAAAATTATATGTTGGCAATCTGGCCCCCATTTATCCCTTCCACCTAATCTCCTACACTCATACCCCCCACCCCACCCACCTCCATCTAGCCACACAGGTCTCCTGACAGGCCTCACACACGACAAGCCACTTCTGGCCCCAGAGTCTTTGCACGGCACCCTCTTCCTCACTTCTTATCATGCAGGCCTCGGTCCGTGTCCCTTCTGCAGAAGGATTTCCTGGGCATGTATCTAGAGGAATTCCCCAGGCATTCTCATTTAATTCTCTGTTTTCATTCTCTGCGAGGCACTTACCACTTTCTGTTATTTTCTGGCTTATTGTCTGCTTCTGCTACCAGAAAGCAAGCTCTGCAAGAATAAGGACCCATCTGTCACTGTATCACCAGCATCTAAATCAACACCTGGCACATTAAATAACAATTTGTTGAGTAAACGGAAAAAGTTGACATATATCACTGTCTCCACATTACAGCTGCGAAATCTGAGGCTTGTAAAGCATAAGTAACCTCCCCATAGTCACACATCAGGGTTCAAACCCAGGCAGTCTGGTGCCCAGGTCCATGTTCTAAACTACTCTCACGTCTGGCTCACAACAGTTTTGCTTCTCTGCTTGGTTTTACTCTGTTCCCTCTATCTGGGCTGGGTCTCTCTCCCACCCTTTCACCTCCCCCTGGCTCACAATGGTTTCTCTCTGCATTGACTTCATGCTTGATTATTCATTTTAATTTTTCTTTCACTTAATATCTGTCTCCTCAACAAGAAAAGGGCTCCTTGTGGCTTTTGCTTCCTTTTGCACATGTAGCAGAGAAGTGGCCACAGGCCCCTAACCGGTGCTCACAGATGTGTTCCTTTCGAGGTGGGATGAGTCAGGTAGTCCTGTGAGTATGTGCCAATCCTGGGTTACATGACTCACTTCATTATTTCAAAGTATGCTGACCTTGGCATCTTTGGCATTCTGCCATCTAGTTTCAACACCAGCTTGTCAGAGCTGATGCAAATTGGCACTGCCACCATCAATCACTATGATATTACTCAGGTCTCATCCTTGTACTTCTGGAACCTCCTGCATACCACACAAACCTCGCAAAAAGCTGCACAAGCCAAGAGTACACAACGCATGGGGACTGATTAGGATGGCATGGAATTTAATGGAAGCAACCCCATACAACTTGCCCTGAGGTTACTGACAAGATTACCCTAAACCTCCTCCTGATATTAGGTGATGTATTGTTCCAAGTGGACCATTAGAGACATTATTCACACTTTTTTCCAAAATAAATGCATCCATCTCCTTCACATCTGTAATCAATCCCAGCACTTTGGAAGGCCGATGAGGGTGGATCACGAGGTCAGGAATTCAAGACCAGCCTGGCCAAGATGGTAAAACCCCGTCTCTACTAAAGATACAAAAATTAGCTGCGTATGGTGGCAGACCCCTGTAATCCCAGCTACTCAGGAGGCTGAGGCAGAGAATTGCTTGAACCCAGGAGGCGGAGATTGCAGTGAGCCAAGATCGCGCCACTGCACTGCAGCCTAGGTGACAGAGCGAGACACCGTCTCAAAAAAAAAACAAAAAAACAAAAAACAAAAACAAAAAAAAATAAGTCTAAAGCCGGACACAATGGCTCATGCCTGTAATCCCAGCACTTTGGGAGGCCGAGGAGGATGGATCACTTGAGGTCAGGAGTTTGAGACCAGCCTTGCCAACATGGCGAGACCCCATCTCTACTAAAAATACAAAAATTAGCTCGGTGTGGTGGTACATGCCTGTAATCTCAGCTACTTGGGAGACTGAGGCAGGAGAATCACTTGAACCTGGAGATGGAAGTCGCGGTGAGCTGAGATCATGCCACTGCACTCCAGCCTGGGCTACAGAGTGAGACTCCATCTCAAAAAAATAAAATAAAATAAAAATAAATAAAAAATAAGCCTAAATGGTAAAGGAACAATTAAAGAAAGTCTATTGTAGACTTTAAAGTGGGCCACAAAGTAACAAAAAATATAAATAGTAGTTTAAAGAATGCCTTCATATACAATTGATTTTTAAGTTTACTAATATAATACAGACTTCTAGAATATATGCTAAAACTTTGTCTCACTTTGTAGCTTTTAACTCACTGATCTCATAACACTCATATACCTTCCTGAGTTTTTTTGTTTTGTCTTGTTTTTTGAGACAGGGTCTCACTCTGTCACCCAAACTACAGTGCAGCAGCACACTCACGGCTCACCACAGCCTCGACCTCCTGGACTCAAGTGATCCTCCTGCTTCAGCCTCCTGAGTAGCTAGGACTACAGACATGTGCCACCATGCCCAGCTAATTTTTGTATTTTTATAGAGATGGGGTCTCATTATGTTGCCCAGGCTGGTCTCAAACCCTTGAGCTCAAGCAATCTGCCCACCTTGGCCACCCAAAAGTAGGATCCCACACCTGGGATTACAGGCGTGAGCCACATTCCTGGCCTTAAGAATTTAATTGTAACTTGCAGAAGAGGAAACAGTGGTTGGAGAGGATTAAAATATAGGTGATTCCTCTTTGCTTGATTTGTAGGAGACGTTCAGGCCATAAGATAACTGTTGCTTGTCATCAAGTCTGCCATGAACCAAGGGGAAACACACTTAACTATGAGTAAGTGTTGTTCCAGCTCCAGCTGGAGGCTGCCCTGCTGCAGACCACAAAGCTAGCTACTAAACCTCCCTGCACCTTAGTTTCCTCATCTTTCTTTTTTGAAGACGGAGTCTAGCTCTTGTCGCCCAGGCTGGAGTGCAGTGGCGCAATCTCAGCTCACCGCAACCTCCGCCTCCTGGGTTCAAGTGATTCTCCTGCCTCAGCCTCCCGAATAGCTGGGATTACAGGCACCTGCCACCACACCTGGCTAATTTTCGTCTTTTTGTTTTTTTAGTAGACATGGGGTTTCACCATGTTGGCCAGCCTGGTCTCAAACTCCCGACCTCAGGTGATGTGACCACCTCAGCCTCCTAAAGTGCTGGGATTACAGGCATGAGCCACCGTGCCCGGCCTCTTTTTCTCTCTTTTTTTTTTTTCTTTTTTTTAAGAGATGGGGTCTCTCTCCGTAGCCTAGGCTGGATCACCAACTCAGCCTCCTAAAGTGCTGGGATTACAGGCATGAGCCACCATGCCTGGCCATCTTTACAATACAGTTTCCTTTCCACCAATCTCACAAAGCCTGTGAATATCAAATTACCAATTTATTCAACAAATATTTATCAAGTGCCTACTATGTGCAAGGTATGATCCACCCGAGATATGAATTTAATGGAAAATTTAATGGAATTTAATCCCCAGTACAACTTGTCTGTTTCTCCTATGGGCTGAGGCCTTATGGGCTCCATGAACCCAAATCTCCGCTTCATGGAGCTTCTATTGTCATAAGGAAAACAGATAGGAAATCATTTTTTAAAACATAATTTCCAAATATTAAGAAGTGCAGTAAAGGAAAACAAAACAAGATAAGATTATAGAGTGATAGATGGGGTGCTGCTACTTTAGACCGGAGAGTCAGGAAGGCTTCTCTGAGAAGCTGGCATTTAAGAACAGACTGGAATGAGGCTTTGAGAACAAGATACAGAGATACATGGCAGAGAAAAGTGTGCAAAGCAGCAGGTAACCACATGCACAATTAGATGCTAGAGATGAATGTGATTCAAAATTATAAAAGACTTGATTCCATTTCAATTATAACTAGGTGATAAATTATCTTAAGAAGTTTGAACAGGAGGTACCTGAGCAGAAATCTTCCAAAGCAGCCCATGGAATTTAATGTTAAATGAATAAATAAATGGCAATAGATATAACACCCCATGTGTGCAAACACACAATCTTTAAGTAAATTCCCATTTTGTTAAATATACCAATTACGGAAAAGACTAATTTATAAGTGGATGGTTCAAATGAATCAGCCATTAAATAACGAGCTCATCATATATTCAATACTACTTTTCAGGGACAGTTGTTATGAAAAATCTTTGTGGAGCTGTAGAGTAATCTTTGCTTCTCACTGTCATTCCTGGGGAGAGGGTGGCATTTAATGGCCTCAGCAAGTAGTTCTAGAGAACACAGGACTGAATGTTCTCTTTCCAACATCTCTATCAACTAGGCCCACATAAGAAAGGTGGCATTGCCCACTGGAGCTTTATGTACTGGGCTCTGCCAGCCTTTTAGGAAAGCTGCCATCACTCTCAACATGTATGGTTCTGCATGGCTCACCGACTACAACGTATAGCAACTCTAGTCATCTTCCAGAACCAGGGACAAGTGGCAACAGGATTTCACATGAATATTTACCAGTAAGGACTCACCAATACGGACTCCAGGGGAGAAGGAGCTATGCAGGCTAGACATACTACCAGCAGTGACATCATCAGCCCACATGCACCCACCTCCTTATCATTCTACCTCTCTTCCTTTCATATTCCTTATCTACATCTACTTGGCCAAGTACCCCTCCTTGATTTGTTTTTTTTGTTTGGGTTTTTTTTTTTTTTTGAGACAGAGTATTGCTCTGTCACCCAGGCTACAGTACAGTGGTGTGATCTTGGCTCACTGCAACCTCTGCCTCCTGGGTTCAAGCCATCCTCATGCCTCAGCCTCCCAAGAAGCTGGGACTACAGGTGTGTGCCACCATGCCCAGCTAATTTTTGTATTTTAGTAGAAACAAGGTTTTGTCATGTTGGCCAGGCTGGTCTTGATTTCTTGGCCTCAAGCGATCTGCCCACCTCGGCCTCTCAAAGTGCTGGGATTATAGGCATGAGCCACCATACCCGGCCACCTCCTTGATTTCTTATCCACATTCCTGCCCTCCTGGGTTCTTCCAAATATGACTATCAAATTCCCATCCTTTCTTTCAAAAGCTTAGTTAAAGATTCATCCCATAGAATGGCATGACCCCAGGAGGCAGATCCTGCAGTGAGCCGAGATCATGCCACTGCACTCCAGTCTGGGTGACAGAGCGAGACTCCGTCTCAAAAAAAAAAAAAAAAGATTCATCCCATGAGGTTGTCCACATCCAATGACTTCCTCCTGAAAATTGCTGGCAATGTTTTAATTTTTTAATTTAAAAACATGTGTCTTTACAAACTACTGCTATATGCAATAATATAGATGCATCTGACAGACATAATGTTGAGTGAAAGAACCCAGACACAAATAATTCATACCATATGACTCAATTTATGTAAAGTTTAAGAACAGACAAAACTAATCTCTGGTAATAGAAGTCAGAATAAGGATTACCAGGAGTGGGGAGGAGGCACAAGAGAACCCTCTGAGATGCTGAAAATGTCCTACAGCTTTATCTAGGTGGCAGTTGCATAGATGTATACACATGTAAAAATTAATTGCGCTATAAACATGATTTGAGCCCTTTATGTGTAATGCAACTAAAAGTTTTTTTTAATGACTCCTTTTTATCATGTTGAGATACTGTTGTGTGAACCGTCTTATATAAACTGGTTGGGGGACTTCTAAATCTTTTTTTTTTTTTTTTGAGACAGGGTCTCACTCCATTGCCCAGGCTAGAGTGCAGTGGTATGATCTCAGCTCACTGCAATCTCTGCCTCCTGGGCTCAAGCAGTCGTCCCACCTCAGCCTTCTGAGTAGCTGGGACTATAGGTGCAAGCCACCACGCCCTGCTAATATTTGTATTTTTAGTAGAGACCGGGTCTCACCGTGTTGCCCAGGCTGGTCTCGAACTCCTGAGCTCAAGCGATCCGCCTGCCTCAGCCTCCCAAAATGCTGGGATTACAAGGGGGAGCCACGGTGCCCAGCTGGACTTCTAAACTTTCAAGACAGTCAATTTCTTAACTTTCTGACACATTTGGCACCTTCTATAGCCTGAGTAGGTGTCTCTTTCATCTTTCTTCAACAGAGAATTCTATTGGGCCAGCACAGTGACCAGTCTTGATTGTCAACTTTAAAACAATCAAGAGCATGTATATGTCTGTCCTGGGCCAGTAATAAAGAATGCTTATTTTGTTTACTTTATGGCCTGCACAGGTTCAATGGACTAGAAAATCCTTTGAACATACCTCTCAATTGGAGTACAATAAATTTCAAACGACAGCAGAATGCCTAAAACAAATGTAATCCTCTCAAGAAACCATTTGGAAGAAAAGCGACCCCCTCTACCCCATGCGAAAGTTTTGGAAGAGGAGGCAAAATGGTGCATAGGAAAGAGGATCTACTTGGGCAGACGCTTTCATGAGTAACCACTGTAGCTTGAAGAAGTCACTTAACCTCTTTGAGTCTCAGTTCCCTGCTAGTAAAATGAACTCCCTTACCTTCCACTTTCCCCGGGTAGAAGAATCAAATGTCGTGAGACATAACACTTTGGCAAACACACAAACTGCTAATACCAATGGAACGTTTTTTACAAATAAAATTAAATAGACATTTGTGGAATGCCTAGGTTCCAAGAACTTTCATATATCCTGAAGTATTTAATCTTCACAATAAGTCAATGAGGTGGCACCTGGACTCCTACTTCACCAAGGAGGAAACTGAAACTAGGCAGTTAAGGCGATGCCCGGCCAGGCGCGGTGGCTCACACCTGTAATCCCGGCACTTTGAGAGGCCAAGGTGGGCGGATCACGAGGTCAAGAAATCGAGACCATCTTGGGCAACATGGTGAAACCCCGTCTCTACTAAAAATACAAAAATTAGCCGGGCGTGGTGGCGGGGGCCTGTAGTCTCAACTACTCGGAAGGCTGAGGCAGGAGAATCACTTCAACCTGGGAGGTGGAGGTTGCAGTGCACGCCACTGCACTCCAGCCTGGCGACAGAGCAAGACTCCGTCTCAAAAAAAAGAAAAGGGGGGCGCTGCCCAAAGGCACCCAGCATAGAGGGAAAGAAGCAAGGATTCCCCTCCTTCTCTCCCCATGTGTGAGTAGCCAATGTGCCTGTTCTAATTCCCCGTTTGAATCAGATGACCACAGCAGAAAAGCAGCATGCAAGAGTAGGAAACTGTTGACAATTTTTCCTAAATAGCCACTTTTCTCTTAACGACAGACTAACTAAATCAGAAGCCACTGAGCCTTGAAAATCCTAATTTTATTGGCACTACACGGAGTATTCATCTGAGAAGCAGATGTGCTGACTGCTCCCAGGCATCTTACAGGAAAGTTTATATTTCACCCTCCATAGTCACCATGATGGATCAGACCCTATGGATTTACTTAACAACCGCAGAATTAAATCTGGCTAACACCGAGGCAACTGGGTTTAAATCTGCCAGATGATTTTTAAAAACAAAACAAAACAAAAACCTTAAACAGCGCTATATCACAAATCGCTATTTCCAAGCACACACTTCCTAAAACAAAACAGTCCTCAGCAGATTTTGCTGTTTTGCCCTGTAAAACACTTTCTCAGTTATATAAAACTACAAATTGCAATCTGAAGGCTTTGCAGGCTTGAATTTCCATCTTCCCTGAAAATTTCTGAGGATACAGAATTAAATTTGGACATCTTTCTCTCAGGCTTTTTGTATTGTGCCTGCCAAATGAAACATTTTTTCCTTTGTATGCTTGGCTTTATGACACTTACCGCATTTTAGAGAAGTCACCACAGGATACAATTGTATGCAATAAACTTATGTGGCTAAAGACTGATCTTTTAAAACAACATCTTATCCACCTCCCTCCATGCTTTGTACTTTGCTGTGACAATATTGCCTATCTGAAGCCTTGCCAAAAAGATATTTCTAATTTAGTTTCTGTTTGCAAACCAACAACCAATTTGATACAAAATATCACTTTAAAAAGGTATTCATGGGCCTTGTGTGGTGGCTCATGCCTGTAATCCCAGCACTTCAGGAGGCGCAGGCAGACAGATCACTTGAGGTCAGGAGTTTGAGACCAGCCTGGCCAACATGGTGAAACCCCGTCTCTACTAAAAATACAAAAAAATTTAACAGGGCATGGTGGCACTTGCCTGTAATCCCAGCTACTCAGGAGGCTGAGGCAGGCAAATTGCTTGAACCCGGGAGGTGGAGGCTGCAGTAAACTGAGATCACACCACTGCACTCCACTCCAGCCTGGGTGACAGAGTGAGGCTCCGTCTCAAAAAAAAAAAAAAAAAAAGGTACTCACGGCAAGAGGAAACTTTCGGGGATGGAAGAAGTCATAACACTGGGTTGTGGTGATGGATGCACAACTGCATACATTAACTCAAAAGCAGCATAGTTACAGTGGGCAAGTTTTATGATCTATAAATTATACCGCAATAAAGCTGTTTAAAATATATGCCCATGATTCACGAAGTGAGATTTTTCAGATTTTAAGTGTTAGTCATATTCATATTAAAAGCATTGGTTTAGGCTAGGCGTGGTGGTTCATGCCTGTAATCCCAGCACTTTGGAAGGCCAAGGCAGGCCAATTGCTTGAGCCCAGGAGTTCAAGACCAGCCTGTTAAACATGGCGAAACCCAGGTTGGCGAAACATCTCTATAAAAAATACAAAAATTAGCCGGCCATGGTGACGTGCGCCTGGCCAAGTAGCCTCCCAGCTACTTGGGAGACTAGGGTGGGAGGACCACCTGAGCCCACTGCACTCCAGCCTGGGAAGCAGAGTAAGACCCTGCCTCAAAAAAGCCTCAGAAAAAAAAAAGGGGGGGGCAAAACAAAAACCATTGATGTTTTTTCTTTCTGTGCTGCAAAGGTATTTGTCTAAAACAGGCTTTCTCAACTTCTGTTAATTCTATTAATATTTTGGACCAGATAATCATTCGTTGGGGGGAGTTGTCCTGTGCATTGTGGGATGTATAGCAACATTACTGGCCTCCACTCACTAGTTGCCAGTTGCATTCCCTCCTCCCAACTGCAAAGATTGAAAATGTCTCCAGACATTGTCAAATGTCCCTTGGGAGGTTAAATAGCTCCTGGGTGAGAGCCACTGCTCTAAATGCTGACAAATGAAAAAGACAATTTGCTCTCTGGGGGAGTGACTGACAAATACAAAGGTGTTGGGGGCGCTCTCCAACTATAAGGCTTGTTCTAGTGCCCCACCCACCAGCCCTTAGCCAACAGAGGATGCTTTTTGTTTTGTGGTGGCACATCTACCTCTGCTCTCTGTATATTCTACAACCAGTGCTACTTCTAGATTATAAATCATTATTATTATTATTTTGAGACAAGGTCTAGTGCAGTGGCATGATCTCAGCTCACTGTAACTTCTGCCTCCCAGGCTCAAGCCATCCTCCCACCTCAACCTCCTGAGTAGCTAGGGACTACAGGCACGCACCATCATGCCCGGCTAATTTTCGTAATTTTTGTAGAGACAGGGTTTCACCATGTTGCCCAGGCTGGTCTCGAACTCGTGAGCTCAAGTGATCCGTCTGCCTTGGCCACCCAAACTGCTGGGATTACAGGCACAAGCCACCATGCCCTGGGCCTATTTTTTCAATTAAGACTAATTTTATAGTCCTGTACCCATGAAACTCCTTAAATGTGGCACCTTGCCGAGAACCCAAGCAACTGGGTTCTCCATAAATGCTTTGTGGCCACTGACTCTGATATACGAGTAAAGCACCAGGCAATTCCGTTTATTTAGCCAGCATTAACCTAGCATCTTTATGTTCTAGGAATTCTGGGGACACTTTTTTCTTTTAACTTTAAGGTTGAAGTCATGATCACCACTTTATACATGCAGTCATTGAGGCTCAGAGAAAAACTAAGTGACCTGTGCCTAAGATCACACAAGTGGCAGAGCTGGGGTGGATTCAGGACTGAGTCTGTTGCTCTTACTTGACTTTCAAGTTAACAGCGTCTCCCCTACCTTCTGAGGGCTTGCCATGGGCAAGACACCATGCTGGATGTCTAATACAGCCCATTTTAAATCCTCACTGTTATGCCATGAGGCGGGTAACATCATTCCTTTACAGACAGGGAAATAAAGGCTTAAATGAAATCCTTATCCAAGGTTGCAGAGCTGGATATCCCAAAATTTGAATTCAGATTAGCCTGAACTCTGAAGCCCATGTTCTTAGCCACTATACCCTATTGCCTCCTCTTACGTATTAATATAAATGGCCTGCTCCTTTAGGAAGGGTTAGTCAATGGGTTTTGTTTCTCTTTTGAAGTTAGTAGATGATATACTTTAATTCAAGAAGATTTGGATTTGGCCTACTCATACATTCACTTGGGGTTTCTTTTATAACATTAAAAACCCAATCCCAAGCAGGCATGGTGGTGCAGGCCTATAGTCCCAGCTACCCAAGAGGCTGAGGTGGGAGGATCACCTGAGTCAAGGAGTTCAAGGCTGCAGTGAGCTATGATCGTGCCAGTGTACCCCATCCTGGGCAACAGAGCAAGACCCTGTCTCTAAAATAAATAAATAAATAAATAAATAAATAAATAAATAAATAAATAAATAGGCCAGGTGCAGTGGCTCACACCTGTAATCCCAGCGCTTTGGGAGGTGGAGGCAGGCAGATTGCTTGAGCCCAGGAGTTGGAAACCAGCCTGGCAAACATGGCGAAACCCCATCTCTACCAAAAAAAATACAAAAATTAGCCAAGTATGGTGGTGCATGCCTGTGGTCTCAGCTACTCAGGAGGCTAAGGTGGAAGGATCACTTGAGCCTGGGAGGTACAGGTTGCAGTGAGCCAAGATCACGCCACTGTACTCCTGCCAGGGTGACAGAGCGAGACCCTGTCTCAAAAAAATAAATAAATAAATAACCCAATCCTATCAATATCTGTGGGACACCTAGAACTGTCCTATATGACAAATCTCTACTTAGTTGTCAAGAAGTGATTAAGTTAAAATTCCACAACTGCTAACATCACAGCTAATCATTTCTTCCATTTTCTCTTCTCTGGTTCATTCGCTTAGTCAATAACCGCATGGCTAAGAATCTATTCAAAGATTCTAAATGCACATCAAATAATCATACAAATCATAAAAATCATAATATAAGCACCAGGAAGAGTACAGATGAATTTGGATAATTTCTAATGGGAAGGCTGCTCAGGGGGGTAAAGGAAAGGCAAGGAATCTGAGTTCTATAGGAAGGGTTGGGAGTTAATTTTAAAATGTGGAAAGAAGAGCTTCCAGTCCCAGTGAACAGCATGTGCAAAGCCCCTCACCCCACCTCACCCCCGACTAGGTGAAAGGAAACCATGTGCCTGAACCCTCGATAAGGAGCCACAGATAGCAGTAGCCAGGCCATGCAGGGCCTTGTGGACCACAATAAAGAGAAATTAAAGGGCCTGAAGTGTGGGTATAACATGGTCAGATCTACTTTATTTTATTTATTTATTTATTTTTTTTTTTAGGGAGAATCTTGCTCTGTCACCCAGGCTGGAGTACAGCGGTGCAATCACAGCTCACTGCAACCTCTGCCACCACGCCTGGTTAATTTTTTATTTTTTGTAGAGACGAAGTCTCACTATATTGCCCAGGATGGCCTCAAATTCCTGGACTCAAGTGATCCTCCCGCCTCGGCCTCCCAAAGTGCTGGGATTACAGGTCTGAGCCACTGCGCCTGGCCTAGATCTACATTTTTAATGAACACAGAACCAAAATGACTCTGAAGCAACCTTTACCAGGACACAGTTCAAAGATCTGGATCCTGCGAAACAAGTTTGTTTGTTTCTTTTCTTTTTTCTTTTTTTTTTTTCTTTTTCTATTCTCTGGGGTGTGGCACGTCACCCTGGCTGACTTAGCTCCCTTCTTTTTTGGTTTCGTTTGTGAAGTTTAAAGGCCAGATTTATATCAGGCCTGGGACCTGTTTTTCTTTCAAAAGCCCCCCAGTGAACTACCTTATCTCTTTCTAGATCCCTCCTCATTCTCTAATCTCTCTAATCTAACTTGCCAAGGGGCCTGTGGCAAAGGTAGAGCAATCTGTCCTTTTGGGCTTGCTCATATTAAGTGCAGAAACAAGCTGAGAGAGAACCACAGATTTTGCTCTCTTACACTCCCTCGTACCCAATCAAGTCCAGTTAAATTTTTTTTTTTTTTAAAAAAAGCAAATCTGAGATAATGTCACTCTCCAGGTTAAGATTCCTGCACTCCTCAGTGCCCTCTTGGCCACGCACCCCAGCCGGTGGCCCTAGGCAACAAAGGTCTGGCTCAGTTGGCCCACCTCCAAGCTTCCACAACTGCTTTCAGTTTCTCCACTACAAGAAGCTTCACCCCACCCCACTCTGCCCTGCCAAGAGTTCTTAGCAGCCACTGACACTTCCTCCAGGAAGCCAATCCCACCCTACCAGTGCCCCAGTCTATGAACTGTCCTGCTCTGGGTCCGCAACTACTCCAAGAAAGTAGTTTTTCTGAACTTCTCTGTAATTTTGGTTCACTGCCCTCATCCCTAGGCCCCCAACACATGCATACACACACATGCACTTGTGCACACACACAATAAGTAACTCCTGAAGGACAAATTCTGTGTGTCATAGGCCCAGCACCTAGCCCAATGCCTGACACCCAGTTGGTAACCCTCTAAATATTTACTGAATGAATGGATACATAAAAATGAACACTTTCAGCCAGGCATGGTGGCCCATGCCTATAATCTCAGCACTTTGGGAAGCAAGGCGGGCAAATTGCTTGGGCTCAGGAGTTTGAGAACAGCCTGGGCAACAAGGTGAAACCCTATCTCTACAAAGAATACAAATAATAATAATAATAGTGTACTGGCGCATGCCTGTAGTCCCAGCTACTCAAGAGGCTGATGTAGGAGGATCACCTGAGCCCAGGGAGGTTGAGTCTGCAGTGAGCTACGATCATGCCACTGCACTCCAGCCTACGTGGCAGAGTGAGACCCTGTCTCAAAAAAAAAAAAAGACGTTAAAATAAATTTTCTCTTTCTCTTGTTGGGTCATGAAAGTGACCAGGAAACACTCAAATCCCACTTGGAAGTGGTGCTACATCTCACCCATGGAAATTTGAAAAGATCAAAAATATCAATGCAGGCCACATATGCTCATGGTTTTAGACAAAACCAAAACTTCAGGAAAGTTTTCAGATATTAAAGCTACAGCAGGCAGCAGGAAGTCTTTAAGAGGTGCTGGTGATGAGAACCCAATAAATAAATTTTAAAATAAAGCCAGAACAGAAACACTGAGTTGAGACAGTTCCTGCATGAGCCCACTTTGGCTGCGAAACGCCAAGGCCACCAAGTAATTGACCTTGCTCTTTTTTTTCATAGGTTTTTGTGGAACAGGTGGTGTTTGATTACATAAGTTCTTTAATGGTGATTTGTGAGATTTTGGTGTAGTCATCACCCAAGCAGTATGCCCTGTACCCATGACCTTGTTCTTAATTCTGTACATAGCTCGCCCTTCTGCCTACTACAGTCGGTGTCCTGTTCTCATTCGTCTAATGCCCTTCATGATCAACTCCTGGGCTTGCACCTTTCTTAGAAGCACACTCCCCACTTCATCTTTTTTGCATTCCTTCTTCAGAAATAACCACATAGCATTATTATTTGTTTCTGTCTTTTCTGCTAAAATCAAAGGGGACAAATAATATATTGTCCAGGTCTGAATTGGAATGTGGTCTGTGGACTAGCATAGCATCACTTGGGAGTTTGTCAGAAATGCAAACTCTCAGCTTCCACCTCAGACCACCTGATTCATAATCAGCATTTTAACCAGCTTCCCCAGGAGATTCCCATGCACATTAAAGTTTGAGGAGCACTGGGCTAGATCCTACATTCACTCAACAAATATTTATTGAACCAGTGTAGGATACAGAGGTGCTTAACATAAACCTGAGCATATGGTGTGGAAAAAGAGCAAGCATAGACATTCCATTGTGACTGAGAAGCTCCTGCAAGTACCAAGAAGAGTATAACCTAGATGTTCTAGTAGAATAAATTATAGTTATGTCAAAATTCAGAAGTGGTCACTGCAGCTTGGTTGTGACAATCGGGAATCTGGAATCTGGGAACTTGACCCTCTTTACAGCAGGCAGGAAGAATACAGGGAGGTGTGAGTGTGTGTGAGTGTGTCTCTTCCCTGCCTCAGCCACAGGCCGCAGGAGCTGACAAGGCCAAGTCCCCGCCCCCCTCAGCTGTCACCCTGTCAAAACAAAGCCGCTGCTGACAGCGCAGGGCCAGCCTGCCCCGCGGCCTCGGGCAATCCTCCCACCTCGGGAACACAGCCTCCACATCTGGATCTGCAGCTGGAGGTGACAGGGTGCCTAAACTGGCATGGAGAGTGGGTAGCAAGAAATGGGTGTCCTCAAACTGAGCAGTAGCGCCCGCCGCGCTGGGCTGTCACTTTGCCAAATCCTGTTTACACCTCGAGCAGCTGGGACAGCGTTTTAACTAAACAAGTAATAATACAATAATGACAGGGCTGTCACCGCGCGCGGCAGTGCCTCCGCCCCCAGCCGAGGGCGCCAGGCACCACAAGACCCTCGCCTCGGACTCTGCCCACCTTCCCACCCCGCGCTTTCCTCCCCTTCGCTTTCCCAAAGCGCCAGGAGTCCGGGAGTCTTCTCCACCCCCACTCCTTGCACCCAGTTCCTCCCAGTGGGACACAGGAAGGGATCGATTGCAGAAGGGACCACTCAGTCCCCCAAAAGATTTTTCCTTGCCCCTGGGTCACCCGCCACATGGAGAGCACCGCTCCACTCCCGGGAAAGTGACTCCAGCGAGCTCCTACAGAGCAACAAAACCCCAAGGTAGCCCGGGAGCTCGGATGCCGAAGCTACTCCTTTCAAGCGGAAGGAATGAAGGGCTCTCCGTCTTAGTGATCCCCCTTCTTCAAACCCAGCAGGACTCTTATCCAAGAAGAAGCTAATTGGGCGCGGGCGACAAGAGCACTTCCGCGGTGCAGCGGCCCCAGGCGGGAGGCGAGAGGCAGGAGGCGGGAGGCGGAGGTGGAAGCGGGAGGGGGAGGGGGGTCCCGCGGGCTGGGCCCCTAGCACCCATCCGCGGTCCGAGAGCGGCGAGCGCGTACCTTGCAGGCGGAGTACACTCCGAGTTTCTCCAGTTTCTTGGCCCGCGGAGCGGAGCGTAGTTGCGCTTTCTTCACGGCGATTCGGGCCGAGCCACCGCCTCCCGGTCCTTCGGCCGTGCCCGCTGCAGCCACTGCCGTCGCCGGACCGCAGGCGCCCGAGCCCCCGGCGGCAGCGGCGCAGGGGGAGCCCTGCGGGGGCGCGGGCGGAAGCGCCGCAGGCTGCGGGGGCAGCGCCCCGGGCCCGGCCCCTGCCCCGGCTCCTGCCCCGCAGCCGCCCGGCCCGGCCCCGCCAGCCTCGGACATGCCGCCCCGGAGCACGGCAGGAGGCGCCGAGTGTCAGGCGCCGCCGCCGCCGCCAGGGTCTCCCTCTCGGGCTCTGGTAGTCGGGAGAGCGAGACCCTCCCCCCACGCCCTCCCGCCCCCTTCGCCCACCCCCCTCCCCGCCCCCGCCCTCCCCCTAGCGCGCCGCTCGCCCGGCTCGCTCTGGCCGGGCCCCGCGCGCTGATGGTGGTGGCGGCGGCGGCAGCGGCGGCAGCTGCTCCCCCAGGAGGGAGGGGACTAGCGGCTCCGCTGCCGCTGCCGCCGCCGCCACAGCACACGCCCTCCCTTGGTTCTCCTGCCCGGGACTCTGCTCCGCGCCCTGGCTGCGGACATGTTCCTCGGGACTGCGGACTAGGTGTGCGTGCCGGCGGCTGCCAGCCTCACGGTGTCTGCCAGCGCTGGGAGGCCCCCCACGGCCTCTTTTCCGCTGCCCGCGGGGTTTGCACCCCCCACCCCAGTGCTTCGACACCTACCGCTCGCCCGCCAGGGGGCGAGGCCAATCCCTGGGTGTGGGTGAGGGTGGGGACGAGGGTGGGGGTAGGGGCCTGGAGCCCAGGCACCTGCTGGCCACCTCCCCCCTCCGCGGCCCCCCATCCGACCCCCGCACGCCTGCACCAGTGGGAGGGGGCAGCCTCTCAATCATTTGTCCTTTCACTCTCTTCCACCCTGTCTCTGACAGAGAGACAACTTCCTCCACCCTAGCGGGAGCCAGAGGAAAAAAAATATATTTTTGAAAAGTACCCGTCCATGCTAATCTTTTTCTTTGTTGCTAATTCACCAAAATAAAGACGTGATGTTCTCCCTTTCTCTTTTTAAATACTTTCTGTCAAACTATTTTTTAATATAATTAACACTTTCTTCCCATAGCAATTTCTGGGTCAAATCTGCCGGAGGAGGGGAAAAAAACTTACTATTCTCTGTAATTTTTGTTTGAAAGTGCTGGTTGCTAAAAGAAAGATTGTCTAAAAAGCATTGTCAAAAACTATGCAGTGGAAAAAGTTTGAATACAAAAAGTTTGTTAACAGGATTCGTTTCTGGGTGGTGGTTCTATAACGTTACGTAGTTTTCAAAATTGTGCCACCGCGTGCGTATTAACCAGGAAAAAGATATAAGCATAATTCAAAAGAATAAATATCGATTTTGGCCTCAAACTTTAAAAAGAAAAAAAAAACCCTCAACTCAGTGTTTCCAACTCTTGTTGAAAACTGTTGTTTTCACTGTTGATGACTGTGGAGCATACAAGTCAGTGCTGCGTTTGAAAGTGGTGTACCGTTGATCGCCTTCTTAAGCAGGTTTTAAAAGCCCAGGGCTTTTTCTCAGGACCCTTCAGAAGTGCCCTACTTTTTGTTATATGCAATGTGGGTCATAATGTGCTTATTATCAGATTTTATGCATGCTGTATAGCTCTCAGGCCAGACGCTTTAAGGGGTGTGCTTTTCGTGGGAAACATTCCCCTTCTTCTTTTTCCAGATTCTCTGTGTTATTTTGACTTGTAATGCAGGTTAATATATAAACATTGGGAGGTGGGGGAGTTTGTAGATCTAAACAGTGATATTAGCTTAGACAGGGCAAAAGGCAATATTCTCTCCCAACTTGAGTCCAGTCTTGAGGGGATGAAATGGCAGATTCTTATCAGGTTCCATTCAGGACAATTAATTTCAGTGCTTCCTTTCTTAGCTTGACGTGCTTCACGTTACCAGTGTTACTCTCTCCTGGCTCTGCTGAGATGTTTCGCAGATTTTTGCCATTCTCCGCAAAGCAGGGTGAGAGTCTTAAAGGCTGTGCTTCTCTGATCAACCTCTAACATGGATTTAACAGATACTAATAAGAGCTTGGGTTCCACCTTGCAGGCATTTGTCAAACTGATGGAATGATCCACTTGAGATCTGTACATTTCACTGGATATAAATGTTGCCTCAAAAATTTTTAAAAAAAGAAAAATCACAAGCATTGAACTCTAATGGTGCTCTTTGTACTTTGAGATACATCAAAAATAAGATGTATGGATGCCTCCATGCATGGGTAAAGGGTGGATGAACAGAGATATGATAAAGCAAATAGGGGTCCATATAATAGAGTCTAGGTAATGGGCACAGTGCGCAATTCTTTCAACTTTTCTGTATGTTTGAAAATTTTCACAGTGACAATTGGGGGAGGGAACCCAGATTTAACATTAAGTCACCTATCAACTCCTCCTCCCAAGCGTCCCTCAGAATTCAGGAGGCAGACAATTTCCAGGATGTTTTGAAGCAGAAGTAGCCAATCTCCTTTCAATCCACTCTGAAAACCATCACTGTCTGAGTGGCGAATGGCTTGTGCCATTAACTGAACATTATTTTTCATTATTTCCCTGCTCAGAGTACCCAGATGACATACTGCCTTAGGCTGAAGGCCCGTGGTTTCAAGACCTATTCAAAGTGTGTTATGAGCACCAGGCAAGGAAATTTCAAGGGCAAAGGATTCAGGAGGCTTATTGCTTTTCCATAATTAGGTTGTTGTAAGCATTCAGTGTGCTCTTTCTGTGCACACAGTACTTTTAAGAAATAACTACCAAGAAAATAAAAGGCAATGTTTTCATTTACAAAGTATTTACCACTTACTGAGGTAAAGAAGCTACATTCAGAAAATAAAAGCTTGGAGAGTGGGCATGGTAGAGGCAGGCTGACCACTGGAGGTTACTTGTGGTATATTCACACAACAGAATATTTTATACCTGTTATACACAATGACCTTTATAAAAATATAATAACATAGATCTCTAAGAAACACTGTTGAATAAATCTCAGTGCAGCATAATACCATTTATGTTAAAAACAAACTCACATTGACATATAAGCACAATTTTGTATATGTTCAATAAATGCATGGGAAATTCAAAAGTAAGGGAAAGATTTAAAAAGGTACATAGCAATAAAATAAAATTTCAACTTCAGAACACGAGATTATATAACAAGAAGTTGATAAGGTCCACCCCTTCCCATTCTCCCTGGTGCTGCAGTATACTTCAGCCAAACTCAGGAAATGCTTTCCTACCTCAGGGCCTTTGCATTTGCTGTACTATGTGGATACCCTCCACCAAACAGCATGGCTAACCCTATTCATCTGGTATTCCTTGCTCAGAGATGCCTTCCTAAAAAAGGCAAGTTTTGTGGCCATCTATTGTTATATCATCTAGCAGAGTTTCTTGCCATATTCCTTCCTACCAAGGCTATACAGCTTCTGTAATGTACCAGTAACCCTGAATCCCACAGATGGATTGAAATTATCCCCAGTAAAGGCACAGACTGTAAGGGTACAGATCAAGTGGTCAAAGTGCAGGTTTGGCCCAGTACATGGACCATGACTGACATTCTTCCCAGACACCTGCTTTTAGAAACAGCAGTTGGATATGAGTGTAAAATAAAGAGACATGTCAATGCCTAAGTGGGGCTCCTTGGGCCAACCTTCCTCTGAGGGAAGTGGCTATAATTACTGAACATTTATTTTAAATTAAATAAAATAAATCCTCCTAGGAAAAAAGTTTTGAAAATAATAAATGAATCCTAGGATGAGGAAACATAAAATCCCCTTCCCTAGTTTTCAAGCATTTATGAATTAAATCATTTCCAGTGTGAATCTTAACCATGCCCCAAATACCATTAGTGCTTTCTTTTTTTTTTGAGACAGAGCCTCGCTTTGTCGCCTGGGCTGGAGTGCAGTGGCGCTATCTCGGCTCACTGCAACCTCCATCTCCTGGGTTCAAGCGATTCTCCTGCCTCAGCCTCCCGAGTAGCTGGAATTACAGGCGCCCACCATCACGCCCAGCTGATTTTTTATATTTTTGGTAGAGATAGGATTTCACCATGTTGGCCAGGCTGGTCTCGAACCCCTGACCTCGTGATTCACCCGCCTTGGCCTCCTAAAGTGTTGAGATTACAGGCGTGAGCCACCATGCCCAGCGCCATTAGTGCTATTTTATTCAACCTTTTTTTTTTTCTTTTTGAGGCAGGGTCTAGCTCTGTCACCCAAGCTGGAGTGCTGTGTTATGATCAAGGCACACTGCAGCCTCGACCTCCTGGGCTCAAGTAATCCTCCTACCTGAGCCTCCCAAGTAGCTGGGACTACAGACATGTGCCACCACACTCGGCTACTTTTTTTTTTTTTTCCAATTTTTATTAGAAACAAGGTCTCAATATGTTGCCCAGACTGGTCTCTCACTCCTGGCCTCAGCAGTCTTCCTGCCTGGGCCTCCCAAAGTGTTGGGATTACAGCCATGAGCCACTGCACTACCCAACCTTATTTATTTTAATTCTTAGTTATCCTTAGTAACAATCTTCTATTATTAATATGAATAGACCTAAGTATATTTGGCTAAGCCTTGCCCTTGTAAAGACAGAGGGGTTTTTTTATATTGCTTTCTGTTTTAAATATTAACGCATACTTATTTCACCAGTTTACTTACCATTTACAATGAAAGTACAATGTAAGTAAAAGAAATAAAGTCGGCTTTCTTCTGAATTCAGGCTAAATGACTTTCTACTTTTCCAAAGCAGCACATGAGAATTTATTGTTTCAAGCACCTTGAAAATTATATAAGGAAATCAAATTTCCAAAGAACCGACTTTGGTGTGACCTAGATTTTCTGGAATGATATGAACATCATAAATTGTATTCCTGTTAGTGCCAGATAATTGTTTAAAATAAACCTGAGGGATTCTAATTCCCTAAATATATAAAAACATTCATATATATAGTTTCACAAATTAGGGAAAAAATCTTTCTCAAAACAGGTTTTCTAATTTAGGGTCCCCTTATAAGGGAAGCCTTTAGTATAAAAGGCTTCAATTCCTTAATCCTAATTCCTGATTGGCTGAGCACACTGCCACTGACCTTTTAAGCCTAAAATCAAAGCACAGAGTAGTGTGTTCCAATGTATAAAATAGGTGCTATACATCAGCAAATGCTTTGGCTAAGAAAAACAAAGAAAAATGACGATTGTTCAGTATAGTAACATTATATCCCTTCAAAACCACAATAGTTTTATATTGTTATAAAATATTTCAAACATATTGAAAAATAAAGTAATATATTTGTATATTCACCAACCAGATTTTTAATGTTTTCATTTTCCATAAACATATATAATAAATATGTAATTAAAGACTGCTCTTTTATATCTCTCTTTATCTCATTTCCCAATTGCCTGCCCACCCCAGAAGTAAATATGTACGGAAGTGTATCTTTGGTCATGTTTTTTGATGTTTGCAAAATAAACCCATGGAGAAGGATCAAGTGAACTTTCACCGTTAAAGGCTAGATGAAGATATTTGAGGCTTTGTGGGACGCGGTCTCTCACAACTACTCAACTCTGCCAGGGTCTCATTTCTAGGAAAGGACATGTGTTTATCCTACATAGTTAAAAATCAAGCAAGATGTTAGTATAGAAGTACTCACCAAATGCTCCCATCTTTTTTGTTATTGTCTATAATTTTTTATCTACATTTTTATGACACAAACTGACTTCTGATTTTACCACAGTATATAAGTTTGCTAGGGCTTCCATAAGAAAGTACCACAGATTGGGTGGCTTAAACACAGAAATTTATTTCTTCAGAATTCTGGAGGCTAAAAACCCAAGATCAAGGTGACAGCAAGATTGGTTTCTTCTGAGGCCTCTCTCCTTGGCTTGTGGATGGTGGTTTTTCTCCGGTGTTTTCATGTGATCTTCTCTCTGTGTGTTTCTGTGTTCTCATCTCTTCTTCTAGGGATGCTAGTCATATGGGATTAGGGCCCACCTTAATGACCTCATTTAACCTTAACTACCTCTTTAAAGACAATCTCAAAATACAGTCACATTCTGAAGTACTAGGGATTAGAATTTCAATATATGAATTTTGGAGGGACACAATTCAGCCCACAACATGCAATCAATAGATCATTAACATTTCCAATGTATTTTAATGATTCCCATGCTCAATATACTCCTTCACTCTACATTGGCTTTTTTTCTTGCTAAACACATCCTTCAGCAGTTCTTTCCGGAAGGATCTAAACCACTACTTAGCTAGTCTTCTACTCAGGGAAGGCCTTAATCTGTAGTAGTTGAAACACCTGCCAACAAATGTGCATTATATTTGGCTAGGTTGAGTTTAATATTTTTATTAGCTTGTAAAGAAAAATGACATCTTCTACTCCAAATAGCATTTGACATCAATTTTTTAAAATAAGCTTTTATGCATTTTTTCACACTGAAAGAAAAACGAAAGAAACAAAAGGAGACAAAGCCCAATATATATGTGTCTTCAGCTGTTTTTGTCTTTCTGTTCTGGAATATTTATTCTATTTTTTCAGCAAGTTTTTTTTTTTTTTTAAGATAATATGAGCCTGGGCAATATAGCAAGACCTGGTCTCTACAAAAAATAAAAAAGCTACCTGAGAATGGGGGCACATACCTGTAGTCCCAGCTACTTGGGGGGTTAGGCAGGAAGATGGCTTGAACCCAAAAGTTCCAGGTTGCAGTGAGCTATCCTCCAGTGTGGGAGGATAGAGTGAAACCTTATTTCTAAAATAAGCAAATAAATAAAATAAAAGACAATATGCTTTAGTTAAGTACACTAATTTTAATTGTTCAGCTCAGTGAATTTTTATATATGGATACACTTGATTCCTCACCAGCCAGATCAATATATATAGAACATCCCCAGTGCTAGAAAGGCTTCCTGGCTGGGCACAGTGGCCCACACCTGTAATCCAGCACTTTGAGGGGCCAAGGCGGGCAGATCACTTGAGGTCAGGAGTTCGAGACCAGCATGGCCAAAATGGCAAAACCCGTCTCTACTGAAAACACAAAAAATTAGCTAGGCGTGGTGGCATGCGCCTATAATCCCAGCTACCTGGGAGGCTGAGGCAGGAGAATCGCTTGAAACCGGGAGGCATATGTTGCAGTGAGCCCATATCACGCCACTGCACTCCGGCATGGGCAACAGAGCAAGACTCCGTCTCAAAAAAAAAAAAAAAGACTTCCTTTTGCCCCCTTCTAATCAACATCCTAAGACAATTGCTATTCTGGCTTATATAGTCTTGCCTATTCATAAAATTCATATAAAAATAACACAGCATGGACTCTTGTTGTTGGGCTCCTTTTTATTTTATTTATTTATTTATTTATTTAGATGGAGTTTTGCTCTTGTTGCCCAGGCTGGAGTACAGCGGCGCAATCTCAGCTCTCTGCTACCTCCGCCTCCCAGGTTCAAGCAATTCTCCTGTCTCAGCCTCCCAAGTAGCTGGGATTATAGGTGCCTGCCACCATGCCTGGCTAATTTTTTTTTTTTTTTTTTTTTTTTTTTTGTATTTTTAGTAGACACAGGGTTTCACCATGTTGGCCAGGCTGGTCTTGAACTCCTCACCTCAGGTGATCCACCCACCTCGGCCTCCCAAAGTGCTGGGATTACAGGCGTGAGCCACCACTCCTGGCCTCCTTTTTAAAGATATTATGTTTATAAAGTCCATCCTGCTGTTCCATGTAGCCATGTCACTTTTTTTGTTTGTTTGCTTGTTTGTTAGATTTTGAAACAGCATCTCACACTGTTGCTTAGGTTGGATCGCCAAGATTGGAGTGCAGTAGTGCAATCATGGCTTACTCCACCCTTAATATCCAGGGCTCAACCAGTCCTCCCACCTCAACCTCCTAAGTAGCTGGGGCTACCTGGAGGCGCTACTACACCTGACTAATTTTTATTTTTTGTAGAGACAAGGTTTCACCATGTTGACCAGGCTAGTCTTGAACTCTTGGGCTCAAGTGATCTGCCTACATCGGCCTCCCAAAGTGCTCACCTTATAGGCATGAGCCACCATGCCTGGCCTCATGTCACTTTTTTAAATTGCCATATAGTATTCCACTGTATGACTCTACCACAATTTACCCATTTTCTTGTTGATAGACATTTCTAGTTTTTTACTATTATGAATAAAGTTGTTATGACTGTTCTTTTTTTTTTCTTATGAGACGGAGTTTCACTCTTGTTGCCCAGGCTGGAGTACAGTGGTGCAATCTCGGCTCACTGCAACCTCCGCCACCTGGGTTCAAGCAATTCTCCTGTCTCAGCCTCCCAATAGCTGGGATTATAGGCACCTGACACCACGTCTGGCTAATTTTTAGTAGAGATGGGGTTTCATCATATTGGTCAGGCTGGTCTCGAACTCCTGACCTCAGGTGATCCACCCGCCTCGGCCTCCCAAAATGCTGGGATTATAGGCATGAGCCACCACGCCCGGCCCACCATTATGACTATTCTTAAATGCCTTCTTGTAGTCATATGCACTCATTCCTCCAGGGCATATACCTAGGGGTATGGTTGCTGAATCATAGCAAAAATGTATTACAGCTTTAATAGATACTTCCAGTTTTGCTAAGTGATCATACCAGTTTAAACTCCTATCCCCAGTGTATAAAAATGACAGTGTTGGCTGGGCATGGTGGCTTACACCTGTAATCCCAACGCTTTGGGAGGCCGAGGCAGATGGATCACTTGAGGCCAGGAGTTTGATACCAGGCTGACCAATATGATGAAATCACATCTCTACTAAAAATACAAAAATTAGCTGGGCATGGTGGCTTGCACCTGTAATCCCGGCTACTCAGGTAGTCACTTGAGCCCAGGAGGCAGAGGTTGCAATGAACCAAGATTGCACCACTGCACTCCAGCCTGGGTGACAGAAGGAGACTGTCTCAAAAACAAAAAGAAAGTGGCCAGGCACAGTGGCTCGCTCCTGTAATCCCAGCACTTTGGGAGGCCGAGGCAGGCGGATCACTTGAGGTCAGGAGTTCAAGACCAGCCCAACCAACATGCTGAAACCCCGTCTCTACTAAAAATACAAAAATTAGCCGGGCGCGGTGGCAGGCGCCTGTAATCTTAGCTACTCAGGAGGCTGAGGCAGGAGAATTGCTTCAACCCTGGAGGCGGAGGTTGCAGTGAGCTGAGATTGCACCACTGCACTCCAGCCTGGGTGACAGAGCAAGACTCTGTCTCAAAAAAAAAAAAAAAAAAAAAAAAAAAGAGACAGAGAGAGAAAGGAAGAAAGAAAGTAAGACTGGGCAAATCCTCAAATCAATTTTGGCATTACCAATCTCTTTAGTTTTTGCCATTTTGGTGATATCTATTTGTGGCTAATACATTATAATGTTGAATGCTTTTTAAAACTTCATTTGCTTATTGGCATTTTGAATACCTCTTTTGTGAACTAAATGCCTGTTCAGATCTTTTCCCCAATTTAAAATTGGTTGTCTGTCTTTTTGTGACACTATAGGCACAAGCTACCGTACCTGGCTGCTTTTTCACTCTGTAAATAGTGTCCTTTAATTAACAGAAGCCCTTACTTTTATTAAAGCCTGATTTATCAATACAATTACCATTTCATAGTAGTGCTTTTGTGTCTTGTTTAAAAACGCTGTTCCTAAGCCATGGTTGTGGAGATATTCTCTTATGTGTTATTTGAGTTTTATTGCTCGCATCTTTTATATTTAGGGCCCTGTTGCTTCTCATCTAATTACTGAAGATAGCATGAGGCAACAGTCACCATATCTTAATAATTTTCTCTTTATATTTTATTTTTTATCTATCAGTGTTAAATATTTGGAGTAAAGGGAGTGCCTTATAGCACGACTCTGACCCCATAGCTCAAATTTTTTTTCTTTCTTTTTTTTTCTTTTCTTTTTTTTTTTTTTGAGACAGAGTTCTGCTCTGTCACCCAGACTAGAGTGCAGTGAGTGTTCTTGGCTCACTGCAACCTCTGCTTCCGGGGTTCAAGTGGTTCTCCAGCCTCAGCCTCCCAAGTAGCTGGGATTATAGGTGCCTACCACCATGACTGGGTAATTTTTGTATTTTTAGTAGAGACAGGGTTTCGCCATCTTGGCCAGGCTGGTCTTGAACTCCTGACCTGAGGTAATCCACCCTCCTGGGCCTCCCAAAGTGCTGGGATTATAGGCATGAGCCATGGCTCCCAGCCAGTATAGCTCAGTTTTTACTGTAAGTTCACTGTAGTGCTTTTAAAGAATATTATTTGTATCCCTTTAATGATTGTTCTTTAACTCTTATTTTTTTTCTTTTGAGACAGTGTCTCACTCAGTCACCCAAGCTGGAGTGCTGTGGCACTATTTTGGCTCACTGCAACCTCTGCCTCCTGGGTTTAAGCAATTCTCCTGCCTCAGCCTCCCGAGTAGCTGGGACTACAGGCGCCTGCCATCATGCCCGGCTAATTTTTGTATTTTTAGTAGAGACGAGAGTTCACCATGATGGCCAGGCTGGTCTCGAACTCCTGACCTCAAGTGATCCACACTCCTGGGCCTCGCAAAGTGCTGGGATTACAGGCATGAGCCACCGCGCCCAGTCTTTTAACTCTATTTTGTTTGTGTGTTTGTTTGTTTGTTTGTTTGAGACACAGTCTCACTCTGTTGCCCAGGCTGGAGTGCAGCAGCAGGATCTCAGCTCACTGCAAACTCCACCTTCAGGGTTCAAGCGATTCTCCTGCCTCAGCCCCTTGAGTAGCTGGGATTACAGGTGTGTGCCACCATGCCCGCCTAATTTTTTTGTATTTTTGGTAGAGACAAGATTTCATCATGTTGGCCAAGCTGGTCTCAAACTCCTGATTTCAAATGATCCGCCCGTCTCGGCCTCCCAAAGTGCTGGGATTACAGGCCTGAGCCACCCACCGCTCCCAGCCTTAACTCTTTTTTTAAAGCGGGATCACTCTTAAACTCAGGCAAGAGGAATCCTATGCCGGGTCGCATAGTCTAGAGAGCTCCTCATGTCATAAACACTAAAAAAAAAAAAGATGTGTGAAGCCGGGTGTGGAGGCTCACGCCTATAATCCCAGCAATTTAGGAGGCCTAGGCTGGTGGATCACTGGAGTTCAAGAGTTCCAGACCAGCCTGACCAACATGGCAAAACCCTGCCTCTACTAAAAATACAAAAAAAAATAGCCGGGCGTGGTGGCGGGCACCCTGTAATCCAGCTAGTCAAGGGGCTGAAGCAGGAGAATCCCTTGAGCCCGAGAGGCGGAGGTTGCAGTGAGCTGAGATTGTGCCGGGGCGACGGAGCGAGACTCCGTCTCAAAAAAAAAGGTGTGTGAGTTGTGAGATGGGGGTGGTGGTGTTAGTGTCAGTTGGTATGAGTTCTAGACAGGGCGACCTTGTAAACCTAGACATTCACCCTTCTGCCTAACAATCTGCAAGCCCCGGGCAGACGCACTTCCAGCATATTCCCTTGCCCTAGATCCTCAAAACAAAAGGCACCCGCATTGGAATGCTGAGAAGTTTTTTGGTGAAAGAGGCATGGCTTTGGAGTGCAGAAAGAATTTGAGTGGCAGGAGTACTTAGGTAAGAGAAAAGACAAATTAATTAACTTGTCAAATCCTCCTTCTTAGCATGAATGCAAAAGATTCTTGCATAACAAAGTATTGTTTCCCAGAGTGCCAAGCAGCCGATTTTTTTGCTTCTCTTTGTATTCCAATTCATGGTTCTGAAGATCCTCATGAATTAGCGCAGTGTTCACTAACGTGCACAGAGTGGCTGAGAAACATTTCGTAGTATAAATTCATTTTACCCTCACATTTGTATATATAGAGATCTAAATATTACATATGGGAAGCATGACATGGATTCTTTAGCAAATACGTGAACATTGAATGCAAAGACTAAACATTCTTAGAAAACAGCCTTCATGGTGGGGCAGGGTGGCTCATGCCTGTAATCCCAGCACTTTGGGAGGCTGAGGCGGACGAATGACCTGAGGTCGGGAGTTTGAGACCAGCCTGACTAACATGGAGAAACCCTCTCTCTACTAAAAATACAAAAAAAATTAGCCGGGTGTGGTGGCGCATGCCTGTAATCCCAGCTACTTGGGAGGCTGAGGCAGGAGAATCGCTTGAACCCGGGAGGCAGAGGTTGCCGTGAGCCGAAATCGTCCCACTGCACTCCAGCCTGGGCGACAAGAGCGGAACTCCTTCTCAAAAACAAAACAAAAAAAACCTTCATTCAAATTTGTAAAAAGCTAATAATATGTTCAGCTTTATTTAAAGATCTTTGACTAAAAATCTGAGAGTGACTAACCACTTCATTTGCCATTGAGTTTTGATAGATCATTTTGAATATTTTAAAAGAAAGAGAACTTTATGTGAAAAATAATTTTTAGATTTTTTTACATTTACTGTCATTCATATTTTCTGGATAAAAATACATTTAAAATTTGAACAGTTTGGCTGGGCATGGGGGCTCATGCCTGTAATCCCAGCACTTTGGGAGGCCAAGGCGGGCGTATTACTTGAGGTCAGGAGTTCGAGACCAGCCTGACCAACATGGTGAAACTCTGTCTCTAATAAAAATACAAAAATTAGCTGGGCTTGATGGCCTGTGCCTGTAATCCCAACTACTTGGGAGGCTGAGGCAGGAGAATTGCTTGAACCTGGGAGGTGGAGGTTGCAGTGAGCCAAGATCATGCCACTGAACTCAGCCTGGGCGACAGAGTGAGACTCTGTCTCAAAAAAAAAAAAAAAAAATGAACAGTTTAACTACAATTACATTTTAAACCATGCACATGTAATAACATTTTAGCCATGCACATATATTAATTTGAATTAAAAATTAAACAAAAAAGGAGGAAAAGAAGGTTGATAAGAAAAAAATAAGTGCTTAAAACAGTATTTGGCAAACGGTGCATTTTCAGTAAGTATTAGGAGTCGCCTTCTGCCACCCCTGCTTACTCTCTGTTAGTTTTAACCTGACATCAGATTAAACATCATTTCCCTTCCTCCTTCTTTTCCCACTCTCCACCCTCCAAATACAAACATACATATCCTGTTTGGAATTTGGTTGCTTTACGGAAACAAATCTAAAATTTGGAAGATAACAGAGCCAGAAGATTTGACAGGAGACATTAGAGAAACCTAGTTAAGGTCAAATGGAAAAATTAGAAGTTCAGTTGTTTAAAATGAACAACACTTTTTAGCACAATTCTGACATATAGCATTTGCCAGGCACTTCTTGGCCTAGTGAGAAGTAATGGGCACTGAGAAATATGGGTGGGACCAAAGGAAATTTAACTCATGCCAACAATTTGACTTACAGGTTGGGTTGCTAGCCCTCAGCAAAACCAAATGAAAGCTTCAGGAAGTTAGCACTACTAGCCACATCCGTACATCTTAAAACACACACCTGGAATGTTTTAACAGCTGGAATCCAATTTCTGAGGTGATTCATGAGAAAGTCAAATTTGATATAGCGTCCACCAATAATAAAACAACAAGAGTTGGCCAGGCGCGGTGGCTCACATCTGTAATCTCAGCACTTTGAGAGGTTGAGGTGGGTGGATCACCTGAGGTCAGGAGTTCGAGACTGGCCTGGCCAACATGGTGAAACTCCGTCTCTACTAAAAATACACAAATTAGCTGGGCATGTTGGTGGGCATCTGTAATCCCAGCTACTCGGGAGGCTGAGGCGGGAGAATTGCTTGAACCCGGGAGGCGGACATTGCAGTGAGCCGAGATTGCACCACTGCACCACAGCCTAGGCAACAGAGCGAGACTCTGTCTCAAAAAAAAAAAAGAAGAGCTAACGGTTTTGGAGAACCTACTGCATGTTAGGTACTGTGATAACCCCTTTTTGCAAAACACGCTATGTAATCCTACCAGGATAGAAAAAGCTGTTCTCATTTTACAGATGAGGAACCTGAGGCTCAGAGAAGTTAGATTATTTTCACCAGAGTCTATTCTGCACTTAACACTTTGGTTTTCAGCCAATAACAATTGTGGCTACCATCTATTTACTTTTTATTTATTTAATTAATTAATTTTTTGAGACAAAGCTTTGCTTTGTCACTCAGGCTGGAATGCAGTGGCACAATTACAGCTCACTGCAGTCTCGACTTCCCCGGCTCAAGTGATCCTCCCACTTAAGCTGCCCGAGTGGCTTAGACTACAGGCATGCACCACCATGCCCTGCTAATTTTTTTTTTTTTTTTTTTGAGACACAGTCTCACTCTGTTGCCCAGGCTGGAGTGCAGTGGTGTGATCTCAGCTCACTGCTACCTCCACCTCCTGGGTTCAAGCGATTCTCCTGCCTCCGCCCTCGTGTAGCTGGGATTACAGGTGCTCCACTATGCCCGGCTAACTTTTTTGGTACTTTTAGTAGAGACAGGGTTTCACCATGTAGGCCAGGCTGGCCTCGAACTCCTGACCTCAAATGATCCACCCACCTTGGTCTCCCAAAGTTTTTGGATTACAGGTATGAGCCACTGCACCCAGCCCCAGCTAATTTTTTAAAAAAAATTTTGTATAGACAGGGGTCTCACTATGTTGCTCAGGCTGATCTTAAACTTCTGGGCTCAAGCAGTCCTCCCACCTTAGCCTTCCAAAGTGCTGAGATTACAGGCGTGCCCAACTTTTTAAATTTAAATTTTTTTTTTTGTTTTTTCATTCACATGATGAGTATTGCAAAATGGCTAACATTTATTGAGAGCCAACTAAGGGCCTGAACATGGGTTGTAACTAATTTAATCTTCACAACAACCCTGTATTTGGAAGCATTTAGTGGTTTTATTTGCAATAAAGCACCTTCAGCTGCAGCACCTACAATTCTATGTGATAGAAACAAATGTAGTAATAGATGCAGGGTCTCTCCCCCATCTCCTGATTTGAAAGCAGAGGGGAAAATGGGCTCTCTTCTGTCACCCTGCTGAGAATCCTATGCTCTGTGCAGAAGAGGGTATTTTCTATTCCAGAGCAGCACTCTTCAATACATTTTCCTGTGATAAAGGGAATGTTCTCTATTTGCATTATTCAATATGGTAGCTACTGGCCATGTGTGAGTGTGCAAAATGTGGTTGATAAGACTGATAAGCTAAAATTCTAAATAGTTTGAATTTAAATAGCCACCTATTATGGGGCTAATAGCTACCATGTTGGAGAGCACAGTTCTAAGGGAGATGACTGCTTGGTGGCCAAATTCTCAGCAGAGTCCACTCTGGCTTCTCTTACCTCTTCTATTGGCCAGCTTCTGAGGCACGTATCTTCAGACTAAGACCTCACTGCTAAGAACTGAGGATGAGGGAAAAATATGGGAATCTTTCTTACTCCCTCTATTAAAAACTAAATATTTAAGAGCTCAAATGATTACTCTATTTGTTTATTAATTTATTTAATAAATATTTATGAAACTTTTACTATATAGCAGGCATATTTACTACGAATCTATGAATTGGCTCTGGGATTAAAAAGGCAAGCAGGATGGGAATGAAGAGACAGACATTGCTTAAATAATCAAACAAATACACCATTACAAACTTGAATCAGCCGGGTATGGTGGCTCATGCCTGTAATCCCAGCACTTTGGGAGGCTGAGGCAGCAAATCACTTGAGATCGGGAGTTCAGACCAGCCTGACCAACATGAAGAAACCCCGTCTCTACTAAAAATACAAAATTAGCTGGACGTGGTGGCTCATGCCTGTAATCCCAGCTACTCGGGAGGCTGAGGCGGGAGAATCACTTGAACCTGGGAAGTGGAGGTTGTGGTGAGCCAAGATCGAGCCATTGCACTCCAGCCTGGGCAACAAGAGCAAAACTCTGTCTCAAAAAAAAAAAAAAAAAGTCTAGACTCGGTGGCTAACACCTGTAATCCCAGCACTTTGGGAGACCGAGGTGAGTGGATCACCTGAGGTCAGAAGTTCGAGACCAGCCTGACCAACATGGAGAAACCCCGTCTCTACTAAAAATACAAAATTAGCCAGGCGTGGTGGCACGTGCCTGTAATCCCAGCTACTCAGGAGGCTAAGGCAGGAGAATCGCTTAAACCTGGGAGGTGGAGGTTGCAGTGAGCTGAGATCGTGCCATTGCACTCTGGCCTGGGCAACAGAGCAAGACTCCGTCTCACATAAGTAAGTAAGTAAGTAAGTAAGTAAGTAAATAAATAAATAAATAAATAAATAAATAAATAAATAAATAAAATAAAATAAAAAACTTGAATCAATGCAAAGCATAAGGAGTTCTGGAGGCATTTGACAAAGTGTGGAGGATTCCTGTGAAGCATCAGGAAACATTTTTCTGATGATGCTAAAGTTCAGCTTGTGGAAATGAGGTTTTAATTGAGGAATGAGTTAGAATTAACTGAGTGCCAGTGGAGAGAAAAGCCTTTGAGCAGAGAGAATAGCATGTACAGGCCTGAGGTGGGCAGAGTGTGGATTATGTTTGAGGAATGTTAATGAATGGGAAAGTGGGGAGAGATTAGGCTGAAGAGTCAGGCTTTGGCCAGGCCCTACAGAACCTTTCTCATCATATTAGGACTTTTGACCTTTATTCCAGAAACAGTGGAAAGCTACTGAAAGGTTTTAAGCAGAAGAGTGATATGGTTAGAAAATAAACTTAAAAAAAAAAAAAAAAGCAAAACTTGGCTTTTACAAGGGCCTCATTGTTCCCTGTTCCTTCCTTCCTTCCTCCTTCAGCAAGCAGGCAGGTGACTTCCCCCAGACACAGGGCTGCAGCTGGCCCCAGAAGCAGTTCCTCAGAACAGATTAGAAGTGCTTGGTCCTGGGCCCAGGGGATGAATGGAGCTAAGCTATGTTCTCTCCTCTAATACTCTGTGTGTTCTCTCTGTGTGTTTCTGCCATTAAATAAATACTGGGGGTATTTATAAGAACTGTCAGCAAACCACCCACTCCTTCTCTGCCACAGGCCCAGAAGCCCTCAAACAGTAACAGCCTGTACCAGAATCTCCACGATATCCAAAGAGACAGCTCCGAAAGGAATACTAAATATAACTTTCTTCCACACAGGCTGGTGCCTGCTGCCTTGACTTTTACAATCATAGTTGTGGAACATGTAAGAAACTTGAATTCAACGGGCAGTTTTAAGCCAAACAAGGGCTGCCTACTGGAGAGATTGGCTGTGAATATTTTCTAATCTGACCACCTTCCCATTAAGCCATATGTATTTGATTGTCCTGAAGTTGGGAGGATGACAAGCCAAAGAATTTATTCCAGTGGGAGTAAGGCAAGAATGGAAGAGGGAGAACCAGATATTAAGATTTGTGAATGTATTTGAAGTTCAACGCTTTCAAATAATGTGAAAGAAACATCTAAGCAAATGTATCACTGATTGTCCTCTTCTTCCAAAATGAATTGATTTTTACAGCCACTTTGGAAGACAGTTTGGCAGTTTCTGACAAACTGTTTGCAGGTCAACACACCTGGGCTCTGCCATTTATTGCAGCAAAGTTAACTCACTTTCTAGAGCTTTAGGGTCCTTGTCTGTAAAGTAGATTATTAGTGCCTGTGTGCAGGGTTGTTGTATGGTTGAGAGACAATGTGGGTGGAATGCTTAGAAAGAGCCCAGCACATGGTCAGCACTGATAATGTTATTATCTAGTAGTGCATCTGTGTGTCTGTCTTCCCCATGACAGGCACTGAGCTCATCAAGCACAGAGACCTGCTGTTGGCCTTTATGTCTAGTGCCTACCCCTGCAGGTGCTCAATATATAAAATAATTAATTGAAATAACCATCTTAAAATAAAGGAATTCTTCTCTTGCATTGTTATCTTTCCCAAGATAGTGGTCTATCTTCTAATTTCCTACAACATTCACTGTTTATTTGTATGTGTTTCAGATATGAATTAGGGGGAAAAAATTACTAGATGCACTTCCAGAAAGATATTTTCTCAGAATGCCCTGCTTACACACACACACACCACACTTTAATTAATACATTTTACTTTTGAGTAGTTTTAGGTTTACAAAAAAATTGAGCAGAAAGTACAGACACTTCCAATATACACTTCACTGCCTCCCACCACTTCTTTCCCTTATTATTAACATCTTGCATTAGCGTGGTACATTTGTTATAGTTGATGAGCCAATATTGATATATCATTATAAACTAAAGTCCATAGTTGACATTAAAGTTCACTTTTTGTGTTGTACATTCTATAGGTTTTGACAAATGTGTCACAAGTATTCACCATTACATTATCATACAGAATAGTTTTACAGCCCTAAAAATCTCCTGTTCTCCACCTATTCATCCCTTCTTCTCCTGAACCCCTGGAAACCACTGATCATTTTACTGTCTCCATAGTATTGTCTTTTACAGAATGTCATATAATTAGAATTATATAGTATGTAGCTGTTTCCAGTTGGCTTGCTTTCTCTTCCTACCTTTCTTTCTTTCTTTCTTTCTTTCTTTCTTTCTTTCTTTCTTTCTTTCTTTCTTTCTTTCTTTCCTTCCTTCCTTCTCCTTCCTTCCTTCCTTCCTTTTTTTTCAGGGTCTCACTCTATCACCCAGGCTGGAATGCAGTGGCACACTCTTGCTTCACTGCAACCTCCGCCTCCCAGGCTTCAGTGATCCTCCCACCTCAGCCTCCCAAGTAGCTGGGACTATAGGCCCGCACCACCACACCCAGCTAATTTTTGTATTTTTAGTAGAGACAGGGTTTCGTCATGTTGGCCAGACTGGTCTCGAACTCCAGACCTCAGGTGACCCACCTGCCTCAGCCTCCCAAAGTGCTGGGATTACAGGCGTGAGCCACCATGCCTGGCCTCAGTTGGCTTCCTTCACTTACTGATAGTGATATGCATTTAAGATTCATCCTTGTCTTTTGGGGGCTTGACAACTCATTTCTTTTTTATTTTATTTTATTTTTTTTGAGACGGAGTCTTGATCTGTTGCCAGGCTGGAATGCAGTGGCGCGATCTCAGCTCATTGCAACCTCCACCTCCTGGGTTCAAGCAATTCTCCTACCTCTCAGCCTCCCAAGTGGTTGGGATTACAGGCACGCACCACCACGCCCAGCTAATTTTTGTATTTTTAGTAGAGACGGGGTTACACCATGCTAGTCAGGCGGGTCTCAAACTCCTGACCTCAAGTGATCCACCTGCCTCGGCCTCCCAAAGTGCTGGGATTACAGGCCTGAGCCACCGTACCTGCTTATTTTTATTTTTATTTATTTATTTTTTATCACTGAGCAATGTGTATGGATGTACCATAGTTTGTCTGTTTACCTACTGAAGGATGTCTTGGCTGCTTCCAAGTTTGGCAATTATGAATAAAGCTGCTATAAACACTTATGTGTAGGTTTTTGTGTGAACATAAATTTTCAACTCATTTGGATAAATACCAAGAAGTAACATTGCTAGATCATATGGTTACACTATGTATAGTTTTGTAAAAAACTGCCAAACTGTCTTTCAAAGTAGCCATACCATTTTGCATTCACACCAGTAATGAATGAGAGTTCCTGTTGCTCCACATCCTCACTAGCCTTTGCTGTAGCTAGTGTTTTGGATTGGCCATTCTAGTTAGCTGTGTAGTGGTATCTCGTTGTTTTAGTTTGCAATTCTCTAGTGACATACATTATTAACATCATTGCATATACTTATTTGCCATCTGTGTATCTTCTTTAGTGTAGTGTCTATCCAGATTGTATGCCCATTTTAAAATTGAGTTGTGTTTTTTATTGAGTTTTAACAGTTCTTTGCATATTTTGAATACAAGTCCTGTATCAGATGTATGTTTTATAAAATATTTTCTCCTAGTCTGTGGCTTGTCTTTTCATTTTCTTTTTTTTTTTTTTTTTTTTCCTGAGGCAGCGTCTCACTCTGTCGCCCAGGCTGGAGTGCAGTGGTGCAGTCATGGCTCACTGCAGCCTTGACCTCCCAGGCTCAAGCTATCTTCCCAAGATCAGCCTTTTGAGAAGCTGAGACAACAGGTATACATCACCATGCAAGGCTAATTTTTGTAGAGATGGGGGGTCTCACTATGTTCCCCAGACTGGTCTTGAACTTCTGGCCTCAAGCCATCCTCCTGCCTTGGACTCCCAAAATGCTGGGATTACAGATGTGAGCCACCATACCTGGCCTATCGATTTTTCTTCCGTGGATCATGTCAGCATTTTCTTCATCATGGAATTCCTAGTGCTAAAAACAGTGCCTGGCAAATAGTACATCCTCAATAAAGTGTTGTTGCATGAATCTGAAAAATTCAAAATTTACTTATTCACAGACAGAGAATTCTACTACAGGGTGTTTATCTAATAGATACATGTGCAAATTTTGTTGTTGTTGTTGCAGCATTGTTTGTAAAAGACAAATGCTGTTAACAGACTAAATGTCCATCAATAAAGTATTAGATAACTTTTTGTATACTCATATTGCTAAGTAAAAAAGCAAATTACAGAATAGTCTCAGTTGGATGCCATAGCACACACTGGTAGTCCCAGTTACTCAGGAGACTGAGGTGGGAAGATTGCTTGAGCCAAGGAGTTTGAAGCCAGCCTGGGCAACATAGCAAAACCCCATCTCAATTTAAAAAATAAGTTTTTATTTTTTTAAAACAGTTTCTATAGTTTGAGTATATGTGAAATATAAGAAACCTGCTTTCTGACCCATATTGGAATGTTTCATGTCTTCCAGTGAGTCTATCTTTGGGTGATGGATTGAGGAAGGAGGGAAAGAACACTTTCACATCAGAGCCTAACTTATTTGCTTAGTTTTTTTCCACTTTAATAAGAAGCAAGTAAAATTTTATGATTTTTTTCCTTTTAAATTGGTTTATTTATTTATTTATTTTATTTTTTTGAAACGGAGTTTCTCTCTTGTTGCCCAGGCTGGAGTGCAAAGGCACAATCTTGACTCACCGCAACCTCTGCCTCCTGGGCTCAAGAGATTCTCCTGCCTCAGCCTCCCGAGTAGCTGGAATTACAGGCATGTGCCACCATGCCTGGCTAATTTTTTTTTTTTTTTAGTAGAGATGGGGTTTCTCCATGTTGGTCAGGCTGGTCTCAAACTCCCGACCTCAGGTAATCTGCTCAGCTCAGCCTCCCAAAGTGCTGGGATTACAGGCATGAGCCACCGCGCCTGGCCTAAATTGGTTTATTTTTAAGATTAAAATGTGTAGGCCGGGCGCGGTGACCTGTGCCTATAATCCCACCACTTTTGGAGGCCAAGGCACGTGGATCACCTGAGGTCGGGAGTTCCAGATAAGCCTGACCAACATAGTGAAACCATGTCTCTACTAAAAAAAAAAAAAAAAAAAAATTAGCCAGGCATGGTGGTGGGGGCTTGTAATCCCAGCTACTTGGGAGGCTGAGGCAGGAGAATCACTTGAACCCAGGAGACAGAGGTTGCAGTGAGCCAAGATTGGTCCACTGCACTCCAGCCTGGGCAAAGAGAGTGAAACTCCATCTCAATAAAATAAAATGTGTGAAGGAAAAACAAACACACCAACAAAAAATTAGCCTGACATGGTGGCATGTGCCTGTAGTCCCAGCTACTCAGGAGGTTGAAAGTGGGAGGATCACTTGAGCCCAGGAGATCGAGGCTGCAGTGAGCTGTGAGTGTATTACTGCACTCCAGCCTGGGCAATGTGAAGGTTTTTATGTAAAAAAGTGAAAAGGGATACAGATTTATTTGAAAATATATAATTTAAGGGAAATAATACATTCTCATTTAGAAACATATATATGTTATACATATTATATATAATATAATATATGTATATGTATATATACACATATATACATATATACATATATGTATATACACATATATACATATATACATATATGTATATACACATATATACATATATACATATATGTATATACACATATATACGTATATACATATACGTATATATGTATATACGTATGTGTATATACGTATATATGTGTATATACGTATATATGTGTATATACGTATATATGTGTATATACGTATATATGTGTATATACGTATATACGTATATATGTGTGTGTATATATATATATGTAAGCAAAAAGAAGAAAGTACAAATCTCCTACAAAGATAAAACTAATATTTGTGGTTTGGTAAACATTATTTTAGTTATTTCTTTATGCCTCTGTTCAATTTTACATAAACGGGCTTATCATATTTCTTTTTTCTTTTTTTTTGAGACGGAGTCTTGCTCTGTCACCCAGGCTGGAGTGCAGTGGTGCAATCTCGGCTCATTGCAACCTCCGCCTCCCAGGTTCAAGTGATTCTCCCGCCTCAGCCTCCCGAGTAGCTGGAATTACAGGCACCTGCCATCACACCCAGCTAATTTTTATATTTTTAGTAGAGACGGGGTTTCACCATGTTGGCCAGGCTGGTCTCAAACTCCTGACCTCGTGATCCATCTGCCTCGGCCTCCCAAAGTGCTGGGATTACAGGCGTGAGCCACTGCGACCGGCCTGGTCTGCTTTTTTTTCATCAAAAAAATATTCAGTGGATTTCTTTCTAAATAAATAAATATGTATTATTTGAACAGGCTGTATAATATGCCATTGTATTTTTGACTCATTTAGTCAACCAGTCACTTATTTTTGAGCACTATAAACAATGCTGCCTCATTCATTTAAAAAATAATAGCCACAAAGTAACATTTTAAATATATATGTAAAATATAATAGCAATACTGTGACGAATAATGTACCCATCATCTAATCAGCATTACTTTGAAGGCCTCAATCACATTTCTTTTCCTGGCCTTTCTGACATAAGTGCTATTTTGGATTTTGGTTTATTATTACCTTTGTTTTTTAAATGTTTTATCACACTCATTTGCATCCTAAACAACATATTTAGTTTGCAACTTAATGGACTTCACATATGTGGAATCTTCCTCTGTAGGTTCAATGTTGTCAGTTCTTTTGGTCAATATGTATGTACCTCCTGATATTCTTTAATGTTGTGGGTAGTAGGATTAGTTTACAACTTAATGGACTTCACATATATGGAATCTTCCTCTGTAGGTTCAATGTTGTCAGTTCTTTTGGTCAATATGTATGTACCTCCTGATATTCTTTAATGTTGTGGGTAGTAGGAGTGGTTCTTTCCTCTGAGGTATGACATTGTATCATATAAATAATTCCATTTCCTCTGTGAAATGTCTCTCAAGTCTTCTACCTTTTGGGGAGAAGGGACTGTCTGTCTTTCCATTATTGATTTGCTTGAGTTATTTATATCTTTACATATTTTGGATTTGAATACTTTGTTATTTGTCAATATACATGCTGTAAATATCTTCTCCCTGTGGATGGTTTGCTTTCCCCCCTTTGATGGTAACTTTATATAATACTGAGGTTTTTTGTTTTGTTTTGTTTTGTTTTTTTGTGAGACAGAGTCTTGCTCTGTCACCCAGGCTGCAGTGCAATGGTGTGATCTCGGCTCATTGCAACCTCCGCCTCCTGGGTTCAAGCGATTCTCCTGTCTCAGCCTCCTGAGTAGCTGGGACTACAGGCACTCGCCACCATGCCCGACTAATTTTTGTATTTTTAGTAGAGATGGGGTTTTGCCATGTTTGCCAGGATGGTCTTGAACTCCTGACCTCAGGTGATCCACCCACCTCGGCCTCCCAAAGTGCTGGGATTACAGGTGTGAGCCACTGCACCTGGCAATACTGAGTTTTCTGATCCAAGGACAAGATGAGTCTTTGCCTTTATTCATATTTTTTTGTTCTTGGTAGAGTTTTATAGTTTTTTTATATGCATTTTTTTCACTCAAACTTTTTTTGTTTATTCTTAGTTAAATTATTTTTTATAATATCTAATAGGTTATTTTTGCTTTTATATTTTCAAATTAATTGTTTTGGTTTTTGCACATTGATTATGTGATCCTCTACCTTACTGAATTACCTCATTTCTTTTCCTTATGAAATGTTGTTATAGCAAAAAAATTTTCATTATTATAGATAAGTGGTTAATCCATGTTACATCTTTACATTTACTATGGAATATAATAGAGTGGTTAAAAAGAATAGGTAAGTTGATAAGTACTGACTTGAAAAATCCCTATTCCATACTGGTAAGTGAAAGAAAACATTTATAGAATAATATTGTCATTATGTTGCCAATTTACTAAAGAAAATACAGAAAACAGGCCGGGCACAATGGCTTATGTCTGTAATCCCAGCACTTCAGTCAGCTGAGGCGGGTGGATCACTTGAGGTTAGGAGTTCGAGACCAGCCTGGCCAACATGGTGAAACCCTGTATCTACTAAAAATACAAAAATTAGCTGGATGTGGTGGCACGCACCTGTAATAGAGGCTACTTGGGAGGTTGAGACACGAGAATCACTTGAACCCAGGAGGCAGAGGTTGCAGTGAGCCAAGACTGCACCATTGCATTCCAGCCTGGGGGACAGAGTGAGACTCCATCTCAAAAAAAAAAAAAAAAAGGAAAATACAGAAAACAAACAAAACTTGATGGAGTCTACAAGTTAAGTTCCTATATAAAAATTTATCAAGCTAAACATTTAAAAATTGAGCAATTGATTTTATGCAAATTATACCCAAATTTAATAATGGATAGCATGTATATTTTCACGTATATATAAAAATACATAAAACTCAGTCCAGAATAATACACACCCTGCTTTTGGCAGTGGTTTCTTCTGTTTTTCCTCTGCATACTTCTGTATTATTTGAATATTTTAAAAAGGAGAATGCATGAATTGGATATCTAATAAATAAAAAATACAAAATTTTTATTTAAGTCAATAAAATAAATAATTGATCAATTAATAGACAAAATTAACACACTACAAATACACTTTGGAAGAAAACAAGCTGCTGAGAATTTATGTAGACATATACTCATCTTCACTCTTGGGAAGCATCTCAGAACTATGTTTTCTCTATTTTTGGCTTTCTAAAGGGAAGTTTACAGTAAGTCATCAGTTAACTTCTGTAAGGGGCCTTTCCACTATCCTCAATCACCATCCAGCCTGATAGCTGCATGCGGAAGTGTGATATGAACACCACAGCCACCCTATGAGATGCCTGACCCCACTCTGGGAAGCTGGGGTTTACAGGCACTTGCCTGAAGGAGATGCCTCATTCTTCCCCACATCTATGGTAGCATGGGGATAATGCAGCTGCCATATATATACATAGGTATATGTATATTATTTATTTTATTTATTAGATATCCAATATATAATAGATATATTATATATATATATAAAATACACACACACATATATATATATATTTTTTTTTTATGAGATGGGGTCTCACTCTGTCACCTGGGCTGGAGTGCAGTGGCACAATCTCACCTCACTGCAAACCTCTGCCTCCCAGGCTCAAGCGATCCTCCCACCTCAGCCTCCCAAGTAGCTTGGACCACAGGCATGCACCACCACACCCAGCTAATTTGTGTATTTTTGGTAAAGACATGGTTTTGCCATGTTGCCCAGGCTGGTCTCAAACTCCTGAGCTCAAGCAATCTGCCTGCCTCAGCCTCCCAAGTTGCTAGGATTACAGGCATAAGCCACTGTGCCTGGCCAACTGCTAGATATTAATATGCAGTGCCTGTATGCTCAGTGTGATTTAAAAAGCAATAAATAAGGCAAAATTCAGGTTATAATAATCTAATACCAAACTGGCAAAGATTTATCTAATGACTCTACATAATATTGGCATGGGCTGAGGGAGCAGTGCCAACAGATGGGGCTGGAGAAATTAGCAGACGCCAACAGAGACAGAGCTTTGTCAGGCACATTAAGGAGGTTATCCCAAGGACAAGGACAAGCCAGTAACGGGCCTCAGTCAGGGCATCACCTCCTCTGACTGCTCTAAGGGGAATGCACTGAGAGGCAACCAGACTGGAAGTGAGTTGAGCAGTTAGGAGTTTGTGCAGTAATCTGGGCAAGATATTTTCGCCTCCTGGAACCATGAGATAGCACTGGGGATGGAGACAAGTGGGTGGGTAGAGGGATATTGAAGAGAGAGATGTGGCTGGGTGTGGCAGCTCACGCCTGTAATCCCAGGACTTTGGGAGGCCGAGGAGGGTGGATCACCTGAGGTCAGGAGTTCGAGACCAGCCTGGCCAACAAGGTGAAACCCTGTCTCTACTAAAAATACAAAATCAGCCTGGTGTGGTGGCAAGCGCCTGTATTCCCAGCTACTCGTAAGGCTGAGGCAGGAGAACTGCTTGAACCCAGGAGCCAGAAGTTGCAGTGAGCCGAGATTGTGCCACTGCACTCCAGCCTGGCGACAGAGTGAGAATACATCTCAAAAAAAAAGACAGAGAGAGAGAGAGATCTGACAGGTCTTGGTGATCAATTTCATATATCCTGAAAAGGAGGATGGGGTGATGTTGGTCTCTGTATTAGCTAGGGTTCAGTCAGTAAAGCAGAACCCTAGGCATTGTGGAATAAAGGATTTATTGTTAAAATTAGTTTGTGGGAGAAGCTGGTCAACTAAACATCTGGGAAGAGGAGATGGGGCATCAGGGAAGTCCCCAGCCAGTCAGTCTGAGAAGCCAGGGACATCCAGATGCCCAAGCTGGACCATGAAGGAGAAGCTGATGGGGAAGGCTAGAGGAAATGTTTGCTTCTGTGGGCCCAAAGACGGGTGCCAGCTAATAGGCCTGGGGCTGCTATTGGTCAGCAAGACCTGGAGCTGGAGGAAAAGCTGGAGGCAGAGTAGTGGGGAACAAAGGACAAGCAGAAACCTGCTAGGCACTTCAGCATCTGTGGGTGAACTCATTGGATGATGATAGCATTCCAATATAAACCCCTAAGTTTTAAATATTAAGATTCCCTTCTTGGCCAAATTTAACCTGGAACCACACAGGAAAAGGGATTCTCTGAGACGTTCCAGTTAAACTAAGTTGATGATCAAAGAAGATTCTGGAGGGAAGGTTAGTGAGTTCCATTTTGAACATGTTGACTTTGATACCTCTTCAGGGAGACACCTAGTTGACAGTTGGGCTTGTCCAAACTTCTTCAGCATTCAGGCAACCTGCTCTAGGACTCTTGTTCTAACTCAGCCTTGGGGTAAGGGAGTGGCATGCAGCTGTGGATTAAACATTTGGGAACTAAAGATATTAGTCAGGAGTGAAGGCAGGGGAAAGAGTGAAGGCAGTCCAGTCAAGATCTACAACTCTCAGGCAGTTAATTGAGACAGCAAGATGGGGTGGGCAGGCTCTACAGAGCAGATAGAGGAGGTGTCCTCGAGAGATGGCCTGAGGTGCTGTAACACTGGGTGGGAAGACATCCCATCTGTACAGTAAGGATAGTCTCCTAAAATGGCTATTTGAAAGTGCCACAAGTTATAAAAATAATTGACAGTCACTCCTTTTACATTTTCATTTCTACTACATAGGCATAAGACAGTTTATTTATTTATTTTAAAGACAGGGTCTCGCTCTGTCACCCAGGCTGGAGTGGAATGGCACAATCATAGTTGACTGCAGCTGACTGCCTCAAACTCCTGGGCTCATGTAACTCTCCTGCCTCCGTCTCCTGAGTAGCTAGGACTACAGGTGTGTGCCACAATGCTCAGCTAATTTTTCTTTCCTTTCTTCTTTTTTTTTTTTTGTTGAAGCGATGGGGTCTCGATATGCGCTGCCCAGGCTGGTCTTGAACTCCAGGCCTCAAGCAATCCTCCTGTCTTGGCCTCCCAAAGTGCTGGGATTACAGACATGAGCCCCTGCATCCAGCAGTAAGATAGTATATATATATATATATATATATATATATATACTGTATATATATACACATATATATGTATATATGTGTATATATATATACTGTCTATATATATACACTATATATATACTGTCTATGTATATATACTGTCTATATATATACATATATGTGTGTGTGTGTGTATATATATATATATATGCAGAGAGAGAAAAACGAAAGACCTCACATATTTATTACTGAACCCAGCCAACCAGTGCCTTCATAGCACACACAGAAAGAAAAAATATAGTCCCAGTGAAACATGTCCAATTGTCCAGATAGTGGTAACATTTTCAGCTTGATATGGTAAGGTGGTCGTGACCTTCACACAACATAAATATGTGCGCCATCTCATGTGGAATTCCTTATAGACTCAGCTTGGTTCTTCTCCAATGTCTCCTTTTGAAGTTCTACTGATTTTATTACCAGTTTTCATCCAAATCCACTGGGGAATGGGACAATTTTGCTTTTGTTTCTTGGCCAGGAAACGCTTAATCCTGAAGGTTTTGTGAGAAGACATGGCGAGAAGCAGAGTCAAGCACACACCATGATGGCGGAGAAAGGAAGAGTAAGACAGTATATTTAACAAATGCTCCTTCTTTCAGAAATTCCAAAGTTTACTTCATACAACTTGTGATGTTATTGCTTCACAGTCCTTCTGAATCATAAAGTGAGTTCTGACTGAGGTTCCAGGTGATGTAGTGAACATTCCACACAGGGAGCTCTACCATCAAGTGAGGGGAATGCCCACCATCGCTATCATCACCATCACCACTACTTCTGCCACAGCCATCACATTCACCTCTACCTCCACCATCACCATCACTACTCAAGTTGGAGAAATAGAGGCCAGGGGAAGGGGATAAAGGGAGGGCAAAGAAAGGTAATTCCAAAGGAACATGAGCACCAATAATGCTTTAAGGTAAACTTTCTTAAATCTTTTTTGGATAATACGTATAGCCAATGAGTAATTATATCTACAGTATTTTTTTCTTCCACTTTCTTAATTATCAGATGAAACCTTGGCTTCCTGTTAAACTGTGTACATTGAAGAGTGATATATCCCTCTGCCTTATACAAAAGAGGAATTCCATTCCTCTCTATGCTCTTATTCTGATGTCTTTATAGTTAATTAATTAATTAATTAACTTATTTTATTTATTTATTTATTTTGAGACAGAGTCTCGTTCTGTTGCCCAGGCTGGAGTGCAATGGCGCGATCTCGGCTCACTGCAAACTCCGCTTCCCGGGTTCAAGTGATTCTCGCACCTCAGCCTCCCGAGTAGCTGGGACTGCAGGCGGCTGCCACCATGCCCGGCTAATTTTTGTATTTTTAGTAGAGACAGGGTTTCACTATGTTGGCCAGGCTGGTCTCGAATTCCTGACCTCAAGTGATAGGCCCGCCTCAGCCTCCCAAAGTGCTGAGATTATAGGCATGAGCCACTGTGCCCGGCCTATTTAATTTGTTATTATGAATGAATGAACATATGAATGATGCAATACATTCTAAGAATGGCCCACGTGTGATAGAGCTGTATTATGGCTGTCCCCGGCGTATGGAAAAATGAAGTTCTGATACAAGTAATTGACTTCAGATCAAAACACACTGTTGCGGTGCTTTATATATTGTCCCAATAGTCCATCAAGGCTCATAAAACTACATCCTTTACATGAATATTACCAAAAAATAGCAATTAAAATATTTTTATATATTTTGGCCAAAAGCTCTCAAAGGCCTTGACAGACCCAGTTTCTTCCCCTACTTCTCTGCTTACCTGTCCATTTCTTTTGCTGGGTCCTCTTGCTCCTTCTGCCGGCTAACTGATCATTCTCTTGGATATTGCCTTGGACCCCTTGCTAATATGTCTCAGCTGTGAGTTTTCCTAGGTCATTTTCTTAGGTCTCATCACACCATTCCTAGCCAGATGAAGGGCTAGGTTCCCGGTTGGGCACAATAATGGGACTTTGTCCTTGGCTCCACCTGACCTGTTTCATTCTGTTATTAATGACCTGGATGAGCATATGGACAGCACTGCAAACTTTTTCCCTCATAGCTTCAAGGGCAGGGTGCATCCTCATCCATCTGTGCATCTCAGCACCTTGCACGGTAGCTGGCCTATTGTAGGTATTTTTTATTTTTATATATTTATTTATTTATTCATTTATTCTGAGATGGAGTTTCGCTCTTGTTGCCCAGGCTGGAGTGCAATGGCATGATCTTGGCTCACCGCAACCTCCGCCCCTGGGTTCAAGCAATTCTCCTGCCTCAGCCTCCCCAGTAGCTGGGATTACAGTCACGCACCACCATGCCCGGCTAATTTTGTATTTTTTTAGTACAGATGGGGTTTCTCTATGTCGGTCAGGCTAGTCTCGAACTCCCGACCTCAGGTGATCCGCCTGCCTCGGCCTCCCAAAGTGCTGGAATTACAGCATGAGCCACTGCGCCTGGCCTATTGTAGGTATTGAAGAAGTGATTGGATTAGACTGTTGAGACTGAAGTATTTATGGGTGAGTTGATATGATTTGAAGATTGGCATTAAAATACTCCAGCAAAAATTGTGATAAAATTAAATAACAGGCTGGGCACAGTGGCTCACACCTGTAAATCGGCACTTTGGGAGGCTGAGGTGGGCAGATCACTTGAGGTCAGGAGTTCAAGACCAGCCTGGCCAACATGGTGAAACCCAGTCTCTACTGAAAATACAAAAATCAGCTAAGCATGGTGGCAGGCACCTGTAGTCCCAGCTACTCAGGAGGCTGAGGCAGAAGAATTGCTTGAACTTGGGAGGCAGATGTCAGTGAGCCGAGATAGCACTACTGCACTCCAGCCTGGGTGACAGAGCAAGACTCCACCTCAAATAAAATAAAATAACATAAAATAAGGTGGATGGGGATATAGATGAAACAGGAGTAAAAAAATATTGATGACAGTCGAAGCTAGTGATGAGTGTATGGGGACTTATTATACTCT